>NC_000023.11:107462542-108087542 GCF_000001405.40 Homo sapiens | reverse complement strand
ATAAAAATTGCCTATTATCTTGCCACTCAGAAATAACTACTGATCACATTCTTGTGTATTTCCTCCTGGTCTTTTATATTCAAATGTATATATTTTATACATACATATTTTTTAGCAAAATTGGGGTCATACTGTGTATGTAGTTTTAGCTCTTGTTCTTTTCACCTCATAGTATAAGCATATATTAAATATGTTTAAAACCTTTTTAATGGGTATATAAAATTCTGTATAGATGTGCCATAATTTAATCATTCCTCTATTACTGTATATTTAAACTTTTATGAGTTTTTCACTATTATAAATAATGGTACATTGAGCCAGGCATAATGGCTCATGTCTGTAATCCCAGCACTTTGTAAAGCCAAGGCGGGAGGATCACTTGAGGCCAGGAGTTCAAGACCAGCCTGGGCAACACAGCAAGACCCCCCGTCTCTAGAAAAAATTAAAAACTTAGCTAGGCATGGTGGCATGCACCTGTAGTACTAACTACTCGGGAGGTTGAGGTGGGAGGATTGCTTGAACCCAGGAGCTCCAGGTTACAGTGAGCTGTGATCACACCACTGCACTCCAGCCTGGGGAACAGAGCAAGACCTTGTCTCTAAAATAGTTGACCAACTTTGTACAGAAAACTTTTGGCCACATTTCTGATGATTACCTTCTTATAGACTCCTAGAAGTGGAATTGCTGCGTCAACAAATACACACATTTTAAGACTTGCTATATGTTGCCAAATTGCTTCCAGAGGAGTTGTATCATTTTACCCTCCCAACAGCAGTGTAAGAGTGCCTATTACCCCCTCACCAACACTAAATTATCCTTTTGTTATGTGAAAATGATATTTCATAGAGGTAATTTATATTTTTATTATCAGTGAATTTGAACTTTTTTTAATGTCCATAGGTAATTACATTTCTTATCTAATTGTAACTTTTTGTGTCCCTTTCTCTGTTTCCTTTTGGGGAATTAATTTATTTTCACTGGGTTTTAAGTGCTCTTGATTTGGCATGGTAAAATATTAATTTTCTGCAATGTTAGTTGAAAATATTTTTCCTAGTTTATCTTTTCATTTTGTTCATAATTTCTTTTACATAAGAGAAGTTTTAAAATTTCTACGTAGTCAAGCCCATTCATCTTTCCTCATGACTAGAAAGCTCTTCCTTACCCTGAAATTAGTTAAATATTCACCCGTCTTTTATTATAGGTTATTTTAACGTTTCATTGGTTTTGATTGAGGGTTAGTGTTATTGTTTTGCATTTAACTCTTAAAATCCATCTGTAATTGAATTATGTGTATGATCTGAAGCTGGCCTTTACCTTGATATTTTTCCACGGTACTTGGCCACTTTTCTTCTGTGTTGAATGGTGACTTTTTCTTGAACCAGAAGTTCTGTGAGTCTTCTTTTTAGTCCAGAGTGAGGTTCAGCCTTTTCCAATTTGACTTTAAGCCAACTTTTAAAAAGTATTATTTTCTTAACTCTTAGTTTTTAAAATCTTTCCTGCATTCTAAGAGACCCTGTTTAGAAAGACCTGTATGCCCTACCTCTTTTCTCCATAAATAGAAAGGCAGGATGGCCTAGAGGAAATCTAGGAGTCAGACAAGATAGAGTACTGGGACGAACATAGGATTTATGAATAGCTAGATGATGTTCACCCAATTCAGACTCTACCACTTACTAACAATATTAAATACTTGTATTAAACAATTTATAAAAGTTACTTAATCTTCCTTGAATCTTAATTTCCTCATCTGTAATATAAGGGTAATAATTCCTTCCTCACTAGATTATTGTGAGGTTTAAGTAAAGCAACATGTAAAGTGCCTCCTAATACCCTCCTGGCAAACTCTTAAGTGCATGGCAAAAGTTGTTACCCTCTTCCACTCAGTCTACTGCCAAGACATGTCAGCATAGGTAGGAACTTTAACCTCTGTCACCATTTCAACTGTAAAATGATGATAATAATACTTTGCTAACTTATAAGATAGATATATGGACTAAATGAGATAAAATCTTTTAAACTGCTTTTTCAAACTTTAAGCTGCACGAATTACTATTAACAGTTTATGAACTGAGGCTTTTCTAAATTCTAACCCTGAATTATTACATGTAGTGTTTGAGGTAAACAACTACTTATCTCTGTAAAATGAGAAAGTTGTTCCTTAGGCTAGCATTTAGATCCCTTCTTCTATTGTAAGTAGAACCAGAATTATGATTTACGATCTGGTATTACAAGGCTTTTTTTGTAGAATTTTAACTTACAGTCTCCCTATGCAAACTGATGTTTCTTTCCTGATTAAATAACTTTCCAATGTTACCATTTCTTAATCATATGCACTTCAGACTACCTAGCAAGAAATCCTAACCATTACATAGAATTGGTAGTGATTAATTGGTCTCTGGTGGTCCCTGATTTCAGACACTTAGCCTGTGATGAGGAGAGAGTGGAAGAAGCAAAACTGCTGGTGTCCCAAGGAGCAAGTATTTACATTGAGAATAAAGAAGAAAAGACACCCCTGCAAGTGGCCAAAGGTGGCCTGGGTTTAATACTCAAGAGAATGGTGGAAGGTTAAACAGCTTGGATTTATTCTTACTTTGTATGTTGTGTTGTTGTCCCCAGTGTCCTACAAACTAATGTATTTGTGCACAAGACATCATCTATGAATGATGAAGTTTTCTCACCTTCAAAGTCTTATAAACATGTTGACTCTTGTTCCTGCTGAGTTACTTGTTCGAAGCTTACAGCTTGTTTTCCAGGCATCGAATAACTGTTGAGATTGTTCTACTGTTGTCGTATATTCTTCTATATTGAATTCTGGTTAATTTGGAGTAACTAATTCTGTGGCTGTTGTGAGTCTTCAGCACCCTCCCATGTACCTTATATCCCTCTCTGAAACAGAACAGCTCCAATAGCAACAAGCTAGTTGTTCTGCCAGATGTTTCTATGTGGATTCTGTAATGTTCCTCCATACAGTTAAAACATCCTAACTTGTTTTTCAAGCTCACTCAGGCCTACGCCAAACGTTTCTGTTTTTTTTAACCATGAGGTTTAATTTATTTTTGTGATAGGAGGGATATTTACATATTTTAGTGGACCACATTTTAAGTTGGATGGTGTGCTCTAAAATACTGAAAAACAATAGCCCATATACCTATGTATTTGTTTTTGATGGGTTGTTTACTCTGAAATAAAATGTATGGTTTTCTTAAAAGGAAGTTTTAAAGTACCTATTTTGTGTCATCCTGTATTGAAAAGAATGTCAAGCTTGTTAAAATGACATGTAACAAAAATGTATTTTGATTTGTATTTCAGAAACTAAAAAATAAAATGTTGAAAGAATCTTCCAATTTTTCTTTCAAATTAGCTAGAATTCACTTAAGCCTTAGAATCCTTAGTAAAGACATTTCTCAGTTTTTGGTAGCTCTAAGTCAATAAAATTAGTGAAGCTTGAATTGTAGCTAAAATCTTTTAAAATAGCCATCTTCTGAATTGCTAATTAAATGTAGAACAAAAGGAAATTATTAAGTATAAACTTGAGCTCCATTTAGGGAAGCATCTTAACTGATACTAGTCATAAAATCTAATGAACTCCAAGTGACTTTCAGATTATTTTTTATTTGAATTTTATGCTGCAAATACTGCTCGAAATAAGTGATCCAAGTGAACCTACAAACTTGCATTAATTTTCGGTCAAAGTCTTAATGATCAGTAGCTAAAATGAGTTTCGTAAACACGAACTGTGTTACTGATATAGAAACTTTTTACAGAAGTATTGTGAGTGCTAACCTTAACAATCAGAGAAGCATCTTATAGAACAAAACTCTATTGAATGCTGGAGATAGACTTGATAGCAGGGGAAATAATATTTCTAGTATTTTTAGTGTGATCAGAGTAAAGTTTTGTCTGTTACAACTGAAGACATTTACTCTTCATAAATATTGAGTTAATTGTCTGAGGTGATAGGTTTCGTGGGTGTAAAAGGAAATTCATCCGAGTTCTTCAATAAGCAATACAGATGGAGCTAAGCCACAGGTAATTTGTAGGCTTTTGGCATTTTAAATGGCATGACTTGTTAATATTTAGATCACAGATTTGTATAAAATAAAGATATTAGTGGCCTCGGATATTGATCAGATTGTTACCTGTGTCTGTAGGAAA
Source organism: Homo sapiens (assembly GCF_000001405.40). Classification (NCBI taxonomy): domain Eukaryota; kingdom Metazoa; phylum Chordata; class Mammalia; order Primates; family Hominidae; genus Homo; species Homo sapiens. Next base: position 108,083,387 of record NC_000023.11, on the reverse strand, counting down.
GGTGTTAGAGATGAAGCTGATTCAAGGTCAGCAGATTTTACAGTTTCAAAACATAATTTGGCTGGGCATGGTCGCTCATGCCTGTTATCCCAGCACATTGGGAGGTCGAGGCGGGCAGATTACCTGAGGTCAGGAGTTCAAGACCAGCCTGCCCAACATGGCGAAACCCCATCTCTACTAAAAAAATTAGCCGGGTGTGGTGGTGGGCGCCTGTAATCCCAGCTACTCAGGAGGTTGAGGCACGAAAATTGCTTGAACCCAGGAGGTGGAGGTTGCAGTGAGCCGAGTTGGTGCCACTGCAGTCTAGCCTGGGTGACAGAGCGACAATTCATCTCAAAATACATAAATAATTTAATGGTAAAGCTTAACTGAGAATATACGATGGAAGAAAAAGGCCAATGAAAATAGTGAAAACATTTACATTCTTAAATATGTTATAGAGAATTACAATTTCACTGAGGTTTTGGGAACTTCAAAGTAAATCTGTGTTTTTCTTCATAATCTTTGACTTAACATTTAACTGTATGACACTAGTGTTTGATTCCCCAATTTCTCAGCTGTACCAACTACAATGAATTCCTTAGATGGCTGCGTCTGCTGCTTTCTGCTCCCATATTCTGTTACACTACAAGGCCTCCAAATCAATCTGTTGGCAAGTCTGATAGAGTATAAAGATTCTTGACTTTGTGGTTTATGGCTCCAGCTTCACAGTTCTATTGACTGCCTAAAATTGAAAGCAGAAATTTGTAATGTGAATTTCTCTGGGAAGAGGATTTATTGCTTTCATCAAATTCTCAAGGACATCTGTGATTCCCCCAAAAGGTTAAAAATCCCTGGTTGAGACAAAAAAGAATACTGAATCAGTTGTCAGGAGACCTCATTTCTACAACTATAGTTCTACTACAGTTTTTTAATTTATAAGTTTTCACATCTATTCTCACTGTAGTCTTTAAGAAGGCAGAAATCATCTCCATTTTACAGATGAGAATATACCCAGAGCTAGAGAAACAGCCAGTACCAAAATCTAGCTTTCCTGGATTCTAATTCATTTTCTTTTCTGCCTCTTCAAAGACAGTGGACCAAATGGAAGGTATTCTGGCATTTTGAAAATAACCGGTTAGTTGAAACACCTATCCTGGTGCTTTTCTTTAATTTGGCTGTGACGTAATAAGAAATACATATTTGGTCTCAGCCCCCAGTACCTGAAACAGAGCTCCTAAAACCCTTGACAGTTCCTGAGTGATAGGAGTGTCTTACATAGAGCTTCTAAACCCCTTGGGATTTCCTGGGTGATAGGAGTGCCTTTTGTTCTAATGTTGCAACTCTTAGTGGGCTCCTGGATAGCTTTAGAACGGGGGCTATTAGTGACCAAGCCATGATTAGAGGATTAGAACTTTCAGCCCCAACCCCCCATCCTCCAGGGAGGGAAGAGGGGCTGGAGATTGAGTTAATAGTTGATCATACCTATGTGATGAAGCCTCCATAAAAATTCATAAACTACAGGGTTTGGTGAGCATCTAGGTTGGTGACACACCCACATGCCAGAAGAGTGGTACACCCCCACTCCATGGGAACAGAAGCTCCTATGTTCAGGACCCTTCTGGACCTCACCCTATGTACTTCTTCAGCTGGCCATTCATCTGTATCCTTTATAATGTCCTTTATAATAAACTGGTGGACAACAGTGTTTCCTTGAGTTCTATGAGCCATTACAGCAAATTATCAAACTTGAGGTTGCGGGAACCCCCAATTTGTACCCAAGTCTAACAGAAGTGTGGGTACACTGGGCACCCAATACTTGTGATGTGTCTGAAGTTGGGGGCAGTCTTGTCAGACCCAACCCTGGGTAGTGTCAGAATTGAATTAAATTGCAGGACACCCAGTCAGTGTCTGCAGAGAATTGGAGAATTACTTGGTGTGGAAACCCCACACATTTGCTTTCTGAAGTGTTGTGAGTAGTGGAACAGTTTTTCTTTATTGGCATATCTTTTTATGGTTTCCTGGAGCCCTCATTATCATCTCTGAATTATTTGTTTTGTTTTTAAACCAAAGTTTCAAAGACAAGTGGGAGTACTGAGTCTTTATCGATTAGTTTAAACCTTTTATGAGGCCCACTGATGTGTTTTCCAGCAGGTAGACATTGTAAAACAACTTTTTATTACTAAAGCTTGGGTTTGTTTCACTGAAATTAGTAGTTTGGTGCAGTTGAAAAGCATTGCCCTGAAATCCAGATGATGTGGATCTAGTTTTGACTTTGCGTAATCTCAGGCAGATTATTTTACTTCTCTGCACTCAGGGATTCTCCTCTAGGGGCTGGGTGGCAATATATAAGAGTGAACCAGCTTTTTAAAAGAACATTTACCCCTTCCTGTCTCCCCCACCAATAATTTAATTGTACATCATCTCCCACCTCCAGCTTCATCATTGTTAGGAGTGGCCCACTGTATGTGTTATAACTCAGGTGTGCTGGGGTTGAAAAAGTTTGAATACTATTTATTTCAGAGCACTCTTCTAGCTCTGATCAAAGTTGATCAAAACTGAGTTGCCCAGAGTAGATTGAATGGGTGGTAAACCACCTGGTTTGATTTGAGAGGGGCTGAGAAGTTTCCTTTTTTCAGAAATATATCTCCTCTGGATTGTTTAGACTCTTCAGATTAAGGATTATCTGTGCTTGAGTCCTCTTTAAAAGGTAAATACTCCAAAGAAGACTAACTCATTTATCAACCTAATGAGATCACTGAATGATGAAAGATCATGTTCACTGGACAAGAACAGGTTACAGAACAGCTACTTTAGGTCCTGCGCAATGAGTCTTGCCCGAGGGAAGAAGAACTGAGAGGGTCACTGAGCTAATGGGAGCATGAGAATCCTGGGTGTTTGGAAAATAAGATGCCACAAGGCCAGAAATGGCACTGAAAGGAGAGATCCAAAGGTACGAATTCAGATTAATCTCATGTGCTTCCTAACCTTGCCCATGTAGGGTTTCTGCCTGGGCAACATGTACTTCATATTTTTAAATCCAGATTTTTCTATTTATTCCTGTCAAATTCATTTTGTTGGTTTCAACTCCACTTTTGAGCTATCAAGATCATTCTGAATCGTGATTCTTTCTTATAGCCTAGTGGCCATTCCCCCTAGGAGCAAGTCATCCACAAATTTATTAAGTGTACTTTGTGTGTTTTGATCTAAGTAACTGTTTCTTCATCTTGGATTCAGGGAGTCTGTAACTCACCTGAAACTATATGTGACACTTTATGTGTATAAGCATCTTTCAGTGAAGATGAGTTTAGAGTTTTCAGCAGATTCTCAAGGTGTTCCATGACCTCAGAAAAAGGTTACAAGCCACTGATCCAACTATTCATCAGTATTTTGAACAGAACAGTGCTAATAAGGACAGAGCTCTATAAGACTACCAGTAGTGCTTTCTTTCCTGGACTGCACTGATCCATCAAAAATTTTGGGGTGTAATTGTTGACTATTACATGTCAGTCTCTTGCGATTTGCCTCTATAATAAAAATGGAAAGGAAAAATGAATTCCAGCTACTTGGGCATTCTGGTAATTGAGATGTTTACACTGTTGTTTACTTTTTAATCTCTAAATATTAGGTCATTCTTAAGACCTTCATTATTTTGCTTCTTGTGTCCATCAGACACCATATACCATACTATCATATTTAGTATGAATGAAATTATAAATGCATCAGAAATCCCTGACATTTTCTGAAAATGGACGCATCGAAGAAAATGCAGAAATAAACGCTTGCTATCTCTTCTCTCCATGGCTCTAGATAAGTGTAATGTTAATTTCCATTTTAACTCTCCTTAAAACCTACAGAGACTCTACCTCAATCTGTGTATGGTTATGATTTATATAGAAAGGAGTTTGCAGTTTAAGAAAATATTTTACATGAAAATCTGAAAGTGATAAATGAGAAACTCACTACTTTGTTTAAAAAGGATTCACCTTAGAAGGAAGTGAGACACAAAAAGTACATACTGTATCATCCCATATGTATGAGGGCCAAGAAAAGGCAAAGTTAACCTCTAGTGATGGAAAACAATGAGTGATTTCCTAGGTCCAGGGCAATGGTGGGATCGCACAAAGGGGCATGAAGAAACATTTTGGGCTGATGGAAATGTTTTCTCTCTAGATGGGTGTGGTGGTTTCATGGGTATGTGCTCTGTCAAAACTCATCAAATTGTACACTTTAAATGTCTGGTTTATTATACATAAATGCTATGTCAGAAAAAGTTGTTTATAAAAGGACTAGCCTTAGGAGTCACTAAAATGAGACATTATGAGTATTATTTATTGAGCCTTAAAGTAAGATTTAAATATGATTAATTCCACAAGTGAAAAGGTAAGTCTACCTGTAAGTTTCTTCAAGGTGAGATGTGGGTGAAATATGATCATGAGAAAGCTTTTCAACAGGGGAAGAAGAAGTGATATCAGTGCATTTTAGTAATATTAGCATTCATATAAGATTGGTATCGCTTTATTAATGTGGAATGTACAGGCAGTAAAACAGGTTATTTAATTAGTTGAAATTATCTAAAATAGATCTTAAGAGTTCACTTAGAACACTTTTCTGGACTGCCTTTCAAAGTAGATAACATCAGACACAGTGATAACATAATAACTCATTCAAAACTAAATTGTACATCACCTATGATATCAACATTTTGTATTCACTGAAGGAAATTATATTTGAAAGTGTTTGCCTGTACATTATTTGACAAAGTTGTGGGGATTTTTTGTTTTTTGTTTGTTTGTTTTCTGTTTTTGTTTTTGTTTTTCAGATGGAATCTCACTCTGTCACCCAGGTTGGAGTGCAGTGGCACAATCTCGGCTCACTGCAACCTCCACCTCCTGGGTTCAAGCGATTCTCCTGCCTCAGCCTCCCAAGTAGCTGGGATTACAGGCATGCACTACCACGCCCAGCTAATTTTTGTATTTTTAGTAGAGAAGGGGTTTCGCCATGTTGGCCAGGCTGGTCTCGAACTCCTGACCTCAGGTGATCCACCTGCCTCGGCCTCCCAAAGTGCTAGGGTTACAGGCAAGAAATTGTGTTATTTTTTAAATTTGCCATGCTCAGATATTGGATACCAGGGTGATTTCTTGGGAAATCTAATATGAGGAATGAAGCATTAATTATAAGACCTGATTTTAAATGCTACGTACCAATTAATGTATACCCTTTACATATTCTCCTCTATTGTATTTGGAGAAAATTTTCCAATCTATGAGATAATGCTGATGAATTATTTTCTTAGTGGTCAATATAAAAATGAATGAGGAACTATTCCTAGAAATAATATTGAATCTAATTAATGCCACCTTGTCATATGTGCATGTGGAACATAAGAGTAGCTAAAAAGAGGCCGGGCGCAGTGGCTCATGCCTGTAATCCCAGCATTTTGGGAGGCCAAGGTGGGCGGATCATGAGGTCAGGAGATGGAGACCATCCTGGCTAACAACGTGAAACCCCATCTCTACTAAAAATACAAAAAATTAGCCGGGCGTGGTGGCACGTGCCTGTAGTCCCAGCTACTCAGGAGGCTCAGGCAGGAGAATCGCTTGAACCCAGGGAGCGGAGGTTGCAGTGAGCCGAGATCGCACCACTACGATCACAGCCTGCGCGACGGAGCAAGACTCTGTCTAAAATAAAAAAAAAGAGTAGTTAAAAAGAGAGAAATAATATTTTCTGAAATAACAACACAGGTACTGTTGCAAAACTCAACTAAGTTAGAAATCACTTGCCCTGTCATTTGTTATGCTTACGTGTTAGTAAAATTGTTAGTATTCTATATTGGTAATACAGGAACCCTTGCTGATTTAGCTGTTATCTTGGCGTGTTTATTCTGGATTCATAGTAGGAATGAGCACCTTGTTAGAAGAAGGTTGGTCAAAATGGAAGGAGGAGGTGGAGGTTGGTTAGGTTATTTGAATTCCAAATGGCAGTAATGGGTTCCTTAATGATTAATGCTGTACTTAGGCCACCAGCCTATGCCTTAACCACTCCCTTTTCATCTTCACTTAAGGGCTCAACTACAACCCCAGGCTCTGACTCTGGCTCTGGCTCTGGCTCTGGCTCCAATTCCGACTGCGTTTCTGGCTCCAGCTCCAGCTCGATGTCAAGGTCAGGCACTGCCATAGGCTCTGATCCTGGGGCAGGCTCTGGGGCAGGCTCCTGAGTAGGCTTTGGCTCATAGTCTGGTTCTTGGATGGTATCAGGGCCAGTCTCATGAATGGAAGATGGTAGAGTTACTTCTAGTTGGGTAGCGTCTTCTCTTGGCATTGCTTCGCTTTCTCCCCTTGGGTTTATCTTTGTCATTGGCCTGCAAGAAAGAAGGCCCAGAAAAGAACAAGTTAGGGAGATGCTAACTTTGAAATTTCATGTGAAACCATATGTTCTGTAGCTTCAATGACCATAGGTCCCAGACTTCAGGAAATCTGTTATTTCTGATATTCTGACTCATTGTCAGGCCATAGGTCATTTTGGATTCAGAAAGGTTAGGTCTCAACAATATCATGAAAGTTTAAGAAAGAGCAGTGTTTCAAGGTGGGAAAATAATGTCAGAATGAAAGAGTCTAAGAATCTAATAAGGTCTTTAAGGTCCAAATTCATAGCTCTGATGTATCGCTATTTCTCACTCCATCTAGTACAATACTTGGCACCTGGTTGATACCCAATAGATAGTTGTAGAAGCAAGGAGATGAAAAAAAATGAATGAGTGAGATACACACTAGGAAAGAAATAGAGTGATTAAGAGCATGAGCTGTGGGCTGGGCCACATTCTAACTTCTGTGTTCCCTGGGCACTGTCCTTGTGGGTCTCTTGTTCCATAAAAAAATTTAAAATTATATTTCATGACTATGTTGGTATTAAGACAAGTATGTTAGTATTATATATGAAAATGTTTTCTTGGACCTAAAACTGTTGTGATAGCTAAATGAGTTGATGTACATAAAGTGCTTAGAACAGAGCCTGGCACACAGCACTCAATAAATAGCAGCCATCATCATTCTTTTTTAAATTCAATGAGAGTAAACAGAAAGATACCTCTGATATCTTATACTAAAAGGAGTGCTTAGGAATTGATGACTGAAAAAGACATGCCTGAGAAATGTTTGTATTCAAGTAAAGACAACAAAATGAAGGCTTACTCAAGTTCCGCGATGGTCTTAGAATTTCTTTCTTTTGCCTTTGCTTTTGCCTTATTCCTTGCGAAGCACACAACAGAGATGATGATGGCGGCACCTACCAGGCTACCAATCAAGGCCCCAACAATGATTCCAACTTCTGGATCTGAAGGATACAAGCAGCTGGTTAATAAAGTGGAATATATTGTCATTTTATAATGTGTGTTTGTGACTAGTGGGGAATATCAGGGCCATTCACATAGTGGGAAAATGACTTGTATAGGCTAGGGAAATGGAAACCCCTAGAACTCTGTCATTTGGACTCACAGTGGGAGAAGACTATTGACATTTGTGCACATAAAGAATAAAATGTGGCCAACTTGGAGGAGGTGGGGTTGCTTTTGAAATGGGATTTAGAGAAAAGAGTCTTGAGACACCATGGAGTTGTGATCTGGTCACTAGAGATAAGCCTCTGTTACAGGCAGGAACATTTCACTAGGCTTTCCCAGAGCACAGGTGAAATTGGTCCCTAAAAACCTCCCCCATGGCGTCAATGCTTACGAAGGAACCTCATGCACTCTGGTCACTGGGAAGTGATATGCCCATTTTGATAAACAGGCATCTGGTTTATTGTCTCGGTCTATGGACAAACTTAATGAGTGGGACATTATCCAGCTGAGCACCAGACCTTCAAGCCCTGAGGTGTTGTCTCTGGAAGACCACATCTGGGTTATAAGCCAACCCAACCCCATCTGCCTCCCCTCACACAAGGATGGACACCTTATATTTTGAGCTGCCTGATAATAATTCCTTTAACTTTTTATGATTAAGAGAATATAAGTAAATAGTTTAAAAAGTCAAATAGTTCTACTACATGTCTCACAAAAACAGCAGTTCCCTGCCCGACTCCTTCCCGTTTCTGAGTCCCATTCACGAAAGGCAACCACTCTTAACTCTTTTTAAAAGTCTTCTTGCCCCCATGTTTTTATTATGTTTGCTCTGATATGTCCTACCTTTTTTCCATTCCATCATTTTCTTTCAACTTCGTACCCTAGAAGTTGGAGATTGAGCTCTTTTACACCACTCCCCTCACACCCACCATGTTCTTCCAAAATAGTTATATCACAAGTTTTAGTTAAATCCAAGTTTGCAGTAGTATGGCTATATAAATATTGTTCACAGCTGAGGAACACAGTATACTATGATTCTTTCTTGTACAACATTTACAAAAATTTTCCCGGAGGTTAATAATTGCTTCATTTGGGGATTAATAAATGCATTATCACTCATCCCGAAATTTCCAACAAAACCATTAAACTTCTTTCAATTGATTCAAACATATCAGATGATATATCAGTTTCTTGTGATTTTTCCCTCAGAGACATGCCATGTGAAGCCCTCCATTCTCTTCCCCCATCATGACCTGGTTGCTCTCCTAAGCCTGCTGCTCTACCGTCATGCTTCAGCTTTCCCATTTTATAGATGATGAGGCTTTGCAAGTTCCTTCAAGATCCTGCTCAAATAGCACTTTGTTGGTAAAGCCATCCCAGTTCTATAAGCATAATTTTCCTCCCTTGGTGCTCTATAGACCCTGTTCAGACTTCTATTATAGGATTTAGCATGTTTTAGTTGTGTTTGTCCCTCTAGCTGAACTGTGAGCTCCTTGAGTATAGGACATACATCTTCTTTATCTCTGTATCTTTATCACCTAGGACAGTCCCTGGAACACAGTAGATATTCAATAAATATTTGAGGAAGGAAGGAAGAAAGAAGGGATGTGGGAGGGAGAGAGGAAGGCAGTGCTGGACATCATTGGAAAAAAGACTAGAAAGGAAGCAATGCTCAAGTCCAAATCCTACATATCTCTACATCTGCAGTATGATTGTACCTCTGAGAAGGCAAAAAGATATTGAGGGAATTCTAAAGAAAGATAACAGAAATGATGCAGGAAATATAGCTGAAAGTGATATGAGAATAAAGGAGCAAACTTCAGGAGAAATAAAAGGAAGAAAGTTCAGGTGCATAGGAAGAGCAAAAACCCACTGGAACTTGCCATCCCTGGATATGGCATATATTAAAATCACAAATTCAAAGTAAGTTTGAAAAAAGATCCTAAGTGTTATTAAGTGATCCTTGAGATGTTTGGTGAGATATTCCTTGTGAGGAGTTGCCCCTGGGTCAGCTCAATTGGACAATTCCAGGAGTCTTAAATCTTACACTCAGAGAGTGAGTAAGCACCTTCGAATAGGAAAATTGAGGTTTAGAGGCATCCTGGCTCTGCCAGTTACTAACTGGATGACCTTGGGCAAGTCATTTACTTCCCTGAGCTTCAGTGTTCTTTTCAGCAAAATGAGGCCGACAATAGTCTGCCTCCCTAGATAGGGGTGGTTGGGAGGAAAGAGTGAGATAATACTCAGCATAATTCATGCTCCACAAATAGTAGCTACCGTGATTGTGGGTACGAGTGTTATTATTATAATACTATTATTATTAGTGGCAGATCTTTGCAAGGTATATGTTTGTCAGAGCTACAGTGTCACCTGGATTTACCAACAGCATCACAAAGAGAAATTCAGCCTGCTGTTATCAGAAAGGCTTCTTTTTTAGTATTGAATAGTAATACCTACCTTCTAGCGATTTTGTGAAGCAAACAAATTGCTTTTTGTAAAGGATTTAGGGCAGCATATGGCATATATTATTATGTGAGCATTAGATATTAGGATGGTCATTCATCATATCAGCCTGTATATAAAGCACACAAATCTCCAGAGAAGCAGGAAGCACTAACTGGGGATCCTAACTAATTTATTTGTCTGACAGGCCCAGACTACTTGATTTAAGGAGAAACCGTTAAAGTTGTATGGTCAACTCACGTGAAGAAGTGAGATCGATTTCGCAGGAACTATTGCCAAGTCTGTTGATGGCAGTACACTGGTAATAACCTTGTTCAAAATTTGTCAGATTTCCAATGACCAAAATCCCGGTGGTTGGGTCTGTTGAAACCAGGGAATAGACTTTTGAGATCTCTTCTGTGCATACAGATAACATCAGTGTAACAGATCACTCAATGTCCACCCACTCCCCCATATTGGCCTCTCTTTCTTGAGATGTTCAGGATTCAACTAGGCCCCTCAGGACTGTTCCAGTGCTAACTCACCTGGGACCATGCCTGTTCCCTACATATTCACCATCTCTGAGCTGGCTTTTAGAATTTGGGGAGTAGACCAGAACACAATCATCGTGTTGGGAGACAGGCATTCTTTTTACATTACCAGCCGCCCCCCTCCACCCGCCACCACTGAGAAAACAAGAAGATTGAACTGTAAGGTCAAGCAGCCAACCACACACTCCTGCTGTCATCCAACCACAGACACCAGGCCTTTCCAGGGTCTACTGCAGGTTACACTTACTGAAGTTTTCTTTCACTGGCACGATGTCTCTTCCCTCAAGTTTATGCCAGTAGTACACAGGGGAAGGTGTTCCAAGCGCAGAGAGACAGGAAAGGGAAATAGTGTGGCCAGTTTCTGGTCTTCCTTGAACGCTACAAAGGGGCTTAGAAGGTTTCACTGTAAGGCAATGACAAAGAATAAAAATTCTTTAGGATGAATGGCATTCTGTGACAATTGCAGTCACTTCCTCACTTTCATTTTGAATAATATGTGTGTTTATTTATTTTTAAAAAAAATTCTTGGCCAGGCGCAGTGGCTCATGCCTGTAATCCCAGCAATTTGGAAGGCCGAGGTAGGTGGATCACCTGAGGTCAGGAGTTCGAGACCAGCCTGGCCAATGTGATGAAACACCATCTCTACTAAAAATACAAAAATTAGCTGGGCGTGGTGGTGGGCGCCTGTAATCCCAGCTACTTGGGAGGGTGAGGCAGTAGAATCACTTGAACCTGGGAGGCAGAGGTTGCAGTAAGCCAAGATCACGCCACTGCACTCCATCCTGAGCAACAAAGTGAGACTGGGTCTCCACACACACAAAAAAAATTATTAAAATGTATGTTGGCAGTTTTCTGCTTGCACCACCAGGTGGGAGTAGAGCACTTCAGGTGCAGGGCCCTTCTAGTCAAGAGGCCATTAAGATTCAAATAGTGACTCCTCTGTCTGCCTCCTCCTCAGATTTATAACCATGAATTTCCGCATTGTGTCTTAAAATATGCCTTTATTAAAACAGCCAAATATAAGCAAATACTAAATGACCAGGAATATAGTTTATGCTTTAAAAGCACAGTTTTAAAGGAAAATAGAATCCTTAAATACTCTGAGATAACCTATTATTCTTTTTAAAATATTTAATGCTGTATTTCTCTTTTCTCTCATGATTATTTTCTTTTTTTTTTTTTTTTTTGCATTTGTTCATCTGTGGGTGACACAAATAGTTGAAAGGTTTAAATTTGCCTGTGTGCATCATCAGTAGGGGAAGTCCATTTGGGGGGTGCACGCTACTCAGCACTGAAATATTTATTCATCCTTCACTCAGCAAGCACCCATGCCTTCTGTGGGCCTGGCATGGGACTAGGCACCAGGAATTCAAAAGTAACTTTCACACAGTTCTAAAGTGGGGTGGGAGAGGGATGAGAGATGACTTTAGAGAGGGGAAGAGGCCTCCAAGACCACAGCAGGAAGAACAGGTTTTAGGTGAAGGGGTGACAAGGAGGAAGGGGTACTAATGAGGTCAGTCCGGGACATAGAGTTTTAGCTGCTTATGAAAACATGTCAGGGGAGAAGTCCTGTGGGAAGCTGGGAATCTGAATCTCCTCATTCATCTTACTTACTTGCACGGTTTATTCTATCTTACATATCTTATACATTTATATATCTATCATATCTACATATCTATCTTATATCTCTTATCTTAGATATTTATTTTATATCTATACATCTATCTTATACACCTTATATATCTATCTTATATACAGACAATGATGTAAATTTCTATACTTTCCAACTCACCTTGCTTATCTTCATTTTGCTCTAGAACCCTTTAAAGCTTAGGTTCTCTAATTTAGGTGAGTTAGACATGAAATGTGTCATATTACTCAGTCCTACAGCTCTTACCTGAGACGCAGTGGTTAAGGGCACAGCTCTGGATCCACACAGAATACGGGCTTTGTAACTCTACCCTGGATCTGTATAGGCAAGTTACCTAACTTAGCCAAACCTCAGCTGACTCATCTGTAAAACGTGACTAAGAGATTATCTAACCTCTGGCTGATCCAAGTATTAAATACAATAATAAATATAGGGCCTAGAACCTGGAATTTCTGTTGGCCACAGCAGCACTAATTCCTGCTACTAAAGTTACTCTCCCATTGACTTCCGCTCAGTTCAGCCTTCCCAGACTCTCACTATCTGTACACAGGTGCGAGAAGACAGATGCATATAGCTATAATTCTTAAACAGTTTACTAGCCCTATCTTTTAAGCATGTGTCTTTTTAATTGAAAGGAATATCCTTCTACTTAGTTCTTTATTCTTTCTTATCAAAGATTTTCTCAGGTAGGAACAACTTGTTGGATGTGCCTATCCTAAACTAAGCTATTTAACCAGAAGTCCATTGCAGCTATCACTAGATTTAGATACTGCCTTTTTAAAAAGATGGCTATTGTATAGCCTTTACAGCAGAATAGAACAATTTGAACAGAAAATTAAATGGGGGTGTTTCATCACAAAGTTGGACACCAGGACTTGAACTAAATTATGGCAAAAACCTGGAATGACTTGCACTCATTTCTTGAGCCCAGAATCAAACCCAGATAGGCATTTTTTTTGCTTAGAATATTTTTCTCCTTTTATTTTTTATTAACAAAACATTTAGTGAATCACTTTGAACCAAGTCCCAAACCTATATATTTTCTAAAACTACTGACCCAGGATTGAACTGAAATTTCATCCAGTTAAAGTCCCCAGTGGAACTTGGGTATTTTACTGGCAAAGCCATTGATCTACCATTTAGCTTTATTGCTTTCAACAGAATTGGGGTGGGAGGAAAAGGCTCAGCTCAGAAAAAAAAAGAAAAAAGAAAAAACAAAGTGCTTCAGTAGGTTCTTAAACCTTCCCTAAATCAATCATTTTCTTTTTATGTGCCAAATTGCGGAAGGTAGATGATGCTCATTCCAAATGCACACAAAATAATTATTCAAACTTGATCTGGGTATTTTTCAGAGATTAATTTTCCAAGGTTGTCATACCTAATGGAAAGCTCTCAAATGAATGGCCATCCAAACCACCTGGTTCTTTGCCCATTGCTGTTTCCTTCACCTAAACTGTGCCTTGCCATCTCAGCCCCTCTTCTTCATCACACACTCTTGCACATCCTTCAACATTCAGCACAAAAGTCACTTTCCTCAATAAGCCTTCTCCAATTCCTGATACAGCTTTTTGCCCTTTCCCCTGTGCCCTCATAGCTCTCCTCTCATACCTCCACTGAAAGCTTTTATGTTACGCGTCTGTCTCCTTCACTAGACTGAATTTTAGAGGGCTAAGACCCTATCTTTTACATTTCCCCATGTCCATTGCTTAGCACAGTAACTGGCACGTGTGCTCAGGGTTTGTTAAATGAATTCATGCATGAACGAGTAAATGCATGGGATTGATGCTCACTGCTGGGTAACAAAACATCTGAAAGATACATTGCTATGAGAGTCATCTTTAAGGAAATATCAACACCTCTCCCCACAATTAACCTGTCTCTCTTACCCACCTGTCCCCATCTTGCCTCACCTTTCAGTCAGGGCAAGCAAAATTGTCACTCATATACAATGAGATTTGAGAATTGCAAATAGTCGCTGCAATTTTTAGAGAAAATTAGCAGTCTCAAATTTTCCAAAAAGCCTACATTTGGAGGAGGCCTTTGTTCTTTGCCCAATTAACAAAAACAATATTTTTTAGAGTTCCTAAACAAACAAGGAAATCCACAGACCCTTCTGCCTCTTACCTTGTCTGGATCCTGGCTGCTTAAGGAAAAGTCATGACACAGAGCTATCTGACACAAAGACTCATGGGAAAAAACACCTCTGAGATGAAGTGACCCTCAACTTCTTATGGAAATTGATTTGGGATCCTCTGAGCTTTAAATTTAAGAATATTAACCTTCTTGTCTAACTTTATCTCAGGGCTATTTCCAAGCTCTGAGATGAAGAGACTTGGCTTCTTTAGATTGTTTCTGGTCAGAACATCCCAGAACCAGGAAGCAACAGAAAATCATTAGCTAATCCCTCCAGTTTTTGAACATTTAAAAACCCCTTTGATCTCCAGTATTTCATTTTATAGGTAAAATAACAAAACTGTTCATAACAAACCTGTAAAGAAGACAGGGCAGAAATTATAACCCCATCTCACAATGGTCAGAGAAAGGTGGACTGACTTGTATAAGGTCACTGAGTACAGAGTAAGATCTAAAACTCAGGTCTTCTGAGTGCCAGTTTGATGCTTTGGCATTTATAGCACATCACTTAGTTCCCATGTATATAACTAACTAGTTGATATGGTTTGGATCTGTGTCCCCACCCAAACCTCATGTCAAATTGTAATCACTAATTTTGGCGATAGGGCCTGGTGAGAGGTGACTGGATCATGGGGGCGGATTTCCCCCTCGGTGCTGATCTTGTGATAGTGAATGAGTGCTCATAAGACCTGGTTGTTTAAAAGTGTGTGGCATCTTCCCCTCCCCTTCCTCCTGTTCCAGCCATGTGAGACATCTTGCCTCCCCTTTGCTTTCTGCCATGATTGTAGTTTCCTGAGGCTTCCCAAGAAGCTGCTATGCTTCCTGTACAGCCTGCAGAACCGTGAGACAATTAAACCTCTTTTACTTATAAATTACCCAGTCTCAGGTATTTCTTTACAGCAATGCAAGAATAGACTAATACACTAGTCTTCCAAACTGAAACAGAAACTCTCCCAGGAATTTGCTTGAGTAATACTTCTCTTGTCTGTTCCTGTACCCCAATTCCTGGCACAGAACTCAGTAAGATAAAAATATGATTGATTAAGCTAACCCACTCTTAAAAAATAGCTCTTAGGTACCTTTCCCTCTTTCCCAGGTGGGTAGATGCAGTGGCAAACCTCACAGTAAATGTCAGCTGGTTCCTTTGTGGCATTACCTGAGTGGCAAGCCAGGACAACTGTAAACAGTTCTCTTGGGTATGCACCTTGTTACCAATTGCTGCTTTTCCAAGCTACTCAACTATTAAGTCACTGATTTGATGTAGTTCCTCCTTTCTTGTGATGTGTGCACACAGCTTGAGAGCAGCAATGACTAGATCAGCTTCATTTGGGGCTACCTAGAAGTGGGAAAATGCTCATCTCAACTGGTCTGTCTGTAAGAGTTGAGGATTGGCAGCCCTTTCATCCCTTGCTTCGATACTTCCCAATACCAGCCTGCAGATGGAAGTTTAGCCCACATTGTCCTCTCAGACAGAGATTGTAAGGACTTCTAGAAATGGCCAAAATTGGGAGCTTCCCAAGGGCAAAAACAACACCTCCATCACTGTAACTCAATAAATACTGAACAAATGAGATTCCAAATTCATTTTAAGAGCAGATACGGCTTGCCCAATATCATATAATGAATATTTGTATGTAAATATGTTGATTCTCAACACTAGATTAATTTCAGTCCTTTTTCCAAATAACATTAGCATTTTAAAAAAGGGACTCTCCTGTCTTTATTTAAAAGAATAATTTAATGGTGGGAATTGTGTCGAGCTTAAAAGGAATAATAAGTTGACAGTAGTCTCCCCCAGGTAGATCTGGCTGTAAATGGAGGTTTCCTCTAAAAGAGTTGCTAGTGATCATTTTGTGGGACAGTGGATTGTCTCATCTGTTCTCATTCCATCCCTCAGAGATAGGGATCACTGGAGGTTGGGTCATCTACTGCTGTCATTTTGGCAGCCCGTTTGCACAATTGTTCTGCATGTTTTATGAGTGATTTCTCAGTGTTACTGTTTTGGTTGGGCTGGTGGCTTGTCTCTATTTCCCTGATAATGAAAATATTAGGGAGTATATTTACCTACAGAGACTTAATTGGCATCATAACTCACTGTCCTGGCTCATTCAGTGTCCTAACTTTTTCCAAGAAAAGAAAAAGCAGAAAAAAGTGCTCATACCTAACACACTGACGTTGAGGATGCCTTGGTTTTGGCCGAGAAAGTCTGGGGGGTTGTTAACATCGCAGATGTAAATTCCACTGTCTGCTGGCTGCATATGCGAGATAGTGATAGATGCATTACCTGGATCGTTGGACCCTGTAATTCGATCTTTAAATTGCCCGATGGCTACAGCTTGTCCACCTTGAGAAAAGTAAATCTAGACAGAAAAATAACAGAAGTGAGAACTGGAGAGAGTCCAGGACTAGGATAAGCTACCTGAAAGCTTCTTCTAAACACATTACCTTTGATAAAGAAGCAGCATCTTCCCCCCACCAGGAACAGGTCCCTGTGGCCAAGGTTTCTCAACTCAGTGGGGCACTTTAGTTTGCTCACAGCTGCGCATTTGGCCCTCAGAGCAGCTCTGTGATGTCATCAGGGCAGGGATTAGTATGCCTATCTTACAGAGGAGGAGGCAGCTGGAGCTGACAGGATTCAACACCTAAGCTTGGGCTAGGAGATCAAGATGCTCACTTAATGAATCCACCTGAGAGAAACTCATTATGTAGAACACAAATGTCTGATGGGAAACCAAAACCATCATTTTTTTTTTTTTACCATTTTATAAACTTCTTAAAATTTGAATTTACCTTACCCAGTGAGACTATCTGGTTTCCTTAAATGTTCAAATGTTCATGCTCCTTTTAGACACACCTACTCTTTTGGATAGACAAACTTGGGTTTGTTTTGTTTATTAGAAGCAAAGCGGAAAAGCATCTTAGAAATCATCTGGTCCCATCCCTTTATAGTGGTGTTGTGAAGATGAAACTAAGAAATCTAGTAAAGGACCTCGGAAGTGCTCAGCCAATGATAGCTACCATCTTTCTCCCCATGTGGCAGAAGGCAGAACTGGAATTCTTCTGTCATTTAAACAAATAAGGCATCTCAGACCCAGAGAGATTAAGTGACCCATCTGAAGCCACAAGGGCTCATTTATTATTATTATAACTTATTAAACTTAAGATCTGGATTCTAGTCCCATTTCTATTAAAGAGCATAGATACTTAGATCATAATGGCAACTGTGGGAGCAGCATGATGTGGTGGAAAGGGTCCTGGTCTAGGGGTCAGGTGGCTTGAGTTAGTCACAGCTCTGCCCCTCACTGTGATATAGTTAGGGGAGGTGGCCTCTAGTCATGCCTCCATGGCAGCCTGGTTTTAGATAAGAAACAAAGTTATTTAATCTCTCCAACCTTTACTTTCCACATCTGAATGAGAAAAGAGAGTAATGTTTTCCAAAGTATGATATGTATTTACCAAGTATAGGCATTTAAGTTGATTTTAGGTAGTATATAAATGAAAACTTACAAATTTCAATGTGTATTAGAAACAGAAAAATCTAGCACATTAAATCTATGACTTCCTGAATATTGTTGCATAGGGTAGATTAAGGTAGATATTTTTTAAGATTTTAAGAAAACAAGTCAATACAGAAAATAACATTAAATAACAAATAGTGCTGGTGATACACAAATATGACAAAAATCATGTAGATGGTACATGAATGACTGAAGCTGGGAAATCACTGGATTAGGTAATTCCTGAGGTCCCTTCATAATACACACCTTCTATGTACATGTTTTGTTGGTTTCATGTAAATGTATATTATTCAAGTGATTGTTATTGTTCAATAAACTGTATTGTCTTAGTCTGGTGAGACTAATTTTTCATAAAATCTACTGGAAGGCCTTACAGTTCATTTAATTCACTTCCCTCAGTTTACAGAAGAAACCAAAGCCCAGAGAGGTTAAAAAATAAAAGGCAAAATTGACGGTTGAGACAGATCTGGAATCCAATTTTCCTAATTCCTTGTACTGTGGGCTTTACCTTAACAGGCCAATAAAAGAGGGAAAGCAATTAGAAAACCAAAAGATATTGTCTAGATGAATTCAAATGTATTCTCCTTTAAGCAGAAAGTCAATATATTTTAAAACTAAGGCAGAAAGCTGGATTTTGAGGGAAAAATCCCAGGAAAAGAGTACATTTACAGAGAAAACTATTTGTTTCTCTCCCGTTTTTTCTAACATCAACGTGTTTTCTTGCTTGCATTATAAATGCAGCCATTTATAATTCATTCATTCACACCTACTGAAATCACAAACTCTTGCCCCAGAATGGTCTTGTTTGACTTCCAAACCAGAAAGCCAGGATTAACTCCAGGTATTCAAGTGGGACAGAAGGAGGTTCAATACATCAGAGGATTACTTTCATTTGAGTTGGCACCCACGCTATCAGGCTTTCAATTTCACTAGGCAGCATGGGGCTTATTTACTTTCTAATTGACAGTTTGAGGTCTTGTTGTTTCTTACCTGGAGTTCAGCCTGCTGTCCATCAAGAGTGCCCTTCACAGCCTCAACATCTGGCCACTTCCCCTCCTCCCAAGGAGACTGTGGACAGTGTAAAACATCAGCCCTGTTTTATACTGATGCTTGATGACATCACAATGAGATACAACATCAGTCACGCCTGAGGCCCACAGCAAGTCCCAGAGGATCCAGGTGAAAAGGACCTTATTTCTGCAGAGATCTTGAGGCCAAAATGGTGTGTTTTAGGCCAGAATTAGGATATGAGAAGAAGTAAAAGTGTCCACTGTATCCATGTGTCCATGCCCACTGTAAAAGTCCCATAGTTGGGCATGAGTCAAGGTGAAATGAGTATATAAGCAATGAGGCCCTGGAACCTTACCCATGAAAAAGACCTTTACTACCTCTTACATGCTAGCTCCTCATGCTGTAGTCTAATACATTTTGCCCTCTCACGATTGACACTAAAAGGTATTAGAGACAGAAATGGGGGTAGTGAGGGCTAACAATGGAGACCTAAAAGAGCCAAGGCTTTGGCTTCACAGTTCTCTGTAAGAAGTAAAGTACCTAGGGGTAGACAGCAGCAGCCAGACACATACATGGAGGGGCTTTCTGTTAAGGGGAAGTCCACACAGTCACACTGTCCTTGTAAAGAAAAAAAGAAAGAAGTGTTTTCCTGAAACTGCTTATCTAATCATATAGGAAGGGCTACAACTTGATTCCACTTTCCATAAAAGAATAACTCTTTTAAAAATCAAAGCTGAACAGTGGCCAAAGCCTGGCCCATGATCCTGTGTGGCTTGTACACTTTTCAAAGAAAGAATATTATCAATTTAGACGTCAAAGCAATGGAGATCCAGAAAAAGCCCCGGATGTACAATGGGCCACATCTTTGGGTGGAGGTGGGGAGGAGGTGATTTTTTTAAGGAAATCCATCCCAGTGTTCCCTTAAGGGGCGCTTGTTAATTTTTTACCCACCTGCACTTTGTGCTTGGGTTCATGGTAGACTGCCCTGCTTTCTCCCAAGGTCCTCTCTGCCTGCCCCCAGGGTGACGCTAGAGGCTGATGGGTGGAGTCATAATTGCACATTAATTATAAGACCTCTGTGAGATAGTTTGGTTTGTGGTTTCTAAGGTTAAGGGGCCTTCAGGAGCCCGATGGATATTGGAAATATGGGAAATGGCTGGGAGGGGCTGGTAAGTAGTGGTAAGCTCATAACAGATATGGGGACTGCAGGGAACGGAAAAGTCAACGCAAACAAGGCATTCGAACTGTTGAAACAAACAAACAAAATACTGGGCAGGCCGACTGAAATACATCCACTGGCCAAATCTGACCCAGAGGCCTGCGGTTAGTAAACTCGAATTCATCCTTTTCTAATACAAAAAAAGGACACCGAGGCCTCAATAGAGGGAGCCATTTTCCCAAGGTCACACAATTTACAGTCAGACCTGGAATTCAGACCTTCTGATTCCCACTGAATATATTAAGATGGCACTCACAGTGCTTCTTAAGATGAGAAAGATGATTCCTGGGCAACCTTCTCCTTTTGGGACCATTCCATTCCCTGCTCCAGCCCAACCTTTCTCCTGCCAATTGTTGCTATTTATTGGCATGATGCTTCCCATGCTGAGTATGTTCACCACATGATGCCCTCAATATTTGCCAGCTGCAATTGTAGGCCCCTCAGTTCTTTGCAGAGCAACCTTTCCCTTCCTACTGTGCCAAGTTCCTATTCACACAAGGCCGTGCAGCTGGGAACCAGATTTGTCCTAAAAGACTTTTTCCTCAGCTTAGTGACACTGCTCTCTAACTAGAAGCATGGAGTATAAACAAGAAGGGTTGAAAGAATTCAGTCTGCTTTCTGTTTGAATCTGAGTTGGAGTTAGCTTCCAGAGCTGCTTTTGCAGATTCCTTCTGGGAAGGTGGAGGACATGGACATCCACAGCAAACCACCCATTCTTTCCTTTCCAGCTTCTTGCTTTCTTGTACTGCTGATAGAGGGGCTAGCCATAGGATAGGGAAGGGGTGTGCAGGTATAAGGTGGCAATGGTCACAAGCTCAGAATTTTATTTGGACTGTATTGTGGTGCAGGGATGGCATGTGGAAGGAATGGGATACCAAAAGAAAGACTCTCTTGCTTCCAAACCAACTCTCTTACCAACCCTCCATTTGCCTGGGTATCTGCCATTTGAGTTGCTCCTTTTGGAAGAAGGCATGGAAGGTCCCATTCAATGCATTCTTTAGAAGAGAATAAAATAAGCTTTCGCTAGTCCCTAACACCTTACCATGAGATTAATTTATCAGATTTAGCAGAAAGTGAATGGGACACAATACATAAATTTGATGGTGGGGTGGGGAAGAACTTGCAGTATTTCTCAGTAGGGGTGACACTGGCATTTTGGGCAGACAACTCTTTATTGTGTGGCTCTGTCCTGTGTATTTCAGGTTGTAAAACCTGAGAAGCCAGAGAACATAAGAACACTAGGTCCTGGGAAAGAAGTTGTCTAAGTTGTTTATGAGACTGGCAAAGGGTATTTTTTCACTATGAACATTCTTGAAGAATAAGTATTGTCTGAGAGATTCATGCTAAGCAGAGTCAAGGCATGGTCTGTTCAGGGACAGGTGGGGTCTCTGTAGTGTTAGCATTAACAGACTGGATGGAAGATGAAGCCATCTGTGTGACCAGAAAGGCACCAGACCACCCCAAATTTCCATGTTAGCCTGCCCATACCTGGCCTAGAGTTTTCAGCTGAGATTCCCTGCTGAGGGATTGACTATCTAAAGCTGTTCATATTTTCTGAGAGGAATGTTTCTCTGAGAGAAGGACCATGCTAATGAATATCCTGGCCTTCTTGGTGGGAAGACCTGTGGGATACTTCAGTCTCTGTTCTCCAAAGGGGATAGTCAGTAAGAGATAACATCAGCCCCTAGGTATTGAGGAATACCAGGCCTCAGAGTCAATTGCTAATCTAACACAATGATTTCAGGAAAGGGAAGATGGGACTATGGAAAGAGCTGGCCACTGCCCTGATCAGGGCAGCAATAGGGTCCTGAGCCTTTAGGAAGAGGCAGAAGAACTCCAGACATGGATGTGAGAAGGTAAACTCAAGACTGTCCCAGTTTTGTCAGGGGCTTGTGCTGATCTTGATTGTTACCAAAGTCAGACCCTCCCATCCCATTCCTAAAGCTGGTGCCAGTGCCCTGGAGTCTCCAAACAATGAAGAAGTCCAGTAGTACACCAATAAGTGTTCTTACCTCAGAGGTCCAGCTACATCTTCCCCGAGCGTCTCTTGCGTGCGTCATTTTTAGACACTGACTGACTGCCTTTTCCTCCATACCCTCAGTACTGAGGCACGAGCTGTGCTGTGTTTGAGCAGAAATGGGTGGATCTGAGAGCTGAATGCTATACAGTATACTGCCACATCAACCCAGGAGTTGAACTGAATCTCTCAGTGTGACCACTGATGTCTGGCAACATCTTAGTCCCATAAATCACATAATTGTCTAATAGTGCAGCAGTCTTTTTATCCTCCCATAAATGTTCCACCAGCAATCCCTAGATTAACATACAACATGCTCCACAGAATTTTGAATGTTTTCAAAGAGGAAACAGTCTTGAAATGGAGGCCAAATCCCATTTTGAAAAATACCACCTCAACACAGGATGTCTGCAACCTCTTGGTTGAGCAGGCTGTCAGTTCAGGGATAAGAAGCAGGTAGAGAAAGGGCCTGGGCCCTCCCTTTAGCCACAGTGACCTGGTAAGCAGTGGAACTCGAAGCTGATCTTGGGCTAGTATGGCCCTGAAGAGCTCTGTCCCTGTTCAAGTGTATCTTCTTGAGCTAGGCTCCCTAGTGCCCATGAGTCAGTCCCTCTAGATCACCAGGGGTATGGAGGGAACAGGGATTTTGCAAAATCGCCATTTTGTAAGTGATGATGCCAATAATAAAAGCTCGCATTCACTGAATGCTTACTGGGTAGAAGGCTTCGTAGTGCTTCACAAGCATCATCCCATTTAGTCTTCATATTCAACCTATGAGATAGGTAAGTAGCCCCATTTTAAAGATTGGAAACGGAACAACTGAAAGGTCAAACGACTTGTCTAAGATCACGCAGTCAATAAATAAGTGGCAGAGCAAGAAGAATTGACATTCATCATGAGATTTCCACTAGGACTTCAAAACTACTCATCTGGTAAAGCAGTGAGAAGCCCATGCCAGCAGGATATGGGGAGTCAGGGGAAGGACTCCGGTTCTTTAGAAGTAGAGAGCTAAAAATGGTTGTAATGGGGATCTGGCTAGGGTAAGCTAAAGAAAGACAGGAAAATAGAAGGAGGATAAAATTTGCCTTTAGGGGGATGGTTGTTATTGCTCCCAAGCTGTGGGAGCAATAAAAACACAAAAGCTTGTCTTCTATGCAGCTAAGGCACAGGCGTAACACAGGTATCATGCAGCTTTAAGATCAGAGAGCATGTTTTGCCTGATCCAGCAGCTCAGTGCAGAGGCCCTCCTTTGATGTGGACATTCCAAAAGAGTATATATCTTAAATCACTTGCCCCACCTGTACCTGACATTTTGAAGAATGAAGCAAATGGCAAGTAAATAAGCTACTCAATAAATATTTATTTGTTAACAGATTTTTTTTTAAAAGTGCTTCTAAGAGATGTTCTGGGCTCAGGCCACACTCAATTCAATCACCATATCTTCTTCCCTTGCATTTCCTGGTATAGAAAAAGCTCATTGCTGGTCACAGGATCCTTCGGCTCTGCAGCTCCCTCCCAGTTCCTCACTAGACACACAGTTCAACCAAGAGGTAGCCTTGTAAATCCCAGTGTCAGAGGAGGCATAAATAAAAATTTGTGGCCTTGCCCATCCTTCAGGCAGTTGAGAACATCTTGATTTGAATATCAAGCAGAAAATATTTCAAAATACATTGGCAAGGTCTCCCTAAATCCAGCCCCACCTGGCAAAATGAGAAGGATTTCAAGCCTACAGATAAAGAATGTGTTGACAAGACTAGTCCGGAAATTGAATTTCAAAAAGGAAGAAAGGTCATGTGATTATTGCCATCTACAATCTAACAGAGCATCCTGCAAAAGAAGGCAATAATTTCTTAGTTGACTCCTACATACAAGGCCTTGGGTCTGGACATCTTGGGTGATGGAAACTGGTAGAAGCACTGTTGGTGGTGGTGCTGCTGTGGATGATGATAATCATAATAGTGTTTACAAGGGATAAAACTTACAGAGCTTTATATTTTTCACATGCATTATATCAGTTGATTCCCCATGGGTATTGCTGATCTACCATATTTTAAAGAGAGGTGCAGAGTGATTCAGATACTTGTCCAAGGTAACCAGTATTGAGCAAAATTGTTTAACTTGGACTAGAGAGTGGCATTGATGGAATCTCCCCCTGTACGGCATTTCCTGCTAAACAAATGCTCAGGATTTGTAAACAGAGGACTCAGCACTTCTGAAGGACTAGTGATGGCTGAAGTGACACTGGCCAACGTGTGGCTCCTCTAAACTAATGCCTTCTTTCTTCTCCACCCCTGTCCCTAGGCCTCCCCCAGCCTCCTCAACTTGCTCTCCCTCTATCTTTCTACTAATCAAAACCTTTCTTTTCCTTCAAGGCCCAATTCAGCTGCATCCAACTATTCCAAACCACACCGACTTGTCTCTTCTCTAAACTCTGCTTTGGGTCATGCAGCCTTTTGAGAACCTGATGAAAGCTACAGACCTTTTCCATCAAGGGATATGTGTAGGCATGCATGGCATATGTGCTCACATAAACATGTGCATGAACACACAAACACACACACGCACGTGCATATGCATGCGCACACACACACACACACACACACACACCTTTGAGTATACAATTTGAATCTTTGGGCTAAAGAAGGAATTTCCCTCAAGGCCTGATGAAGGAAACCTGGGAATAGGCAGCTTGCATGTGAAATCATTCTCCTCCCTTGACTTTCAACCCATCCTTTTCTGGCAACCTCTTCCCCCTGACCCTATGCCTACCCACTCCATCCCCTGTCCTCTATCCTCATGCTGTTCTTGATGAACTACGCAGGGTTCATCACTACTATGGCCCTTCTTCATCCATCTGAAGAGTCTCATTCTGTCAGGCCTCAGTCTAGCACAGTGAGCTAGTTCACTTGACAGCCAGATCCTAGATATTAAATTTGGCAGAGATCTGCAGATCAATCAGGACTTGCATTTGAACTAGTTTCTTCTGGAAATAATAGGGAGATAAAGGTGGAGGGGGAGCCCTTTCAGAATTACTATTAATTTCACCTATGAGAAGAACCATTTCTGTCTTCTCTAAAATACATGATCCACTTGATGTGGACCTACACAGACCGAGATAATGGGTTATAACTAAATATGAAGAGAGGACAAGAGTCAAGTCACTTAGATGATGATCTTCTCTATACAGCTGTCTTCAAACTTTTTGTATCTGAGATTCCTGCCACTACTGTCACTGGCATGCCATTCTTTCACATTTCACATTTTTTCTACCCCAACAGTTTTCAGTCAGAACTACAAAAGGGGAAGAGTTTAGGAAAAAGTGTCCTTACAGAAATTGGCTCCATCTCCTTCTTATGGAAGAAAGACCACTGGATGGAAAGCTGTTCTCGGGAGGCCACAGTGGTGGTGTAGATGCAGATGAGAGTGACATTAGATCCAACAGTCACGTTCACGAAACCGTCTGGGATGGTCACTTGCACCACACTAACCTGACCTGAAAAGATAATCATAAAAAAATCAATAGTACATACTCAAATTCTGATAACACTGTTTCATCACAGAACACTTACAAAGACATCCTATTTGAGGAATCCAAGGTGAGGGGAAGAAGGTAGAATAAACCATACAAGAAAGTTGAGTTTTCTTGGGGCTCACTGGGGTAGTGGGAGGAGAGTTTCTAACAAATTATCATATGAAGATACTCAAATTCTAGATGATGGTGTGGTAATAACACTGAACTGAGAATTTCTTCTGTGTTAAGGGCGGCCTTACACAGGTTCTTAAAGTCTTGTCCAGGGACCCAAAACTGTCTGGTAGTATAGAGAACAACTGACTCAGTTTTCCCAGTACCATGGGAATTCCTTGAATGTGGGACTTATAGTTTTAAAATCAGGTAAATCTCAGGCAAAACATATCAGTTTCTTTTTGGGGTCCTCGATAATTTTTAATTAAAATTTTTATTTATATATTTGTAGATTCACATGCAGTTCTAGGAAATAAGACAGATCTCATGTACACTTTACCCAGTTCCCAGCAATGGTAGCATTCTGCAAGATGGTGGTATAATATCACAACCAGGATACTGACATTGATAAAACCTATCGACCTTATTCATATTTCTCCAGTTTTACATGTACTGCTGTGTGTGTGCACATGCACATTTAATTCTCTATTTTATCATGTGTAGATTCGTGTATTTACCACCACAGTCAAGATATTGAACAGTTCCATCACCACAAAGACCTCTCATGTTGACATTTTTATAATCACACTCACCTCCATCCTGCACCTCATTCCTGTCCTAACCATGGACAACCACTAATCTGTCTTTCATTTCTAAAATTCTGTCACTTCATAAATGTTATATACAAGGAATCATGGTAACCTTTTGGAATTGATGACTCTTTTTACTCAGCATAATTATCTAAAATTTCACCCAAGTTGCTGTGTGTATCAGTAGTTTGTTGTTTTTTATTGATTTGTAGTACCCGATGATATATATGTAATACAGTTTGTTTAACCATTCATCCATTTAAGGACATCTGGGCTGTTTCTAGTTTTTGGGTATTGGATAAAACTCCAGTGAACATTCAGGTACAGATTTGCATGAACATAAATTTTTATTTCTCTGGCACAAATGCCCAACAGTGCAATTGCTGGATCATACGCCAGTTGCATATTTTATTTTATTTTAAAAAACCAGCCAGGCTGTTTTCCAGAATGACTGTACCTTTATACATTCCCCTCACCACCACCAAATAAAAGGATTCCGTTTTCCTGCATCCTTACCAGCATTTGGTGTTGTCACAGTTTTCTACTCTAGCCATTCTGGCAGGTATGAAGTAATATAATCATCGTGGTTTTAATTTGCATTTCTCAAATAGATAACGATGCTAAATATCTTTTAATGGGATTATTTGCCATTTGTACATCTTCAGCAAAATATCTGTTTATATCCTTTGCTCATTTTCTAATTGGATTGTTTAGTTTTTTAATGATTGAGTTTTGAGAGTTCTCTATATAATCTAGATGCAAATCTTTTGGGGATAGAGAGTTTTATTTCTTCATTTCCAATTTGTAGGCCTTTTATTTATTTTTATTGCCTAATTGCAGTGGCTACAACTTCCAGTACTATGTTGAATAAGAGAGATGAGAGTGGACATCCTTGCATTGTTTCCAATCATAGGGCAAAAGCGTTCAGTCTTTCACCATGAAGTATAATGTTGGCTGTAGGTTACTTGTAGGTGTTTTTATCAAGTTGAGGCAATTCTCCTCTGTAGGGGGTTAAATTGTGTCCCTCAAAAAGATAAGTTCAATTTCTAACCTCCAGTATATGTGAATGTGACCTTATTTAGAAATAGGGTTTTTGCAGATGTAATTAAGGATCCTGAGATGAGATAATCACTGATTTAGAGCAGACCCTAAATTCAATGACTGTTGTCCTTATAAGAAAACGGAGAGGGAGGCTTAACACAGAGACTCACAAAGGGAAAGGCTCTGTGAAGACAGAAGCAGAGACTGGAATGATGCATCTATAAGCCAAAGAATACCGAGAATTGCCAGCAGCCATCTAAGAGAGACTTATGGCACAGATTCTCCTTCAGAGACCTCAGAAGAAACCAACAGTTTGATTTAAAACATTTGGCCTCCAGAACTGTGAGAGAATTAATTTCTCTTGCTTTAAGCCACCCCATTTGTGGCAATTTGTTACAGCTGCTCTGGGAAACAAATACACCCTCTATTCCTAACTTGCTGAGTTTTAATGATGAATGGGTATTGGATTTTGTCAAATGCTTTATCTGCATCAGTTGATATGATCATATTTTTTTTTCTTTAGCCTGTTGATATGGTGGATTACACTGAATGCTTTTTGAATGTTGAACCAGCCTTACAAACCTGAAATAAATCCCATTTGGTCATGGTGTATAATTCTTTTCATACATTGTTGGATTCAATTTGCTAGTGTTTTGCTAAGGATTTTTGTGTCAAAGTTCATGAGAGAGATATTGGCCTGTAGTTTTCTATTTTTGTACTGTTTTTGTCTGGTTTTGGTATCAGGATAATACTGGCCTCATAAAATGAGTTGGAAGTGTTTCCTCCTGTTCTATTTTTTGGAAGAGAATGTGTAAAACTGATCTTAATAATTCTTTAAATGTTTGCTAGAATTATTTGCTGAAGCTATCTAGGCCTGGAGATTTATTTTGTAGGAGCTTTTAAAATTATGAATTCAATTTCTTTAATGGTTATAGAGCTATTCAGATTATCCATTTCATATTGGGTGAGTTCTAGTAGTTTGCTGCTTTGGATAAATTGGCCAATTTTTTTCTAAGTTGTCAAATATATGAATGTATAATTGTTCATAATATTCTCTCATTATATTTTTAATGACTGCAGGATCTATAGTGATATTCCATATTTCATTTCTGATATTAGTGATTTGGGTCTTAACTCTTTTTATTAGTCTTGCTAGAAGTTTGTCAGTTTTACTGATTTTTTTTTCAGAAAAGCAAATTTTTGTGTTATTAATTTTTCCCTATAGTTTTTCTATTTCAAATTCATTGATTTCAGCTCTTTATTATTCCCTTCCTTCTGCTTGCTTTGGGTTTATTTTGGTCTTCTTTTCTAGATCCTTGATGTAGAAATTTAGGTTATTGACTTAAGACCTTCCTTTATTTCCAATGTAAACATTTAGTGTTAGAAATTTCTCTCTCAGAATTGCTTTATCTACATGGTACATATTTCAATATGTTGTGTTTTCATTTGCATTCAGTTCTACGCATTTTTAAAAAAATTCCTTTTGAGATTTCCTCTTTGATCCACGGATTATTTAGAACAGTGTTGTTTAATTTCCACGTGTTTAGATACTTTTCTGCTACAGATTTCTAGTTTCATTGCATTGTAGTCAGAGAATATACTCTGTATGATTTCAATTATTTTAAATTTGTTTAGGTTTGTTTTACGGCCAAGCACATTATCTATCTTGGTGAATGTTCTGTAGGTGCCAAAAAAAAGTGTGTTCTGCTGTTGTTGGGTGGAGTTTTCTATACAAAGAGATATAATTTAAAACCACTATGGAAAAACCAATATAAAATCGTAAAAATATTCAACTGGATCCTGTTAATTGACTGTCTTTTTCAGATCTTCCCTATATTTACTGATGTTCTGTCTAGTAGATTTATCAATTTCTGAGAGGGGGTATTGAATTTCCCAACTATAATTGTGGATTTGTCTCTTTCTTCTTTTAGCTTGATCAGTTTTTGTTCATGAATTTTGAGACATAGTTGTTTGGTGTGTACCCATTAAGGATCATTGTATCCTCCTGCTGGATTGATCCATTTATCATTAGGTAATGTCTCTGTTTATCTCTTTTAACTTTCTTTGCTCTGAAGACTATTTTATCAGATATTAATGAAGCTTCTCCAGATTTTTGAAAAATTAATACTTATGTGGTACATCTTTTTCTATATTTTTACTTGCAATCTTCCTATGTCATCAAATTTAATGTGAGTTTCTTGTGAATAGCATATAGAGTAGTTCCCCCTTATTCCAGGGAGATATATTCCAAGACCCCCAGTGGATGCCTGAAACCATGGATAGTACTGAACTCTATGTATACTATATATATTTTTCCCCCATACACACAAACCTATGATAAAGTTTAATTTATAAATTAGGCACAGTAAGAGATTAACAATGATAACTACTAATAAATAGAACAATTATACCAATGTACTGGAGTAAAAATTATGTGATTGTGTTCACACACTCACACTCTTTCTCACAAAATATCTTATTATACTGTACTATGGGTAACTGAAACCTCAGAAAGTAAAACCACAGATAAAAGGGGACTACTGTAGTGGTATTCGCATTCAATATAATTATTTAATGTAATTATTGATATATTATTCTTGTTTGCTATTTTATTATTTGTTTTTTGTTTGTTCCCTTTAGTTCTTATTCTTCTGTTTCCCTTTTCTTGCTTTTCTGATAGTTACTTGAGCATTTTTTATGATTCCATCTTGACTTATTCATAGTGTTTTAAAATATATATCTTTGTAGAGTTTTCCCAGTGGTTTCTCTGGGTATTCAACATTCATGTGTGAGTCATAACAGTCTACTCATATCAATATTTTACCACTTTGATTGAAGTGTATAAACCTCACTTCCATTTAGTTTCCTTTACCTTCCCCACTTTTAAATATCATTGTCTAGAGTATAAAATGGTGTTATAATTTTGCTTCAATTATCAAATATGATTTATAGAACTCATGAGTTAAAAGATAGTCTACTTTATGTACTTACATTTCTGCTCTTTCTGTTGTCCTTTCATCCTTCCTGATTGCTCTTTATCATTTATTCTCTGTTTGAAGAAATCCCTTTAGCTATTTTTTAACAGTATGTCTGCTAGCAACAAATCTTTTTGTTTTCCTTCAACTGAGAATTTAATTATTTCCCCTTAATTCCTGAAGGATAGTTTCACCAGATATGGATTCTATTTTCTGTCATCTCTGCTCTTCTATTGAGTCCATCAGCCAGTTTTTCATTTTTGTTATTTTATTTTACAGTTCTATAATTTATATTTGTTTTTTGGGGGGAGGGGACAAACAAGCCAGTTTTATTCAAAAAATAATTCCAAGGGGGAAAAAAGAAAACTGAGAAAGAGCCTATAGATTGTAAGGGTCTTTAGAAAAATAGTAGATAATTGCAAAGTATGTATTTTTTAAATTCTTGTTTTTAACTTAATTTTTATTTTAATTAATTAACAAATAATTATTGCATATATTTATGGGATACAATGTGATATTTTAATATATGCATACACTGTGGAATAATTACATCGAGCTAATTAACATATCCATCACCTCACGTAATTTATCCTTTTTTTTGTTTTTTGTTCTGTTTTGTTTTGTTTTCAGACAGGGTCTCACTCTGTCACCCAGGTTGGAGTGCAGTAGTGTGATCTCGGCTCACGGCAACCTCTGCCTCCCAGGCTTAAGCAATTCTCCCATCTCAGCATCCCGAGTAGCTAGGACCACAGGCACATGCCACCATGCCCAGCTAATTTTGTGTGTGTGTGTGTGTGTGTATTTTTGGTAGAAATAGGGTTTCACCACGTGGCCCAGGCTCTTCTCGAAATCCTGAGCTCAAGTGATCCACCTTCCTTGGCCTCCCAAAGTGGCGGGATTACAGGCATGAGCCACCACATCTGGCCTACCTATCTTTTGTTTCGTTTTGTTTTTTTCATAGCAGGAACATTTAAAATCTATTATTTTTTTGAATACTTTTTTGGGGAACAGGTGATGTTTGGTTACGTGGATAAGTTCATTAGTGGTGATTTCTGAGATTTTGGTGCCCCCATTACCCGAACAGTGTACACTGTACCCAATGTGTAGACTAAAATCTTATGCTTTTAGCAGTTTTGAAATGCACATACATTATTATCAACTATGGTGAGCATGCTGCAAAATAGGTCTTAAAAACTTATTCCTCTTGTCTAACTGGAACTTTGTACCCTTTGGTCAACTTCTCCCCATTTCCCACTCCCTCCAAGCCACAGTCCCTGGTAACCATTCTACTCTAATTCTGAGTTCAACTCTTTTAGATCTCACATATAAGTGAGATTATGTGGTGTTTGTCTTTCTGTGTCTGGCTTGCTTCACTTAGCATAATGTCCCCCAGGTTCATTCATGCTGTAGCAAATGACAGAATTTCCTTCTTTCTTATATTTTTATAACTTCTTTTTCTTTTCTGCAAGTTTCCTTTTTTTTCTTTATTTGTTTTAAGATAATGTTAATTGATTGTTGAGGCATTTTTATGATGGCTACTTTGAAATCCTTGTCAGATAATTCCAACATCGAACTCATCTTAATGTTGGCAGTAGTTGCCTTTTCTCAGTCAAGTTGTGATTTACTTGATTCTTGGTATGACAGATGATTTTTGATTGAACATTTTGTCTACTATGTTAGGAAACTCATATTTACATTTTTTATTTTTGCAGTCAGTCACATTATTTATGCTTCACATGCAAGCAGGTGTTGGCTTACTTTTGTGGTCTGTTGTTCTAACAGCAGTTTAATTTTCAGTATTGTTTTGCTCTGTTTGGTTTATCGGATATCACTGAGGCTGACATTTGTCCCAGATCATATCGCCTGAAGGAGCAGAAAGGTTTCCCTAGGTCAGGCTTCCAGGTGCCTCTCAGTTGGGGTAGGTATGGTGGGACACTTCTACTGGCGCCCTGCACTGTTGGTGTCTCTATGGGTAGGAGAGGACAGTCATACACCCACTGAGACAGAGCCTTCCCAGACTGGGCCGCTTGCCATCACTTTATGCCTCGTGTCTGTTCTACCCTCCCACCTCGATATCTCTAGGTGAAAGTGGGACATCTCAGGCCTGGGGAGAAGGCAAATGCTTCTTTTGTCCACTGTTGTTGGTGGGGTTTCTGAAGATCCCCCCTTACCTGTGGTGTTGGGCCTACCTGATGTTGTCAGAGGGACTCTGAGGGAGGAGTAAGCTTACCTGGGCTGCCCTCTGTTGTTCAGTTGGGTATCAGGAATGGCCAGGACTAGGTTTCTTTCTTCTGCTGGGTGGGAAACATAGGATACCCTTGCTCTTTGTTTTTCCCTGGGTCTCAAACCAGTTTGCCTTCTCCTTACAACCTTCCAGAGTTCTACCCTGGTTGTCTCTTGCATTATTTCCAGGGTTTATACTTGTGCTTAGCAGGGAGGAACAATGAAAAACAGGTCTGTACTACATGTCCAGACCAGAAATCTCCCTCAGTTTTTAAGAGTGTAAAATTGTCCTGAGACCACAAATTTTGAGAACTGTTGGCCTTACAGAAAGATGAAGTAATTAAGCTCCCCATAGGATTTGGAGGCCCACCGAAGGGCACCCTACCCAAATCCAGCCTGCCACTACACTAAAATTCTCAGTTCTATATGAGCACTTTCCAAAGGGCTATTTTAGGTGATGGCACTTTGGGGAGCACTATACAGTCACTGTCTTATCTTATTAACTGGTTGCTATGCATTGCATTGTCGAAGACTATAAAAGTTCTCCAGGATGGGTCACGGGATTGGCAGGCAAGCACTGGAAGAGAAAGTCAAGTTCAAGAGACGCTCTCTATGCTGTCCTAGTTGCCTGCAGGGTAACAGAGGGTGTTGGAGGGTTGAGGGTGAAGGGATGAGGATACAGAAATTATGAAAGATTCAGAGGAAATTGCATAGAGGGACTAATTCCTGTCCATCTTCCCAATTTTGCATACCCAAAGACTTATTTATTTCATATTTTTCTTACTTAATGACAGCAGTCAGACAAAAAGAACTTAAAGGATTGACAAACACTTTTAAAAAGTAAAAGAAAAAAAATCGTTGTACTGATTACTCTTGGTTTCATGGATTCAATATCTGTGTTCTCTGTCACAGCCAGGTCACCTGGTCCAGCTGCTTTCCTGCCAGAAGCTGGCTGTTTACATGGCAACCAATGCACTGATAAATTAAGAAAAGTGCCTGAATGCAAACAAAAATGCAGCACTTTTTAACTCCATACAGTTTCCCTCTTCCCAATATTCTCCTCCCCATGCTTTCCTGGTTTCCATAATGCCTCCTCCAAAAAGGAAATTGGCTTTCAGAAAGCAGCTAATCTTTCCAACAAAAACTTCACTGGAGAAAGATGGTTCCCTCCCACCCTCAAAGAGCCCATTTCATTTCTCCTGGAAGTTAGCCACATCTCTGGCCGTGCTTAAATGATGACTTCCAAATGTCTTTAAAGTGTCCAAAATAAAAAGGATAAAACTGGGGTTTTGGTAGCCCTTAAAGTTCCCAGACTTATTCCCTAAAAACAGAGATTTTAGAGATATTATTTGGCCATAATTTTTGTTCTCTAGTTTGGGACCCAGTATCTGTTACGAGATTGGTTAAGGGTGAGAATTTATGAACAGATAAGGCAAAACAATAAACAAAACCCCACAAACCCCCTTTGAAGACCACTCTTGGAAAAAGTGTTTGATGGCAGAGTACACACAGTACTCACACAAGTCAAGCCATGGAAGAGGCTGTGGAGCCTAGCAACAAATATCAATTGAGCACCCATTTTGTGCCACAAACAGTGCTGAACACTGGGGAAACAAGAATGAACATGACAGACACAATCTCTGCCATCCCTCAGTGCAGCAGGAAGCCATTTATAGCACAGATGAGAATAGAGGTGAATGAAAATCAAGGATTTGGAAAATATAAATCTGATTCAAACATTTCTAACATTTTAAATATAGAAGATATATAAATGTGTAACTAATTAGAAATCTGCAAAAGTTTAATAATATCACCTTGGAATTAGGATGGTAATTTCAAATTTTAAAGTGAGACAATATTTTTTGAGGTACTACACATTGTCATGTAAATAAGTAACAGTTGGCAAAGCAAAACCTCCAGGCCATTTTATTGCCCAGATTCCCAATTCTTAGCACCATAACCAATTAAATTCTGAAGAAAAGATGTTTTTCAGACATTGTCCAACCATGATATAGTGATGATATGCTTCAGAGCTAAAAGTTATATATTTCCAGATGAGCCTTTTTAAAATGTCACATCATTCAATTAGTGCACATTACTTAAAACCTCTGAGCTCACCCTTACAGTGCTGTCCAACAGAACTTCCTGTGATGATGGAAATGTTCTATCTCTGCGCCATCCAGTTCAGTAGCCCAAATAGAATTATCAAACACTTGAAATGTGGCTAGTGAAACTGAGGAACTGACTTTATAATTTTCATTAATCTGAAGTGATTTAAATTTCAATAGCCACATGTAGACAATGGGCAGTGCAAACTTAGTCCTAAAGTGGAGGTGATTCTCTGAGTGTCAGGGAAAAAAGTTCCCTTCCTTTGGATTAAGTCATTCTAAGTTGAGAAATTATTTAAAAATTGAATAAGTCAGAAAAATCTCTACATCAATAGGACTGTGAATAAATAGCAAAGTAAAGATTAGTATCTGATTTAAACAAAACCCAAGAACGCAATGTCCCTCTCTGACTTGACCAAATTTAAAAACAAAACAAAAATGCATATGTGGTTGAAATATGTGTAATCTCTTTTAAAAACCAGTGCTTACCTGCACGTTGTGCACATGTATCCTAAAACTTAAAGTATAATAATAATTAAAAAAGTGCTTATTATTAAAGAAAAATAATCCAAGATGTACACACTTAATCAACATTTAAAAATATTTTTAGGCTGGGCGCAGTGGCTCACGCCTGTAATCCCAACACTTTGGGAGGCTGAGGTGGGCGGGTCGCCTGAGGTTGGGAGTTCAAGACCAGCCTGACCAACATGGAGAAACCCTGTCTCTACCAAAAATACAAAATTAGCCGGGCGTGGTGGTGCATGCCTGTAATCCCAGCTACTCAGGAGGCTGAGGCAGTAGAATCACTTGAACCCGGAAGGCGGAAGTTGCGGTGGGCCGAGATCGTGCCATTGCACTCCAGCCTGGGCAACAAGACTTAACTTCGTCTCAAAAGAATATATATATGTGTATATATATATATATATATATATATATATATATATATATATGTGTGTGTATATATATATATATATGTGTATATATATATATGTGTATATATATATGTGTATATATATATATGTGTGTATATATATATATGTGTATATATATATGTGTATATATATATGTATATATATATGTGTATATATATGTATATATATATGTATATATATATATATATAGAGAGAGAGAGAGAGAGAGAGAGAGAATGTCTTGTATTTTGGTGGTGATTGTTCATTCATTTAATGCCTACAAGGTGGCAAACATTTTGCTTATAGAAGGATTATTATCCTCCTAATGTACCACAGCAAAATATCCCCCAAATATTCATATTTAATCTGATAGATTTGAAGTGATTTAATTTCCAGCAACTTCATATATAATAGATTCATTTTGACTTAGGAAATAATATAATCAAATGATCACTCACTTTTTTGGATTTGAGTGCAAACTCAAAGTTCAAATATATTACTCCTTTAAAATGCATAGCATATACCTCCAGAAAATGAAACCCACATTAACATATCTTTCTAAGAGGTGACTAATACATATTTCAAATACCTAAAATGATATGCATAAATTTTTTGCAGAAGTTTGATTAAAACTCGTTTTCCTGAATTAGAATTTAACCTAAGAATTCCTAAGAAGTCATTGAAAATATTTTGATTTAAGCAAAATCTGACCTGTTTAGTTATATCAAAATCAATTTTAAATATGTATGTGAAAATGATGTCTGGATGTTTGGAATTTGGGAAAGTAATTCATTCTTTCAACAAACATTTACTATGCATCCACTATGTGTTAGGCACCACGCTTAACACCAAAAAGTGACATTCTCTCCAAAACAAGTCCAGGAAGAACATCAAATTGCACATTGATGGAAACACTATCAGTTGTCCAGATCAACTGATGAACACTGCTAATGACAGGTGTAGATTACTAAAGTGATCCTTTCTCTGACTTCAATACATATGTAAGCACAGCAAACGACAATAGAGCATACCACAATTTGCTGTACTGACACTACTGCTTTGGGCCAACTAGATAATATGTGTGTAGATATATAGTGTACACTATATACCAACAAAATCAGTTATATAGTAACTTAGGAAACACACTCTGAAGTATTTATTGGTCTTGTTCTAAAAGTCACAATAAAATAAAATCCTGACATGATGCTAAACAATTTTTTTAAACAATAAAAAAGTATACAAGGAATAAACCCAATTTTTAAAATGTAATATATACACCTGCAAATAAAAGAATAATAATTCACCCAAATCTGAGTGGTAAAATTGCAGATGATTTTTATTTTATTTTAAATTTCCATATTTCCAACCTTTCTACAATGACCATGCATTACATTTATAATCAGTAAAAATTACTTGTATGTTAGGTACAGTTAAAAAAAAAAAAAACTGTTCTTAACAACCGTTCCAAACCCTGTGCCTAGTATGGGCCAGGGCAAGGCTTCACATAGGGAAACAGGTATGATCTTAGAGGGCTGATGCAGAAGGCCCAGGGGTCGACCCAACTGGCTAATGACTGGAAACCCTTTAAGAAGAGACAAAACTTCCATATCTAAAGTTACATTTAAATGAATATGCCTGGGGAGAAGGGAAAATAGGAACATGTGTTTCCAGCTCTAGGGCCTAGTTAGGTCACTGGACAAATGGAGTATTGCCTTCTGGTGATGTTTAACTCCATAAAACATCTATGCTTAAACATTTAGTAATGAACATTTAAAGAACTATTTCTAAACATGAGATCACTTTGAAAAGTAACACTTTTTTCTAATTATAAAAATAGCATAATGTTCTTCGTAGAAAACCCAGGAAGTATGAAAAGCTGGGAAATAAAATTAAAATCATCTATAATCCCATCACCCAGAGGCAACCACCATGAGCACTTCGGTATATAACCTTCTAGTAATTTATTCTAGGCATATGTGTGCATCCTGCTTTTTCACTTAATATTTTATCGTGGGTATTTTCTTATGTCATTAATACGCCTAGTAAACCTCATTCTAACCACTGCCTAATATTACTAATGGCTTGAAAATCCTGTTTTTGGATAAACAATATTATTGTATTTACTATGGACCTAACTTATAAGAACAGATGCAAAATGTATCTGATATTTGAAAACTACCCAAGGGATTTTTGGAATTAATGATCTCTCCTGGATCTAACTAACATCAGTATTTTGATTCCAAAATTGATTTTCTTCTGTTCAGATACCTAAAATCACCCATGTTGTGCACCATAAATCACTCACATATTTTGCAAAATACAGTCTTAGGATTGGAAAACCACAACTCCTTAAGAAATATTAGACAGTAAAGTACTCAGTAAATTTCTGTTCTTCCCATATGTAAGCCAGGGCAGGCCCTCCAACCCAGGCTCTGCCTGCTAGAGCAAGTCAATCACTGAGCTTAAAGGAAACACTAAAGTAAGTAAAACAGAGACAAAATTATCCCTAGCACAAAGTTTGGTTTCTGAGTAAATTCATTTTTTTCACTTTTCAAAGTAAGTAAAGTAATAAACTATATTTTTTTCTGAGAAAATTTTCATTCAGAAGCTCCATAAAACAATAATATTATGGGCTTACACCCCTAATATATCAGCATGGCATATGTTTGCTAAGCAAGAGTTCTGAAAATTAACTCATCATACTAATCACAATTCATTTGAAGTACAGGAGATGAAAATTCTATGTAAAAATGTGGAATTTTTATTTAAAAGGAAACTCTGTTTCCAATTATATTTGGTGGTTTGGAGATCCTTTCCTTACCTGCAAGGCAGCTTAGGATCAGAAAGACCTTCCAAAATGCGAACACCATTGTGTGGAGGTTAGTTGAGAGCAGCAGGTGCCAGTAGCTTGCCTGGACTAGGCTGAGTCTCAAATTGGCTTCTTCGATCACACCGAGGTTTGCCTGGCTTATCTGCTGGGCATCGCCAAGCAAACATGCCTCTTTGGGCTTACTTATTGCGTATAGACTTTTTTCAGTACAGATTTGTGTTTCTTTGAAACACTTTTCATGGGGCGTGTTTCCTTGATATATTTGCTACTGTGTTAATAATAAACCCACGCATTTAAATTATTCAAGCTCCTTGTACACAGATTCTCTAAGTCTCATTGTTTAAAATCAATCTTACTAAAACGTTGTACTTGGGCTGGGGGATATGGTTGGAAGAGAGCCTATGCAAATAAAAGCTGACAAGGCTAATTAATTTCAAATATTTCCATGAGTCTTACAGAATTGATTCACTAACCTCCTTTTACAAATTAAGTTAGTAAATTGGTACTATATCGTTTCCTGGGGAGATGGGGCTCACGGGAAGGGCACAGGGGTTATGAAGCTAAAAAGCATTCATTTCTGTGTGAACAAACTCTGGATATGTTACTCTTTTTTGAAACACTGGCAGTTGTCACTACCCTCCACCAAAACTAGCAGTAAAATGATTTACATGCTTTTGTCTGTCGGGTTAGAAACCTTATAGCACGTATTTGCTAACGTAATTTTGCAAAATCAAGTTAGTGAATACATGCTTAAAGACTTTCTTTGGAGAAGTCTGATTTTTTGGAGAATTAAGATACTCAGTAAATGCTATAGGGTTTCCTTAGAAATGGAGGTTCACCAGGAGGGCATGGGAGGCTCCACAGGTAAGGAACTTTCATGGGAACATGAACTTCTAATAGTGTTCCTATTATGCTTAAGTTACCCGGAGAAACCTAAGGACTTTCTCTGGCTCTTCCCATGTGATTTCTAAGTCCTATCATTTCCATCTCCACAGCGACTTTCAGATGTGTTCTTTCTCCAATCTGCTGCTTCCATCTTGGTCCAGGTACTCAGCTTCCCACTTTGGCCTATCATAGCAGCTTCCTAAGTGGTCTCCCTGACTTATTCCACCTTCATCCTGTGTGCCAGCCGCAGGCCAATGTTCCAGCCCTAGTGAAATATTTCCAGTAACACCATAAATGGACTCTTTCATCAAATCCAAAGTCCTTAATATGGATTCCCATTCTTCCAATATCTGATCCTCACCTCATCTGAACTTTAGCCACATTAACTCATGCCCCTGAAAAAGTATGTCAAGATTTATTGCCTCAAAGTGTTCAGTCACATGAAATGTGTACAAATTTCAAGTGATATGTTTTATGTTCCTGTCTTTAATTTACAGGAAATGTTTGACCCCATCTTACTTTAGCCATTCCAATCTCCCACTGCTTCTTAGAAAGCCATTTTGCTTCCATCATGCCTGATTCCTCCTTGCAGCCTATCCTGTCCATGCTCATGTCTGATGCCAAACGTTGGCTCCAGGTGATTTCCATCACTAGAGTTTTCTTCTTCCTCCTCTTACTAGCCAAGTATATTCTTAGCATAGATCAGTCATACTGTCCTATGTGAGAATTTCAATGAACCGACATACCACCCTAGCATAAATTTCCATTTTACTTAAAGCCAATATCCTACAGCTGACCATTGATTATTCTCCAGTAGTTTCGCATTTATTAACTGGTCTACCTTAAATCTAGTCACTGTGAATCCCTCCAGGGTAGGGACCATGTCTTATACAGGCAGTTCCCAACTTTAAAATGAGCGTGTCCCAAGATGTAATGGTAAACTCGTTGACTGCACGCAAGAACTCCTGCAGAAGCAATGTTATAATATGAGTCTCACTGTCAGGCATGTAGCACATAATCTAGCACTGGCTTGAATTCTGCGTACTGGGCCGTATAAGGCAGTGGAGGGTGAGGAGGAACAGCAGGTGACAGAGAAAGAACGTTCCTTTCATTTCCCAAGATATGACTTGTGCACAAATCAACATTTTCCCCCAAATAACTATTGCATGTCTCTGACATCCACCTTCTCTTCTGCCTCCCACCTTCACGGCCCCCTGGCTCCTGGGTCCCTAGTTTGCCCTAAGGGAGAGTCTCATTCCCCAGAATATCTCATGCTCCAAAATTACTTTTTCCTTTTCACCTCTATTCCTCCCAGAAACCCTCCCTTTCCCCTGTATAAGCAGACAGCAGCTCCATGTTAGGAAGGGAAAAAAAAACGTTTCATTGAACATTCTCCAACCTGTTTGTGCTATTAAAAATACAGTGCTTACTTTCCTCACATAAATCTCTGACCAGGAGAATTAGGCAATGCAATAAAGAGAAATAGTTTGAGGGAGAAGATTTTGCAAAGGAGGACAACTTGTAGGGTGGGTCTCTGGAGATCCATACCACCTTTTCTCAGGCTTGGTTCTGCCTTGACTTCTAAGTCCACCAAGTCTCTAAAAGACCCATAGTTTTCACAATGCCCCCCACCCTGGAAGTAATACCGGTAGTTCCAGTGGTGAGGACGTGGGATGGGGAGCGAAATTTATAAGTCTGGCATTTGTAAGCCAGAAGCTTCCTGTGTTTCCTTCCATGCCCCATAAGTGATTATAGTAGTGTGACCATTGATCATTAAAACTAGGACACTTTTGAAAGTGAAAGGGGCACTATTAGCAATTACCTGGGAAAGACAGCATAAACAGTAACAGTGCCAGACAAACCTGGGTGTCTGGTTACCTACCCACAGGGGATTACTAGGCACAAAGTAGGTGCTAAGTAAGAGCTTGCTAATTAATTCAGTATGTCTGAGTTGGTTGGCCCTAAGATGAGTGCAGCAGAGGGTATGATTTAAGGATATTGCCCAAACCCATCTGCACCAAAATCTGTTGTGCAAACACAAAACACTCTGGAATATTTAAGTAAAATATCTATACTGCTGCTATGTAAGACCTAACCAGGACAGGAAGAATTCTGTTATAACAAACTCTAAAAGAGAATTTAAACTCTCTGCTTGGACCTGGATTTTGATGTTATTAACTATTGCTTAAAAAGTGGGTCATTAACTAGGACACGAAATATTAAATATCCTTTGCAGTTTTATAGAGCTTTATAATTTTTAAACTAATTTTCCATTTTATCTTTGTAGCTTTCCAATACAACAAATAAATCAGGTATACCTACATTTTCTATATAAGAAAACTGAGGCTCAAAAGTGCTGTGCTTTTCCCAAGGTCACCATAGCACGCATTAGAAGCTGTTCCTATCACACCACACAATGGCACGGTGTGATTGTAATGTAACAAATATGCTACTGCCCCCAGTATTCTTCCTTGGGAACTTTCAGAAATATGTGATATCTGATTTATCCCTCATTTTTAACTTAAAAATTACAAAAGTAATACATTTTGATAGTAAATGGTTTTCAAAGGACAAACAAGGATACAGAGGAAAAAAAGTCCCATTCATTCACTCACACATGTAATCCCTTTCCCAGGCTCACATGGAACAGGAGTTTAGCATTTTTCTCAGACCTTTTTCTATGCATGTACACATGCACAAACACACACACACACACACACACACACACACACGAGGTTTTTTAAAACATAAAGATGATAATACTGTACATTTTGTTCTATAATTTGCTTTTCTCCCTTAAAAAAGGTATTTTTATTCTCTCTTTCTGTCACTGGGTCCAACTGCATCTATAGATCAACCTTGTCCATGTTAAGGCTGCATGGTATTTCATGATATGAATGTACCTCAATTTATTTAATCATTCTCTTATTGGTAAATTCTTAGATGGTTTCCAGTTTTTCAATATTATTGACAATGGTTCAATGAACATGTAGCTTTCCAATACAACAAATAAGTCAGGTATACCTACATTTTCTATATAAGAAAACTGAGGCTCAAAAGTGCTGTGCTTTTCCCAAGGTCACCATAGCACGCATTAGAAGCTGTTCCTATCACACCACACAATGGCACGGTGTGATTGTAATGTAACAAATATGCTACTGCCCCCAGTATTCTTCCTTGGGAACTTTCAGAAATATGTGATATCTGATTTATCCCTCATTTTTAACTTAAAAATTACAAAAGTAATACATTTTGATAGTAAATGGTTTTCAAAGGACAAACAAGGATACAGAGGAAAAAAAGTCCCATTCATTCACTCACACATGTAATCCCTTTCCCAGGCTCACATGGAACAGGAGTTTAGCATTTTTCTCAGACCTTTTTCTGTGCATGTACACATGCACAAACACACACACACACACGAGGTTTTTTAAAACATAAAGATGATAATACTGTACATTTTGTTCTATAATTTGCTTTTCTCCCTTAAAAAAAGTATTTTTATTCTCTCTTTCTGTCACTAGGTCCAGCTGCATCTATAGATCAACCTTGTCCATGTTAAGGCTGCATGGTATTTCATGATATGAATGTACCTCAATTTATTTAATCATTCTCTTATTGGTAAATTCTTAGATGGTTTCCAGTTTTTCAATATTATTGACAATGGTGCAATGAACATCCTTTTGTCAAGATCTGCCCACTTGTGTGATTATTATTGTAGATTAGGTCCCTAGAAATGGAATTGCTTGATCAAAGGGTATGTAGTTTACATTTTTGGTAGACTGCAAAATTGTCCGCCAGAAGTTCTTTACAAACCATACCTCCATTAAGAGTGTATGAGAGTGCCTGCTTCTCCACAGCCTTGTTGGCAATGAAAATTATCAGTCTTTTATTTATTTATTTACTCTGTAAACCTCCTCTGTGGTCCTCAGCCTTTTATTTTTACTAGTATCATGGGTGAAAATTGGTATTGTGTTGTTGCTTTAATTTGTATTTCTGTAATGTGGTTGGGCCTCTTTGTAGAGGTTTACTGGCCTAACTGGTATTCCTTTCCCTGTGAATTGCTTGTTTACAAGCTTAGCCCATTTTTCCACTGGGTTATCTGTCTTCTGATATTATAGAAGTACTCTTTATATGTTATGAATCTTACTCTGGGTTTGGTATCTATGTTATAAACATTTTCTTCTGGTCTATCACTTTCCTTTTTAATTTTATGTTTTTCACCATAAAGAAATTTTCATTATGTTTTAATCTATCAATTTTTTTCTTTGCAGCTTCTGAGTTTCATGCCTTCCTTAGGCAAGTCTTCCCCAATCCAAGACTATAGAAATATTATTCTATATTATTATTGTATAATTATGATATTATATATTCTGTTAATGCTTCTATAATTTTATCTCTTGCAATCTCAGTTATAGCAATCCTGTTCTTCTAGTTGCTCAGGACAAAACCTTGGTATCATCCTTGAGTCTTCTCGTTTTCTCATATAACACATCCAATTTGTCAGCAAATTCTTTGGGCTCTGTGTTTCAAGCCTATCTAGACTCTAAGCACTTCCCCCATCTTTGCTGCCCCCCTCTTCATCTGAGCCACCAGTGCCCATTACCCGGATCATGGCTATAGCCTCCTAACTGGTCTTCCTGCTTCCACCTTTGTCCTTCTCACAGTCTATTCTTATCACAGCAGGCAAAAAGATTCTTTTAATATGTAAGTCAGACCATGTCTCACCTTTGCTCAGATTCTCCACTCGTTTCCAATTTGGTAGAAACCAAAGCATTTAAAATAGCTAGAGGCTGGGTGTGGTAGCTCACGTCTGTAATCCCAGCACTTTGAGAGACTGAGACGGGTGGATCATTTGAGGTCAGGAGTTCGAGAACAGCCTGGCCAACGTGATGAAACCCCCGTCTCTACAAAAAATACAAAAAGAAAAAAAATTAGCTGGGCGTGTGGTGGCACACACCTGTAATCACAGCTACTCGGGAGGCTGAGACAGGAGAATCGCTTGAATCCGGGAATTGGAGGTTGCAGTGAGCCCAGATCAGGCCACTGCACTCCAGCTTGGGCGACTGGGGAGCGAGACTCCATCTCAAAAACAATAACAAACGAACAAACAAAAAATTACCTAGGAATGTATAGCCCATGTGTGAAGTATCCTAGTTAACACATTCTAGGTGGTTGATGGGGGGCAATTATAAGCCCCTAAATTTGCTTAAGTCAATTCCAGTGCCCTTTGTATTTCTCTTACAGTTGTGCTGTCCAATGTGGCAGCCACAAGCCTCAAGTAGCTTTTGAACACTTGAAATGTGCTGTAAGTGTAGCAAACACATTAGATTTCAAAGACTTAACATGGAAAAATATCATTAATTCT
Source organism: Homo sapiens (assembly GCF_000001405.40). Lineage (NCBI taxonomy): Eukaryota > Metazoa > Chordata > Mammalia > Primates > Hominidae > Homo > Homo sapiens. The sequence goes on along the minus strand of NC_000023.11, from coordinate 108,038,917 downwards.
TATGCTGACTATATAAATAATAATATTTGGAATATATTGGGTTAAGTAAAACATATTATTAAAATTTAAAAAAATAAAATAGCTTAGAAGACGCTAAAATGATCTGTCTTACCCACACCACCACCTCTCTAACCTCATCTCTTAGCATACTTCCCCCCTGCACTCTGCTCTAGCCATACTGCTCTCCTTGTTGAATCCTCAACTAGCCTGGCACATGCCCACTTTTAAAAAGGCATTTAAGCTGCATAGTATTCCATGATGTATATGTGCCACATTTTCTTTATCCAGCCTATCACTGATGGACATTTGGGTTGGTTCCAAGTCTTTGTTATTGTAAATAGTGCTGCAATAAACATACGTGTACATGTGTCTTTATAGTAGAATGATTTATAATCCTTTGGGTATATACCCAGTATTGGGATTGCTGAGTCAAATGGTATTTCTGATTCTAGATCCTTGAGGAATTGCCACACTGTCTTCCACAATGAGATCATGTCCTTTGCAGGGACATGGATGAAGCTGGAAACCATCATTCTCAGCAAACTAACACAGGAACAGAAAACCAAACACCGCATGTTCTCATTCATAAGTGGGAGTTGAACAATGAGAACACATGGACACAGGGAGGGGAACAACACACACCGGGCCTGTCACGAGGTTGGGGTTCAAGGGGAAGGAGAGCATTAGGAAAAATAGCTAATGCATGCAGGGCTTAAAACCTAGATGACTGGTTGATAGGTGCTGCAAACCACCATGGCACATGTAAACATATGTAAAAAACCTGCACGTTCTGCATATGTATCATGGAACTTAAAGTAAAATAAAAAAAAGAAAGATGAAAAAAGGCATTTATACTAGCAGTTGACTCTGCCTGTGTGACACTTTCACCCTGGGTATCAGCAGAAATGACTCCCTCATCTTCTCTAGATCTTTGCCCAATTATCAGTTTTCAGCAAGGTTACACAATTTTAAATTTTAACTGTCCCCACTCCAGCCCTCCCAATCCACCTGCTTTTTCCTTTTTTCATAGCACTCATTACTTTTTCACATAATACACAATTTACTTATTATTTGCTTCACCACCCAGCTAGAATGTAAGTTTCAAGAAAGTAGGAATTTCAGTCTGTTTTGTTCACTATTTATCCCGAGGGCATAGAACTGTGCTTTACACACAGTAGGCACTGAATAACTATTTGTTAAATTGGTGAATTTATGAATTTGGATTTAATCCATTTGGAGTATTTTTTGTGTATTGTGTGGGATAAGGTGAAATGTTTTTTAAATGTCCTAAAGTCTGAAATAGTGGCAAATCATTACCCTTTGATGAAGATTTGCTCTTTGGAAACAGCTAGGTCACTTGAGGCAAATTCTAATTAATAAGGTGGTAATCAAGTGCACTAATGTTGCTTCGTAGTCAATAAATGAGGTGTAATCATAAAGTAAAGAGGCTACTGTCTTTGCGGTGCTTGGGAGCTGACTTAGAAGGCAGTCTGGGGTTTCTAAAAGGCAGTCCAATGTAATTCTTATGGCACCAGCATGAGAGAGAAACAGAAACAGGGTAGATGGGGAAAATCTGAGGCTAAAGCTTTTTCATATATATTTTTTGATCATCAAAGTAAGCATCAAAGGAAAATCAGAATTTATTGATTGAACTTTCTCTTACATATTTTGTGGTTTTGTATAATTTTTTAAAAATCTGAATTACATATGAAAGGTGAAATCTAGTCAGTGCTTAGAGTCTAAAGATTTTAATTCATTTATATTGGAATGGTTCTAAAGAAGGTGTTTCAAAAACCCCTTGGGCAATAACTGCACCACTGAGGCTTCATTACTTTTTCCAACTGCCTGCCATGCATCTCCTCTTAAAGATCCCCCTGGCACTTCAAATTCCACCTCATACATCTCTCTGTCTCTCCAAACCTGCAAACCTGTGCAACATTCCAACCACTGTTGCTGGTGCCCTCATTATAATAACAGTAAGAGAAACCCAAGTGAGCTCTGTGATGTTGTTATGCAGTGAAAGTCCCTCTTCTGCCTGCCATCCCCACGCATAAGGACAGTAATTTTTCTCAGTGATGAACCTAATGTGACCACACGTCCCTAAATGTGCCCTCTGGACATCTTACTGGGAGTCCTCCAGAGGCCTTCAGAAAAGTGCTAGAAGTGGATCTCAGTAAGGCTGTGAAGCAGGGGAATTTCAAGGGCGTATTGAAGGAGGGCCATGGAGGTTCCTGTCATCTTGAATTTGGAATATCTTTGTTTCCTGTTTTAGAGGGAAGAACCATGCAGAAAGTTCTCCTTTGGCAAGTCATGTTTTAACAATAAGTATGAGTCAGCTTGTGCTGAGTAGCCTGGGATTGCTTACCTAGTGATAGTAGGGAGGCTGGAGTGGGTTAGTACCAGGAACTCTATGTTAACTGATAGTGTGACTCAACCTATTATGTACATTGAACTGTTTGGGGAAGCCTACTCCTAAGCAATTTGTGTTGACGCACTGTACAAACACATGTCATAGATTGCTTGGAAAAAAATCACAGGCATGTGCAGTTGCACTTCCCCCAACTCCTATTCAACACAAAGAGGTCCTAGACCCTCCAATTCTTTCAATTCTGGAGAGGTTAAGCTTGACCAGAGCCACAAAAAAGTCACATTCTATTTCTATAACTGCAGTGCCTTGTATTTTTTGACTGGTCCTATCCAACACTTCTTAAAAATGCCATACCTGAGTGAAATTAACCCTAAAAAACAGACATCCTTTTGGAGCCAAGAAATTGAAGCATTTCACAGATACCAAAACTGATTAATGGTACCTGTGACATAGTGATAAGAGCTACGAAATGCTGATGACATACTAGATGACAATAAGGCCCTGGCTGAAGCATTTCTTATGCATTGTGTTTCACAATAATCATATAAAGGAAGTGTTAGTTATACTCCTCATTTTACAGATGAGGAAAATGAAGTTCAGAGAGGTAAGTGACTTGCCATTGGTCACACAGCTTGTAAGTAGAAGACCAAGACTTGAGCCCAGGTGGGACGGCTCCAAAGCCCATGCCCTTACCCATTATGTGATATGGCCTCCTGGCACTGGGCAAGGGACAACAGAATACATAGTCAACCCAATTCCTGCTCCCCAGGGTCACGCTCTTGCTGGGAAGATAAGACAAATACACACAAAATAGAGATTAATACTAAGAAGTATTATGATTATGAATAGCTGCATTATGCTACACAGAAAACAAATAAATACAAGTACAGGAAAGAGACTGTGGGTCATTGCATGGGATGTCTGTGAGCCCTCAAATACTCATTGCTCATTGGGGTCCACCTGGCAGGGGAGAGGAATTCTGGGAGGATTTGATCATGAATTTTGAAAGTGAGAATCTAGAATGGACAATAAAAGAAAGAAAAAGAAAAAGAAAGAGACAAGTAGCATTTCAGAGACCAAGAATGGCAGAAAGGCAGGAGGCAAGATTGGTTGTACGTAAGGGCTGGAAAATATCAGTATTGTAAATATCTTTAAAAAAAAAAGAATTGTTACTGTAATCCCAGCACTTTGCGGGGCTGAGGCAGGCAGATCACTTGAGATCAGAAGTTGAGACCAGCCTGTCCAACATGATGAAACCCCGCCTCTACTAAAAATACAAAAAAATTAGCTGGTTTTGGCAGCACATGCCTGTAATCCCAGTTACTCGGGAGGCTGAGGAAGGAGAACCGCTTGAACCCAGGAAGCGGAGGTTTCAGTGAGCCAAGATCATGCCACTGCACTCCAGCCTGGGCAACAGAGCAAGACTCCATCTAAAATAATAATAATAATTGTTAAGACAGGAGTTAGGTATGAAGGAGTGTACAAAGTAGACACAAAAGCAGGAAAAAATGACAAAGATGGCAAATTCTGTTTTATTGGGTTTAAATCATAAGAAGCAAACAAAAGGTCTGGGTGTGTGTGTGTTTTTTATTGTTGGTCATTTGTCTGTTTGGTTTTAGTCCTGTACAGTGTTTTGCATATGCTTTGTTTCCGCTGTCTTTGGTTTTAACGAGAGGCAGCATAGCCTAGTGACAAAGAATATGGACTCTAGAATCAGGCAGCTTGGCTTTAAACTTAGGCTCTGCCACTTACTGGCTGGGGGACCTTAGGCAAATTATTTAATTTCTTTGTGCTTTGTTTTCCTCATCCACGAAATAAGGTATAATAAAACTTACATATAAGATTGTTATAAAAACTATATAAGTTACTATTTGTGAAGTGCTTAAAACAGTGCCTGCAGACAGTAAGTGCTCTCGATATGCTTGTGGTATAAATGCAAAAGCAATTCATTCCCAACACTGAAATGTGGGAAATTTCTAAAATCATTGTGTAAAGATCTTTCTACAAACAAACAAACAAACAAACAAAAAAACACCTGGTAGATGTGGCCATCCAGGCAGATGGCACCATGGCAACAATTGACGATATCAGAGTAGTGGCTGCTGCCAGCTCCCACAATCCCCTTCACTCCCTGCTGCTTATACCTGGCCCACTTCGTGTGATCTTGTGACTCCTAGTTTAAAGTGAAAGGAACATCTTGGCTCCTAATATGCCTTTATATTTTCAAAGAGAGCTCATAAAGGAAGCAATTTGGGTCTGGAATCCAGACCTGGCTGAGTTCACAGGATGCTCTAATCCTTAGAATTCAAGAGAACGCATCCATCCTCCTCTCCCAGCCAGGATCCCCCTGACCTGAGATGCTGGGTCACCGGGCTGTACAAGCACCCCCAACCCCAAAACCTCCTCCACTGCCTCAAGTCTTCCTGCCCAGTTCAGCCCTTCTGATAGGAAGGACTTAGGACTCCCACAATCCTTTGCAGCAGCAACTCTGGTGGAAGGCCAGAGCTGAGATTAGCAAAGCAAGAATGTGCAGCCTTCCTCTGAGTTGCCAGACAAATAAATTGTGTCTTCCTTTTTCTGCTTGTTTAGTGGATTCAACTCTGCCTCACGATCTAAAAAATCCACAGCTGAGGAGTTATTTACACAGCAACTAGCCTTAAACCAAACCGTGAGATTAACTATTTCTTCAGAGCCCTCATCTGTTAAGGCTTTTTTTCAGGCAGTGAGCTTTCTAATTTTCCCTGGCTCTTTGTGGTCTGGAGCTGCTCGGGAACACTCAGTAGTGAGCCCCACATCAGCCTCCCCCAGTGGTTTTCTAACAGTCTCAGCTCGTATCATTCCCCCTCTGGAGAGATGCCTTTCCTTTCTGCTCTCCAAGAGGATGACTGAGCCCCGTCTGGGCAGGGCAGACATTCAGGCCTGCTGGCTCCTTTACCCCTGGAGATGGTCTCTCACCTTTGTGGGGAATGACTAATGGCAGAAATGTCAGGACACCCAGGAGAAAAGTGTGGAGGGAGACGTTCAGGAGAAGAGACATTGGGGCTTCAGTCAAACCCCACTACCTGCACTGCTTTTGAATAAGCAGCCCAGCTGTGCTTACACCTGGGTGCAGCAGCATGAGGAGGGTCACAAAAGACCCACTGCCAGGAATAGAACTCAGGTGGCCCACCATGCAGAAAGCGTTAAGACACAGAGGTGACCTAACAATGCTAGAACAAGTTCAAATCCTTCATTTCACAGAGCCCAAAACCTGCCCTGGATCTCACCGCTCGTAGCGACAGAGCAGAGAGTAGAACATGGGTCTCCTGACTCTTTTGGTGTGACTTCCTGGGAGAGGGAGAGGTGCAAAGGAGGGAAACTTGAGAATGGTTACACACAGCAGCGTATCTGATGAATAACAGCCCTAGAGCCCCTTCCAACTAGGCGGAGGTGCACAGCCTGGTCCCAGCCCCAACCAGCAGGAAACAACTTGGCCAATTTCCACCAGTTCATGACCCTCCCAAGGCAAACAGTGCCTGGTCTCCTGTAGGACCTGCATCTGAGAACCTGGTGGGAAGGGCTCTGGGTAAGGAGAGAACTAAGGAAAGCATCTATCTGTAGGGAAAGCTGTTTTGTCCTACATATAGCTCCCTGGAACTGCCACCACTCACCCCAGCAATATTGAAATTTCTTACCACATTATTCAGTGAGGGTATGTGTTCAATGGGTGGTTGGATAAGTTGATGGCATATGGTCTAGATCTCCATTGCCTCTATGACCTTATCTCCCACCACTCTTTGCTCAGCCTTCTGCAGCCACTCTGACCTCCTTTTTATTCCTCAAACATGCTAAAAATGCTCCCACTTCAGGGCCTTTGCATTTGCTGTTCCTTCCATTTGGTATGCTCTTCTCCAGTTGTCTGTAGGGTTTTGCTCCCTCTCTTCCCTCAAATATTTGTTCAAGTATCACCTTCTCAGCGATCCCTTCCCCAGTTGCCCTATGCACCTGTCACCCTAAAACTCCTTGCCCTACTTTTATTTTCTCCATAGAGCATTTATCATCATGTTACATTACAGTACATACTGTGTTTAGTGTCTTTCTGCACTAAAATATGAGCTCTGTGAGGACAGGGACTTTATCTGGTATGTTCATTCCTGCATCCTAATCACCTAGAACAGGGCCTGGCACATAATAGGTGCTCAATAAATATTTACTGAATAAATGGATGGGTGGATACAGAAGCGGTGCATGTTTACATAAATGAAAGTGGCTTTGTAAACATATATTCATTCCATTTATTCGTTTTCTAAAGAAATACTTCTTGCATTCTCTTATGTCTCAGGCTTCCCACCCAGTCTAGTGGAAAACAAAGATGAGTTGACATGAAATGACGATACAGCAGAGTAAGCACTATCCAGGGTTTGTGGAAGCACAAGAAGAAATTGGTGAAGGCTTGTCAAAGGAGATGGCCCTTGAATAACAGAAGATGTTAGTCAGGAAAAGAAAATTGAAGTGGGGATGTGGAGAAGGACACTTCAAGCAGAGGGAACAACAAGTGCAAGAAAAAGGCTCCTCTGGGCAACAGCTTTACCATATGGGGCCAGAGAATGGCAGGGAAGGAAAGATGTTGGTAGAAGCAAGGCTGGAAACGAAGCAGAGGCCCTAGTTTGAGAGCCTTGCCTGCTGTTATAAGTATCCAGTTAAGCCTTTAAGTCAGTATGGCAAACTTGCCAAATGCAGAGATCCAATTGTACAGTGTGGTGACTATACTTAATGATGACATACTTTAAAAGATCATGTTGTACACGATAAATATGCACAATGATATCTGTCAATTTAAACAACAAAAACACTATAAACATTTAGTATACAGATGTGTATAGTTTGACCTATAAAATTATTCCTTTAAATTTGGTGGCCAATATTTTAAACATTAAAATATTTCACATAAAAATCCAAAATTCTTGCTTTTCTTGAAATACCAGAATATCACACCCCAGCAGGCCCACATGGCTACGATTGCCAACATCTGAGCAGGAGTTATCTCCACTAAACAGAGCTCTGGCTCTCCAGTTTGTCAAAGCCCCAAATTAGCCTTTTTCAGTGATTATGTTATGGCTGATCCTCAAGCTCTGGTATGGCCAGGAAGTGGCAAGGCTTGGGATTTGAGCCTTTCTCCATAAAGCCCATACTCTTACCCAGTACATGATTAATGATTGGCACACACAAAAAAAGACACTCCATAATACTGTATTTGAAGAAGGAACACACTCATTCCATTGTCTCCTACTGAAAGGTCTTTGCCTCTGTTTCTACCCTGGCAAATCCTGCCCTATCTCTCAAGGCCCAGCTCAGATGCAGCCTCCTTCATGAGGCCTTCCCTGATTTCATGCTCCCCACCCCAACAGATGTGGCTAAGGGATGGAGGACCTGAAGGCAACAAAACTGGGATGCGGAGGAGTATTTGGAGGGCAGATCACTGGGATCATTAGAGCTGGGCTGTAGGTAGAAGAAAATATCTGAGGTTTGAACTTTGGAATTTGTGCATCTGAGTGGGAAGTGCATAAATGGTGGAAGCTGAGAGACAACTGTAAAAGAATTAAAACAGACTACAGTTTTTCCTTGCTTGAAACTTTGTCTCCTTTTATTTTATCCTCTTGTTTGCCTTTTTTTCCTTCCTATGTCTCCACTTCCTGTACCTTAACTGGCATTAGACAACTCACCAGCTTACAAAGATCACATTTGAAAGAACTGTCCTGACAGTAGCCAAAATGAGATTGCACCAATGATCCCGAGAAACCAGAACAATTTCCAACCATTCCAACTGGAAGTTTTGCAGCGGTTACAGATAAAGAAAACTGCAAGCTGGGACAAGACCACAGTCACAGAAGAGATGAGGAGTCTCCGCTGCTTGTCCTATAAAAACCCGATCCTACTTTGGCTCAAGGAGTTACTTAACATTGAGTTGCATGTTCCCTGATGCACATCAACTGAATAAAGCCTGTAACCTCTATTTGAGTCACTTTAACTATTTTGGTCCTTAACAGTTTTGTCACTGTGACTCAGATTGGGTCTGAATAGGCCCTTGAGCCTACTGAGGTTTCAGATAAAGACAGAATGAACTGAGGGACCTTCTTCCTCCCTTCTTGGAGGGCCCTATTGGGTCAGATAAGTCCTGTTCCCACTCACGTGCTCCAATTTTTTGTTGTGTCAAGGAAGTTCCATGTTTTGATTCTTTGGAAAGGTTAACTTGTTTTCTGATTAAAGTCATTACTTCTATTTTCCTTTTGTCTTTTGGAGTTCTCTGGCCTTTCAGGTCTCCAAGAGCAGAGAATTAGATGATGATCATAATGTAGGACCAGGCCCTTCACCTTTCTTCTGCATTGAACCTTTTTTGTTATGAGCTAAGTGGTATGACCTCAAGGAAGACAATTTTTAGCTGCAGTGGTTCATTTGGGACTCTCGGGACATGTCACAACGCAAGCATTTGCATGATTCTTTAGAGCAAAAGGAAACCAGATAACATATTTACAATGGACAGCTTTCCTTAAGCCAAAAGAAGAAGCTGAGGAAAGAAACAATTCAGAAAGTTTCCAATCTGTTGAGTCTTCTTTTAAAACAACCTCAGCTGTCTCTCTCTCTCCAAAGACCTCCTCCTTTCTATCAAACTCTATTTCTTCCCCTTACAATCTGACTTTATCCTGGCCTCCCTACTCTTCTGCTTTCTGTCCTCTGCTCTGCTCTCTTTCTCCTCCTTTTCCACTTTCTCACCTTCCTCTCACCTTTTGACCCATACCTTCACCCTTTCTGGATATGGAAAAGCCAAATAGAGAGGAGAAAGTCTTTTAAAGGCAATTGGTGAAGGTTTTCACTATTCCATCGACTGAGGAATAATCCAAACCTGTCAGCAAGGGTGTGATAAATCTGTTTCCAATTTTAGGGACCAATGATAGAAAGCATTTTTAGGAATGCTCAGGGTTGGGCATTAACACTAACACTCCAACAACAATCTGCACATTCTTTACTAATGGCCTTAACCCTGATATATCAGATGCTATTCAGAAGCATAAAACAGGCTGGCAGACCACATCCACTCATGATTTACAACACTTTGAGTTCAGCAGATTTTAAACCAGCATTTTGTGGAAAGCATAGTAAATAAAGAGAGAAGCACACCGCAAACTTATGTCATTACAACTCGAACAGCCTGGGGGAAATAAAAAGGCCCTCCACAATTTAAACACAGAGAGACACAGACACTTGCAGATATTGCAGAGAAAAAGACACTGGACCTGCAATCATCCCGCTGTAGCAAAGAAATGAGACACTCAACTAGAGTTGTTAGATTTAGCAAATAAAAATGAAAAAATATATGAATTTCAAATAAATGAGTAACATTTTAGCATAAGTATGTCCCATGAAATGTTGGGTACACACTTGTACTAAAAAATGATTCATTTCTTATCTGACATTCAAATTTAACTGCACTTCCCATATTTTATTTGGCAACACTATACAGGTTACTCAATCTGAAATAAAGCAATTCCCCTTCTCCGAGGAATGTACCCTTCAGTATCCTCAATTGTCTTTGGATCAGCAAGGAGAAATAACTCTATTTATTTGTGAATGGCTACCCAAGCTCATTTTTTAGTAGACCCTGGAGACACACTCTCCATCATTAATTCCTTCTAGTTTCCTACCATCCTTCCTCAGAATAATTTTAAAAAGCTCAGTAGTGGGACTCACTTGTTAAACATATTCACTTCCTCTCTCTAACCCTTCGCTTATCTCTTTGGGATGCTTAACCTCTCAATATATCTTTCTCTTCTGTCTTCCACCCTCCCTAACCTATACAGATGGACCTTTTGGCTCAATGGGGAACTACTATTAGATGTATATCCAAAGGCCTTTTTCTTGATCTCTCAGTCTCTCATGACCCAGTACACCATCCTATGGGGCTTCCCTCAACTCCTATGCACCCACTCTTAAGTCCTCTATTCACTTCATTCATTGCATTCACATTGCAAGCCCCCTCACACTTCTCTCAGCTTCTCAATCATAATCTCAAAGACTTACAATTTCCCTGGTCCTCTGCCTTGATCAGATAGTAAGTAACTTGCTCTTATGTTCACCTGATTTAACCTCTTCTCAAGAAGACTCTATATCAGAAACTTTGTTTATAAAAGGAAATATTGTAAGGACAAATTTGTAATAATAATTTACTGTTTAAATTACTGTATAAAAGGATAAATTTGTAAGAATAAATTACTGTTTCCTTAGGCCCAAGTTCACTATCTAAGCCATGGTATATCCTAGGGAGGCAAATTCCTCCCGGTGAATAGGAGTACGGTCATTCAAAATTGCCCTTGCCCTACTACCAAAAGACAATTTAGAGGATTTCTGGGACTTATAGGATATTGCAGGTGGTAGATTTCCAACTTTTCTGAATTAGCTGGCACCCTCAGTGACATGAATTAAAATGGTATTCCTGAGCTTCTGCCTTGGATGGTCACTACAGAGTTAGCCATTGACCAACCCAAGGCATTTCATTTTGGGTCACCCCAAAATTATACTATCTTTTTTTTTGGTTTATATATAAAAGGGATGATCAAGCTCTTGGAGTTTTATCTTAGAAACATGATGGAAATCAGAGACTCATTGGGTATTACAATATTGCTCCATCCAGTAGCTAAATATATCCCTCTTTCCTGGGGGCAGTAGCTGTCGCCGCATTTAATCTTGGGATCACCTTTTCATCTAATGGTACCTAATGAAGCTCAGACCCTTCTCATCACCAAAGCACCCAACATTTCTCTGCTTCTAGACTCATTTCTTATGAATTACTATTTCTGTCCTCCGTTCATATCATCATCTATTAGGAGTCTATAGGAATACTGTACTCTTTTTTAAAAAGTGAGATATGATTCACATACCATAACTTATCCTTTTAAAGTGTACAATTCCATGGTTTTTCATGTTTTACAATGTTGTGCAACCAACATCACCATCTAATTTCTGAACATTTTCATTGTCTTCCAGAAAAATCATAAGCAATCACTCATTATTCTCCACCTGGCAACCACTAATCTTCTTTCCAACTTTATGGATATTCTTATTCTGAACATTTTATGTAAATGAAATTATACACTATGTGGCCTTTTGTATCTGGCTTCTTTAACTTAGCATAACATTTTCAAGGATTATCCATGTTGTAGAATGTATCAATACATTACTTCATTCTTTTTATGGCCAAATAATATTCCATTATATGTTTATCCATGCATCAGTTGATGGACAATTGGGTTGTTTCCACATTTTGGCTATGATGAATAATGCTGCTTGAACATTTATGCATAGGATTTTCTTTGAAGACGGGTTTTCAATTTCTTTAGGTATATATTTAGGAGTAAAAATGCTGGGTCATATGGTAACTCTATGTTTAACTGCTTGAGGAACTGCCAAACTGTTCCACAATGACTGCACCATTTTACATTCCCACCAATAATATATGAGGTTTCCATTTTTCATACTCTCACAGTTGTTACTGCTGGGCTTTTTAAATTATAGCCATCCTACTGGGTGTGAAGTAGTATCCCAATGTGGTTTTGATTTGCATTGCCCTAATGACTAATGATGTTGAGCACCTTTTCAAGTGTTTATTGGCCATTTATGTATCTTCTTTAATAGTGTCATAATCTTAACGCAGCTAGTTTATTTCCTCTTTCAGAGAAGGTGAAAAGTCTCATGATTGTTTAACTTGAGAACTTTATCTGCCTCTCTCTGATCTTCTTGAAACTCCTCTACAAAACTCAGAATTCTTTGTAGGTTGGTCATATATTGAGACTGAACAGGTGTATTTTCAAGTTAAGTATGCCGTCACTACTTCCTAAGAGCTTTTTGAATATGACCACCTTCCTGAAGTCAAGTTAGCATAACCAGCTGAATTTATAGGCTTAACTCTAGCCTACCAAGCTAGCAAAGAATAAAAGGGCTAACATATACACAGACAGCAGATATGCCTTTGGTTTGGTTTATGATTTTAGCATGCTATGGAAACAACACAGCTTCCTAACAGCTTCTGGTACTTCAATAAGCAGCATGAGCACATACAGGCTTTACTAGATGCTTTGCTACTCTCTCAAGGAAGTGACTGTAATTAACGTCAAATCTCATACTAGGGAACAAACCCATAAAGCAAAAGGAAATGCCCTGTCTGACCAGTATGCTAAACAGGCTGCTCTCGCCACATTCAATTTGTTCAGCATATTAAAGACAACCTGGTTACTGCAGATTGCTTCCATGAAACTTTGAGCAAATTGCAGTTAAAGCACCAGACTCTGAAAAAAGATACTGGGAGAAATCTGGGTGTTCCCTCCAATCAGATGGGTTCCTATGGAGACACCAAGACTGCACCTGGTCTCTCCAGTCTCTCTGAAACAGAGCTTGATGAAAATTTTGCAGGTTATGATTCATAACAGTAAATAAACTTGAAAACTATTCTCAGACAACATTGTTGGGAAAATTTTAAACAGGAGATGAAGTCTCTAGTGCATGTTCCATCTACAAGACTCATAACCCTGGAAAAACCATTAAGGTAAGACATAGACAGGAACCACAGCCTTGAGGATTCTTCGAACATTTACAAGTGAACTTTGTATAACTTCCTTTATCGCAAGGATTTGAATATGTATTCATTACTGTCTTCCTTCTCTCTGGATAGCCAGAAGTTGTTCCTTTTAGCCTTCCTTGTGACAGAGATACTCATTTTACCAGGACTATAATTAAGAGGATTTGTAAGGTATTGCCTGATGGCCAGAAATTACCCATCTCAGCCATTCAGGAAGAATGTAAAGTGCCAATGGTATTTTAAATAATGTTTATTTTTGTTTAACTTTTATAAGTGAATATGTACATTATTGAAAAATTTAAAAACACAAAATCACCCACAGTCACACCCAGCTTACAGCTTGAAATATCTATCTAAATCCTTATGTGTGTACACACACAATTGCGCATATATTTGTATGTGGTTGAGATCACACAGTATGAATCTTTACTAGTTCAAAGAATATCATGAATTTTTATCAATTCAATGTCCCAAAGTCATGAATATTTTGAAAACCAAGAATATACAACACCAACTCAATTGGGAAAGAAATGTAATCCTGCCTTCCATGGGGACAAAAATTTCATAAAAGACAAAAATGACAAAAATTATCTGGATAAAGATTTTGGCAGACTTACAATTAAAATACTTTATTCTCTTAATGCTCGACTTAAAATGAGACAAAAACAATAGTGAACAATAAGTATAATGCTTCTAAGGGAATTCATTCTTAGATCTATACTATTGAAATATTATCCAAAAGATACGTTTCCATTGAATTATTCGACATTTTTCATTTTATATAACAATTATAAACATAAATTCCTCTAATGTGGAGCCTGAAAATATATGAAGCAAAAATTGATAGAATTGAAGTGATAAATACACAGTTCTACATTCATAGTGGGAAGCATCAATATCCCACATTCAACAATGACTACAACAAACAGAGAGAAGATCACCAAGGAAACAGAAGACGTAAACAACAGCATGAGCCATTTTGACCTAATAGATGTCTAGAAAGCAATCCACCCAACAATAGAAGAATAAACATTCTTCTCAAGTGCACATAAAACATTCTCCAAGATAAGTCACATAGTAAGCCACAAAACAAGTTTCAATGAATTTTAAAAGATTAAAATCACATTAAGTATGTTCCTTGGCCACAATGGAATTAAATTAGAAATTAGTAACAAGAGGAAATTTGGAAAATTCACAACTAAGTGAAAACTAAACACTACTAAATAGCTACTTGAGTCAAAGAAGAAATCACAAAGTAAACTAGAAAATACTTTGAAATGATGATGATGAAGATGAAAACATAACAACCGAAACTTGTGGGATGCAGCAGAAACAGTACTCAGAGGGAAATTTGTAGCTGTAAATACCTACATTACAAAAAGAAGAAAGATCTGTAATTGATAACCTAATAATTTTGCACCTTAAGAAACTAGGAAAATAAGAAGAAACTGATCTCAAAGCAAGCAGAAGGAAAGGAATAATAAAGATTAAAGCACAAATAAATGAGATAGCGAACAGAAAACAATAGAAAAAAAACAGTGAAATGAAAAGTCAGTTTTTTAAAAGAACAGTAAAAATTCACAAACTTTTAACTAGACTGATCAAAAATAAAAGACTCAAATTACTAAAATCAAGAGTCGGACTCAGGACATTACTACTGACCTTACAGAAAATTTTAAAAATGAATTATCAGAAAATACTATGAACAAATGTATGTCAACAAATTAGATAATCTAGATGAAATGGAAAAATTCCTAGAAACAGACAAATTATAAAAAATGACTAAAATTAGTTAGAAAATCTGAATGTAAAGGAATTGAGTCAGTGTTCTAACTATGTTTTTGCAGATTCTGTATTTGTCTGTTTGGCATCCATTAATTACAGGGCCAAACTAATGGCCAAGTTATCAACATCTCCCCTGCAATCCAGAGCCTATACTCAGAACTACCACCTTATCTAACTCTCACATATCAAGCCACATTTCCCCTGCCCTAAATCAACCCAGGGTCAGGTACCAGACAACTAGGAAGCGTTCCTATGTCCAAAAACCCACCAGAATTATTCAAAGTAGCCAACCCTAAGCTGTTTCTCCTGCCTTGCCTTGCTTTTCCTATGGAAACTCCAATAAAGGCTCTAGCATAAGCTTCCCTCATTTATTTCTGCCTCCTAACCAACACTGGTGCTTCCCCATGTGACCCTGTGTGGCATGATGCATTCCCTTCTCTTGGGAAATGTAATTAACAAAACTTTTTCAATGGGATTAGCATCTCTGTCTGTTGTCATTTGGTCAGCTCTATAAATTAAAATCCTGTGGGTACAATTGAGACACTCAGTAATAATAATTAAAAAAAATGCCAACAAAGAAAAGCCTAGGACCAGATGGTTACACTGCTGATGGTTTAACAAATAATTAAATAATTTAAACCAATCATTCTCAAACTCTTCCAGAAAGTAGAAAAGCAGTTAACATGTTTCAATTCATTCTATGAGGCCAGCATTACCCTGATATCAAAGTCAAAGACATCACAAGAAAACTACAAACCAAAACTCCTTATGAATATAGACACAAAATCCTCAACAAAACACTAACAAACTCACATGTTAACAGACTATACAACATGACCAAGTAAGATTTATCCCAGGAATACAAGGTTAGTTCAGTGTATGAAAACAAATTAATGTAATACACCATATTAATAGACTAAAGAGGGGGCACATGATCATCTCAATAAACACAGAAAGAACATTTGACAAAATCCAACACTCCTTCATAATAAAAGCACTGAAAAACTAGGAATAGAAGGGAACTTCTCTAACATGATAAAGGGCATTGTTTCAGTCCACTTTGCATTGCTATAAAGGGATACATGAGGCTGGGTCATTTATAAAGAAAAGACATTTATTTGGCTTACAGTTCTGCAGGCTGTACAAGAAGCATAGCACTATCATCTACTTCTGGTGAGAGCCTCAGGAAGCTTTTACTCATGGCAGAAGGTGAAGTGGGGGCAGATGTGTCACATGGTGAGAGAGGGAGGAAGAGAGATGGGTGGAGGTGCCAGGCTTTCTAAAACAGTCAACTCTCACATAAACTAATAGAGCAAGAACTTACTCAGTACCACACGGAGGGCTCCAAGCCATTCATGAGTGATCCACCCCTATAACCCAAATACCTCTCACTAGGCCCCATCTCCAATTTGGAAATCAAATTTCAACATGAGCTTTGAAGGGGAAAAATATCAAAGCTATTTCAGGCATCTATGAAAACCCCACAGACAACATCATACCCAATAATGAAAAACTGAATCATTTCCTGCAAGATCAGGAACAAAACAAGGATGTTTACTCTTGCCATTCCTATTTAACATTGTATGGAAAGCTCTAGTCAGGGAAATTAGACAAGAAAAAGAAAGAAATGACATCCATATAGGAAAAGAATGAAAAGTACTGCTGATCACAAATTACTTGATCTCATATATAGAAAACCCTGAAATATCCACAAATAAACAATTAGAGCTAAAAAATGAGTCCAGTGAAGTTGCGGGATATAAGATTAATACTTGAAAATCAGTTACATTTCTTTACAATAGCAATGAAAAGCCTAAAAATAAAATTTAGTAAATAATTTCATTTACGGTAGCATCAAAAAGAATAAAATACTTAAGAATAAACTTGACCAAGGAAGTGAAAAAACTGTACACTGAAAACTACAACACTTGTTGAAAGAAATTTTTTAAAACCTAAATAAATGGAAAGGCATCCCATGTTCATGGGTTGGAAGACTTAATATTGAGATGGCAATATTCATTGAATTGATCTACAGACTTAAAGAAATTCTTAGTAAAATTCTAGCTGCCTTTTTTAGAGAAATCGACAAGCTGATTCTAAAATTCATACGGAAATACAAGGGACCTAAAAAAAACCAAAGCAATCTTAAAAAACAACAAAGCTGGAAGATTAACATTTCCCAATTTCAAAACTTACTACAAACTTAGATTAATCAAAACAGTGTGATACTGTCATAAGGGCAGACATATAGATCAATGGAATAGAATTGAGTCCAGAAGTAAGCATGTAAATCTATGGTCAATTGATTTTTGACAAGGGTGCCAAGACCATTCGATGGAGAAAGAATAGTCATTTCAACAAATATTGCTGGGACAAATGAATACCCACATGCAAAAAGCATAATTTTTTTACTCCTATTTCACACCATATGCAAAAATTAACTTAAAGTGGGTCATATACCTAAATGTAAGAGCTAATATTATAAAATTATCAGAAGAAAACATCGGTGTAAATCTTCGTACTTTGGATTAGGCAATGTTTTCCTAAATATGACACCAAAAGTATAAGCAATAGAATTAAAAATAGATTGGACTTCACCAAAATTAAAATTTTTTGTTTGTCAAAGGACATTATCAAAAAAGTGAAAAGACAACAAAAGGAATGGGAGAAAATATTTGTAAATCTTATATCTGATAATGGTCTAGTATCCATAATATATAAGTACTATCACAACTCAATGATGAAAAGACAAACAACCCAATTTAGACTTCCCACTTCAAAATGGTGGCATAGAAACAAGCTGGTTTTACTTCCTACCCTCAAAACCAAAAACAAATATACGGCATTGAGATTATCACCAGCAACATCCCAGAACTCAAATATGAGGATAAGACAGTTCCCAGGGCAGCAGAGAAGTGAAAAAAACTCTGAGCAGATGTTAGAGGATCAAACTTCCATATTTGTGATGCCCTTTCCCCCAATCTGCCCAGCACTAAGTGCATAGAAAAATTTCCCCCAACTCATAGTTTCCACACTGGAAAAAGTATGATTGAGGTAAACAACAGCTTCCCATCATCTTAGGTTACCTGACAGGAGACCTGTCTCTGCCTCAACTCATGGGAAGCATTGAGAGTACCTGAAGAGAGGAATATTTCTGTAGACAGCCACAGACAAGTAGGGGAAGTGGGACTGCCATCCTCAGCCCTGGAAACTCTGCTGTGTAAATCAGTCAAGAGATGCCAAAACAGATTAGCTGTTCAGCAGCACCATGCTGTAAGAGGTTCATTCCACAGATCTCCAGGCATGAACCCCTGACCAGTCTTCCCATACTAACAGGATATCCTATTTGGGACCTTCCCCATTTCGGACTGGTGGCACCCTGATTGAGTACCAGAACTGAGGAGGCAAACCTGAGCTTAATTAAGGCGCCATCTAGTGCAAAAAAAGAGGCAGTGACCTAGTGGGAAAAAAGATAACAGGTAAATTGCAAAGAATCTCTAATCAAACATATTTAATAAAAACCAAAACAAGCCAGACAGAGAAGACTGGTATAAGTAGCTAATCCTTCACTGCAAAGACATAGATGTACATACACAAGAAACAACAGCAAACACAAAACCAAGACCTCCTCAAACAGACAAAGCAAGCAACCAGTGATTCACACCCTAATTAGATGATGATATTTAACCTCTCTGACCAAGAATTCAAAACAGTAGTTTTAAGGAAACTCAGTGATCTCCAAGATAACACAGAAAAGCAATTCAGAAATTTATCAGAAAAATTTAACAGAGATTGATTTTTTTAAAAAATCATACAGGAATCACTGAAAAATACTTTTGCTGAAATGAAAAATTTATTAGCGGCTTCCAATAGCCAAATGGATCAAGCAGAGGAAAGAATCAGTGAGCTCAAAGACAGGCTATTTGAAAATACACAAAGGGAAAAAGAAAAAAAGGTAAAAGGAACAAACATCACCTACAAGATATAGAAAATTACCACCTGGTGAGGCGTTCAAATGGTTGATTAGAGGCATCTCTTACTTGCCTCCTCCACTAGGAAAAACCAAAATAGTGAGTAGATAATCACACTTTGAATAGATCATCAGAGAGAATACTGAAATTCAACACAGAAGTGGCAGGAAACACCCAGAGCAAGAAAGGAGAAGGAAGCAAGTTGGCCTCCTAACCAAGATCGGCTGGGAGCCAGGAGAGACTCTCCTGTGTGGGGAAAGGATAAGCGAGAGACTCCCAGTGGCTCCTGCTTCAGGTTCCTAAAATCCTAGCCGTGGTAGAGTCCCCCAATCCTTGCTGGCCGAAGACTAACATAGAAAGTTCCCTGGAAACTGTGTGAAGGCATTGTTTCAGAGGGAAAACTCATGCTGGGTCCCACAAACCCCCAAGTTCTAAGTAGTGTCAGCATAGCACCATTTTGAAAGCCCAACCCACACCAGACTACATGCTGCCCTGCAACTAGGGCTGAGGCAGAAGCCACAGAAAACAATTCTAACCTCCCCCGAAGAGGGGTGGCTGCACATTCTCATGTGCAAAGGACAGATTCCACTGCCTGCAACTGCTGCAGCTGCAGACACTGTGGGCCAAGGTACAAGTGAAGCCCATGCCCCTCAACTCTCTGCCTATGGCTGCTCCCATGGAAGGCAACCTCAACCTGTTCAATATCAGGGCTGCAGCACAGCCATGCCACCTCCACCTGATCATTCCACTGGTGGCATAGGGCTCACCCTGCCCATGCATACAAAAGCCAGCATTTATATGCAACACGGGGGGGCAGGGTTGAAGCACAATTTGGCCAGGCTACCTCCACCCCAGTACACAAGCACATCAGGGACTGCAGGTCACACAGCCCAGTTCACCATAGTGGCACCTGAGTAATCCTCCTGGAGTCTGAAGTCAGGCACACTCAACCTCTGCTATCACCACAACTGGCACCCACTTGCACATTGCCACTCACAGTTCTGGGCACCAGCCCTCTCAACCCATCACAGCTCCTGCCAATACCAGAGTGGAACACTTATATCCCAAAGTGTTGTCTCACCACTGGTACCGACATTGCCCCTGCTATGCTCACTGCCCAGGGGCTAGAGAACCTGTTCACCTGCCTGGCCCACTGCTGCCACTTCCAGCACCCAATTAAGCCACCTGGAGGCCCCAGAATTAGCTTACCTGGACACACTAACAGTGGTGCCAGCATATGCTGCCCTGAAGCCCAGGAACAGGAGCACTCAGTGCACCGTTACCACCACGAGGGCCCAAAGACTAGCTTACCTGTCATCCCAGTCCCCAGCAGAACTTCACTGTAACCTCCACTAATAACCACACCCTAAGCCACAAAGGAAATGACAGACACCACTGACACTGTTTACAGACAAAGAAATCATACAGAGACTACACTACTTCATGCACCCAGAATCAAAGCCAAAGTGCCCTACTCAAGTAACACCACAGGTACACCTTCAAAAAAAGTCCTCCTCTGTGAAAGCAAATTCTAAACATTGGAATAAGCAACTATGAAGATGTAGCAAAAATTTCTTTTTTACTTTGGGAAAAAAAAAGCTGAAAGCAGCCTTTTCAAATTATATACACTAGGCCCTCTTAAAGGGGACAGAAAATCTTTCCAAAGTGTATTGGACACTTTCTATTGGCCAAAAGTGGCTCTTTATTTTACTTTTTCTGTCTTCCATTATCAAGGTCTGGTAGAATAAAGACAGAGCATTGGTCACTAGATCCCTGCACTTGTGTTCGTCCAGGGCTCCACACAACTGACTGATCTGGCAAGGCGTTTATTTATTGTTGCCAGGGCCAGGTGGCATCTTATCCAAATGGGACACAGCAGTGACTCCAAATCCCCAGACCTGAGTGGGCCCATGGTCTAAAGCTGAGGTGACCCAGCTGGCATCCACACTGACCCACCTTCTCAGATCTCAAGGCCCCTCAAAGCCCTCCTAAGCATTTGGGCTGCGGCCATTCTTCCTGCCCCACCATGTCTGCTGCCCAAAGGCACCACATCCTTGATGGCCTGCCCAGGCTGGGCCAAGAAACAAGCAGCAGCAGGCACTGCCTGGGCCTAGGGAGGCCACCAGAGCCATCAGGTCATTGAGATGGGAGTGGGTGGGGTCGCTGCTATCTCAGGACAAAGACTAGCCTGACTGTGGCAGTGAGGGTTCTAGGTTACCATAGGCCAACCTGGCTGGGTGGTCTCTGGGATTAGAACTCAATTCTCACCTTGCTCTCTGCTGGAGCTGACTCAAGCTAATAGAATTTTTAAACCAAAACTTCTTAAATTCTTTAAATATTGACAACTACTTTGGCTTAAGGTATTCTAATCGACACTAAGGACAATCTAATCCTCTACCTCTGGCAAATATTGATTGTTACCTCATGAATACATCACAAGCAGACCAGTGAGACCAGGCAATACCCCCTGATTTTAGACTCCACTTTGTTGCAAGCAAATAGGACCAATACTATAAAAGGCTAATACAATATACTCAGATTTAGCACCAAAAGGTTCAACTGCCTTTCTAGGCCAAGTCGCTGCTTACACAGAAAGATCTTTGCCCCCAATTTTGCACCCTAGAGTTAATGCTTCTATATGAGTATAAATAAGGTGACTATACATCATGGCTTGCCCCAGACAGTTCTGTGACTTACTTTCCTGAAGTGCAAGGCTTGATATACGGTCACTCTTGTCACAGTGTAATGATTAATAGTGCCACTTTTACAGCCTGGCCAACCAGGGACAACAAACTATGGAGTCACCACAGTTATAAACCTCATACTAATACTGATGGGTTAAAGCAGCAAATCTCACAAGCACATCCATGCAGACCCCTGGGGAGGAATTGTGGAGACCAGGTGTGCACACCTCACAAAAAGGGAGAGAACATGACTATCATAAGCCACTGCACATGTGCACTGAAGCTTGGGGAGGGGACACTGAAATGTGGGCAAACAGGCCAAGACGGCTTTCCCTGACCAGAGATTAGGGGTGGATAACGTGGAGTTTTGCAATTGAGTTTGTATACTTTAATTGAAGTTGTTACTGACAAAGCTCTAAATAACCAAAATGCACCTCCAATGTGTCAGGGCAGGGGAAAACAGCCCCCTAGAAAGTATATCTCGGGAGCAGGAATTTCATGGAAAGAGAGGCAACATGGCTACCCATTAGACAACTGCACTTGAGTAGTGAGGGTAGGAGTGGGCGACTCCAGAACGGGAGGTTGTCATTGGCAGTAAGAAGGGAGTCGAATGAAAATAAAACAGGTATTGGAGCCCAAGTCCCTCTGACTCTAAAGCCTGTGCCATTCTTCACCTTGCTCTTAGAGCCTGGCACATAGTAGATAACAGTCAACACAGTTTAAATAAATTAATTCACACCATAGCTTCTTTCTGGAAAGTTCTTTCTTTCCATATCTGGGGAAATTGTGCCCTATCCCTCAAGGCCCAGACCAAATGCAGCCTCCTCCATGCAGCCTTCCCTGATTCCATGCCTTCTTTTAACCCCAACAGTTGCAACCTCTCCTATAACTAGGGGGTGGGTAGGGGAAGACTATGGAAAGGCATTAGCACTGGAAGTGCAGAGGAATATCCTTCTAGGATGGGACAGAGCAGGACTGGAGAAGGACTCTGAGTTGTGAAGATGGAGATTTTTGCTCTTGAGTTTGCCCATTGGAGTTAAGGTTGATACAAGGGATTTTAGGTGGTTAAATCCATGACATGATAAACCATACTGAATCCTACCTTGGGGAAATGCTTGGAAATTGTTATTTTTAACAAGCAGCTCTGGTGATTGATACAATCAGGCATATTCCAGAAACTGTGCTAATCTAACCCTCTCAATTTACAGGAGGAAACTGAAAATTTCTAACCCTCTCAATTTACAGGAGGAAGCCCAGAAAATGTAACTGACTTAATCTAAGGTCACACAGCCAGTTACTGACATAACCAGGAAAATGATTAATCAATTATATCTCCTCTGATATAGCCTTATATTAAATTCTCCATGGACAATGCTGTGTCTCAAACATACTAGCCATTCGACAAATACCTATACGAATGAATGAATAAGATTAGCACTTGTCATCTGCCAGGATTCAAGGGAATGGATGCTAGATGGGTAAATTCTGATAGAAAAAAAAGTAAGTGAAAAAGTGTTCTGGAACAAGAGAGAGTGAGCATCTAAGTGAATAAGGCAGAAGGCACAGGGGAAAACATAGCACTTTTCTATAGTCCTTCAGAATCCTCAAGCTTTGAATGTGAGAATAGAAATGACATTCAGAAGGTATTCTGAATAATAGTAAGCAGGCTATAAAAGTTTGAAGTTTGAGAGATCAAAGTCTTGCCTGGAAATATAGATTTGAAAGTGATCAACATATAGGTTGAATTTGAAGCTAAATTTGAAGTTATGCTTGTGATTTTTGCACATTGATTTTGTATCCTGAGACTTTGCTGAAGTTGCTTATCAGCTTAAGGAGATCTTGGGCTGAGACGATGGGGTTTTCTAGATATACAATCATGTCATCTGCAAACAGGGACAATTTGACTTCCTCTTTTCCTAATTGAATACCCTTTATTTCTTTCTCCTGCCTGATTGCCCTGGCTAGAACTTCCAACACTATGTTGAATAGGAGTGGTGAGAGAGGGCATCCCTGTCTTGTGC
Source organism: Homo sapiens (assembly GCF_000001405.40). Taxonomy (NCBI): domain Eukaryota; kingdom Metazoa; phylum Chordata; class Mammalia; order Primates; family Hominidae; genus Homo; species Homo sapiens. The sequence continues at coordinate 108,015,482 of NC_000023.11, read as the reverse complement.
CAGTTTTCAAAGGGAATGCTTTCAGTTTTTGCCCATTCAGTATGATATTGGCTGTGGGTTTGTCATAGATAGCTCTTATTATTTTGAGATACGTCCAATCAATACCTAATTTCTTGAGAGTTTTTAGCATCAATGGCTGTTGAATTTTGTCAAAGGCCTTTTCTGCATCTATTGAGATAATCATGTGGTTTTTGTCATTGGTTCTGTTTATTTGGTGGATTACGTTTATTGATTTGCGAATATTGAACCAGCCTTGCATTCCAGGGATGAAGCCCACTTGATCATGGTGGATAAGGTTTTTGATGTGCTGCTGGATTCGGTTTGCCAGTATTTTATTGAGGATTTTTGCATCGATGTTCATCAGGGATATTGGTCTAAAATTCTCTTTTTTTGTTGTGTCTCTGCCAGGCTTTGGTATCAGGATGATGCTGGCCTCATAAAATGAGTTAGGGAGGATTCCCTCTTTTTCTATTGATTGGAATAGTTTCAGAAGGAATGGTACCAGCTCCTCCTTGTACCTCTGGTAGAATTCGGCTGTGAATCCATCTGGTCCTGGACTTTTTTTGGTTGGTAAGCTATTAATTATTGCCTCAATTTCAGAGCCTGTTATTGGTCTATTCAGAGATTCAACTTCTTTCTGGGTTAGTCTTGGGAGGGTGTATGTGTTGAGGAATTTATCCATTTCTTCTAGATTTTCTAGTTTATTTGCGTAGAGGTGTTTATAGTATTCTCTGATGGTAGTTTGTATTTCTGTGGGATCGGTGGTGATATCCCCTTTACCATTTTTTATTGTGTCTATTTGATTCTTCTTTCTTTTCTTCTTTATTAGTCTTGCTAGTGGTCTATCAATTTTGTTGATCTTTTCAAAAAACCAGCTCCTGGTTTCATTGATTTTTTGAATGGTTTTTTGTGTCTCTATCTCCTTCAGTTCTGCTCTGATCTTAGTTATTTCTTGCCTTCTGCTAGCTTTTGAACGTGTTTGCTGTTGCTTCTCTAGTTCTTTTAATTGTGATGTTAAGGTGTTGATTTTAGATCTTTCCTGCTTTCTCTTGTGGGCATTTAGTGCTATAAATTTCCCTCTACATACTGCTTTGCATGTGTCCCAGAGATTCTGGTATGTTGTGTCTTTGTTCTCGTTGGTTTCAAAGAACATCTTTATTTCTGCTTTCATTTTGCTATGTACCCAGTAGTCATCCAGGAGCCGGTTGTTCAGTTTCCATGTAGTTGAGTGGTTTTGAGTGAGTTTCTTAATCCTGAGTTGTAGTTAGATGCACTGTGGTCTGAGAGCCAGTTTGTTATAATTTCTGTTCTTTTACATTTGCTGAGGAGTGCTTTACTTCCAATTATGTTGTCAATTTTGGAATAGGTGTAGTGTGGTGCTGAAAAGAATGTATATTCTGTTCATTTGGGGTGGAGAGTTCTGTAGATGTCTATTAGGTCCGCTTGGTGCAGAGCTGAGTTCAATTCCTGGATATCCTTGTTAACTTTCTGTCTCGTTGATCTGTCTAATGTTGACAGTAGGGTGTTGAAGTCTCCCATTATTATTGTGTGGGAATCTAAGTCTCTTTGTAGGTCTCTAAGGACTTGCTTTATGAATGTGGGTAATCCTGTCTTGGGTGCATATATATTTAGGATAGTTAGCTCTTCTTGTTGAATTGATCCCTTTACCATTATTTAATGGCCTTCTTTGTCTCTTTTGATCTTTGTTGGTTTAAAGTCTGTTTTATCAGAGACTAGGATTGCAACCCCTGCCTTTTTTTTGTTTTCTATTTGCTTGGTAGATCTTCCTCCATCCCTTTATTTTGAGCCTATGTGTGTCTCTGCACATGACATGGGTCTCCTGAATACTGCACATGGATGGGTCTTGACTCTTTATCCAATTTGCCAGTCTGTGTCTTTTAATTGGAGCATTTAGCCTATTAACATTTAAGGTTGATATTGTTATGTGTGAATTTGATCCTGTCATTATGATGTTAGCTGGTTATTTTGCTCATTAGTTGATGCAGTTTCTTCCTAGCCTCGATGGTCTTTACAATTTGGCATGTTTTTGCAGTGGCTGGTACTGGTTATTCCTTTCCATGTTTAGTGCTTCCTTCAGGATCTCTTGTAGGGCAGGTCTGGTGGTGACAAAATCTCTCAGCATTTGCTTGTCTTAAAGTATTTTATTTCTCCTTCATTTATGAAGCTTAGTTTGGCTGGAGATGAAATTCTGGGTTGAAAATTCTTTTCTTTAAGAATGCTGAATAGTGGCCCCCACTCTCTTCTGGCTTGTAGAGTTTCTGCCAAGACATCAGCTGTTAGTCTGATGGGCTTCCCTTTGTGGGTAACCTGACCTTTCTCTCTGGCTGCCCTTAACATTTTTTCCTTCATTTCAACTTCGGTGAATCTGACAATTATGTGTCTTGGAGTAGCTCTTCTCGAGGAGTATCTTTGTGGCATTCTCTGTATTTCCTGAATCTGAATGTTGGCCTGCCTTGCTAGATTGGGGAAGTTCTCCTGGATAGTATCCTGCAGAGTGTTTTCCAACTTGGTTCCATTCTCCCCATCACTTTCAGGTACACCAATCAGATGTAGATTTGGTCTTTTCACATAGCCACATATTTCTTGGAAGCTTTGTTCATTTCTTTTTATTCTCTTTTCTCTAAACTTCTCTTCTCGCTTCATCTCATTCATTTGATCTTCCATCACTGATACCCTTTCTTCCAGTTGATCGAATCGGTTACTGAAGCTTGTGCATTCATCACGTAGTTCTCGTGCCGTGGTTTTCAGCTCCATCAGGTCCTTTAAGGACTTCTCTGCATTGGTTGTTCTAGTTAGCCATTCGTCTAATCTTTTTTCAAGGTTTTTAACTTCTTTGCCATGGGTTCGAACTTTCTCCTTTAGCTCAGAGTAGTTTGATCGTCTGAAGCCTTCTTCTCTCAACTCGTCAAATTCATTCTCTGTCCAGCTTTGTTCTGTTGCTGGTGAGGAGCTGCATTCCTTTGGAGGAGGAAAGGCGCTCTGATTTTTAGAATTGTCAGTTTTTCTGTTCTGTTTTTTCCCCATCTTTGTGGTTTTATCTACCTTTGGTCTTTGATGATGGTGACGTACAGATGGGGTTTTGGCGTGGATGTCCTTTCCGTTTGTTAGTTTTCCTTCTAACAGTCAGGACCCTCAGCTGCAGGTCTGTTGGAGTTTGCTGGAGGTCCACTCCAGACTCTGTTTGCCTGGGTATCAGCAGTGGGGCTGCAGAACAGCAGATATTGCTGAACAGCAAATGTTGCTGCCTCATCGTTCCTCTGGAAGTTTTGTCTCAGAGGAGTATCGGCCATGTAAGGTGTCAGTCTGCCCCTACTGGTGGGAGCCTCCCAGTTAGGCTACTTGGGGGTCAGGGACCCAGTTGAGGAGGCAGTCTGTCCATTCTCAGATCTCCAGCTGCGTGCTGGGAGAACCACTACTCTCTTCAAAGCTGTTGGACAAGGACATTTAAGTCTGCAGCGTTTTCTGGTGCCTTTTGTTTGGCTATGCCCTGCCCCCAGAGGTGGAGTCTACAGAGGTAGGCAGGCCTCCTTGAGCTGTGTTCAGCTCCACCTAGTTCGAGCTTCCCAGACACTTTGTTTACCTACTCAAACCTCAGCAATGGCAGGCGCCCCTTTCCCAGCCTCGCTGCTGCCTTGCAGTTTGATCTCAGACTGCTGGGCTAGCAATGAGCGAGCCTCCGTGGGCATAGGACCCTCCGAGCCAGGCACAGGATACAATCTCCTCATGTGCCGAATGCTAAGACCCTTGGAAAAGTGCAGTATTAGGGTGGGAGTGACCTGATTTTCCAGGTGCCATCTGTCACCCCTTTCCTTGGCTAGGAAAGGGAATTCCCTGACCCCCTGTGCTTCCTGAGTGAGGTGATGCCTCACCCTGCTTCGGGTCATGCTCGGTGCGCTGCACCCACTGTCCTGCACCCACTGTCCAACAATCCCCAGTGAGATGAACCTGGTACCTCAGTTGGAAATGCAGAAATCTTCTGCATCGCTCACGCTGGGCGCTGTAGACTGGAGCTCTTCCTATTCAGCCATTTTGACTCCACCTATGTCTGTAACTTACTTTTCAATTAAAATACATTATAAACACTTTGCCCTATTAATAAATGTTCTGTGTAAGCAACATTCTAATACCTACGTGGTATTCCTACAGGCCATATTGAAACATCATTTCTTTCCTTGTCAGCATCTATTCTCTTCTGTCTTTCTTTCCCATCTGTCCCCTTCCCTTCCCTCCCTTCCACACCTACACAAGCTAGTGTGCATTGGAAGTATAATTAATTATGTCAAAATAGACTTAATAACAAATGAAGAAAATATCAGAGAAACACTTGTGTGAAAATATAATTTGTCTTTTTTTTTTTTTTTTTTTTTGAGACAGGGTCTCACTCTGTTGCCCGGGCTGGAGTGCAGTGGTGCTATCTCAGCTCACTGCAACCTCCGCCTCTGGGGTTCAAGAGATTCTCCTACCTCAGCCTCCTGAGTAGGTGGGATTACAGACATGGGCCACCACACCAGGCTAATTTTTGTAGAATTTGTCTTTTAAGCTGAATGATACTTGAGCATATTTGTACCTAGCAGGTGTGTGCATGTGCGTGTGTGTGTGTGTGTGTGTGTGAGAGAGAGAGAGAGAGAGAGAGAGAGAGAGAGAGAGAGAGAGAGAGTAGAGACAAAGCAGGGAGGGAAGGTTGTCAAATAATGGCTGAAGGTTTCTAAGAAGGAAAGAGGATACACAGCATAGATGCCATGATTAACCTTAGATGCCTGTAAGTTTGTGAGGGGTGTATCAGGTTGGGTGGCAAGAAGTTTAGGTTACTTCTGGCCCCTATATTTATGGTTAAGTGGGATTCCAAGTTATCTGCTGAGAGACAGGGGCAAAGGAACTTAGGAAAACAGGTGAAGGGCTTAAATATCTTCTTGGGTGAAGGAGAGAGTGAGAGAATGTGCTAATAAAGGGCACATGGGTCCATAGCACTATTGAAAACCCAATTGAGACTAAAGCCAAACCCCATACATAGAAGGTAGACATTTTGGTGTGATCTAGGTTCAGGATTCAGCTATTATACAAGTACAGTGAACAGACTAGGGGCAAGGCCGTTGAAAATATTGGTAAGATGGTTGTCTGGGCTGGAAATGAAAAAGACAGCTTATAGATTGCTTGGGAGATAATGGAGAGATTGAAGAATAAGAGAGTTAAATGAGCTAGAATAGCTGTAGTGACAACAAAGACATAAAAACTAAAGAGGTAGAAGGATTTGGTCAGAGAAGTAGAACTCTAGCCACCAAAGACACCACTACCAGAGGCTACAAGGATCAAGACTGAAGCCACCTCATCTGGGACTAGTGCCATTCCAGATCATACCAGTGCAGAAACCGTAACTTCTGGGTTTACCACCATGTTAGTTCAAATAGGTAGAGACTATAGATGCTACACTGAGGAAACTCTGGCCATTAGGGCTAGTTTCCATTCCCTGTAACAGTCTGTTGAGGCTAAATCCACAGACTCCTCAAGAGTCTGTTGAGGCTAAATCCAAGTGGTCATCACTTCTCCTACAACTGACATCTAGCCTCTATTCCACTATCATCCTTATAATGCCATGTACATCCTTACTCCTCATCCAGCACTCCATTCCTCTCCCAGCCCTAGAAATTTTTCTCTGTGCCCTCTAGAATTGTCTCACTGTATCCAGCAAACCCTTCTATATCCTCAGCCTTGTCATCAAGAGTTCCCTTCATCCCTGACCTTAAGTGAAACCTGGGCCACCACTGCAGCCCTTTGGAGTAGGGCTTTTCTTTTCTGTCCTCAGAGCAAGATGAAGGGTAGGGTTGGTGTCCTCCTTGCCCCCATTTCTGCTTTCAGACCATTAAATTCCTATGCTACTGAAATAAAAGTGTAAACTATAAAACCCAAACCTGATGCTTTGAGTTCATTCAATTATATCCCCTCTTTCACTTCTAGTCATTCCTAGATTTACCTTTGGGCCACTCCCCTTCATTTATCAATGACTTTGGCCCCTGTTCACATCCTTTCTTCCTACCTCAAGATCTGCCACTATCCTCAGTGATTTCAACATCCCCAAGGATAAACAATGCAACATCTGACTACTCAGTTATTTGAAATCCATATCTCAGGTGGCTTTTCTCTTTCACCTTAGCCACACACACTGATAGTCATACCAGAGATCCTGTTATTATCTGAAACCACTTCACTCCAGAATTACAAGTTAGTTTAAATCATGAATTGTACCATCCAATCCTCTAGCCACAACCCCCTATTCACAGATTTTCAACTACTAACACTACAATCATTTCTCAGCTCCTATAGTTTATCGATCCTTCTACTTCCTCCAAGTCTATCAAGGATCTCCTTTTTTATTTCCCTCATTACTTAACTTAGATCCCATGCTTCATCATTTTGATAACACTCTTGACAGTACTCTAAGCTCCCTTGCCTTGAACTTGTTTTGTAAAACTTCTACCTTGCTAAACACAATTCGGTATGATATGGTTTGGCTCTATGTCCCCACCCAAATCTCATTTTGTATCTCCCATAATTCCCACGTGTTGTGAGAGGTACCCAGTGGGAGATAATTGAATCATGAGGGTGGGTCTTTCCTGTGCTGTTCTTGTGATAGTGCATAAGTCTCGCAACATGTGATGGCTTTAAAAACGGGAATTTGCCTGCACAATCTCTTTCTTTCCCTGCTGCCATCCACGTAAGATGTGACTTGTTTCTCCTTGCCTTCCACTGTGATTATGAGGCTTCCCCAGCCATGTGGAACTGTGAGTTCTCCATTAAACTTCTTTCCTTGTAAATTGCCCAGTCTCAGGTATGTCTTTATCAGCAGTGTGAAAACGGACTAATACACTGTGTTTTTGATACCTGCACCTGAGCACTGCTAGAAAAATTCACAATAGGGCATACTCGTTTACAAGAAGTTTAAGATCATCAGTCTGAAATAGGTTGCCAGCACTGCTGGACAATCAATTCTCCAGAACAAATATTTCAAACATTCTTTGTCTCGTCAAATCCTAGTTCTCCCTGACACACCTCCTTCCCTCACATCCTCCTCTGCTCTCAGCAGTTCTTCCTACTTCACAGAGAAAAATATCTGCTTCCATTCTCATCTTATTCTCTTCTGTTACATTAGAAAAGCTGTTACTGGCTGGGCACTGTGGCTCACTCCCAGGACTGTAATCCCAGGACTTTGGGAGGCTAAGGAGGATGAATTGCTTGAGTCCAGGAGTTTGAGACAAGCCTGGGCAACATGGTAAAACAGCATCTCAACAAAAAGTACAACAAATTAGCTGGGTGTGGTGGCACACACCTATGATCCCTGCTACTCAAGAGGCTGAGGTGGGAGGATCACCCAAGCCCTGGGAGGTTGAGGCTGCAGTGAGCTGTGATAGCACCACTGCACTCCACCCTAGGCAACAGAGTAAGACCATATCTCAATTATTTAACAACAACAAAAAAAAGAATAGAAAGGTTGTTACTATGTCTCTCCAATGGCAATCCCCCACGCGTACTTTGGATCTTCTATCTTTCAGGAGCCTTGCACTATTGGTGGTCCTTTACCTTTCCAGTTTTTTTTTTTTTAACATTTTCCACTCCATTAGACCTTTCCCAATAGGTTTAAATACGTTTCCATATCTCCACTAAAACAAACGAAAACCAAAAAACTTACTGAACTCCACACATTACTCAAGTTACCTTCTCCCCTTCACAGCCAAACTTCTTAAAAGAATTGTATCTTCCTAGTGTCTTGCTTCCAGGCCTCCTGTTTACCTCTCAATCCACTACTTTTTTATATAATTTCAATTTTAATTTTAGACTCAGGAGGTACATATGCAGGTTTGTTACATGAGTATATTGCATGATGCTGAGGTTTGGGATACAAATGATCCCTTCTCCCAAGTAGTGATCATAGTACTCAACAGTTAATTTTTCAAACTTTGCCACCCTTCCTCCTTTCCCCTCCAGTAGTCCCCAGTTTCTATTGTTGCCATCTTTTGTAGGTTTGTGTGTGTGTGTGTTTTGAGACAGGGTCTTATTCTGTCACTCAGGCTGGAGTGCAGTGGGTGATCTCAGCTCACTGCTGCCTCGACCTCCTGGTTTCAAGAAATCTCGCCTCAGCTCCCCAAGTAGCTGGAACTACAGGCGTGTGCCACCATGCCTAGCTAATCTCTTTTTTTTTCTTGAGATGGGGTTTCACTATGTTGTCTCAAATTCCTGAGCTCAAACAATCCACCCACCTCAGCCTCCCAAAGTGCTGGGATTACAGGCGTGAACCACTGAGCCTGGCCTTTATTGCTGCCATCTTTATGTCCATGTGTACCCAATGTTTAGCTCCCGCTTAGAACAAGATATGTGGTATTTGGTTTTCTGTTCCTACACTAGTTCGCTTAGGATAATGGTCTCCAGCTGCATCCATGTTGCTGCACAGCACATGATTTTGTTCTTTTTATGACGGCACAGTATTCCATGGTGTATATGTACCAAATTTTCTTTAACCAATTCAGCGCTGATGGGCACCCAGATTGATTCCATATCTTTGCTATTGTGAATAGTGCTGTGATGAACACATGAGTGCATGTGTCTTTTTGATAGAACGATTCGTTTTCTTTTGGGACTATACCCAGTAAAGGGACTGCTGGGTAAAATGGTAATTCTGTTTTTACTTCTTTGAGAAACCTCCAAACTGCTTTCCACAGTGGCTGAACTAATTTACATTCCCAACAACAGTGTATACACATTCCATTTTCTCTGCAGCCTTGCCAGTATCTGTTGTTGTTTTTTTTTTTTTAACTTTTTAATAATATTCCTTCTGACTAGTGTGAGAGGATTTTGATTTTCATTTCTCTAATAATTAGTGATGATGAACATTTTTTCTTATGTTTATTGGCCGCTCATATGCCTTCTTTTGAAAAGTGTCTGATCATGTCTTTTGCCCACTTTTTAATGGAGTAATTAGGTTTTTTGCTTCTTATAATTGTTCCTTATAGATTCTGGATATTAGACTTTGTCAGATGCGTACTTTGTGGATATTTTCTCCCATTCTGTGAGTTGTCTGTTTACTCTATTGATGGTTCCTTTTGCTGTGCAGAAGCTCTTTATTTAAGTAGACCCCACTTGTCAATTTTTGGTTTTGTTACAATTGCTTGAGGACTTAGTCACAAATTATTTCCCAAGGCTGATGTCCAGAAAGGTATTTCCTAGGTTTTCTTCTAGGATTCTTAGTTTGAAGTCTTACATTAAATTTTTAATCCACCTTGAGTTATTTTTTGTATTTGGTGAAATATAGGGGTCCAGTTTCCTTGTTCTGCATATGGCTAGCTAGCTATCCCAGCACCATTCATTGAATAGGAAGTCCTTTCCTCATTGCTTATATTTGTCAACTTTGTCAAAGATCAGATGGCTGTAGGTGTATGGCTTTATTTCTGGGTTCTCCATTTTGTTCCATTGGTCTATACGCTGTTTTTATACCAGTACCAGGCCATTTTGGCTACTGTAGCTTATAGTATAATTTTAAGTCAGGTAATATGATGCTTCTGGCTTTGTTCTTTTTGTTTAGGATTGCTTTGGCCATTCAGGGTCTTTCTTGGTTCGATATGAAGTTTACAATTTTTTTTTAATTCTGTGAAAAATTATTTTGGTAGCTTGATAGGAATAGTGTTGAATCTATAGATTGCTTTGGACAATGTGGTCATTTTTACAAATATTGATTCTTCCAACCCATGAGTGTGGAATGTTTTTCCATTTGTGTCATTTATGATTTCTTTCAGCAGTGTTTTATAGTTTTCATTGTAGAGATCTTTCATCTCCTTGGTTACATGTATTCCTAGGTTTTTATTTGTGTGTGTGTGGTTCCTGTAAATGGCTCTTGGCTTGAGTGTTATTGATGTATAGAAATGCTACTGATTTTTATACAATGATTTTGTATCCTCAAACTGTACTGAAATATTTGATCAGTTTTATAGCCCTTCACTGGAGTTTTTAAGGTTTTCTAGGTACAGAATCGTATCATCAGTGAAGAGAGACAGTTCGACTTCTTGTCCTATTTGGATTCTGTGTTAGTCTGTTTTTGTGTTGCTATAAAGGAATACCTGATGCTTGGTAATTTAATTTGTAAGGAAAAAAAAGGTTTTATTTTGGCTCATGGTCTGCATGTTGTACAGGAAGCATGGTGCCCACAAATGTTCCTGGTGAGGACCTCAGGAAGCTTACAATCATGGTGGAAGGTGAAGGGGGAGCCAGCACATCACACGGCAAGAGAGGAAGCAGATGGAGGGTGTCCTACACTCTTTTAAACAACCAGATCTCACATGAACTCATAGAGTGAGAATTTGCTCCTTACCACCAAGACGGCACCAAGCCATTCATGAGAGATCTGCCCCCATAATCCAAACACCTCCAACTGGGCCCAACCTCCAACATTGGGGATTGCATTTTAACATAAGATTTGGAGAAGACAAATATTTAAACTATATCAGATGCATTTTCTTTCTTTCTCTTGCCTGATTGCACCAGCTAGTAATTTCAGTATTATGTTGAATTGGGGTGGTGAGAGTAGGCATCCTTTTCTTGTTCCTACTCTCAAGGGGAATGCTTCCAGCATTCGCCTGCTCAGTATGATGTTGGCTGTGGGTTTGTCATTGATGTTTCTTATTATTTTGAGGTATGTTCCTTCAACGCCTAATATATTGAGGGTTTTTATCATGAAGGGTATTGGACTTTATCAAAAGCTTTTCCCACATCTATCAATATGATCATATGGTTTTTGTTTTTAATTCTATTTATGTGGTGAATCACTTTTATTGCTTTGCTGAACCAACATTGCATCCCAGAAATGAAGCCTACTTGATTGCGATAAATTAACTTTTTGTTGTGCTGCTGGATTCAGTTTGCTAGTATTTTCTCGAGGATTTTTGCATCTATGTTTCTCAGGGATGTTGGCCTGTAGTTTTCTTTTCTTGTTGTGCCTTTGCCAGGTTTTGGTATTAGGGTGGTGTTGGCTTCATAGAATGAGTAGGGAGCAGTTCCTCCTCCTCAATTTTTTGGAATAGTTTCACTAGAATTGGTACTAGCTATTCTTTGTACATCTGGTGGAATTTGGCTGTGAATCCATTTGGTCTGGGGCATTTTTGATTGGTAGGCTTTTTATTCCTGATTCAATTTCAGAACTCTATATTGGTCTGTTCAGAGTTTCCGTTTCTTCCTGATTTAGTCTTGGAAGGTTGTGTGTTTTCAGGAATTTACCCATTTCATCTAGATTTTCTAGTTTGTGTGCATAGAGGTGTTCATAATAACCTCTGAGGATCTTTTGTATTTCTTGGATCAGTTATAATGTCACCTTTGTCATTTATGATTGTGCTTATTTGGATCTTCCCTCTTTTTTCTTTGTCAATGTAGCTAGCATTCTTTCAATCCTGTTTATCCTTTCAAATACACTTTTGGTTTGTTATTTAATGCTTTTTATGAAATTTTGGTCTCAATTTTTCTCAATTTTTCCCTGATTTATTTTATTCTGCTAGATTTTCAGTTAGTTTGTTCTTGTTTTTCTAGTTCCTCTAAGTGTGATGTCACATCATTAATTTGAGATTTTTCTAACTTTTTGAGGTAGGCATTTAGTGCTATGAACTTTCCCCTTAACACTGCTTTTGCTGTCTCCCAGAGATGTTGTCATGTTGTGTTTCTGTTTTTATTTATTTCAAATTTTTTTTAATTTCTGCCTTAATTTAATTGTTTACCCGAAAGCCATTCAGGAGCCAACCGTTTAATTTCCATATGATTGTGTGGTTTTGAGAGATCTTCTTGGTATTGATTTCTATTTGTATTCCACTGTGTTCCAAGTGTATGGCTGGTATGAGTTTAATTTTTTTTTAATTTATTGAAACTTGCTTTACGGCCAAGCATGTGGTCTTTCTTAGAGTATGTTTAGTATGCAGTTGAGAAGAATGTATATTTTGTGCAGTTAGTGGATGGGGTATTCTGTAGATGTCTATTAGATCCAACTGGTCAAGTGTCATTTTGGTTTCAATTCTCAAGTCCAGAATTTCTTTGTTAGTTTTCTGCTTGATGATCTGTCTAATGCTGTCAGTGGGGTATTGAAGTCCCCCGCTATTATTGTGTGACTATTTAAGCTTTTTCATAGATCTAGAAGTACTTGTTTGATGAATCTGGGTGTTGCAATGTTGGTGTGTGCATATATTTAGGATAATTAAGTCTTCTTGTTGAATTGAACCCTTTGACATTATGTAATGCCCTTCTTTGTCTTTTTTTACTGTTGTCGGTTTAAAGTCTCTTTTATCTGATGTAAGAATAGTGACTCCTGCTCTTGCTTGTTTCCCTTTTATGTGATAGACCTTTCTCCAACCCTTTACCTTGAGCCTATGAACATCATTAAGTGTGAGATGAGTCTCTTGAAGACAGAAGATGGACGGATCTTTTTTTAATCCAACTTGCCACTCTGTGCCTTTTAAGTGGGGGCATTTAGATCATTTATATTCAAGGTCAACATTAATATGTGAGGTTTTGAGAAAAGTGTGAAGTTGTTAGCTGGTTTCTTTGTACTTTCAATTGTATGGTTGCTTTATAGGGTCTGTGAGCTATGTACTTAAGTGTGTTTTTTGGCAGGTATCATATTTCATTTACATGTTTAGAACTCACTTAAGGATCCCTTGTATGGCTGGTCTAGTGGTAGCAAATTGCCTTAGCACTTACTTGTCTGGAACATATTTTATTTCTCCTTTGCTTATGAAGCTTAGCATGGCAGGATAGGAAATTCTTGGTTGGAATTTCTTTTCTTTAAGAAGGCTAAACTAGGCCCCCAATCTCTCGTGGCTTGCAAGGTTTCTGTTGAGAAGTCTGCCATTAGCCTGATGGGGTTCCCTTTGTATATGAGCTGACCTTTTACTCTAGCTGCCTTTAAGATTTTTTTCTTTAGTGTTGACCTTGAAAAATCTGGTGACTATATGCTTTGGTGGTGATCACTTTGTATAGTATCTCACAGGTGTTCTCTGAATTCCTTGTATCTGGATGTCTACTTCTCTAGCAAGATTTAAGAATTTTTCTTGAATTATTCTCTCAAATATATTTTCCAGGTTGTTTACTTTTTTCTCCATCTCTCTCAGAAAAGCCAACAATTCATAGTTTTGGCCACTTTACATAGTCCCACATTTTTCATAGACTTTATTTTTTAAATTCTTTTTTCTTTATTTTTGTCTGACTGGGTTAGTTCAAAAAACAGGTCTTCAAGCTCTGAAATTATTTCTTCTGCTTGGTCTAGTTTATTGATAAAGCTTTCAGTTGCATTTTGAAATTCCTTAAGTGAGTTTTTCTATTCCAGAAGCTTTGATTGATTTCTTTTTAAGATGTTTATATCTTTCATTTCCTGGATTGCTTTAGAAATTTCTTTGTGTTGATTTTCAGTCTTGTCTTGGATTCCATTGAGATTTCTTGCAATCCATGCTTTGAATTCTTTGTTGTTTCTGAGTTTCCATTTTGATTAGCCACCATTGCTGGAGAGCTAGTGTGATTCTTTGGTAGTTTCACTACATTCAGGTTTTTCATGGTGTCAGAATTCTTGCAATGGCTTCTTCTCTTCTAGAGACACTAGCACTTTCTAATTTTTTAATTATTTTTTACAGGTAGGATTTTTTGTCTATTTTCCTATGATATTATTATATTTTTTCTTTCCTTTTCCCTTTCTCCGCCTTTCTAGGGTGTGTGACTGGTGGGGAGCGTCTTTTGGCTTTGCTCCTACAGCCCTATGCACTTCTGTAAGCAGGTTTTTATTGGGCTATGCGGTTTGACTTGTAAGCCAGTAGATGGCGCTTATAGGTAAGAGCCAGCTGCCGTCAATGCGGCTGGGTATATATTTCATCTTTGTTTACTGGGAGAAACTGTATATTGCTTCAGGCGATGGGCTGATCCACGGAGTGCACAGTGATCTGAGCTTCCTGTTCAGCCCCGGGTTGGCAGGGGGCAAGATGGCCAGGCCACAGCCCACCTACAGGTTCCTCTGATGACAGGCACAAGCACCAGCACCAATGGAGAATCCAGTTAGCGGTTACCAAGTGCCCAGAGGTGTGCCTAGGCATGGTGCTGGGAAACCTCCTATGTCACAAGTTCTTTGCACGGGGGAGGAGATGGCCTAAACTCCTAATCCAAGAGAGTGGGTGCTCCAGATTCCTGGAGATCTGCCTGGGTGTGGAGTGCAGAGGGCCCCACTGCACCACAACCTCTGCACAGGAGGGGCAGGCAACTCAGACTGCTGACCCCGGCAAATGGGTGCTCCTAATACCTGGTGATCTGCCTGGGCGTGAAGCAGAGAGGGCCCCCCTGCACCATGATCTCTGCATAGGAGTGGGGTGTCAGGCTGCTGAACCAGACAAGCAGGTGCTCTGCATGCCTGGAGATCTGCCTGGGCATGAAGCAGAGAGGGCCCTCTGCACCTAGATCTCTGAATAGGAAGGGTGAAGTGACTCAGGCTGTCAATCTGGGCAAGCAGAAGCTTTGAGTGTTTGGAGCTCTGCCTGGACATGGAGCAGAGAGGGATCCATTGCACCACAACCTATTCCCAAGAGGGATGGGGCAACTCAGGCTGCCAGTACATGTGAGCAGGTGCTCCGAATGCCTGGAGTTCTGCATGGGGGTGGAGCAGAGAGGGCTCCACTGCCCCACAATCTCAGGGGAGCAGGCTAGGGAACCCAGCAATGACACATGCACACCAGTTCCAGGTTGCCAAGCCAGCCCTGGCAGCAAGTCTCATCACCCAAGAGAAATTGCAGCTGTAGCAGATCTTCTCTTGTCCCAGGCTCTTATCAGCTGGACAATGTCATGGGGGCTGTTTGCCCATATCCTCCTCCCTGAGATCTGGGATGTCCATCATGATTCCAGGGAATTCCCATTTTCCTTCTTGAATTAAAGCTCATAGAGTTTATCTTTATACACTGTTTTGCTATTTCCAAGTGGCTAAGGCACACTAAAAGCCTCTCATCCACCATCTTAACTTAAAAGTTCACATTTAAACACCATGAATGTTGGAATCAGCTTTATTAATGGAAATTGCATTACCATTAAAATAATGGTTCTGGCCAGGTGCAGTGGCTCACGCCTGTATCCCAGCACTTTGGGAGGCCGAGGTAGGCAGATCACTTGAGGTCAGGAGCTCAAGACTAACCTGGCCAACATGGTGAAACCCTGTCTCTACTAAAAATACAAAATTAACTGGGCATGGTGGCGGGTGCCTGTAATCCCAGCTACTCAGGAGGCTGAGGCAGGAGAATCGCTTAAACCCAGGAGGCGGAGGTTGCAGTGAGCTATCTTGCCACAGCACTCCAGCCTTGGCGACAGAGTGACACTCTGTCTCTGTCTCTCTCTCTGTCTCTCTCTCTCTCTGCCTCTATCTATCTCTCTGCCTCTATCTATCTATTTATATATATATATAAAATTTTTAAAAAATGGTTCTGCAGACTGTACAGGTAGCATGGCACCATCATCTGCTTCTGGTCAGGACCTCAGGAAGCTTTTATTCATGGTGGAAGGCACAGGAGGAGCAGGTATGTCACATGGCGAGAGAAGGAGCAAGCTCAGTCTACTTCTACCTGCTTTCCGGCTCCTTTACTACAGCAAGAAAAGTTCTTGTTCATGTCACAATAACCTCCATATTGTCAAACTTTTTTTCATTTTTCAACTTACTTGACTTCTTGGCAGGCTTTGAACCAGTTAATAATTTCCTCCTTCTTGAAATGTTCACCTCCCTTAGCTTTTTAAAATTGAATTATTTTGAAATAACTGTAGATTGATATTCAGTTATAAGAAGTAATACAGAACAATCTCAGGTACCCCCCACCTAGTTTTTCCCAATGGTAACATCTTAGAAAACTATAGTATAATATCATACTCAGAATATTGACATTAATACACTCAAGGTATAGAACAGTTTCCTCTATTTTTTTCCTTTTATACACTGTTCTTTTGGTGTCAAACCAAAGAACCTATGACTAGGTCTAGATCCTAGAGGTCTTCTCCTATGTTCTTCTCCTCTGTTTGTCCTAAAGTTTTACAATTTTACTTTTTTTTTTTTTTTTTTTTTTTTTTTTTGAGACAGGGTCTCGCCCTGTTGCCAGGCTGGAGTGCAGTGGTGCGATCTCGGCTTACTGCAACCTTCGCCTCCCAGGTTCAAGCAATTCTCCTGCCACAGCCTCCCGAGTAGCTGGGACTACAGGTGTGCACTACCACACCTGGCTAATTTTTGTATTTTTAGTAGAGATGGGGTTTCACCATGTTGGCCAGGATGGTCTTGATCTCCTGACCTCATGATCTGCCCACCTCGGCCTCCCAAAGTGCTGGGACTACAGGCGTGAGCCACTGCACCTGGCCTACAGTTTTACATTTTACATTTAAGTTCATGACTCATTTTGAGTTAGTTTTTGTATGAGGCTTAGGCTGGGGCTTTTTGTTTTGTTTTGGCCTATGAATGTCCAATTGCTCCAATATCATTTGGTGAAAAGTCTATCCTTCCTCCATTGAATTACTTGTGCAAAAAAGTGGACACCCCAACACCATACTGTCTTGATTACTATAGTTATATAGTAATCTTAATAGATAATGTCTGTTTTGTTAACAACTCCTCAACTCCTTGCAAGGTGCCTAGCAAATTGATACAAAACACGTTTTTTTCTTGATTCAATTTTTTTTTTTTTGCTTTTTATTTTTTGTTTCAATAGAGTTTTGGGCAATAGGTGGTGTTTGGTTACGTGGATAAGTTCTTTAGTGGTGATTTCTGGAATTTTGGTGCACCCATCACCCAAGCAGTGTACACTATACCCGATGTGTAGTCTTTTATCCCTCATCCCCTTCCCACCCTTTCCTCTGAGTCTCCAAAGTCCATTGTGTCATTCTTATGCCTTTGTGTCCTCATAACTTATCTCCCACTTAAGAGTGAGAACATATGATGCTTGGTTTTCCATTCCTGAGTTACTTCACTTAGAATAATGGTCTCCAATTCCATCCATGTTACTGCAAATGCCATTATTTCATTCCTTTTTATGGCTGAGTAGTAGTATTCCATGGTATATATATACCACATTTTCTTTATCCACTAGTTGACTGATGGGAATTTCAGCTGATTCCACATTTTTACAATTGCAAATTGTGCTTCTATAAACATATGTGTGCAAGTATCTTTTTAGTATGATTACTTATTTTCCTCTGGGTAGATACCCAGTAATGGGATTGCTGGATCAAAAGGTAGATCTACTTTTGGTTCTTTAAGAAATCTCCAGGCTGTTTTCCATAGTGGCTGGGACTAGTTTACATTCCCACCAGCAGTGTAAAAGTGTTCCCTTTTCACCACATCCACGCCAACATCTATGTTTTTTATTTTTTTATTATGGCCATTCTTGCAGGAGTAAGGTGGTATCACATCATGGTTTTGATTTGCATCTCGTGGTTTAGTGATGTTGTACATTTTTTCATATGTTTGTTAGCCATTTGTGCACCTGTGTATCTCCACTGGTGGTAGCAGGGGAGTAAAGTGGACTCTGTGAGGGTCCTTGGTTGTAGTTCTGTTTAGTGCACTGGTTTTGTGTTGGTTGGCCTCCAGCCAGGAGGTGGTGCTTTCAAGACAATGTCAGCTGCGGTAGTATAGGGAGGATATAAGCTTGCCCTAGGGTCAGGTGGATAAGTATTCGGGGTGTCTCAGGCAGAGGGTGGGGCCATAGAGCTTTCAAGAGATTATGCCCTTTGTCTTCAGCTACCAGGGTGGGTTGAGAAAGACCATAAGGTGGAGGCACGGTTGGTTGTGTCTGAGCTCAGACTCTCCTTAGGCAGAGCTTGCTGTGGCTGCTGTGGCGGATGGGAGTGTGGTTATCAGGCCAATGGAATTACGTTCCCAGGGGGACTATTATCGGGGGACCTGCCCCGATAATCACGTAGGTTCTTTTCTATTTTCCTAAGCATCGGCTGGCTTGAGAAATAAAAGGACAGAGTACAAAAGAGAGAAATTTTAAAGCTGGGTGTCCGGGGGAGATATCACACGTTGGTAGGATCCATGATGCCCCACAAGCTACAAAAACCAGCAAGTTTTTATTAGGGAGTTTCAAAAGGGGAGGGAGTATACGAATAGGTGTGGGTGACAGACATCAAGTACTTAACAAGGTAATAGAATATCACAAGGCAAGTGGAGGCAGGGCGAGATCACAGGACCACAGGATGGAGGCGAAATTAAAATTGCTAATGAAGTTTCGGGCACCATTGTCATTGATAACATCTTATCAGGAGACAGGGTTTTGAGATCAACCGGTCTGACCAAAGTTTATTAGGTGTGAATTTCCTCTTCCTAATAAGCCTGGGAGCACTATGGGAGACTGGAGTTTATTTCACCTCTGCAATCTCGACCATAAGAGACAGGTACGCCCCGGGGGGGCCAGTTCAGAGACCTACCCCTAGGTGCGCATTCTCTTTCTCAGGGACGTTCCATGCTGAGAAAAGGAATTCAGTGATAATTCTCCCATTTGCTTTTGAAAGAAGAGAAATATGGCTCTGTTCTGCGCAGCTCACCGGCGGTCAGAGTTTAAGGTTATCTCTCTTATTCCCTGAACAATTGCTGTTATCCTGTTCTTTTTTCAGAGTGCCCACATTTCATATTGCTCAAACACACATGCTGTACAATTTGTGTACTTAACGCAATTATTGCAGGGTCCTGAGATGATACACATCCTTCTTGGCTGACAGGATTAAGAGATTAAAGCAAAGACAGGCATAGGAAATCACAAGGATATTGATTGGGGAAGTGATAAGTGTCCATGAAATCTTTACAATTTATGTTTAGAGATTGCAGTAAAGACAGGCATAAGACATTACAAAAGTATTAATTTGGGGAACTAATAAATGTCCATAAAATCTTCACAATCCACATTCTTCTGTCATGGCTTTAGCCGGTCCCTCCGTTTGGGGTCCCTGACTTCCCGCAACAGACTATGGCTGTCTCTGCTGTGTCATACAGGTCACCAGGGAAGTGGGGGAAAGCAGCAGTGACAGGTCTCACCGGGCTCCCACACAGCCCAAAAGGCCAGTCTTACTTCCACCATGCCCCCGCCAACTGCACTGAGTTTGTTCCCAGGCAGCTGGTGAGCAGGGCTGAGAACTTGCCCCAGGCTACAAGCCTCCCCACTGAGAAAGCAAGTAGGGCTTTCAGGGTTCATGCTTCCCTGCCTGCCACAGTTACCTTGCTTGTATCCACACTCCCCGTTTGCTCCCTCCCATGGATTCTGTCCAGGAAACTTTGCATTCAGTCAAAATTGTTACCCAGTTCAGCTAGAAGTTTCCTTCTCCCTGTGGGCTTTCCCCAATTCCACTGACAGCCCACCCCATGGATTCCTGTGAGACAAAGTCAGGAATGGCTTCCCTGGGGACTGAGAGTGCCCACAGGGCTCTTCCCATTGCCTCCTATATCCCTGTATTTTGCTCAGCTCTCTAAATTCAACTCAGCTCCAGGTAAGGTCAAATCCTTCTCCCATGATCTGGATCTTCAGGATCCCCAGTGAGGATATGTGTTTAGGGGCAAATGTTCCCCCTCTCACACTTTGGGCGCTCACAGTTTTTCATCTGTCTCACAGAGCCTGCAGCAGCAAGCCACTTCTTTCAAAGGGTCTGTGGATTCTCTCAGCTTTCCTGGTATGTTCCTGCAGTAGTTCTTGGAGCAAAAGTTCACGATTTGAGTCTCCTCTGCACACTACCCTGTCCATCCAAGTGGGAGCTGCAAGTTAGTCCTTCCTCCTACCTGCCATTTTTCCTGATGCAATATTTTTGTGCCTTTAAATTTAGGGACTCTTATTTCTTTACTCTTTTTTGTTTTTGTGTTTTTAGACTGGGTCTCACTCTGCTGCCCAGGCTGGAGTGAAGTTTTTTTGTTTTGTTTTGTTTTGGTTTTGGTTGTTTGTTTAAGAGACAGACAGGTTGGAGTATAGTGGCTATTCACAGGAATGATCATAGTGCACTACATCCTCAAACTCCTTGGACTCAAATGGTCTTCCTGCTTCAGCCTCCTGAGTAGCTGTGACTATAGGCACATGCTACCACATTTGGTTACATTTTTTTATATTTCTGCAGTGGAGCAGAAGTATATATTCTGGGCGAGGACAATGTTGGAAGCTATGCTATCTAATAGAACTTTCTGTGGTGATGGAAATTTTCTGTCTGCACTATCTGATATGTTAGCCACTAGCCACACATAGCTATTGAGCACTTAAAATGTGGCTGGTGCAAGTGAGAGCTGATTTAAAATTTTTATTTAATTTCAGTTAATTTAAATTTCAACAATCACCTGTGGCTAGTGGCTACTATATTAAGCTGCACGAGTCTAGAGAGTGGACATGAAAGAGGATGTCTAAAATGGAGGCAGGTCAAGGTCATTATGTTTCAAAAAGTCAGGAACTGCTAGGCCAATGGTTTGGAGTAATAAACCATTTGGACTTTGAAACCCCCCAGGACAATGAGATGAATGTTGGCAAGGAAAGATATGTGTTAGAGGCCAAAAGGCCTGGATTACTTTGGGGGCATGACCAGTGGCCAGGCAACAGAGATGAGCTGTGGTAAGTGATTGATTCATCTGGCATGGGTTAAAGTGGTGGTTCCAGCAAGGAAGACAAACAACGGCCTGGAAACAGCCTCAGGAAATCTAGAGAATGCCAGCCCCGTCTCCAGTCCCTGTATTAGAATGGGCATCCTCCACTCTCCACTACTCCAACAGCGTCCTTAGAGAAAAGTTGAGTCAAGTAAGGCAAGGAGGCACAAGTAGCATTTGGTGACAAGGGTGAGCATGTAAGACAGCTTGTTTACCACACAACAAAGAATCTGGGGAACATAGTAGAAATATTTATGAGAAAAGGAAGATGTGGAAAGAAGGGCTGGGATAAGAAGCACAACCTATAGGAATATGAGAGACAATGGAAGCAAAACTGCTCTCCAAAAGTCTGCCCAGGTGGCAGTAGAGCTGTCTATTTTTCTCCTTGGAAAAAGGTTCTGTTGCCCTAATTATACAGCTTTGGAAACTTTTTGGCAGGAAGATTAACTTTTTGGAAGCAAGCAATGTATATTACACTTTTCATAAAAATTAACATTTTGTTTAACAAATGTTTTTTATTGTAAAATACACTTAACATGAAATTTACCAATTTAACCATTTTAAAGTGTACCATTCAGTGGCACTTAGTATATTCATAATCAATAAATGGTTTTGAACATAAAAAGGATGTGGGGGGCATTTGTAGTGGTAGCCAGTGATAGGACTCTAGTGGGCTTCACTGTTATCAAGGTTCCAAATGAAATGAAAGTATAATGTCAAGATACTTCAGATTCAGTGCTGGCTGAAGTGCAGGTGATACAGAAGCAGGTGGTGATTCTGGTTTGTAGGCACTGAGCTGGGTACAAATACTTTGTTCACTCAAAAATATTGTATAAGTGAATATTGAGTCCAGTTCTCTCCTTTTGCTTCTGAAGAGCACAGTAACACATTATTCTGAGCCACAGAAGTTAATTAACCCTCTATTAGTCTTGTTTTCTCATGTATAAAATTGACTAATATTAATAGTTCCAGAACTGTCATGAAGATTAAATATATGTAGAATGTGTTAGCACAGTGCCTGACACATACTATACTCTTAATAAATGGTAGCTATTATCATTATTATGTTATGGGACTGGTCCAACTCTGCCTTTTATTAGAGCTATTAGAACAATGGTCATATCCCCTCTGTTGAACTAATCTTATTAAGGGCAGGGATGGTACACACTGATCTTTTCATACTCCATAGGTTCAACGCATAGTAGGAAGTACAGACACATTTGTTGCGTGGAATAATTGTTTTATGTCTACCTCTTCCTTCTTCCTCTACCTCTAGCTGAAGTCTGTATGAAGATGTTTGATTGTTAAGAGCACAGGTTTTAGAGTCAGATATAGGGTTGAATTTTGGCTCTGCCACTTACTACCTGTATGGCCTTTGGCATATTACTTGATGGCTCTGAGTCTCATAAGTAACATCAAGAAAATAAATATCTACTTCATAGAATTAGATAAGAAAATTTAGTAATGTACCATGCCTGTACAAGAATTAGTAGCTTCTTATTGTTATTAATATTAACAGTAATAATTCCTATTGCTATTAATATTATTGATATGGTTTGGATCTGTGTCCCTGCCCAAATTTCATGTCAAATTGTAAGGTGATTGGATCATGGGGACAGTTTCTCATGAATGATTTATCACCATCCCTCTTGGTACTGTCCTCAAAATAGTGAGTTTGTTCTCATGAGATATGGTCATTTAAAAGTGTGTGGCACCTCTCCCTTCAATCTCTCTTCCTCCTGCTCCAGCCAGGTGGCATGCCAGCCCCCCCTTTGCCTTCCACCATGATTGTAAGTTTCCTGAGGCCTCCCCAGAAGCCAGGCAGATGCTAGCATCATGCTTCCTATACAGTGTGCAGAACCATGAGTCTGGTCTAGGTTCATGGTTCATAAAATCTCTTTTCTTTATAAATTATCCAGTCTCAGGTATTTCTTTATGGCAATGCAAGAATGGACTAATGCAATTATTAATATCTGTTTCTTTTGGAAAAGGGGGCATACCCCCAGCTCATTCTAATGGGGATTAAGGAGTGGTTTGGTGAGGTGGAGCATGAGACATTCCCACTAGGGAATGGAACATGTTACTGCACCTCCAACTCATTCAGGGAAGGTTTTCTAGAGTTAGAAAAGCAAGAAAGACACAGGAGAGTAAGAGAAACTGGATCAACTATAAATAAAACTGGCAAGTAGGTGACACTTGTTAGTGGTGTACACCTTCTTTCCCCAGGCCATTACCTCCTTCTCCAGTTTAGGCACTTACAGATATGCCCAGACCAAGCCTGCCATGTTGTCTACCAGTGCTCCAGAACCTCCTCTTCCCCTCTCCTCTTCTAACTACTAGAAGTCACTTGTTCTGTAAGTTCTAGACTCCTGGGAAACAGTCAGGAGCTAATATGCTAACCTAATTAGAGGTCAGGTGTTAACAGGCTGCAAATAGTTTCTTGTTTCTTGACCATAGAGTGCTTTCAACCACCTTATCTCATGAGACTTGTGGTGAAAACTGAAGGCCTGGGAATGTGAAAAGGATCAGGTCTTTGGGCGAGGAAAACTTTCCCATGCTGCATAGGCAACTGCTTACTAAGCCCTTGGGTAGAGTGAGCCTTGAAAAAAAGAAAAAGAATGTGAAGTGAAATGAGCAGGCCCTTCCCAGTAAACTCCTTTGATGTCCTCAAAGTGGTAACAACCACAATAAACACCTCGAAGTTGCTACCACCCCCATTAGTGTTTACACATTATTCTTGTCGACAGTATCTTTTCTGATCTTCTCTCCCTTAAGGATTTCCTAACCCCTGCTTGCCTCAGATCCAGAGTCACTGCCACCTGCAGTTGCCACAAACTGGTAGACCAGCCTTTCGCTTTCTATCATCTTTGAGACTCAATTCCAATTGTAGGCCTGCCTTTCACCAGCCATCTATCACCAATGAACATTTATTGAGCACCTAACGTGTGTAAGGCCCTGTCTTTCCTTCCTGGCTACTATTGAGACTGTATAGTGAATGTACGGAGTTTTATTCACAAATGTGCCACTAGTTATCCCACAGATAGAGACATGTTTAGGCTATTTTTTCCATGAAATATGCAACTTTCAATTGATTTACCCACCTGGTTCATTTTTTTGAAAAGTGTACAAACGAAGAGTCCAAGGACTGGGTTCCAAGATGGCCGAATAGGAACAG
Organism: Homo sapiens; assembly: GCF_000001405.40. Classification (NCBI taxonomy): domain Eukaryota; kingdom Metazoa; phylum Chordata; class Mammalia; order Primates; family Hominidae; genus Homo; species Homo sapiens. Next base: position 107,991,660 of record NC_000023.11, on the reverse strand, counting down.
CTCCAGTCTACAGCTCCCAGCGTGAGTGACGCAGAAGATGGGTGATTTCTGCAATTCCAACTGAGCTTTGAAGAGAGTACTGGTTCTCCCAGCATGGAGTTGGAGATCTGAGAACGGACAGACTGCCTCCTCAAGTGGGTCCCTGACCCCCGAATAGCCTAACTGGGAGGCACCCCACAGTAGGGGCAGGCTGACACCCCCCACGGCCGGGTACCCCTCTCAGACGAAGCTTCCAGAGGAACGACCAGGCAGCAACATTTGCCGTTCAGTAACATTCCCTGTTCTGCAGCCCCTGCTGCTGATACCCAGGCAAACAAGGTCTGGAGTGGACCTCCAGCAAACTCCAACAGACCTGCAGCTGAGGGTCCTGATTGTTAGAAGGAAAACTAACAAACAGAAAGGACATCCACACCAAAATCCCATCTGTACGTCACCATCATCAAAGACCAAAAGTAGATAAAGCCACAAAGATGGGGAAAAAAGCAGCAAAAAAGCTGAAAATTCTAAAAATCAGAGTGCCTCTACCCCTCCAAAGGAACACAGCTCCTCGCCAGCAATGGAACAAAGCTGGACAAAGAATGACTTTGACGAGTTGAGAGAAGAAGGCCTCAGACGATCAAACTTCTTTGAGCTAAAGGAGGAAGTTCGAACCCATGGCAAAGACGCTAAAAACCTTGAAAAAAGATTAGACAAATGGCTAACTAGAATATCCAGTGTAGAAAAGTCCTTAAATGACCTGATGGAGCTGAGAACCATGGCATGAGAACTATGTGATGAATGCACAAGCTTCAGTAGCTGATTCAATCAACTGGAAGAAAGGGTATCAGTGATTGAAGATCAAATGAATGAAATGAAGCGAGAAGAGAAGTTTAGAGAAAAAAGAATAAAAAGAAATGAAAAAAGGCTCCAAGAAATATGGGACTATGTGAAAAGACCAAATCTACATCTGATTGGCATACCTGAAAGTGACAGGGAGAATGGAACCAAGTTGGAAAACACTCTGCAGGATATTATCCAAGAGAACTTCCCCAACCTAGCAAGGCAGGCCAACATTCAAATTAGGGAAATACAGAGAACGCCACAAAGATACTCCTCGAGAAGAGCAACTCCAAGACACATAATTGTCAGATTCACCAAAGTTGAAATTAAGGAAAAAATGTTAAGCACAGCCAGAGAGAAAGGTCAGGTTACCTACAAAGTGAAGCCCATCAGCTAATCTCTCTGGAGAAACTCTGCAAGGCAGAAGAGAGTGGGGGCCAATATTCAACGCTCTTAAGGAAAAGAATTTTCAACTCAGAATTTTATATACAGCCAAACTAAGCTTCATAAGTGAAGGAGAAATAAAATCCTTTACAGACAAGCAAATGCTGAGAGATTTTGTCACCACCAGGCCTGCCCTAAAAGAGATCCTGAAGGAAGCACTAAACATGGAAAGGAACAACCGGTACCAGCCACTACAAAAACATGCCAAATTGTAAAGACCATCGAGGCTAGGAAGAAACTGCATCAACTAACGGGCAAAATAACCAGCTAACATCATAATGACAGGATCAAATTCACACATAACAATATTAAACTTAAATGTAAATGGGCTAAATTCTCCAATTAAAAGACACAGACTGGCAAATTGGATAAAGAGTCAAGACCCATCCATGTGCTGTATTCAGGAGACCCATCTCACATGCAGAGACACACATAGGCTCAAAATAAAGGGATGGAGGAAGATCTACCAAGGAAATGGAAAACAAAAAAGAAGGCAGGGGTTGCAATCCTAGGCTCTGATAAAACAGACTTTAAACCAACAAAGATCAAAAGAGACAAAGAAGGCCATTACATAATGGTAAAGGGATCAATTCAACAAGAAGAGCTAACTATCCTAAATATATATGCACCCAAGACAAGATCACCCAGATTCATAAAGCAAGTCCTTAGAGACCTACAAAGAGACTTAGACTCCCACACAATAATAATGGGAGACTTTAACACCCCACTGTCAACATTAGACAGATCAGCGAGACCAAAAGTTAACAAGGATATCCAGAAACTGAACTCAGCTCTGCACCAAGCTGACCTAATAGACATCTACAGAACTCTCCACCCCAAATATACATTCTTCTCAACACCACATTGCACTTATTCCAAAATTGACCACATAGTTGGAAGTAAAGCACTCCTCAGCAAATGTAAAAGAACAGAAATTATAATAAACTGTCTCTCAGACCACAGTGTAATCAAACCAGAACTCAGGATTAACAAACTCACTCAAAACCATTCAACTACATGGAAGCTGAACAACCGGCTCCTGAATGACTACTGGGTACATAAGGAAATGAAGGCAGAAATAAGGATGTTCTTTGAAACCAACAAGAACAAAGACACAACATCCCAGAATCTCTGGGACACATGCAAAGCAGTGTGTAGAGGGAAATTTATAGCACTAAATGTCCACAAGAGAAAGCAGGAAAGATCTAAAATTGACATCCTAACAACACAATTCAAAGAACTAGAGAAGCAAGAGCAAACACATTCAAAAGCTAGCAGAAGGCAAGAAATAACTAAGATCAGAGCAGAACTGAAGGAGATAGAGACACAAAAAAACCCTTCAAAAAATCAATGAAACCAGGAGCTGGTTTTCTGAAAAGATCAACAAAATTGATAGACCACTAGCAAGACTAATAAAGAAGAAAAGAGAGAAGAATCAAATAAAGGAAATAAAAAATGATAAAGGGGATATCACCACCGATCCCACAGAAATACAAACTACCATCAGAGAATACTACAAACACCTCTAGGCAAATAAACTAGAAAATCTAGAAGAAATGGATAAATTCCTGGACACATACACCCTCCCAAGACTAAACCAGGAAGAAGTTGAATCCCTGAATAGACCAATAACAGGCTCTGAAATTGAGGCAATAATTAATAGCTTACCAACCAAAAAAAGTCCAGGACCAGATGGATTCATAGCCGAATTCCACCAGAGGTACAAGGAGGAGCTGGTACCATTCCTTCTGAAACTATTCCAATCAATAGAAAAAGAGGGAATCCTCCCTAACTCATTTTATGAGGCCAGCATCATCCTGATACCAAAGCCTGGCAGAGACACAATAAAAAAAAAAGAGAGAATTTTAGACCAATATCCCTGATGAACATCAATGCAAAAATCCTCAATAAAATACTGGCAAACCAAATCCAGCAGCACATCAAAAACCTTATCCACCATGATCAAGTGGGCTTCATCCCTGAGATGCAAGGCTGGTTCAACATTCACAAATCAACAAACGTAATCCAGCATATAAACAGAACCAAAGACAAAAACCGCATGATTATCTCAATAGATGCAGAAAAGGCCTTTGACAAAATTCAACAGCCCTTCATGCTAAAAACTCTCAAGAAATTAGGTATTGATTGGACGTATCTCAAAATAATAAGAGCTATCTATGACAAACCCACAGCCAATATCATACTGAATGGGCAAAACCTGGAAGCATTCCCTTTGAAACCTGGCACAAGACAGGGATGCCTTCTCTCACCACTCCTATTCAACATAGTGTTGGAAGTTCTGGCCAGGGCAATCAGGCAGGAGAAAGAAATAAAGGGTATTCAATTAGGAAAAGAGGAAGTCAAATTGTCCCTGTTTGCAGATGACATGATTGTATATTTAGAAAACCCCATCATCTCAGCCCAAAATCTCCTTAAGCTGATAAGCAACTTCAGCAAAGTCTCAGGATATAAAATCAATGTGCAAAAATCACAAGCATTCTTATACACCAATAACAGACAAACAGAGAGTCAAATCATGAGTGAACTCCCATTCACTATTGCTTCAACGAGAATAAAATACCTAGGAATCCAACTTACAAGGGATGTGAAGGACCTCTTCAAGGAGAACTACAAACCACTGCGCAATGAAATAAAAGAGGATACAAACCAATGGAAGAACATTCCATGCTCATGGGTAGGAAGAATCAATATCGTGAAAATGGTCATACTGCCCAAGGTAATTTATACATTCAATGCCATCCCCATCAAGCTATCATGACTTTCTTCACAGAATTGGAAAAAACTACTTTAAAGTTCATATGGAACCAAAAAAGAGCCCACATTGCCAAGACAATCCTAAGCAAAAAGAACAAAGCTGGAGGCATCATGCTACCTGACTTCAAACTATATTACAAGGCTACAGTAACCAAAACAACATGGTACTGGTACCAAAACAGAGATATAGACCAATGGAATAGAACAGAGCCCTCAGAAATAGTACCACACATCTACAACCATCTGATCTTTGACAAAGCTGACAAAAACAAGCAATGGGGAAAGGATTCCATATTTAATAAATGGTGCTGGGAAAACTGGCTAGCCATATGTAGAAAGCTGAAACTGGATCCCTTCCTTACACCTTATACAAAAATTAATTCAAGATGGATTAAAGACTTAAATGTTAGATCTAAAACCATAAAAACCCTAGAAGAAAACCTAGGCAATACCATTCAGGACATGGGCATGGGCAAGGGCTTCATGTCTAAAACACCAAAAGCAATGGCAACAAAAGCCAAAATTGACAAATGGGATCTAATTAAACTCAAGAGCTTCTGCACAGCAAAAGAAACTACTATCAGAGTGAACAGGCAACCTATAGAATGGGAGAAAATTTTTGCAATCTACTCATCTGACAAAGGGCTAATATCCAGAATCTACAATGAACTCAAACAAACTTACAAGAAAAAAACAAACAGCCCCATCAAAAAGTAGGCGAAGGACATGCAAAGACACTTCTCAAAAGAAGACATTTATGCAGCCAAAAGACACATGAAAAAATGCTCATCATCACTGGCCATCAGAGAAATGCAAATCAAAACCACAATGAGATACCATCTCACACCAGTTAGAATGGCGATCATTAAAGTCAGGAAACAGCAGGTGCTGAAGGGGATGTGGAGAAATAGGAACACTTTTACACTGTTGGTGGGACTGTAAGCTAGTTCATCCATTGTGGAAGTCAGTGTGGCGATTCCTCAGGGATCTAGACCTAGAATTATCATTTGACCCAGCCATCCCATTACTGGGTATATAGCCAAAGGATTATAAAACATGCTGCTATAAAGACACATGCACACATATGGTTATTGCGGCACTATTCATAATAGCAAAGACTTGGAACCAACCCAAACGTCCATCAATGATAGACTGGGTTAAGAAAATGTGGCACATATACACCATGGAATACTATGCAGCCATAAAAAATGATGAGTTCATGTCCTTTGTAGGGACATGGATGAAGCTGGAAACCATCATTCTCAGCAAACTATCGCAAGGACAAAAAACCAAACACCGCATGTTCTCACTCATAGGTGGGAATTGAACAATGAGATCACATGGACACAGGAAGGGGAACATCACACACCGGGGCCTGTTGTGGGGTGGGGGGAGGGGGGAGGGATAGCATTAGGAGATATACCTAATGCTAAATGACGAGTTAATGGGTGCAGCACACCAACATGGCACATGTATACATATGTAACAAACCTGCGTATTGTGCACATGTACCCTAAAACTTAAAGTATAATAAAAAAGAGAGAATAAATCCTTGTGCATTAAAAAGAGAGAGAGACAGCTCATATGGAGATGCATTTATATCTCCCCAATTTAGAAATTTTAAATAGAGGTACTTTGCATAAAATGAGTTTTCAATGTGGATTTCATAACACTTGAATGCTAAAGAGCTTTTGCTTTAAAAAAAATCCCACATACATATTGTGATGATTAATTTTATATGTCAATTTGGCTAGGCCATGGTACCCAGATATTTTGTCAAGTATTATTCTAGATGTTTCTGTGAAAGTACTTTTTAGGTGAAATTAACATTTTAATCAGTACATTTTGAGTAAAGTAGATTATCATCCATAGTATGGTTTGGCTTCGTCCAGTCACTTGAAAGCCTTAATAGAAAAAGACTGACTTCCTCAGAAAAGGGAGTTCTACCACCAGACAACCTTCAGGCTCAAAGCACAACATTGACTCTTTCCCAATTCTCTAGCCTGCCGGCCTACCATTCAGGTTTTGGACTTGCCAGCCTCCAAAACTGCATAAGCCAATTTTTAAAAATAAATCTGTTTCTGGCTCTGGCTCTCTCTCTCTCTACACACACACACACACACACACACACACACACACACACACACACACACACACGCAATTAGTTCTGTTTCTCTGGAGAACCTTGACTAACATGTATAACACTTTTTTTTAATTAATGTGATTATGGTGGACTTGAAGTCAGACACATTTGAGTTTTGAATTGGGCCTTTGCCATATTTTTTTACCCTAACTATATTGGACCTCTTCCATTTCCTCATCTGCGAAAATACCAGTAATAATCTGGATCTCTCACAGCTGTTGTGCAGATTAAAAGAATTTGTGCATACTCAGCACAATGCTTAGTACTCAATAATTGCTAAGCATGAGTTATTGTTATTGATAATGTTTCCACTTAAAATGAAAATTGTCTTCCTAAACTTGTTACACAGAAGCAACTTTAGGGACTGCCACATTTATTCCTCCTCTTCATGACTCCTTGAAATGTGTTTTGATCCTAAGACATCCGTCTTGAGTTGCATATTTTTCAAATATTCCTGCAGAATGAAAACTAACAGTTACAACTTACTTGAGCTTCTGTAATTTGCAATTTGGATCTTTTAAGCCTCCATAGAGCAATTTCAAAGCTGAAGCTTCCAGTTTTGTCTCACTAAATTCCAGTTCAGTGAGCCACTGACTGGTGCTAAGAACAGCTGCTAGAGCCCCACAAGAAGCAGAAGAGATAAGGCACCGGTACCACCTTTAGAGAACAGAAGAATGACCTCATTACCACATTCATGCTCTCCCCCAACAGAAATAGAAATTGACCCCCAAAATAAGAATATCAAATAACAAATTATCCTGCTACAATTACCTCAATGTCTGTAAGACACAGTTGGGCTGTTTTAATCCTTCACACAGAAGCTTCATTCCTGAATCTTCGAGGGTATTTTTTACAAATTCGAAATCTGTCAGATGCTGGTTAGTTTCAAATACTGAGGAGAGGTCCCTACCACAAGAAGCTGTGAGGCGACAGAAAATCAGTCTGTGTGGAGAAAAAATACATTTCAGAAACAAACAAAAAAAATAAGAGATATCTTTAGAGGTACTTGTTAGCACCTTGCTGATGTAATAAATTATTTCAATTCATTCAATAATTAATATATTGGGTGCTTACCACTGTGCTAGATGCTGAAAACACAAAGATAATTAAGACACAGACTAAACCCTCCAGGAATCCCCAGTTGATGGAGAAAAATGACGAGAAAATCACAGATTACAATACAGTGTGAAAAGTACCGTCAGACATATGCACAAGTTGTTATGGGGACACAAAAAGGTTGCACAATTCAGCCTAGCTTGAGGTGGGGTCTGGAGAATCAGGAAATACAAGAGGAAGAAATGTTTGAGCACTGTCATGAAAAGGGAATAGAAACTGTATAGGAGTTAGGTGAATGAAAAGAATGGGAGTGGAGAGAGCAGGAGGGGATGAGGAGAAATCCGTGCATGCACAGAGGAGCCTGTGCAAGGGCCACAGAGGAAGAGAGAAGATGCTTCGTTTGAAAAACTAAAAATTACTTGCTATGGCCTATCTAAAAGACTATATAACTATTAAGAGGGATTATCACCCAGGTTGAAGGAAGGGTAGGATTATAGAAGTACTTTCCAAGCACTTAAAAATTATTTACAATGATCAGCTGTTACTGGGAGAAACATTTTTTTTCAATTTTGAAAAACATAACACGTTTATTATAAACAATTTTACAATAGAGAAAAATGTCAAGAATATTTTTTAAAGTACTGTATTCCTATTACCCAAAGATAACCACTGTTAAAGTGTTAGTATATAACTTTCCAGATTTGTGATGTATGCATACATATAGTTAGTTATATGCTCTTTGTAACAAGCGAAATTAGAGAAAAATGTATTTTAAAGTTAAAAACTTTTTTTCTAACCTCCAGTCCAACCCCACTTCCCAGAGATAATTAATGTTGAGTCTGCTATATATCCTCTCTCATTCTGTTCTCCAAGATTATAGAAACATACAAACATATGCAAACACACACATACACACAAATACGGGATCATAGAAAACATTACTCCTACAACTTTACATGCCCTTTTGTCATTGGCCATCATCATAGATCCATAGGTAGAAACAGATTCAGTTACAGTACAATGTCATGTAATACGTAGCAACGCTGGACTCAACCTGAGATTTGTCTGATTTATCTTGTGGGTCTCAGAAAGTCATTCAAGGTTTTCTTGTTTTTGTGTTTGTTTGTTTGAGACAGAGTCTCACTCTGTCACCCAGGCTACAGTGCAGTGGTGCGATCTCGGCTCACTGCAACCTCCGCCTCGTGGGTTCAAGCGATTCTCCTGCCTCAGCCTCCCGAGTAGCTGGGACTACATGCGCGTGCCACCACATCTGGCTAATTTTTTGTAATTTTAGTAGAGACGGGGTTTCACCCTGTTAGCCAGGATGGTCTCGATCTTCTGACCTCGTGATCCGCCCATCTCGGTCTCCCAAAGTACTGGGATTACAGGCATGAGCCACCGCGCCCGGCCGAAGGTTTTAAGAGACATATTCATATCCCTCTGATGGAAGATCTCTGATATTTCATGTTTTGGTAAAAAGGTGTATTTATGCTACTCCTAACTCTCTTTCTCCCACAGTTGCTTCAAGATTCAAGGCGTTTCAGTAGGGGAGGAGTGGGAGAAGGGGTGATGGGAGGAGTGTGGGGAAAGAGGAGCTAAGGGAGGAAAGGCAGGCCAGGATTTGTTAGGGTGTCTGGGATGTTTAGTCCTGAGCAAACAGGGGATAAGCTCCGCTCCTGGCTCCACCCTCTTCCTCCAAGGGCAACTGAGGGGTTGGGGCTGTTTCCTGCTCTAGAATATTCCAGTTGGGGGCGAAACTCCCCTGGCATGGCACAAACCATTATGATGGGGAGGGATAAGTCTTCAACTTGTTCACAAATACTTTTTTTGGTCCTAAGTCCTTCCGGACCACTCCTGTTTCTTTCAGCCTTCAAGGTCTCCCGACCATGTGGCAGGTTCCCTTTTGTCCCAGTGGAATGGCAGAGGCCTTCCTCACTCACTCCCTTTCACCCCTACAGTCTCTGGAAATTGGAACAGTCCCAGAGTAAAATCCTCATGGGTTGGCCCTGAGGCTTCTTTTCCCGCAGAGCCCTAGGAGGGAAAGAGGCCACCCTCTCTTCAGGCGTGTTAAGCAGCGGGGTTGGCCTGTACTTCCTCTGGCCCTGGCTGAAGAGGTGAGGCCTGGTGGGAGATGTCCTAGGGTAGGACAAGCCGGTCAGAGGGTCATTAGGAGGGTCTTGTCAGAGGTGGGAGGGCGGAGAAGACAGATGAGGGGAGGGGCTAAGGAGGAGGAAAGAAACCTATTGGCTGCTCCATCCACACAGGGCTAGTGAAACCGTTAAGCCCCTAGGCGATCATGGCCTTGAGACCTGAGGACCCCAGTAGTGGGTTCCGGCACGGAAACGTGGTGGCCTTCATCATCGAGAAAATGGCCAGGCACACGAAAGGCCCCGAGTTCTACTTCGAGAATATATCCTTATCCTGGGAGGAGGTGGAAGACAAGCTCAGGGCCATCCTGGAGGACAGCGAGGTGCCCAGCGAGGTCAAAGAGGCCTGCACCTGGGGCAGCCTGGCCTTGGGTGTGCGCTTTGCCCACAGGCAGGGGCAGTTACAAAACCGCAGGGTGCAGTGGCTGCAAGGCTTTGCCAAACTGCACAGATCAGCTGCGCTGGTCTTGGCCTCAAACCTGACGGAACTCAAGGAACAGCAGGAGATGGAATGCAATGAGGCGACCTTCCAGTTGCAGCTAACCGAGACCAGCCTTGCGGAGGTGCAGAGAGAGCGGGACATGCTGAGATGGAAGCTCTTCCATGCCGTAAGATCCCCCGAATGGTCCCTGTCCAATGCCTCTGCCCTGCCCCAACCTGTCCGGACCCCCTGCCCTGTCCCCAGAATGTGTTTCAGCTCTGCCTACTTCTCTCCAGGAGCTGGCACCTCCCCAGGGACAGGGCCAGGCTACAGTGTTTCCAGGCCTGGCCACTGCCGGAGGGGATTGGACAGAAGGAGCAGGTGAGCAGGAAAAGGAGGCGGTGGCTGCTGCTGGTGCTGCTGGAGGAAAAGGAGAGGAGAGGTATGCAGAGGCAGGGCCTGCCCCCGCAGAGGTCTTGCAGGGGCTGGGAGGAGGCTTCAGGCAGCCCCTCGGAGCTATTGTAGCAGGCAAATTACACCTTTGCGGGGCAGAGGGAGAAAGATCTCAGGTCAGTACAAACAGCCATGTCTGTCTTCTCTGGGCTTGGGTCCACAGTCTCACTGGAGCCTCTTCCTGTCCAGCTCCCTACCTCATTCACATACTCATACCCATGCCCTTTGTCCGCCTTCTCAGCCATACCCAATATACCCCCTTCACCAGCAAAGGTCACAGAACGGGTTCCAACTCAGATGCCTTTCAACTGGGGGGCCTCTGATGCTAGCCTGTGGTCAGATGTGGAGGCCCAGGGAATAGACCCTCAAGAGCCCCCAAGAGACAGGAGAGACTCCGAACTCCATCAGCAGAGAAGACCTCCAGTATATCGCAGGCCAGGGAACTGGGACTGCCCGTGGTGTAAAGCTGTGAATTTTTCATGGAGGGAAAATTGCTTCCTCTGTGGGAGGCGAATCTGGCTGCAAAAGCCTCAGTAAATTCAGAAATGTAAAATAGAACAGAAATATATCTCAATGGGAAATCAATCTTCAGGGGGAGAGGGGAGAGGTGGGAGGGGGATTGGGTGGAGTGGGGGAAAGGGGATGAGTGGGAAGATTGGACAGTAGGGGGGCGGGGAGGCGGGGTTGTGGGTGGGAGGATGTAGATGACAGGCAGGGAGAGACATGTTTTAATGACTCCATTTGTATTTCAGAGTATTAGTAGTCAACACTCCAGAACTACTGCAGTTTTTATTTGTGTGTGTGTCTCTAGCTCCCTATCTTAAGTATCTGTCGGACCTGGGCAGTATGTAACACCTACACTCTCTCCCTTCATGTAGGCTTTAGATAATTGGAGCAGGAGTGGATATTTGACCAATCCTGAGCCAAATGAATTTTTACGTTAGAAAATCTGAACAGACAGGCAGATTCCACAGTCAGAATAGTGTTGGGCAATGAAGCAGTGGGTCACTTGGAGTTGGGGCCAGGGTCACAGCCATGGACACCAAGGCCATAGCTGAGGCCTGGCCCTGGCTGTGGGGGAACAGAACTGGATGCTTTACAGAGTCAAGTGTCTTTTAGAGGACGCCAGTATGAGGTTTCAGGGAGCAGACAGGCATAGAGGAGTTCATCCTGTGACTACAGAGAGATGGAGAGGGTAGTGATGGCCCAATCACTTTTCACTTCCTGTAGTTGTGCTACAGGAAAATGTACTTTACACAGATCCCCTTTACTTTAAACTAATTTGAGTGAGTTTCTGTTCTGAGCAACCAGATTATTTCCCAGTCAGAAGTTTGTACCAGAAGAGCAATTTTGAACAAAAGACCATTAAAGAAAATGGTGGGACTGGCTGGGGAGTTGCATCAGGGTGTGGTGAGCAGTGGAGATTCCTGAATCCCAAGAGTTTCCATGAATGAACTGGATAGAAGTTCATTCATGCTCTGAGTGAGTTATATCACAAGAAACAATCAAAACAGGCCCAGGATGAACCCCAGGTTCATCCTGACTCAAATCAACAGCAGAGATTTGCCACCCCTAAGGGAATCCCTTAGGCCTACCTACAGAAGACACCAGCACCATGCAGGTGCAGACTGCTATGACTGTATGGCCCCATGACAGGAGAATCCTTTCCAGTCCCCAGTGAGTAGAACCAGGGCAGTCAGATCTGAAAAGAGAACTGCCACTGCCAAGGAGGTGAGTCAGCAACTGATAGTGCTCAGAGGGTTTGCTGGTCTAGACTATGAGCCAAAGCATGGTGCCATCTTGAGAGATTCTCTCCCCCAACCCACCACCATGATAAATGTGGGAGGGAAATCTGGCTACAAAGCTCTCAGTGAATTCAGAAATGTAGAACAGAACAGAAACATATCCCAATGGGAAATCAACTTCCAGAGGGAAGGGGTGAGGTGGAGGAGGATAGGAGTGGGTACGGTAAGGGGGTAGGTGACGGGTTAGTCTGCTTCTCTCCCTCTGATGATTGTAAGTTTTGTTGACGGGGGCTACATGTATGTTTTAGCGCACAGGTGGAAGGATGAGAAGGGGCTACACCTGGACCAGACTGAGACACAACTGAAGGAGCCCTGGATATTGCCCAGGATCTGTGGACCTAGAGACTAAGAAGCTGTCATGGCCCTGGGGCATCTCTGCTGCAGCTAAACTTGATTTTTAGGTTTTCTCCTGTTGGGGATGAACAATAATCAGGATTGAGGGCCAGGTTCCTGGCCTGCAGTTTCAGAAATGTCTTTGGGTTTCTTTCTATATCTCTAGGGCAGGGTTTCTTAGTCTCAGTACTCTTGACATTTGGAGCTGGATAATTCTTTGTTGCAGGGGGCTGTCCAGTACATTGTAGGATGTTTAGCAGAATTCCTAGCCTCTACCCACTAGTTGCCAGAGCATCCACCCCCTCAGAGTCCCAGTTGTAACAACCAAAAATGCCTCCAGATACTCCCACATGTCCACTAGAGGGCAAAATTGTCCCTGGTTGGAAAATGAGGTACTTAGGAGCAGTCAGAACGGCAAGAATTAGGAGAAAAAGGTCAATAAAGCTGAGGGGCCCTCTCAGGAGCTGAAAAGTATCCACTGGGTCTGGCATTTACTTTGGATCTTCCAGCAGATCTAGGGGAGCGGCAAGGGCAGAAGCCAAACTGCGGAAGTGAGGAGTGAGTGAGGATGATGTGGAGTCAGTGAGGGAGGCTCTTCCTCAAGGATTCTTGGTTGTGAAGGGAAGGATTGAAGTGAGATACTCAGTTGAGAGAGGATTTTTTTTCTTTAATTTTCTTTTTTTTCCTGAGACGGAGTCTCGCTCTGCTGCCCATGCTGGAGTGCAGTGGTGCAATCTTGGCTCACTCCAACCTCTGCCTCCCGGGTTCAAGTGATTCTCCTGCCTCAGCTTCCTGAGTAGCTGGGACTACAGGCATGTGCCACCACGCCCGGCTAATTTTTGTAATTTTAGTAGAAACCATGTTAGCCAGGCTGGTCTCAAACTCCTGACCTCAGGCAATCCACCTGCCTCAGCCTCCCAAGTGCTGAGATTACAGGCATGAGCCACCGTGCCCAGCCGGTTCTTTTGAATATGGGAGAAATCTGAGCCATGGAGAAGGAGATAGCTGAAGAAAGCTTGAAAATGCAAAACACTTGTGAAAGAATGTGGTAGATTTTGCATACTGTATTGGAGGCATGGCCCCTGTATTGTTAAATGAAGAAAAAATCATATGACAAGGTTGCTTTTGTTTTTGTAAAACAAAACTCCCCAAAGTTCTGTGAGTGTGTATATGAATGTTACAAATTTATGTATTTATGTTTGTCTTACGTTACAGTTTTATGTTTGTGTAAGCATAGAAAATGGTCTGGAAATATATTTAGCAAACAAGGTACCTGGGGTGGGGGTGGGCTCAGGGTCAGGGGATAGGAGGCAGCAGGGTATGGGGATATAGGGTGGGATGGGGTATGGGACAGCTGGGTGGAGGGCTTTTCTTTCTTTATATACCTCTGTGTTATGAAAGTAAAATAATTATTCACAAAAATACAAAAATAATGAAGTGAATTTACTGGCTTGGGTGGCTTGCAAGGGCTGCCTTTTCCTCTGGAACAGGAGGAAAGAAGAAGAGCAGACATTGATCTATAAGGCAAAGGGGTGTGAAAACAAGGGGGCACCTGCTTGTGTGTTTGTGTTGTGGACAAAGTGCTTGGAAGTAAGTGAAGATGGAAAGGCAGGGCAGGGGTGGGATCCTCTTTGGGTACTTTGGGGAATAACTACGGGGTAAAGGTGGGGAATGGAAGGAGAGAAAAGGATCGTCAAGCTGCATGGAGTAGGATAAGACCCAACTGAAAGAAAACTAAGGGGGAGAGCAGTGGCAGTCTGGGAGGAAAAGAAAGTTGGGGTGGCAGATCCAAGTGGGGCAGCACACCCAAATTTCTCTCTCAGGTGTTACAACCGTCCACTTACTCATTACAGCAAAACAGTACATACAAAAGGGGAAAAGGCAGGACGGGCGGGTAGAGTTCTGGGCCTGACTCCTTCCTGCCCCTTCTAGGCCTGTAGCATATCTCTTCATTTGTTGCTCCACTGTGGCGAAGCTGAAAACTAGCTATATTTTATTTTCAGGTCAATCAGCTGGGAGTGCAATTTCTAGAAACCTAATCTTTACCTGCAAATACCTAAGAGTTTAAAGCAAAGTTCGACTTACTTCAGGTCTTTGATTTTACAGTATGGAGTACGCAGTGCTTGGCAGAGCAGGTGTAGCTGACACACTGGCAAACTGCGCAGCTGAAAGGACCTAAAAGAGATGAGGAAATAAAAAGTAATTTAAAATAAAACTTAAGTAAAAGGCTTATTTGGCTTTTGTTACCTTGCTAGTAGCACTAATTTACCCCTTCCCAAAACCTTGAGACGTATTATCCCATTTTGCAGATAAGGAAATTAGGGCACAAAAAGTAATCTGCTCAAGGTCACATAGGTAGGTACAGAACTGAGGTCATTACTCAGGTCTGAGTCCAAAACCATGTTACTATGTGCCAGGCACTGAGGTAAGCACTTTATTTTCACAAATTATCTTATCTGGCCCTTAATCCAATAACAAGTATTATAATCACCATTTTCCACATGCTCTGAGTCGTCAAGTGACTTGCCCAAGCTAACTTTACAATATAACTGGTTCTTGGTTGTCGGTACTAATAGAAGAATTCATAACAATAATTAAAAACCAGGAAAGCTCAATAGTAAACTCTTACATAGCCAATACGCTTGGGAAAGAAGAATGTTGGGTTAAATTTTTGATAAGAGTTTAAGCCCTCTGATAAAGGCAATAAGGGTTATAGGGGAGGACGCCATCTAAGGTTGACTTTCTGGAAACCCAGAATGAACCAGAAGACCCTTTGTTTCCATCAGTGTTTCAACTTTAAATGTATTGGTCCATTATTTTACTTTATAATATACAACTGGAATAAGGCTGTATATTATATACATATACAGAATTGGTCAAGACCTTGTAGACAAGGTCTTTCATAATTCTGAGTCCGTTAAACCTCTCTTAAACTAGAGAGGGAAGGAACTAGAGGTCCTTCCCTCTCTAGTTCCAAACACAAATTCTTGTTAATGCCTCCCTCCCTCTCATTTCCCTCAAACACACATACCCCATGCTCATTTCCACCTTTATGCTATTCCCCACACAAGAAATACAACTATAAGGGACACAACTTGAGTTATTTCATTCCTCAAGTGGAGCTTTCTGCTGACCCCTCTCCTCCCAGTCCCCTGCCCCTCAACTGGCCTGAAAACTAAGGGAGAGGCATTATCAATCTTAACCCAGATATTGAGAACAGACTTACAGCATTTTCTAGATAACACAGGTATAAGTCTTCTTTGCTGCTTTAGTCAGTAAGCCAGTAGGACTGTATTTTATGGTATACAGAGTCCATATTATAAAAGTAACTTACCTAAGCCTCTTTCAACTTCAGCTCATGACCTTCTGTGAAGTTGCAAGCTCTGATGGAAATAACCAGGATTTATAGCAAGATAATACAAGAGTGTACCTCTGCCCCTTACTAACCTGAAGTTCCTTGAGGCCTCAGTGATGAAGTATATTTAGAGGAGAGTGACAACCAATCAAATGTTACGTTTATACCTTTTTCCAGAATGGTCATTACACCAAAATAGCAGAGTCTTCAACTTGATGACCTTACATGCTCATAACACTTTAGAATTACAAACCACATCCACACAGTGACAATGAATACTAATACACACACACACACACACACACACACACACACACACACTGACTACTACAGTGCCTGTTGTCTGGGAAGGATAAAAACTGGAGGAAAGACATGGATATACGCACTGATTAAGTGTTAAGGCTGGTGGCACGAATGTTGAGGCTCACTCTTCCTCCTCAAATCCAAGTAGGTGCTGACACTTCAGAGACACTGACAGGTGACTGTGACTGCTTTTTACACAGAAGGACATAACCAGAATGTCCATTTTTGTATAGGTAGGTTGAAGCAGTATAATTGACTGTAAATCATCAATTATCCTTTTTGCATATTCTTCTTCCTGAATCTCATACAAACAGTGAAACAGGTCCACCGGCTCAATCTGTAACCTAGAAGACTTATCCTTTATTTCTCTCTCAGTCCACTTCAGTAACTCCTCTTGAAGTCCTGGGGAAACTTTTCTTCCAAAAGTAGTTTCCACAGCCTTTCCTTTTCCTTTATGTAAGAGGCCAAATAAGAATTATATCATTAGTGATGAAAAACCTTTTCCATATTGTTGGAACATTTCTTGCCACATTTTCTCTGCTTGATAAAAAAACATCCAGCTATTGTCATTCTTCAGGGCATGGAAGACAGCAGTCAAGAACTCTTGGAAACTGAAGTGAAGGAAAGTGTAGACACTGACAGCTCCTTCAGCCTTTTTCAAAAAGCGACTGAGAAAAGTGCAGTTGGTATCACACACTCCTATCCCATGTCTTCTGAGGTCACTGACTGCAAACAAAACCTGATGATTTTGCAGACCCTCTGCAGCCAAACGGCAAAGACCCCACAGGCAACTTTGTCCCTCCCATACTGAGATACCTGTAAGGGTTTTGAGGCACTTGGAAAAGTAGAATAAATACACATCAGTCATGGTCTGAAGTGACCTCAAGAGAGTCCTGTCACCATCTCCCTGTGACTGCAGGACATTGCATATCATCCAGGAGACGATGGGAAGTGAAGACATAATGTCAAGGTCTTCATTCTCTCAAAGATCATAAAAGACTTTCATTGTTGTATTAGCACCTGAAAACTGGCTCAATAAATATGCTCTCTTTTCGGTATCTGTAAACCATAATATCTCTGCCTGGATAGGTTGTTTTAACAGAGAGTGGAGCTTCTTCATGGCTGTAGGCCGGGCAGTTATCAGGAGGGAGGATTCGGGGAACAGTTTTTTCCTCACAAAACTGCACAAGAGACTCTCTACTGGCCTCCTCTCCTGGGGGTGAACACTAAGATCCTCTTCTTGGTCACCAACAGGGTCCTGCAGCTCAGGAAATCTGTCGAGAATGAGCAGAATCTTTGGATATATGAGAATAGTGTCCAAGATTGGTCCATTTATATTTTGAAAAGTGTTAGTATAAGGTCAGCAGAACTAAGGTTAGCAATATGGCTGATTTCAATGCAGTTGACGTAGATGAGATAGTCACACCTGCCTGGAGTAACCGTTCCTGCTGCCCAGTCAAACATGAACTTGTGCACCACAGCTGTTTTTCCAGTCCCAGCACATGCCTGAAGCACCACAGTTCGGGGTGAGCTGGAGCCCTCTTCATTAGAATCAAATACATGTTCCATGTCAATAAAATGATCTTGTTGAGGAATTCCATATGGTGTCTCTTCTGATATACCATGGTCTTTTACAAGAAGCAGTCGTGACTCTATATGCTTGCCATGCTGATAACATTTATCAACTCCTATCTTTAGGTATTTTTCTTTTAGATGTTTTCTGAATACTTCCTGGTAATCTAACATGGTGACAGCAAGAGTTAGTAATTATAGAATCCTAGACAACAACTCTAACTAGTACCTCCATCACCACCATCTCCACTTAGATGTCTCAAAGGATCCTCAACTTTACATGTCTAAACCCGAGTTCTTGATTTTTATACTCTTCTGTCCCCGCCAAAAAACCCTCCCCAGGCATCTCATCTCAGTTAAGTGGTGCTATCCAGTTGCTCAGAAAAATGTTATGAGTATTTTTCCTTCAATCCTCTACATCCAATCAATTAGCAAGGCCTAACATTTATATTTTCAAAATAAGCCTCAAATCCATTTATTTACCAATATATCCTCAAATACCTCCCAAGTCCAGGGCACTGTCACCTCTTTCCTAGACTGGCCAAATAGCATCCTACTAATCTATTCTTGCCCATCTACTGGTTCCTTCCTATGCAGCAGCCAAAACAGTCTTCTACAGATACCAATTAGATCATGTCACTTCCCTGCCCAAAATCCTTCAAGAGCTTTTCATTGTTCTTGCTATAAAATCCAAAATCCTCATCCTACAAGGTGTTCTCATGATCTGGGCCTTCTCTACCTCCCCTCCCTAGCCTCATTTTTTATCATTCTCCTTTTCGCTCTCTACGTTAGAGCCACACTGGCCTACTTTCAGTTCTCAAAAATGCCATGTTCTCTCCTACTTCAGAGACTTTGCGCTAGCTAATCTTTCCACCTGGAACATTCTTCCTCCTGCTCTTCCCATGAAAAGCTCTTTTTCATCCTTCTGATCTCAAATATTACTTCCTAGAATTCCTAGGATTGCTTCCTAGAATTCCTAGGATTTGTTTGACCACCCAATTTAAAGGAGATCCTCTCTACTATTTCCCTTCGCAGCACCATATATATATATATATTTTTTGAGATGGAGTCTTGCTCTGCTGCCCAGGCTGGAGTGCAGTGGTGCGATCTTGGCTCACTGCAAGCTCCACCTCCCAGGTTCACGCCATTCTCCTGCCTCAGCCTCCCAAGTAGCTAGGACTACAGGCGCCCGCTACCACGCCTGGCTAATTTTTTTTCTATTTTTAGTAGAGACATGGTTTCACCGCCAGCACCATATTTTTACCTTTATAGCTCTTATCGCAATTTATAACTGTCTTGTTCATTTACTTTTTCACTGTCTTTTCTACTATACAATAATACACATGAAGACAGGGGCCTTATCTGTCTATCTCCTTTACAATAAGTACCCTGAGTACCTGGCACTGAGCCCAGCACATAACACACACTCAATAAATATTTATTGAATATGGCTATAAATGCTTTTGGATTACAAACAAGTTATTTATTATTGCCTATTCTGTGACAGATACTGTTAGGACCTTTATGTACATTTCTGATTTAATTCTCACAATAATCCCATGAAGTAGGTATTACCTACATTTGATAGTTGAGGAAATAGAAACTTATAATCAGGGCCACCTTCATGAGTGTGCAGTCTGTGCAGTCACACAGGTCTCCATGCTCAGAAGGATGTATACTTGGTTTAATGCTCTGCTATTGCTGTCTTGAAATTCTTAATACTTGACAAAGAGGTTTTGCATTTTCATTTTGTACTGTATCCCACAAATTATGTAGCCAGTGCTGCTTTACATAGCTTTAGGTAATTTGTCCAATGCTAGTAAGTGACATCAAGTACAAACTTACGTTAAGTGAATGTCTATGCCAGTATTTCCCAAATCAGGGTTCCCTGGAAAACTGTCTGCAAGACATTAATAAGTTGAGGGGAGTGCACCCTGTAGTCTCTTAGAGTTTCTCAATGCTTATTAGCATATGAAAGGCTCTTGTACTAGCATATGAAACATTCTTTAACTCTCCTACAGTTGAAAAAGGCTGTTTAACTGTGTTTAACCCAAAGTTTTCTGGTCTTAAATGACTACAGAACCCTTTTCTAACAGCAAAGTTACTAATTATTGCATAACTGTTCCTAGAACTCAGTTTGGGGAACGCTAATAGAGATAACGGTTGGCAAACATTTTCTGTAAAATTTCTTAAATAGTTTAGGCTTTTCGGTCTCTGTTGCAATTGCTCAACTCTGCCATCTTACTGTGAAAGTAGCCATAGATAATATGTAAACAAATAGCTGTATTCCAATAAAGCTTTATTTACAAAAATAGGCAACTGGTTGGGTTTGACTCACTAGCTATAGTTTGCTGGCCCTGATCTAGATAATTCCAGAAGAGGACTGGCCTTTTCTCAGAATAAAATTTTCTACATCTAGCTCTTGACCACCACCACCAGTGGTCCTCCCAGTATTCGAATAGGTATTTGAATATATTCTATATGATATAGAAGCCCTATTTGTCGTGACAGTTTGGGGCTTTATAGTTGCCAAAAAAGCAATGATTGTTGCCCCAGTGAATAAGAGGGAAAAATTAGAGAGGAGCAGGGCGGGGTAGGGATGGGTAGTTGGGTTCTTGGAAAATACTATTCTCAAAACAGAAAAAGAGAGTAAAATAGAAAAGACATCTACCTGTAAGCTCTTTACATGAAAACGAAGCCAGAGAATTTGAAGCAACTGTGGAAGAAAGAGTTAAAGTTAGGAGTAGCACAAATACACCTTTATACCAAAACCTGAAATGCACAGAAATTTTGCCACACTGTAACAGCCATTCATGCTGCTCCCCAAACAGAAATACAACAAAGGAAGTAAATCATCTCACATCTTTTCTAACTTACTCACAAAGGTATTTTATAGCTAATACGCAACATAAAATAAAACATAAGAATTTCCCAGCTGGGCACAGTGGCTCACACCTGTAATCCCAGCGCTTTGGGAGTCTAAGGTGGGAGGATCACTTGAGCCCAGGAGTTTGAGACCAGCCTGGGCAACATAGGGAGGTCTTGTCTCTACGGAAAGTAAAAAAATAGCCAAGTATAGTGGTGTGCACTTGTGTTCCCAGATACTTGGGAGGCTGAGCCAGGAGGATCACTTGAGTCTGGGAGGTCAAGGCTGTAGTGAACTGTGATTGCATGACTGCACTCTAGCCTGACTGACAGAGTGAGATCCTATCTCTTAAAAAAAAGAATTTCCCTTATGCATATATTTAGCTGTGGATATTTTAATTTATATCATCAATAAGGAAAATTTTAGGCATGAGCTTAAAGATTCATACATTATTTGAAGTGATTGTTTTCTGCTATTTTCTTTCCACTGAATATTACCCTCTTGCTTCTGTTGTGGCTTCCGTTGAGCCTAACTTGCTAATGGGAAAGAACAGGGCTTTGCTGAATATTAATTTGATAGATATATAAGATATATATGATGATCTACATTCAAATACATATTTTACACACACTCAATCCAGATACTTTACATATAGATATATAAATAAGAATACACAAGCACACACACAACTCCACATTCCTATAATTGTTTACTTCTTGCACACTTTTAAAAGCAAGAGTAAGATTAGAGTGGAGAAGAAGTTGTGACTAGATGGGTGCTAACAGGTGAATGGGAAGAAGCAGGGTGTGGACGGGCAGACATTAGACTGTCACAGAAATGAGCAGGCAAGTGAGTGGTCTGTTGAGAATAACTGGTTTCTGTTCCCCACAACTAAACATTCCTTGGATTTCAGGAATCAGCCACAAGAGGCAGGACTCCAGCAATCTTCACTCTTTGTTCTTCTGTGCTGTCTCCTGTGAAAAGCTCTGGTTACATTAAAGGAAGAGACTTGGAGTCTTTTATAATTGTAAATGTTTGGGGGATTATGGAAAACAACAGAAACCACAGTTGCCTCTTCTCCGTCTTTATCCTTATTTTAGGCAACATAAAAATTGTGGAGACAGTTTCAAGAGATTAATGGGTAAATACTGTATCCAAGTAATTCACATCTAACAACATTTTAAAGTTTCAGAAGAATCTCCAAGGGTATGAGGAAAAGAAACAGGAGAAAGAGAATGAATAGACTTACCTAGTATATACCATTTCTTATTTCATTCAGTTACTCACCATTCTCTCCAGACAATAAACTCCAGGTACAAGCAAGTTCCATATATTTTCTTTTCTTCTGATTGTTCATCCTGGCAAATCAAGAAGACTGTAATCCAGAACAGCAACGGTGACTATAAGGCCTAGTGGATGCTCAGAGTAAAAAAGTAACTCAAGAAATACTCTTCATTCAAGGCATTAGAGAGCTGGAGAAAAGAGAAGGCCCAATAACCAAGCAGACAGCTGAGGTAGCACCCTGGGGAATCACATGAAGACAGACCAAAACTAACAGTCTTCAACTTGAAGAGAAAAAAAAGCTGAAAGAGGATAGAATGTGTATAAAGTTTTGAAGGGTACAAATATGGAGAATGTCAAATTGGGCTCTGAATTGAGTCACTAAGAGAAGTATAGGAATTAGGTAGCATACTTCTAATGTCTGAGATCAAGAGAAGTAAGAATGATGATGTCCTTCCACAACATATTTTTGGTGCCATCAATAAAGGGAGAATTCTAAGACTACAGATTGGAATACTGTGGTATAAGAGAAATAATCTAAAGAATCAGAAGACCTGGGTCCTAGCTCCATTTCTATCCATCCATGGACCTCGAATAAGATTCTTCTCCTTTCTGGGAGAACGGTCTGCTTTACTATTTTCAAAATGGTTCAAGGAACGTTAGACCAGGTTTCTTTCCAGGTTTGACACTGTAAGATCAGTAGTTCTCAGTCTTAGCTACACATTAGAATCTTGAAATATTACTTATCACCTTCTAATATATTTGATAATTTACTTATGTATTAGGCTTATTGTTCTTTGTTAGTCTTTCCCACCTAAATTGAATTACTGGCCCCTTTCTCAACCTTTGTCATGAACTTTGCAAATCCGCACACAAAAAACTGGAGCTTATTTTCCTACCTCCTGTCTTTGAGCTCATTCATGAGACTTTGGTTAATGGAGTGAAACCAGAGTTGGACATGTCATCTCTTATGATTCATGAAAGAAGCCACAGAGAAACGAGACCCAGCTAGTTCACTGGTCTAAGGAGGATGAGAAATACATGAAGCAGAGCCACCATAGCTTACCCACAGTACTGCGGCAAGGAAAGTACAGTGACCCCAGCCTGAATAAAGTTACCCAACAGAGCCCTCTTTAATCATCTGAGTCCCAGCTGGCCTCCAGATCTGTGAAGATAAATTCTTAATAAGTGATTAATTTTTCATGCCACGGAAATTTCGTGGTTATTGTTACACATCACTGTGGCAATAGCTAACTGATACATCCTGCTAGAATGTAAATGCCTAGAAAGTGTTTGGCACAGAGTAGACATTCACTAAATATTTATCAAATAAATTGAATGAGTGAATAGCTTTTTAAAAAAACCCAATGACACTGACTTCCACAATGGTTGAACTAGTTTACAGTCCCACCAACAGTGTAAAAGTGTTCCTATTTCTCCACATCCTCTCCAGCACCTGT
This sequence comes from Homo sapiens, assembly GCF_000001405.40. Lineage (NCBI taxonomy): Eukaryota > Metazoa > Chordata > Mammalia > Primates > Hominidae > Homo > Homo sapiens. The sequence continues at coordinate 107,968,427 of NC_000023.11, read as the reverse complement.
TGTTTCCTGACTTTTTAATGATTGCCATTCTAACTGGTGTGAGATGATATCTCATTGTGGTTTTGATTTGCATTTCTCTGATGGCCAGTGATGGTGAGCATTTTTTCATGTGTTTTTTGGCTGCATAAATGTCTTCTTTTGAGAAGTGTCTGTTCATGTCCTTCGCCCACTTTTTGATGGGGTTGTTTGTTTTTTTCTTGTAAATTTGTTTGAGTTCATTGTAGATTCTGGGTATTAGCCCTTTGTCAGATGAGTAGATTGCAAAAATTTTCTCCCATTTTGTGGGTTGCCTGTTCACTCTGATGGTAGTTTCTTTTGCTGTGCAGAAGCTCTTTAGTTTAATTAGATCCCATTTGTCAATTTTGGCTTTCGTTGCCATTGCTTTTGGTGTTTTAGACATGAAGTCTTTGCCCGTGCCTATGTCCTGAATGGTAATTCCTAGGTTTTCTTCTAGGGTTTTTATGGTTTTAGGTCTAACATGTAAGTCTTTAATCCATCTTGAATTTATTTTTGTACAAGGTGTAAGGAAGGGATCCAGTTTCAGCTTTCTACATATGGCTAGCCAGTTTTCCCAGCACCATTTATTAAATATGGAATCCTTTCCCCATTGCTTGTTTTTCTCAGGTTTGTCAAAGGTCAGATAGTTGTAGATATGTGGCGTTATTTCTGAGGGCTCTGTTCTGTTCCATTGATCTATCTCTCTGTTTTGGTACCAGTACCATGCTGTTTTGGTTACTGTAGCCTTGTAGTATAGTTTGAAGTCAGGTAGCGTGATGCCTCCAGCTTTGTTCTTTTGGCTTAGGATTGACTTGGCGATGCGGGCTCTTTTTTGGTTCCATATGAACTTTAAAGTAGTTTTTTCCAATTCTGTGAAGAAAGTCATTGGTAGCTTGATGGGGATGGCATTGGATCTATAAATTACCTTGGGCAGTATGGCCATTTTCACGATATTGATTCTTCCTACCCATGAGCATGGAATGTTCTTCCATTTGTTTGTATCCTCTTTTATTTCATTGAGCAGTGGTTTGTAGTTCTCCTTGAAGAGGTCCTTCACGTCCCTTGTAAGGTGGATTCCTAGGTATTTTATTCTCTTTGAAGCAATTGTGAATGGGAGTTCCCCAAAGGAATATAAATCATGCTGCTATAAAGATACATGCACACGTATGTTTATTGCGGCACTATTCACAATAGCAAAGACTTGGAATCAACGCAAATGTCCAACAATGATAGACTGGATTAAGAAAATGTGGCACATATACACCATGGAATACTATGCAGCCATAAAAAATGATGACTTCATGTCCTTTGTAGGGACATGGGTGAAATTTAAAATCATCATTCTCAGTAAACTCTCGCAAGAACAAAAAACCAAACACCGCATATTCTCACTCATAGGTGGGAATTGAACAATGAGAACACATGGACACAGGAAGGGGAACATCACACTCTGGGGACGGTTGTGGGGTGGGGGGGAGGGGGGAGGCATAGCATTGGGAGGTATACCTAATGCTAAATGATGAGTTAATGGGTGCAGCACACCAGCATGTCACATGTATACATATGTAACTAACCTGTATATTGTGCACATGTACCCTAAAACTTAAAGTATAATAATAAAAAATAAAAAAAAACCCAATGACTTGTCCACATTACTGTTAAATTATATCAGAATCTTTGATGATGAGGCTCAGCATCATTTTTTTAAAACTTCGCAGGTGATTCTAGTACAAAGCCAGAGAAGAGAGCCACTCTTATAAGATTTGGTTATCTTTGTTAGAGAAAAGTGCGTGTTGGTGAAACATATAAGCCTTAGAATCAAGCAAATGTCTTCAAGTACTGACTCTACCACTTACTGACTGTGTGACAACCAGGAAATTAATATTTCCAGGTCTTAGTTTTATCAGTTAGGTAGGGATAATGACGGTACTTTCTGTATAAGGTTTTATTAAGATTAAATGAGATAATGTAAAATATTCAGCACATTGCATGCTACACAGTAGGGGCTCAAGAATCCTAAACCATAGCTAATGTTTGTGTTGCTGTATCATCTTATATAGAGTAGAAATTTTTTTAAATTCTGGTAGACCTTACGTAAGTCCCATTTCTACCCTTTTTAGCAACATGACCTTGAGTAAATTACTTAAACTCTCTGAGATTTCGGTAACCAAACTGTAAAATGTGGTTGATAATAATACCTACCTCATTAATTTGTTGTGAGGATTAAATAAGATGATACTCATAAAACACTCAACACAGGCCCTGGTGCAATATAAATGATAAATGTTACAGAAAAAATAAGATGGCATTTATTGTAACTTTGACAGAAAGATGTTACATTCCATTAAAATCTTCACATAACACGTTCATTCTTATGAAATGGAATGTTCTCAGCACAGTGTTATAGTCTCACACCCTACACTCTTCCCAATCTCTAGGAATATTTTTTTGCACTCCCCAAAATAGGAACAATCCTCCAGCTACAATTACTGTGTAGTAAGTGCTCCTGCCCTTGGGCAACAGAGCTGGAGGGCTGTATGGCCTCTCACTCTCTTTCTGGGCAATCTACACCATGCCCATTATTTCAGTTATCTTTATGATTCCCAATCGTTTATCCTAGTCTAGCCCTCTCCTCTGAGATTCAGACTTATATATTTAAAGGTTTACTCAACATCTCCACTTGGATGTTGACACCTTGCTTTTTTGTCTCCTTTGGTAACTATTGCTTGGTTTGTCCAGCATTCTTTCACTGACCTTGTTCTGATGAAAGTTCCCATCCCTCTTAGTGAAATAATCAGATTCCCCATCCTTGAATTTTTAAACCTGACTGGGGACTATAGAGACTGAGGTTCTGCTACCTAAATGTCTCGAGCTTGATGGTTCCTGACCTCCCTGAGGCCTTGTTTTTCAGCATGTCAATTTAGATTTCAGTAATTCCAATATCCTTCTAAATATTCCTTTTTGTTTAAGTTATGCAAAATCAATTGCTGTGGTCTGCAACTAAAGAATTCTGATTTAAAAATTATACCACAGAGCCAGTTACAATCACCAGACCTTTGGAGGGAATTATGAGGGGCATTTTATAACCGGTTATTAGTCTCGGCTAGACTAAAGGCTGTGAGGTGGCCCGAATTCCAGGATAGGAAAATAGTATCCATTATTCTAGGATTTCCACCGATACATATCAGATATTTATACAAAGTACTAAAAGGTACCCTCTTCAAGAAGACAAATCATGCTGAGATGTGTCCTCTAAGTAGTTGAACTACAAAATGGCGAAATGGCGCTCTCTTCTCTTGGATGGGGCAGGACCAAACTAGGATATACAAGTTAGAGAGCAGAGTATGGGTTAATTGCAGTCCCCATTCACACTCTTGGTCCTGTGCCTTTTAAGTCAACAAACTGAAAAACTTTATATGGTGACTCTACATGGTATGCATGCAGCCAAAAATAGGGGAAAGAAATGCTACAATTTTTTCCAACCTTTATTAAGATATAGCTGAAAAATAAAAATTGTGTATATTTAAGATGTACAATGTGATGATTTGATATATATACATACACATTGTGAAATGATTACCACAATCAAGCTAATTAGCACATCCATCACCTCACATGATTACCATTTGATATGGTTTGGATGTTTGTCCCCTCCAAATCTCATGTTGAAAGGTAATCAGCAGTGTTGGAGGTGGGGCCAGGTGGGAGGTGTTTGGATCATGGAGGTGGATCCCTCATGAATGGCTTAGGTCCATCCCCTTGATGATAAATTAGTTCTTGCTCTGAGTTCACATGAGATCTGGTTATTCAAAAGAGTGTGGCACCTCCCCCTGTCTTCCTCTGGTTTTCGCCATTTGATGAGCTTGCTCCCCCTTCTCCTTCTGCCATGATTAGAAGCTTCCTGAGGCCCTCATCAGAAGCAGATGCTGGCATCATGCTTCCTGTACAGCCTGCAGAACCAGGAGCCAATTAAACCACTTTTCTTTACAAACTACCCAGCCTCAGGTATTTCTTTACAGCAATGCAAGAACGAACTGATATAGAAAACTGGTACTAAGGTTGGGGTATTAATATGAAGTTACCTGAAAATGGGGAAGCAGCTTTGGAACTGGGTAATGGGCAGATGCTAGAAGAGTTTGGAGGTCTCAGAAGACAGGGAAAACGAGGGAAAGTTGGGAACTTCTTAGAGACTGGTTAAGTGGTTGTAACAAAAATGCTGATAGAAATATGGACAGTGAAAGCCAGGCCGATGAGGTCTTAGATGGAAATGAGGAAGTTATTGGGAACTGGAGGAAAGATCACCCTTGTTATGCCTTATCAAAGAGCTTGGCTGCATTGTGTCCAGGTCCTAAGGAACCGTGGAAGGTTGAACTTAAGAGTGAGGACTTAGGGTACTGGTGGAAGAAACTTCTAAGCAGCAAAGCATTCAAGAAGTGGTGTGGCTGTTTCTAACAACCTATGATCCAATATGGGAGCAATGGAATGACTTAAGGTTGGGACTCACATTTAAAAGCAGAGTCCAAATGTTTAGAAAATGTGCAGCCTGGCCCTGTGGCAGAGAAAGAAAAGTATTTTCAGGGGAAGAATCCAAGCAGGCTGCACAGCAACCACTTGCTAGAGAGATTAGCATGACTCAAAAGAGAGCCAAGTGGTAATATCCAACACAATGGGGAAAAGGCCTCAAAGGCATTTTAGAAGTCTTTGGGACAGCCCCTCCCATCACAGTCCCAGAGGCTTAGTAGGAAATAATGGTTTAGGGGGCCAGGCCTGGGGCACCACTGGTTTGTGCAGCCTCAGGACACTTCACCACCCATCCAAGCCCCTCTAGCACCAGCTCAAAGGGCCCCAAGTACAGCTCCAGCCACTGCTTCGGAAGGTACAAGCCATAAGCCTTGGCAGCTTCTATGTAGTTTTAAGTCAGCCTAGGTGACAGGGTGAGATCCTGTGTTTAAAAAAAAAACAAGGAATGAAGTACTGATACATGTTACATGCAGGTGATCCTTGAAAACTTTATGCTAAGTGACAAAAGCCAGAAGCAAAATGCCACATATTGTGAAATTCCATTTATATGAAATATCCAGAATAGGCAAATCCATATAATCAGAAAGTAGATTCGTGGTTGCCAGAGGCTGCAGTGGGGGAAGGAAGAATTGCTAGTGATTGCTAACAGGTATAGGGTTTCTGTTTGGGGTGTTGAAAATATTTTGGAACTAGATAGTTGTAATAGTTCCAGAGCATTGTGAATATACTAATATCATAAAAAAGTACACTTCAAAAAAGAGGTAAATTTTATGGTATGTGAATAGAATCAAACAATATCAAATAAATAAAATCCATAAAAATGCAATTATAAAAGAAAATGGGAAAGTGGAAACAACCCAAATGTCCATCAGTGGAGGAATGGATAAATAAAATGTGGTCTATACATATAATAGGCTATTATTCAGCCTTAAAAAGAAGGAAATTCTGACACATGCTGCAACATAGATAAACCTAGAAGACACTATGCTAAGTGAAATAATCCAGACATAAAATTGCAAATATTGTGTGTTTACACTGATATAAGTTACCTAAAGTAGTCAAATTCAGAGACAGAAAGTTACGAGGGGCTTGAGGAAAAGGGTAATATGGAGTAAGTGTTTAATAGTTGTGAACTTTCAGTTTGAGAATGGAGTAATTGTTTAATAGTTGTGAACTTTCAGCTTGAGAATGAAAAGGTTCTGGAAATGGATGGTGGTGATGATTGAACAATAATGTAAATTTACTTAATCCCAGTGAACTCTACACTTAAAAATGGTAAAAATGTCAAATTTTATGTTATGTATATTTTACCACAATAACAATAATAGGCAATTGAAAAAGAAATGAAAAAAAAATCCCATTTATAATAGCCAAAAGTAAAATTAAATACCTGGAGTTAACCAAAGAAGTGAAATATCTTTACAATGAAAACTATAAACGCTGATGAAAGAAATTGAAGAGGACACCAAAAAAGGAGAAAATATTCCATGTTCATGGATTGGAAGAATCACTATTGTTAAAATGCCCATATTACCCAAAGCAATCTACAGATACAACACAATCCCTATCAAAATACCAATTACATTCTGCACAGAAATAGAAAAAACAAACCTAAAATTTATATGGAGTCATAAAAGACCCAGAATAGCCAAAGCTACACTGAACAAAAAGAATAACACTGGAGGAATCATATTACCTAACTTCAAATTACACTACAGAGCTATAGTAACCAAAAGGGCATGGTACTGGCAAAAAAAAAAAAACAAAAAAAACCAGACACATAGACCAATGGAACAGAATAGAGAACCCAGAAAAATATCCATTCACCTACAATGAACTCATTTTCAACAAAGATATACATTGGGGAAGACAGTCTCTTCAATACATAGTGCTGAGAAAACTGGATATTCATATGCAAAAAAATGAAACTTGATTCCTATCTCTTGCTTTATACAAAAATAAAATCAAAATCAATTAAAGAATTAAATCTAAGACTTCAAACTATGAAAACACTAAAATAAAACACTGGGGAAACTGTTCAGGACATTGGTCTGGGCAAAAAATTTCTTGAGTAATACCCCACAAGCACAGGCAACCAAAGCAAAAATAGGCAAATGGGATCACATCAAATTAAAAAGCTTCTGCACAACAAAGGAAACAACGAAGTGAAGATACAACCTACGGAATGAAAAAGAATATCTGCAAACTATTTATCTGACAAGGGATTAATATGCAAAATGTACAAGGAGCTGAAACAACTCAATAGGAAAAAAATCAAATAATCTGATTTTAAAATGGCTAAAAGATCTGAATAGACATTTTTCAAAACAAAACATACAAATGGCAAATAGACATATGAAAAGGTGCTCAACATCACTGATCATCAGAGAAATGCACATCAAAACTACAATGAGATATCATTTCACCTCCATTAAAATGACTTCTGTCCAAAAGACAGGCAATAGCAAGTGCTGGAGAGGATGTGGAGAAAAGGGAATCCTCGTACACTGTCGATGGGAATGTAAATTAGTACCACTAACAAAAACAGTTTGGAGGTTCCTCAAAAGTTAAAAATAGGGCTACCATATGATCTAGCAATCCAACTGCTTGGTATATACCCAAAAGAAAGGAAATCAGTATATCAAAGTGATATCTGTACTCTCATGTTTATTGCAGCACTGTTCACAACAGCCAAGATTTGGAAGCAACATTAAGTGTCCATCAACAGACAAATGGATAAAGAAAATGTACATATCACAATGTAGTACTACTATTCAGCCACGAAAATGAAAAGAGATCCTGTCATTTGCAACAACATGGATGGAATGGGAGGTCATTATGTTAAATGAAATAAGCCAGACACAGAAAGACAAACATCACATGTTCTCATTTACTATGGGATCTAAAAATTAAAACAATTGAATTCATGGAGATAGAGGGCAGAAGAATGGTTACCAGAGTCTGGGAAGTGAAGGTGGTTAATGGGTACAAAAAAATTGATAGAATGAATAAGATCTAGTATTTGATAGCACAACAGGCTGACTATAGTCAATAGCAATTTAATTATACTTTTTAAAATAACTAAAAGAGTATAATTGGATTGTTTGTAACACAAAGGGTAAATGCTTGAGGTAATGAGTACCCTATTTAATCTGATGTGATTATTAAGCATTGCATGCCAGTATCAAAATATCTCATGTGCCTGATAAAAATATACACCTACTATGTACTTGCAAAAATTAAACATTAAGAAAAACAAATAAAAAACAAAAATAATTAAGATGAAATTAATAATTACTGAAATAGAAAACAAACAATAATAGAACCATGGAGTAGATGGATAAGAGGAAATAATATTTATTTGAAAAGATTAATAGAATACAAAAGTTTTTGGCAAGTATGATTTCAAAAATAAAGAAGGCACAAATTAACATTAAAAAATAAAGGGTATAATGTGGGTCGGCCTGATACTATCAATTGAAGGCTTTAATGGAACAAAGACTAATCTCCCCCAAGCAAGAAGGAATTTTGGAGTACAGACAAGATGGCCAAATAGGAACAGCTCCGGTCTGCAGCTACCAGCGAGACCAATGCAGAAGGCAGGTGATTTCTGCATTTCCAACTGAGGTACTCAGTTCATCTCAATGGGACTGGTTAGGCAGTGGATGCAGCCCACAGAGTGCAAGCAAAAACAGGGTGGGGCATCACCTCACCCAGGAAATGCAAGAATCCAGGGGACCTCCCTTCCCCAGCCAAGGGAAGCCATGAGGAACTGTGCTACCCGGCCCGGATACTACGTTTTTTCCCCATGGTTTTTGCAACCTGCAGATCAGGAGATTCCCTCATGTGCCTACACCACCAGGACCCTGGGTTTCAAGCACAAAACTGGGCAGCTGTTTGGGCAGACACCAAGCTAGCTGCAGGAGTTTTTCCATATCCCAGTGGCGGCTGGAACCTCAGTGAGACAGAACCATTCACTCCCCTGGAAAGGGGGCTGAAGCCAGGGAGCCAAGTGGTCTCTCTCAGCGGGTCCCACTCCCATGGAACCCAGCAAGCTAAGAACCACTGGCTTGAAATTCTCGCAGCTGGCACAGCAGTCTGAAGTCAACCTGGGACAATCTAGCTTGGTGCAGGGAGGGGTGTCCGCCATTACTGAGGCTTTAGTATTCAGTTTTCCGCTGACACTGCTAAGGAGGCTGGGGGATTTGGGCTGGGCGGAATTTACCACAACGTGGCAAAGTGGCTGTGGCCAGACTGCTTCTCTAGATTCCTCCTCATGGGGCAGAGCATCTCTAAAGTAAAGGCAACAGCCCCAGTAAGGGGCTCATAGATAAAACCCCTATCTCCCTAGGACAGAGCACCTGAGGGAAGGGGTGGATGTGGGTGCATTTTCAGCGGACTTAAACTTTCCTGCCTGCCGGCTCTGAAGAGAGCAGCTGATCCTGACGAGGATTCTCCCAGCACAGCACTCGAGCTCTGCTAAGGGACAGAACTGCCTCCTGAAGTGGGTCCCTGATGCCCATGCCTCCTGACTGGGAGGGACCTCCCAACAGGGGTCAACAGACACCTCATACAGGAGAGCTCTGGCTGGCATCAGGCCTGTGTCCCTCTGGGACGAAGCTTCCAGAGGAAGGAGTAGGCAGCAATCTTTGCTGTTCTGTGGCCTCCACTGGTGATACTGCTGTTCTGCAGCCTCCACTGGTGATACCCAGTTGAAGAGGGTCTGAAGAGGACCTCCCACAAACTGCAGCAGACCTGCAGAAGCGAGGCCTGACTGTGAGAAGAAAAACTAACAAACAGAAAGCAAAAGCATCAACATCAACAAAAAGGACCCCCACACAAAAACCCCATCCAAAGATTATCAACCTCAAAGATCAAAGGTAGAAAAATCCACAAAGATGAGGAAAAACTGGCGAAAAATGCTGAAAATTCCAGAAACCAGAATGCCTCTTCTCCTCCAAATGATCACAACTCCTCTCTAGCAAGGGCACAAAACTGGATGGAGAATGAGATTGACAAACTGACAGAAGTAGGCTTCAGAAGGTGGGTAATAACAAACTACTCTGAGCTAAAGGAGCACGATCTAACCCAATGCTAAGAAGCTAAAAACCTTGATAAAAGGTTACAGGAATTGCTAACAATAATAACCAGTTTCGAGAAGACCATAAATGATCTGATGGACCTGAAAAACACAGCATGAGAACTTCGTGAAGCATACACAAGTATCAATAGCTGAATCAATCAAGCAGAAGAGAGGATATCAGAGATTGAGGATCAACTTACTGAAATAAGGAGTGAAGACAAGATTAAAGAAAAAAGAATGAAAAAGAACAAACAAAACCTCCAAGAAATATGGGACTATGTGAAAAGACCAAACCTACGATTGATTGGGGTCTCTGAAACTGATGGGGAAAATGGAACCAAGTTGGAAAACACACTTCAGGATATGATCCTGGAGAACTTCCCCCACCTAGCAAGACAGGCCAACATTCAAATTCAGGAAATACAGAGAACACTATTAAGATACTCTTCGAGAAGAGCAATCCCAGACACATAATCATCAGATTCCCCAAGGTTGAAATGAAGGAAAAAATGTTAAGGGCAGCCAGAGAGAAAGGTCAGGTTACCTACAAAAGGAAGCCCATCAGACTAACAGCTGATCTCTCTGCAGAAACTCTACAAGCCAGAAGAGAGTGGGGGCCAATATTCAACATTCTTAAAGAAAATAATTTTCAACCCAGAATTTCGTATCCAGCCAAACTAAGCTTCATAAATGAAGGAGAAATAAAATCCTTTACAGACAAGCAAATGCTGAGAGATTTTGTCACCACCAGGCCTGCCCTAAAAGAGCTTCTGAAGGAAGTACTAAACATGGAAAGGAACAACCGGTACCTGCCACTGCAAAAACATGCCAAATTGTAAAGACCGTCGATGCTAGGAAGAAACTGCATCAACTAACGGGCAAAATAAAGAGCTAGCATTATAATGACAGGATCAAATTCACACATAACAATATTAACCTTAAATGTAAATGGGCTACCAGACTGGCAAATTGGATAAAGAGTCAAGACCCATCAGTGTGCGGTATTCAGGAGACCCATCTCATGTGCAAAGACACACATAGGCTCAAAATAAAGGGATGGAGGAATATTTACCAAGCAAATGGAAAGCAAAAAAAAGCAGGAGTTGCAATCCTAGTCTCTGATAAAACAGACTTTAAACCAACAAAGATCAAAAAAGACAAAGAAGGGCATTAAATAAGGGTAAAGGGATCCATTCAACAGGAAGAGCTAACTATCCTAAATATATATGCACCCAATACAGGAGCACCCAGATTCATAAAACAAGTTCTTAGAGAGCTACAAAAAAACTTAGACTCCCACACAATAATAGTGGGAGACTTTAACACCCCACTGTCAATATTAGACAGATCAATGAGACAGAAAATTAACAAGGATGTTCAGGACTTGAACTCAGCTCTGGACCAAGCAGACCTAATAGACATCTACAGAACTCTCCACCCCAAATAGACAGAATATACATTCTTCTCAGCACCACATAGCACTTATTCTAAAATCGACCATATAACTGGAAGTAAAACACTTCTCAGCAAATGCGAAAGAACAGAAATCATAACAAACAGCCTCTCAGACTGCAGTGCAATCAAATTAGAACTCAGGATTAAGAAATTCACTCAAAACCTCACAACTACATGGAAACTGAACAACCTGCTCCTGAATGACTACTGGGTAAATAACGAAATTAAGGCAGAAATAAAGAAGTTCTTTGAAACCAATGAGAACAAAGACACAACATACCAGAATCTCTGGGACACAGCTAAAGCTGTGTTAAGAGGGAAATTTATCGTACTAAACGCCCACACTGGAAAGCTGGAAAGATCTGAATTCGACACCTGAACATCACAATAAAAGAACTAGAGAAGCAGCCGGGCGCGGTGGCTCATGCCTGTAATCCCAGCATTTTGGGAGGCTGAGGCAGGCAGATCACAAGGTCAGGAGATCAAGACTATCCGGGCTAACACAGTGAAACCCCGTCTCTATTGAAAATACAAAAAAATTAGCCGGGCATGGTGGCAGGCGCCTGTAGTCACAGCTACTCAGGAGGCTGAGGCAGGAGAATGGCATGAACCCGGGAGGTGGAGCTTGCAGTGAGCCGAGATCATGCCACTGCACTCCAGCCTGGGCGACAAAGCAAGACTCCACTTCAGAAAAAAAAAAAAAAAAAAGAACTAGATAAGCAAGAGCAAACAAATTCAAAAGCTAGCAGAAGACAAGAAATAACTAAGATCAGAGCAAAAGAGAAGGAGATAGAGACACAAAAAACCCTTCAAAATATCAATGAATCCAGGAGCTGGTTTTTTGAAAAGATTAACAAAATAGATTGACCACTAGCCAGCCTAATAAAGAAGAAAACAGAAGAATCAAATAGACACACTAAAAAATGATAAAGGGGATATCACCACTGATCCCACAGAAATACAAACTACCATCAGAGAGTACTATAAACACCTCTATGCAAATAAACTAGAAAATCTGGAAGAAATGGATAAATTCCTGGACATATACACCCTCCCAAGACTGAACCAGGAAGAAGTCGACTCCCCGAAAAGACCAATAACAAGTTCTGAAATTGAGGCAATGATTAATAGCCTACCAACCAAAAGAAACCCAGGACCAGATGAATTCACAGCCAAATTCTACCAGAGGTACAAAGAGGAGCTGGTACCATTCTCTCTGAAACTATTCCAAACAATAGAAAAAGAGAGACTTTTTCATAACTCATTTTATGAGGCCAGCATCATCCTAATACCAAAACCTGGCAGAGATAGAACAAAAAAGAGAAAATTTCAGGCCAATATCCCTGGTGAAGATCAATGCGAAAATCCCCAATAAAATACTGGCAAACCGAATGCAGTAGCACATCATGAAGCTTATTCATCACGATCAAGTTGGTTTCATCCCTGGGATGCAAGCCTGGTTCAACATATGCAAATCAATAAACATAACCCATCACATAAACAGAATCAATGACAAAAACCACGATTATCTCAACAGATGCAGAAAAGGCCTTTGATAAAATTCAACATCCCTTCGTGCTAAAAACTCTCAATAAACTAGGTACTGATGGAATATATCTCAAAATAATAAGAGCTATTTATGACAAACCCATAGCCAATATCATACTGAATGGGCAAAAGCTGGAAGCAGCCCCTTTGAAAACAGGCATAAGATAAGCATGCCCTCTCTCACCACTCCTATTCAACATAGTACTGGAAGTTCTGACCAGGGCAATCAGGCAAGAGAAAGAAATAAAGGGTATTCAGTCAGGAAAAGAGGAAGTCAAATTGTCTCTGCTTGCAGATGACATGACTGTATATTCAGAAAGCCCCATTGTCTCAGCCCAAAAACTCCCTAAGCTGATAAGCAACTTCAGCAAAGTCTCAGAATACAAAATCAATGTACAAAAATCACAAGCATTCCTGTACACCAATAATAGACAAGCAGAGAGCCAAATCATGAGTGAACTCCCATTCACAAATTGCTAAAAAGAGAATAAAACACTTAGGAATATAGATGTGAAGGACCTCTTCAAGGAGAACTACAAACCACTGCTCAAGAAAATAAAAGAGGACACAAACAAATGGAAAAATATTCCATGCTCATGGATAGGATAAATCAATATCATGAAAACAGTCATGCTGCCCAAAGTAATTTATAGATTCCATGCTATTCCCATCAAGCTACCATTTACTTTCTTTGCAAAATTAGAAAAAAACTACTTTAAATTGCATATGGAACCAAAAAAAGAGCCTGTATAGCCAAGACAATCCTAAGCAAAAAGAACAGAGCAGAAGGCATCAGGCTACACAACTTCAAACTATACTACAAGACTACAGTAACCAAAGCTGCATGGTACTAGTACCAAAACAGATATATAGACCAATGGAACAGAATAGAGACCTCGGAAGTAAGAGCACACATCTACAATCATCTGATCTTCAACAAACCTGACAAAAACAAGCAATGGGGAAAGAATTCCCTATTTAATAAATGGTGCTGGGAAAACTGGCTAGCCATATGTAGAAAGCTGAAACTGGACCCTTTCCATACACCTTATACAAAAATTAACTCAAGATGGATTAAAGACTTAAATGTAAAACCAAAAAGCATATAAACACTAGAAGAAAACCTAGGCAATACCATTCAGGACATAGGCATGGGCAAACACTTCATGGCTAAAACACCAAAAGCAATGGCAACAAAAGCCAAAATTGACAAATGGGATCTACTTAAACTAAAGAGCTTCTGCACAGCAAAAGAAACTATCATCAGAGTGAACAGGCAACCTACAGAATGGGAGAACATTTTTGCAACCTATCCGTCTGACAAAGATCTAATATTCGGAATCTACAAGAACTTAAACAAATGTACAAGAGAAAAAACAACCCCTTCAAAAAGTGGGCAAGGGATATGAACAGACACTTCTCAAAAGAAGACATTTATGTAGCCATCAAACATATGAAAATAAGCTCATTATCACTGGTCATTAGAAAAATGTAAATCAAAACCACAGTGAGATACCATCTCACACTAGAATGGCGATAATTAAAAAGTCAGGAAACAACAGATGCTGGAGAGGATGTGGAGAAATAGGAATGCTTTCACACTATTGATGGGAGTGTAAATCAGTTCGACCATTGTGGAAGACAGTGTGGTGATTCCTCAAGGATCTAGAACCAGAAATACCATTTGACCCAGCAATCCCATTACTGGATATATACCCAAAGTATTATAAATCATTCTACTATAAAGACACATGCACACATATTTTTATTGCAGCACCATTTACAATAGCATAGATTTGAACCAACCCAAATGCCCATCAATGATAGACTGGATAAAGAAAATGTGGCACATATACACATGTGGAAAATGTAGCACATATACACATGGAATACTATACAGCCATAAAAAGAATGAGTTCATGTCCTTTGCAGGGACATGGATGAACCTGGAAACCATCATTCTCAGCAAACAAACACAGGAACAGAAAACCGAACACCACATGTTCTCACTCATAATGGGAGTTGAACAATGAGAACACATGGACACAGGGAGGGGAACATCACACACCGGGGCCTGGCAGGGGTTGGGGGGAAAGGGAGCAAGATAATTAGGACAAATACCTAACACATGCGGGGCTTAAAACCTAGATGACAAGTTGATAGGTGCAGCAAGCCACCATGGCACATGTATACCTATGTAACAAACCTGTATGTTCTGCACATGTATCCCAGAACTTAAAGTAAATTTTATTTAAAAAAGAATCAATGGAAATGCAGAAAAGATCAGTGAAAATATGAACTGGCATAATTATCAATTTGATTGCCACATATGTCTTCTAAGTGTTTCACTTTCTATTCTGCTACTGCAAAAGTTTGTGTCAGAATCTATTTAAAATAAATACAACACATAATCTCAAAAAACTGAAAGGGGACCAAACTACAGAAAGAGACTATACCAAAAAATTATTTTAGGAATACTGTATAACTTTTACACCAATAACTTTGAAAATCTAGGTGAAATGGATAATTTCTAGGAAAATTAGTCCAAGAATTGGCCTAAGAAATAGAATACTTAAATAAACCTATTA
Organism: Homo sapiens; assembly: GCF_000001405.40. Classification (NCBI taxonomy): domain Eukaryota; kingdom Metazoa; phylum Chordata; class Mammalia; order Primates; family Hominidae; genus Homo; species Homo sapiens. Next base: position 107,953,235 of record NC_000023.11, on the reverse strand, counting down.
ATCACATTAGAATGTATAATGATAATCAAGAATCTACCTTAAAAGTCACCATTTCCAGAAATTTTGTGGGTGTTTGACAAAACCATCTAGGAACAGATTAATGAAACTTTCCAAACATTTTTTCCATATTAAAAAAATGGTAAATGACACCACACAGCTATAAGGCTGGTATAATCTTGATACCAAAACTGACAAGTAAAGGGAAAGAAAATTATAGCCCATCTCACATATGAACCTTGATATAAAAACGTATAACCTTGATACAAAAATTGGAAAAGCACAAGAGAACTACGGGCCAGCATTTTTCATAAGAGTGCTAATAGCATTTTTGTTGAGACAGTTCTTCATTTAGCAACCCCAGTCACCATTTACCCAATTGTAGTAGGACTCCCCCAACTCACACACTTAATAAACTGACAACCAAAAGCACCTCCAGATATTTCCAAATGCCTTCTTGAGGGGTAATTTTGCCAATTGAGGATCAATGCTATAGGCAATCTCATGTATAAACACAGATTTTTTAAAATGGCAGATAAAATACTAGTCATTCAAATCCTGCAGTAGATTTAAAAAGATACATTATGCCCCAATAGGCTAATCCTAGGACTGCAGGGAAGGTTTAACATTTAAAGATGTGTCAACGTGGAACAGGGTACTAACTCCTTACTTGGAAAACTGGCAATTAAAGGGAAAGAGTTAAGAATTTACCGTGTCTTTCCCATAGAAACTGTATTTTAGGCTTACCAAATAACCCTAGTAGATGAGGGATAGTTCTTCTTACAGAGGAATTCTAGCTGATGAATGCTCAAAGAATGAAAGAATTAGAAAATCATTACTTTGAAATCAATAATGAAATAATTGATTCGAATAACAATTATGAAATAAATAGTAAAGCAATGCAAAAGGTGAAAGGATAATGGAGAACTTTACAATGAAGGGATCAGACTATCACCACCTCAATCCACTTTTAGTATTACTAAAAGTGAGACAACTGCAAATTACATAAAAGGAAGTACATAGTAACAACCATGAGATATTCTTGCCAAATAATAATTTTAAAAACCTAATCTAACCAAGTCTTTTTTTTTTCTTTTTTTGAGACAAGGTCTCACTCTGTTGACCAGCTGGACTGCAGTAGCATGATCACTGCCCACTGCAGCCTTGACCTCCCCAGGCTCACATAATTCTCCTACCTCAGCCTCCCAAGTAGCTGGGACTATAGGTGCGGGCCACCACAGCAGCTCATTTTTGCATTTTTTTTAAGACGAGTTTTCATCATATTGTCCCGGCTCATCTTGAACTCCTGGGCTCAAGTGATCCGCCCACCTCCCAAAGTACCTCCCAAAGTGCTGAGATTACAGGTATGAGCCACACCATCCAGTCTAATCAAGTCTTTAGCTTTACATTCCAGTTTACAAGAAACAACAGGGAATATAGAAACAAGTAAAATAACACCTCAAGGAAGTAATCAGCCGAATCCAGAATATGGGACAGTCTAGAGGACAAATGCCAAGTTTCTTCAACAAGCCAATGTCATCACAATAAAAGAGAGGAGGTACTGTTTGGTTTAGCTTTTAAAATTTTTAAAAGAGGCTGGGTGCGGTGGCTCAAGCCTGTAATCCCAACACTTTGGGAGGCCGAGGTGGGCGGATCACAAGGTCAAGAGATCGAGACCATCCTGGCTAACATGGTGAAACCCCGTCTCTACTAAAAATACAAAAAATCAGCTGGGCGTGGTGGCGGGCGCCTGTAGTCCCAGCTACTCGGGAGGCTGAGGCAGGAGAATGGCGTGAACCCGGGAGGCAGAGCTTGCAGTGAGCCGAGATCGCGCCACTGCACTCCAGCCTGGGCAACAGAGTGAGACTCTGTCTCAAAAAAAATAAATAAATAAAAAATAAATAAATAAATAAAAATAAAATTTTTAAAAGAAACTTAATAGATATAACATAATATAATAAGGTGACCTCAATTGGATCCCAATTCCAACAAACCTCAATGGCAAAAACATTTTCAGACAATTAGAAAAATCAGATTATTCACCGGGTATTAGTGTGATAATGGCATTGTGACTATATGAGATGTTCCTTTTGCTATAATTCTTTTGCTACGCATACTGAAATATTTAGGAGTGAAATTACATGATATTCCTGATTAGCCTAAAATATTCCAGCATAAAAGAGGGGAAGATCATAGTTGAAACAAGCATGGAAAAATGTTGATGGCTATTGAAGCTGAGTTATGAGTATGTACGGGGTTTTATTGTACATTCTACTGTTATGTACATTCGGAAATTTTAATAAAAAAATTTTAAAGCTATCAATGCAATTTTATGCATTAATAATGTAAACGGAAAAAACTATATGTCCTACTTACAGGTGAAAAAACAATGGATAAAGCTTTGCTTTTTCATCCCTTCTTGGTTTCTTTTTTTTATTTTTATTTTTTTTTTGAGACAGGGTCTCACTCTGTCACCCAGGCTGGAGTACAGTGGTGCAGTCATAGCTCACTGAAGTCTCGACCTTCCCAGGCTCAAGCAATCTTACTATCTCAGCCCTCACCGAGTAGCTGGGACTCTGTATAGGCACATGCCACCACACCTTGCTAATTTATTATTATTATTATTTTGTAGGGATGAGGTTTTGCAATGTTGTGCAGGCTGGTCTCAAACTCCTGGACTCAAGCGATCTACTCTCCTTGGCCTCCCAAATTGCTAGGATTACAAGCGTGACCATTCTTGTTTTTAAAAAGCCTCAGAAAGATAGAAATTCAAGAGAGTTTATTTGACTTAATAAAGGGTAACTGCCAGACACCCACAGCAAACATAATACTTGATGAAATTTTAGAAGCATTCCCATTAAATGGAAGGAAAAAATAAAGATATCTGATATTGGTATGATTCAAATTTAAATCCGAGGTCCTAGCCAATGCATTAAAACACAAAAAGTACACATGGTATCCAGGCTAAAGACAGAGACAAAACTATCAGTATTTGTAATAATCTGTTTTCCTACCAAGAAAATCCAATAGAATCAACAAAAAATCGATTAGAAAGAAAAGAGAATTTGTTAGTAAAGTTGCTGGCAAAAGACAACATACAAAAATCAATAGCTTTCTTATACTCCTATGGTAATTATAAAACGAAAGAAAAAGTTCTATTGAAGGTAGCAACAAAAATGAAGTATCTAGAAATAAAGCAAACAAGATATGTTCAAAATATTTACAGAGAAAATTATGAAGCACTACTAAAGGACTTAAAAATTTGGATAAGTGGAAAGCCATATCATGTTTATTCATATAAAGACTCATTCATGTAAAGATGCTAACTCTCCCTGGTTAAATCTGTAAACTCAGTGAAATACCAAATAAAAATGCTAGTAAGATCCTACATGGGTATAATAATCTGCATTTAAAATTCGTTGAAATAGTAAATATGTAAAAATAACCACAAAAATGAAAGGAAGCTCTTTCAATGCCAGATAACAAACATATTATAAAAATATAAAAATGTAAATGCTTGTGAATTAATAAAAAAGAGATGCAGGAGAGATTCCGTTCCAAGATGGCTGAATAGGAACAGCTCCAGTCTGCAGCTCCCAGTGTAATCAACGCAGAAGACGGGATTTCTGCATTTCCAACTGAGGTACCTGGTTCATCTCATTGGACTGGTTGGACAGTGGGTGCAGCCCACACAGGGCCAGCCAAAGCAGGGCAGGGCATCGCTTTGCCCAGAAAGCACAAGGGGTGGGGGGATTTCCCTTTCCTAGCCAAGGGATGTCGTGAAAGACTATACCTGGAAAATTGGGACACTCCTGCCCAAATACTGTGCTTTACCAATGATCTTAGCAAATGGCACATCAGGAGATAATATCCTGCACCTGGCTCAGCGAGTCCCATGCCCACGGAGCCTTGCTCACTGCTAGCACAGCAGTCTGAGATTGACCCGTGAGGCAGCAGCCTGGCAGGGGGAGGGGAGTCCGCCATAGCTGAGGCTTGAGTAGGTAAACAAAGTGGCTGGGGAAGCTCAAACTGGATGGAGCCCACCGCAGCTCTGCAAGGCCTGCTGCCTCTGTAGACCCCACCTCTGGTGGCAGGGCATAGCTGAACAAAAAGCAGAAGAAACCCCTGCAGACTTAAACGTCCCTGTCTGACAGCCTGCTGCCTCTGTAGACCTCACCTCTGGTGGCAGGGCATAGCTGAACAAAAAGCAGCAGAAACTCCTGCAGACTTAAACATCCCTGTCTGACAGCTCTGAAGACAGCAGTGGCTCTCCCAGCATGCTGTTTGAGCTCTGAGAATGGACAGACTGCCTCCTCAAGTGGGCCCCTGAGCCCCATGTAGCCTAACGGGGAGACCCCTCCAAGTAGGGGCCAACTGACACCTCATACAGGCAGGTGCCCCTCTGGGATGAAGCTTCCAGAGGAAGGATCAGGCAGCAATATTTGCTGTTCTGCAGCCTCCGCTGGTGACACCCAGGAAAACAGGGCCTGGAGTGGACCTCCAGAAAACTCCAACAGACATGCAGCTGAGGGACCTGACTGTTAGAAGGAAAACTAACAAACAGAAAGGAATAGCATCAACAACAACAAAAAGGACATCATACCAAAACCCCATCTGTAGGTCACCATCATCAAAGACCAAAGGTAGATAGAACCACAAAGATGGGGAGAAACCAGAGCAGAAAAGCTGAAAACTCTAAAAACCAGAGTGCCTCTTCTCCTCCAAAGGATCACAGCTCCTCACCAGCAATGGAACAAAGCTGGACAGAGAATGACTTTGACGAGTTGACAGAAGCAGGCTTCAGAAGGTTGGTAATAACAAACTTCTCTGAGCTAAAGGAGGATGTTCGAACCTATCGCAAGGAAGCTAAAAACCTTGAAAAAAGATTAGACGAATGGCTAACTAGAATAACCAGTGCAGAGAAGACCTTAAATGACCTGATGGAGCTGAAAACCATGGCACAAGAACTACGTGATGCATGCACAAGCTTCAATAGCCAGTTCGATCAAGTGGAAGAGAGAGTATCAGTGATTAAAGATCAAATTAATGAAATAAAGCAGGAGGAGAAGTTTAGAGAAAAAAGAGTAAAAAGAAACAAACAAAGCCTGCAAGAAATATGGGACTCTGTGAAAAGACCAAATCTACATTTGATTGGTGTACCTGAAAGTGATGGGGAGAATGGAACCAAGTTGGAAAACACTCTGCAGGATATTATGCAGGAGAACTTCCCCAACCTAGCAAGGCAGGCCAACACTCAAATTCAGGAAATACAAAGAACATCACAAAGACACTCCTCGAGAAGAGCAACCCCAAGACACATAATTGTCAGATTCACCAAGGTTGAAATGAAGGAAGAAATGTTAAGGGCAGCCAAAGAGAAAGGTCGGGTTACCCACAAAAGGAAGCCCATCAGGCTAACAGCAGATCTCTCAGCAGAAACTCTACAAGCCAGAAGAGAGTCGGGGCCAATATTCAACATTCTTAAAGAAAAGAATATTCGACCCAGAATTTCATATCCAGGCAAACTAAGCTTCATAAATGAAGGAGAAATAAAATCCTTTACAGACAAGCAAATGCTGAGAGATTTTGTTACCACCAGGCCTGCCTTACGAGAGCTCCTGAAGGAAGCACTAAGCATGGAAAGGAACAACCGGTACCAGCCACTGCAAAAAACATGCCAAATTGTAAAGACCATCGAGGCTAGGAAGAAACAGCATCAACTAACGGGCAAAATAACCAGCTAACATCATAATGACAGGATCAAATACACACATAATATTAACCTTAAATATAAATGGGCTGAATGCCCCAATTAAAAGACACAGACTGGCAAACTGGATAAAGAGTCAAGACCCATCCGTGTGCTGTATTCAGGAGACCCATCTCACGTGCAGAGACACACATAGGCTCAAAATAAAGGGATGGAGGAAGATCTACCAAGAAAACCGAAAGCAAAAAAAAAAAAAAAAAAAAGCAGGAGTTGCAATCCTAGTCTCTGATAAAATAGACTTTAAACCAACAAAGATCAAAAGAGACAAAGAAGGTCATTACATAATGGTAAAGAGATCAATTCAACAAGAACAGCTAACTATCCCAAATATATATGCACCAAAACAGGAGCACCCAGATTCATAAAGCAAGTCCTTAGAGATGTACAAAGAGACTTAGACTCCCACACAATAATAGTGGGAGACTTCAACACCCCACTGTCAATATTAGACAGATCAGTGAGACAGATGTTTAACAAAGATATACATGACTTGAGCTTAGCTCTGCACCAAGCAGACCTAATAGACATCTACAGAACTCTCCACCCCAAACCAAGAGAATATGCATTCTTCTGAGCAACATATTGCACTTATTCTAAAATTGACCACATAGTTGGAAGTAAAGCGCTCCTCAGCAAATGTAAAAGAACAGAAATCACAACAAACTGTCTCTCAGACCACAGTGCAATCAAATTAGAGCTCAGGATTAAGAAACTCACTCAAAACCGCTCAACTACATGGAAACTGAACAACTTGCTCTTGAATGACTACTGGGTAAATAATGACATGAAGGCAGAAATAAACATGTTCTTTGAAACCAATGAGAACAAAGACACAACGTACCAGAATCTCTGGGACACATTTAAAGCAGTGTATAGAGGGAAATTTATAGCACTAAATGCCCACAAGAGAAAGCAGGAAAGATCTAAAATCGACACCCTAACATCATGATTAAAAGAACTAGAGAAGCAAGAGCAAACAAATTCAAAAGCCAGCAGAAGGCAAGAAATAACTAAGATCAGAGCAGAACTGAATGAGATACAGATACAAAAAAACCCTTCAAAAAAATCAGTGAATCCAGGAGCTGATTTTTTGAAAAGATCAACAAAATTGATAGACCGCTAGCAAGACTAATAAAGAAGAAAAGAGAGAAGAATCAAATGGATGCAATAAAAAATGATAAAGGGGATATCACCACTGATCCTACAGAAATACAAACTACCATCAGAGAATACTATAAACACCTCTATGCAAATAAACTAGAAAATCTAGAAGAAATGGATAAATTCCTCGACACATACACCCTCCCAAGACGAAATCAGGATGAAGTTGAATCTCTGAATAGACCAATAGCAGGCTCTGAAATTGAGGCAATAACTAATAGCCTACCAACCAAAACAAAGTCCAAGACCAGATGGATTCACAGCCAAATTCTACCAGAGGTACAAAGAGGAGTTGGTACCATTCCTTCTGAAACTATTCCAATCAATAGAAAAAGAGGGAATCCTCCCTAACTCATTTTATGAGGCCAACATCATCCTGATACCAAAGCCTGGCAGAGACACAACAAAAAAAGAGAATTTTAGACCACTATCCCTAGTGAACACTGATGCAAAAATCCTCAATAAAATACTGGCAAACCAAATCCAGCAGCACATTAAAAAGCTTATCCATCATGATCAAGTGGGCTTCATCCCTGGGATGCAAGTCTGGTTCAACATACGCAAATCAATAAACATAATCCATCACATACACAGAACCAATGACAAAAACCACATGATTACGTCAACAGATGCAGAAAAGGCCTTTGACAAAATTCAACAGCCCTTCATGCTAAAAACTCTCAATAAACTAGGTATTGATGGAGCATATCTCAAAATATTGAGAGTTATTTATGACAAACCCACAGCCAATATCATACTGAATGGGCAAAAGCTGGAAGCAGCCCCTTTGTGTCCCCGTTTGCAGATCACATGATTGTATATTTAGAAAACCCCATCGTCTCAGCCCAAAATCTCCTTAAGCTGATAAGCAACTTCAGCAAAGTCTCAGGATACAAAATCAATGTGCAAAAATCACAAGCATTCCTATACACCAATAACAGACAAACAGCCAAATCATGAGTGAACTCCCATTCACATTTGCTACAAAGAGAATAAAATACCTACAAATCCAATTTACAAGGGAAGCGAAGGACCTCTTCAAGGAGAACTACAAACCACTGCTCAACGAAATAAAAGAGGACACAAACAAATGGAAGAACATTCCATGCTTACGGATAGGAAGGATCAATATCATGAAAATGGCCATACTCCCCAAGGTAATTTATAGATTCAATGCCACCTCCATCAAGGTACCAATAACTTTCTTCACAGAATTGGAAAAAACTACTTTAAAGTTCATATGGAACCAAAAAAAGAGCCTGCATTGCCAAGACAATCCTAAGCAAAAAGAACAAAGCTGGAGGCATCATGCTACCTGACTTCAAACTATACTACAAGGCTACAGTAACAAAAATAGCATGGTACTGGTACTAAAACAGAGAGATAGAACAATGGAACAGAATAGAGCCCTCAGAAATAATACCACACATCTACAACCATCTGATCTTTGACAAACCTGACAAAAACAAGAAATGGGGAAAGGATTCCCTATTTAAAATAAATGGTGTTGGGAAAACTGGCTAGCCATATGTAGAAAGCTGAAACTGGATCCCTTCCTTACACCTTATACAAAAATTAATTCAAGATGAATTAAAGACCTAAATGTTAGACCTAAAACCATAAAACACCCTAGAAGAAAACCTAGGCAATACCATTCAGGACATAGGCATGGGCAAGGACTTCATGACTAAAACACCAAAAGCAATGGCAACAAAAGCCAAAATTGACAAATGGGATCTAATTAAACTCAAGAGCTTCTACATAGCTAAATAAACTACCATCAGGGTGAGCAGGCAACCTACAGAATGGGAGTAAACTTTTGCAATCTACCCATCTGACAAAGGGCTAATATCCAGAATCTACAAAGACCTTAAACAAATTTACAAGAAAAAAACAAACCCCATCAAAAAGTGGGCAAAGGATATGAACAGACATTTCTCAAAAGAAGACATTTATGCAGCCAACAGACACATGAAAAGATGCTCATCATCACTGGTCATCAGAGAAATGCAAATCAAAACCACAATGATATACCATCTCACACCAGTTAGAATGGCGATCATTAAAAAGTCAGGAAAAAACAGATGCTGGAGAGGATGTGGAGAAATAGGAATGCTTTTACACTGTTGGTGGGAGTGTAAACTAGTTCAACCATTGTGGAAGACAGTGTGACGATTCCTCAAGGATCTAGAACTAGAAATACCATTTGACCCAGCAATCACATTACTGGGTATATACCCAAAGGATTATAAATCATGCTGCTATAAAGACACATGTACACATATGTTTACTGCGGCACTATTCACCCTAGCAAAGACTTGGAACCAACCCAAACGTCCATCAATGATAGACTGGGTTAAGAAAATGTGGCACATATACACCATGGAATAATATGCAGCCATAAAAAAGGATGAGTTCCTGTCCTTTGTAGGGACATGGATGAAGCTGGAAACCATCATTCTCAGCAAACTATGACAAGGACAGAAAACCAAACACCACATGTTCTCACTCATAGGTGGGAACTGAACAGTGAGAACACTTGGGCACAGGGCGGGGAACATCACACACAGGGGCCTGTCATGGGGTGGGGGGCAGGGGGAGGGATAGCATTAGGAGAAATACCTAATGTAAATGACGAGTTAATGGGTGTAGCAAACCAACATGGCACATGTATACCTATGTAACAAACCTGCACTTTGTGCACATGTACCCTAGAACTTAAAGTATAATTAAAAAAAAAAAAAGATGCAGGAGAAAAGTCAAACAGTGAGTAGGGACAGAGGAGGTAGAGAGGAAATCAATGATGATCAAAGGGAGTGTTCAACTTCCCTGTAGTGCTCTAATCTTTCAAAAGAAAAATGTATTCAAGTATCATGTGTGTAATTAAATCAATAAATAAGAAATTAAAAGGCTATATAACAATATGAATGAATCCTGTTATGTAAATATATATAAATACTTATTTATTCACACAAAATGCATGGAAAGAAGATTGTAAGGACACTCACCAAATTGTGGACAGTTGGTTGTTTATTGGGGGTTTTTTGGGGGTTTTTTTTTGGTGAGATGTCAGAGAGCAGGCAGGAAAGGGAAGTTTGAAGATTTACTCTCTCTAAACCTGTGTATTATTTTGATCTTTTACCACAACAATATGCTTATATATTATTAATTTAAAAATAAAGACTTGGAAAAAGTCAAAGACACATGGTTAAGTGAAAAAAGCTAGTTGCAAGATAACACAGTATTAACCTATTACATAAAAAGAAAACCAACGCACCAAAAACATAAATATTTTGCATGTGTTTTATATAGGTAGATAAAATTGCAAATGAAAAAAAGAACAGTTGTCACATTTGAGGTAAGGCATTAAACTGGGTAGAGGTGAAGGAAAATAATGAGGTGATTAAGAGCCCAGCTCCAACAATAATTAGCTATATGACCACATGCAAGTTACCTCTTTATGCCCTCAGTGTCCCTATCTGTAAAATGGAAAAAAATAACAGTACCTATTTCATGGATTGTTGTACTGATCTCTTTAAAGCATTTAGAGTGATGTTGGGCACAGTAAGGCCTGTATAAGCATTTACTCTCATTGTTACACATTTCTATATTTTTACAATTTTTATAAGAATATATTCATATATTCCTCACGTAATTCCTTGTGTATTCCTAGTGTAATTTTAAAAATAAAATTTGAAGCATAATATTAGAGAAAAAAATTTACAGAATGGCATATTGCAATTTTGTTAAACTTTTATTTTAGGTTTGGGGTACATGTGCAGTGCAAGTTTGTTATATAGGTAAGCTCGTGTCACAGGCGTTCGGTTTAGATTATTTTGTTATCCAGGTACTAAGCATAGTACCTGATAGTTATTTTTCCTGATCCTCTCCCTCTTCCTACCCTTCTCCTTCAGGTAGTCCCCACTGTCTCTTGCTCCCCTCTTTCTGCCCATTGGGTCTCATTATTTAGTTCCCACTTTTAAGTGTGAACACGCGGTATTTGTTTTTCTGTTCCTGCCTTAATTTGCTAAGGATAATGACCTCCAGCTGCATCATGTTCCTACAAAGGACATGATCTCATTCCTTTTTTTTTGGCCGCATAGCATCCCATCATGTATATGTATCACATTTTCTTTATCCAGTCTATCATTGATGGACATTTAGGCTGATTCCATGTCTTTGCTATTGTGAACAGTGCACACTGCAAAGTAATATATAATTAGAGACAACTTAAATTGTCCATCAATAGGGCAATAGTTAAATAAGTCATCATACATTAATAACGTGGAATACTTTGCAACTCTTAAGAATGAGTTGGGCCAGGCTTGGTGGCTCACACCTATAATCCCAGCACTTTGGGAGCTGGAGGAGGAAGGATTGGTTGAGCCCAGGAGTTTGAGATTAGCCTGGGCAAAATGGTGACACCCCATCTCTATTTGTATTAGTAATAAATTTTTTTTTTTAAAAAAAGAATGAATTGGATGTCTATGTATGGACACTGAAATATAACCATTGTGTATTTAACATTCTTTAAAGTGGTGAAATGGTATGTATCATTTTTATATATTATATATGTATACATCTATTATATGTGTTTACATATTATACATGTGTATTTTATGTATACACATACACATACACACATACTCCCCTATACTAACATACACATAAACTGGCCTTTCACTATTTACCCTATATACTTATGTGTTTGATTTTTTTCTTTGAGACAGGGTCTCACTCTGTCACCCAGGCTGGAGTGCAGTGGCATGATCACAGCTCACTGCAGCCTTGACTTCCCCAGGCTCAGGTGATCCTCCCACCTCAGCTTCCAGAGTAGCTGGAACCACAGGCATGCGCCACCATGCCTGGCTAATTTTTTATACTTTTTGTAAAGATGGGGTTTGTCCAGGTTGTCCAGGCTGGTCTCAAACTCCTGGGCTTAAGTGACCCACCAACTTTGGCCTTCCAAAGTGCTAGGATTACTGGTGCAAACCACAATGCCTGGCCTGATTATTTTTAAAATATGATCATGTCATCCAAATATTACCAATGCTCGTAGTATAAAGCCCCAAATCCTTAAGGGAGCCTGCCACCCAGCCTCAGCTCATATTACTCTCCTATGGCTAGAGTATTACTTAATATGCTCTAGTCATAGGAGATATTTTTCAGTTCTTCAAATTACTATACATGTTCTAGCTTCAGGTCTTTGCACATGCTGTTTCCTCTACCTGGAACATGTCTTCCACCTACCCACCATCCACCTTCATCTACCCTAATTTATCTTTCAGTCCTCACTTCTTCAGGGAAGCCCCCCCTAACTTTCCAGACAGGGTTAGGTTCCTCTGTTATAACACTTACAGAACCCTTATTTTTCATTCATAGCTCTTTTTTTTTTTTTTTTTTTTTGAGGGAGTTTCACTCTTGTTGGCCAGGCTGGAGTTCAATGGCGTGATCTCGGCTCACTGCAACCTCCACCTTTTGGGTTCAAGCGATTCTCCTGCCTCAGCCTCCCAAGTAGCTGGGATTACAGGCACATGCCACCATGCCCAGGCAATTTTTGTATTTTTAGTAGAGACAGAGTTTCACCATCTTGGCCAGGCTGGTCTCAAACTCCTGACCTTGTGATACATCCGCCTCAGGCTCCCAAAGTTTTGGGATTACATGCGTGGGCCACCGCGCCTGGCCCATTCATAGCTCTTATCACAGTTTACAGCTTTCTATTTATAGGTAGGATTATTAATGTCTGTTATTACTCCTGTTAGACTGTAAACTCCATGACAGCATGATTCTTGTCTGTCTTGTTACGTCCTGACATCTAGTAAAAGTTCAGTAAATATTTGTGAAATAAATGACTGCTTTCCGTTAGTTAGGATAGACCTTGGCTTTGGCACTGGCTCCATTTTCCTCTCCATTTCAACCCCTGCCATCATGTAAGCAACATCAATGTCTGTGGATGACTCATCCAACATGCTAGCCTCACTGCCCTTTGAGCTCCTCTACTTCAACAACCTCTGACCGCATGCCACTTTCTATGTCATTACTAGCCGTTAGTTTCCTGGACCACCCACTAGGCATGGAGCTGCTCCACTTTAGAATTCCTGAACTCTACTAGCCTAATCTCTGGCTACAACCTCCTATTCCAGTTACTTCTTGGTTCTCAGAATACCCACTCCTCATTCTCTTTCTTTTTTAAAAAATTTTTGATCAAGGACTCATTTCACAGCCAAACATTTTTCATTCTCATCAAGATCTCCCATCCTTTGATTTCTCCCATTCTCCAGCTCATTATCACCTCATGGCTTCAATCCCTACCCAGTGTAGGTGCCATTGTGCATCACTTCAACCTCTTTTTTGCTGGCTACTTCACTGCCCTTGCCATTTTTAATCTACCATTTATTGAGCAATTACTGTGAGCCACATTACATACATTATCTCTGCAATCTCTCACAAAACCCTTGAGGTGGTATCAGCATTGTCCCCTTTCAGAGATAAGGAAACAGATTCTAAAAGAGGTCAAGTAGACTTCCAGGGCACTGGCCCTTGCTGGGGTGGGCTGGGTGGCAGTTAGGTGGCACAGCCTTGGGTGCCTCTGCTGCCAACTGTGAGCAAAGTCTCGCCACTGGCAGCCTGGCATGGCACTCCAACTGTAGCTGTGTCAGTGTGTTATGATGCCCTCCCACATCAACCTGGCTGGAATCTCCGTAGTAAAGTGATATACTCAAGGCTCTCCAGCACAGATGATGGCTACACTGACCTCCAGTTTAAGAAAAGCCCTCCTAAGATCCCTTATAAGGCCACTGCACTTGCCACTGTGCTCTTTTTCGATTGGTGCCTTTCTCATTATCATAGGCTCACCTTCTGGCTACATCAGCAAAGCGGGGGCAGACTGGGCAGTTCCAGTCCTGATCATTGACATTCTGGTATTCCTGCCCAGATTTTACCACCTGCACAGAGCCTACTATGCATCCAAAGGATTACTTCTAGGGCTTACCAGGATTACTTCTAGAGGTTGCTTCTAAAATGACATTCCAAACTTTGATGACTAGCACCCAGTTCAGCCCCTAGGAGAAGAGTTACATTGAGACTGTGCCCAGCTTCAGGATATTGAGCAAAAACCAAAGCTAATTAAGGGTTAAGGAATTCTGCAGTTTACAGAAGTTTAACAAAACAATGGCCAGATTGTATGGGTCCATCCCAAAAAATGTTAACTGAGCTTACAATTTGCTAATTAAAACATGCTCTATTTTTCATCTCCTGGCCCTGGCAAAAGCTCTTGACAAGTTTTTCCATATGAATATGTATTACGGAAGAATAGTAATGCTAACTGTCTGAGAAAATGGGAGGTTATTCTCTAGTGGAAAGTGTTGTTCCCACCACCCTCCTTAGAGTTGAACATTTCTTTTAAATAATCTTCATTGTCCATTTGTTCTTGTAGCAAATGGAATAATGCTGTATGTCTAACTTCTTATTACTAAGTAATTTATTTTTAAAATATCTCAATATCTAATCTCCTACATTTATGTCTACCTTCATGTTCTGGCGGAAGACCTTGGTAAAGTCAAATATCAGTGTGGGTCCATCTGTAACATTTTTTACTTGTTTTCTTATTGATAACAACCAGGAATTTTTTTAACCACAGAGGAAGTTTTTAAAATGTAAACGCTTTCTCTATTTACCAATCCTTGGCCAGTTCCAATCCAGTTCACCAGTAGGTTGGGCAGCATATAATTTGGGTCGTTGGGTCTTTTGTAGATCAATATGTTCTGTATATCATGTCTTTAAGTAATGGACTTTTGGTTGTTTCCTAATGAAAAATGTAGATAAGTGGTTATTATTTAGAGTTTATAATTCTATTGCTAGCACCTTATATTATGATGTCATTCTGCTAAAAATCGAAAGACTCAGCCTGGATCTCCAGAGGACTAGATTGTCTTAGGTTGAATCTGTTTCCTAGCTTGCAAATGTGACTTATATTAAAAAGAAATTAAAATGTTGAAATCCCCCAAAAAGAAGTGAAGTAATTTGTGAAAGATCACACAGCTAGAAAGTGGTGGAGCAGGGTGCAGTTGGGATCTGAAGGAGATATTTCTGACTCCAAGGTCTGTGCTCCAAACCAGTAGGCTATTTTGCCTCTCAGAGGGAAAGATAACTGTGACTGCAACATGGAGAACGAAAGAGGGAAGCAGGCAAATGTGAAGGCTTGAAGACCATGGCAGCAATCCAAGTGAGAGTTGATGGTGGACTAATAATTGTCTACTTGAACACTGCAAATAATTCCAAATAAAGTCCCACTTACTTCAGGCGTGTGACTTTACAGGATGAACTTGGTGGGCTTTGGCTGACAGCACAACTAGGTATGCCTACAAGAAACCAAAAGAAAACAGTAGTTTAAGACATTCTTTCAAAATAAAACTTTTAGCTTTAACTTTTCTGCAAATGTATATATAGATATACGTGTATAATATATATATATATATATATATATATACACACATATTATTTATTCCTAGGTATGCAGCCATTTATTAAAGGCTTCCCATGTTCTGGGAATTTATTTAGTCTTATTTAAACTTCCAACTACCCTGTGAACTACCATTTTATAAATGAGGAAAGTGAGGCTGGGTGCAGTGCCTCACGCCTATAATCCCAGCACTTTGGGAGGCTGAAGCAGGGCTATCGCTTAAGGTCAGGAGCTCCAAACCCGCCTAGACAACATGGCGCCATCCCATCTCTACAACAAATACAAAAATTAGCCAGGCGTGGTGGTGCGCGCCTGTAATCCCAGCTACTTGGGAGGCTGAAACAGGAGAATCACTTGAACCTGGGAGGCGTAGGCTGCAGTGAGCCGAGATTGTGCCACTGCACTCCAGTCTGGGTGACAGAGCGAGTCTCAGTCTCAGTAAATAAATAAACAAATAAATAAAGTGATGCACAAGAAGATAAAGAAAATTGCTTAATGTCACACAGTTAGTTAATCGTAAAGATGGGATCAGAACCCAAGTCTGCTGCTCTCCTTCTAGTCACTTACCCAACGAAGTCCCAACCTTAGTTAGACTCATACTCCCTGACATCACCCACAGGCTGTCAGGGCCGGGGCGCGGGGCGGGGGACGGAGGGCGGAGGGCGGGGACGGGAATCACGCAAGAAAGCAACACAAATCTCCACTTTCCAACTTTATCAAGGAACTAACCCGCAAAACCTGTGGCTAGTGATCCGCTTGGGAGGGGCCGAGCTTTATCCTGAAGGCCACGAGGCACCCTTCCTCAGTCTTACTCTGGGCAGTGATCCCATTTTACACTCCCCACTCTGCTGGCACCACGTCCAACAGGAGCAGCAAACCTAGCCTCAAAGCCACACCAACCCAAGGACAGCTGCTGTTCCATTTTTTCTCTCATAGAATCAAAAGACACAATGGCGGATATCAACGTAATTTATTTGGATCTTCTCCCCTTTTCAAACCATAATCTAGGGTCTACAGATGACCATCAGTGGGTTCACGAACCCTCTGTGCTTACATGCAAACCATGGGCATTTTTTTAAAGGAGGTGGTCAATTGGTCAATAGTTTTCCTTATTTTCAAACGGTGCCATGTGCATCCTACTGCCCACCTCAAGAAAAACAAAAAGAGGCTAAGAATCCTAACTTTAAGCTCTGCCAGCAAGAGCTTCTCGGCCATCTTTACTCTCAGTTGCGCATGCACCTGGCTCCCGCCTTCCTTCCCGCTCTCCCCTCTCCACCACCCATGCAACCACCATGCACGCACTCCCAACACACGCACCCCCCCATGCACGCACCCCCACGTACGGACCCCCACGCACGCACGCACTCCACGCGCACGCATATATATTAATAAATCTATATCCCCTCACACACACCTCCACGTGCACACGCACACACATCCCCCACGGGCTTCTCGGTGAGTCTTCACGCTCGAAAGCATCTCCATGTCACCACTCGCACACTGCCACGTCCGCACCTGTGTAAATCACATCTTCGCATGTCCCCCACACATCACACGCACACAAGCGTTCCCGCACACGCGCGCCTCCCCACGTACGCACCTCTCTATACCCCTTCATACACACTCATGCCTTCTCAACACACGTACCAGCCCACTTGCACGCACTTGCAAGCGCTTGCACCCTCCACACGCACCGCTCGGAGCTTTTCCCCCTCTCTCCTCCCAATGGCTGGCTTCTGGAGCCGACCCTTCCACGCGCCCCCAGCTTCGCGGCAGCTAGGTCCCTCCCCAGCGCGCTGAGCTCACAGCGCAGGAGCCGGTCGCAGCCACACAGGCCGGTCCGACGGGACCACTGCTTCCCTCCTCACATCCCAGGAGACACCAGGTGGGGCGTGGCACCTCCCACACACGGCTGGAGGGACTCCCAGGATTTCCCGTCCTTCCGAATTCGTGGGGGGTCAGAGGACTGCGGGGAGGCGTTTCTCATCCTCGCTGGGGAAAGGACTCACCTGGTTCCCAAAGCCAGTTTGCTCTTCCTCTACTTCCTGCCAGAGGGTAAGGGATTCCAAGAGAAAGACAAGGTCTTTAGGGCGGAGAAGGGGAAATGACTCAGAGAGGAGGCGGCCCAGAGGGAGGGGCTGGGCTGGAAAGGGAGGGTAGTGGGGTGCCGGAGGGAAAGGGGAGAAAAAAGAGGATGGGAGAATCGCCTCGGGGGCAGTTTTGGGGGTGTCTAGCAAAGACCTGGAAGGCCTTCCCGGTTAACCCTGACTTCAGGAGCTGCTGCACTGGGTCATTTGTTTCCTCAGTGCTGGGCCTTAAACTTTACCTCGTACCCAAAGCAGCCATGGCTAAGACCCTTGCTAGCAGCTCACCAGGCATGTAGGAATCTGCAGGCCTGGGCATGGGCGCATGGAATGATTAACTCTTCATGTTCGAGGGAGCCAATAATAGTCTTTACCTCATAGGATTCCTGGGAGGATTGAATGAATCACTGCATCTCGAGTGCTTGGCATAGTGCCAGGCACACTGTAAGCAACCAATAAATGATAGCGCCTATAATTCAAAAAGTCTTCATTCGTTGATACTCTGTCTTCTCTCTAGATTATGAGTCTCATGAGGGCAGGGATTATGTGTCTTATTCATCACTGAGCTCCAGCACCTGCCACAAACAGACTATCAGTAAAATATTTGTTGAATGAGTGAATAAATGAATGGCGGAATAATAACTTGGAGTGGTGGCTGTACCAGGACTCTCTCCTTTGCCTTTTAAGGGATGTATCTGTGGGAGTTTGGATTGGGAAGATCATAATTGGAGAAGGTGGCACACAGGACCCCTGTTAGTTGCTGTATCAAGTGACCTACTCTGCCCTTGGAAAGTAGAATATCTTTGGCAATTCCCTGCATGTACACATTGAAGACTCTCAGATGACTGACCTGAAATTTGAAACAGAGACGCCACTAGCTAAAACAGTATTTGCATTTTGTACAGTTATCAAGCAGGATGGGGGAGAGGGCTGAAGCAGAAAGCTCAAAAGTAATGGTAGCAGCGGATTGGCAAGGGAGGTCCAAGTGAAGTGAAGTGTGTATGGGGAAGGATAGTCACCCCAAAAGGGATTCTGATGATGGTCCTAAAGTAACAGTAATGTCATCCACTTCTCTGTCCCAGTCGTAGGATTTCTGATGATCTGCCCTGATGTCCCAACATTCTTGGGGTAGGTATGCACATCAAGCTCCTATCACTACCTTCACTAAATTTGCATTTATGGTAATTCATACTGTTAGGGCTAGAAGGGACCTTAGAAATTACCCATACTCTTTAATTCCTAGTTGAAAAACTAAGTGCCAGAGATGGCGAAGGACCCAGGCCTTGGAATTCTCTGGCCTTGGTACTGAATCTTTCAGAGACTGAATTTATTTTATATCCTAATTATGCATTTAATCTCTGCCCCATCCCCACCCCCAACTCCCAAAATACTGAGAAGAATGAAAGGACATGAATGGAAGGTCAGCAGAAGGGAAGAAGAGAAGAGGTACTTCAAAAGACCCTGACTTTACTTCCTTTTGCTTTGCCCTGAGGAATTTACCTGGACCTTCAGCTAGTCTCTGCATGAGAATGGCTCTACCCTGGCACCCTAGTCACCTGGCAATATCTACAATGGTCCCTCGAGCAAAGACTTGAACCACAGCTAATCTGAGTCTTGGTAGAATGCCTGTGATCCTTCCAGAGCACAAAGGATGGGAGGCCTGAGAGGAGCTGCTTCAAGATCATCTCCCACTTGCCTCCTTATGTCCCTTGGCAAGTTTCATGAGACAGATTTTCATAGCCTCCCACCTCCCAGGTTCTGATGAGGTACAAGACTTCCTGAACCACTTCCCTCAGAATAGAGCTACAGACTATAAAGCCACTTAAGTGCAGTCTATAATTGGCTTCTTAGCAGTGAGGTATCCCACAACTCACTTGGAAGTCTTCTGGTCCTTTTTGTTTCAGTGTCATCCTTTTTGTTGTTTGGGACAAGGACCATTTGGGGCTGGAATCTTTGACTGCTTTTTCTTTCACTGTGTAAATAATAAACTGTTTGAATTTAAAAGTGATTCCTTGTATCTTTACCTACTAAATCAGTCAGGCCTTGGACTTGGACTTGGACTTGGACTTGCCATATGTGCTTGACAGCTGCTTACTGTGAATTTCACATTTTTGGCTATCTCATGACCCTCTCTTACCACTGAGGGAGTTAAGTCGAACAAAGAGCTGTTGACCATAGTAGCTTTTTCTTATCACTATACATCAAAGGGAAAATCAGCCCAAATTCCATTTTCTGGGACTTTTAATCTGCCTGGAAGAGCAACAGATCCTCTTCGTATTCTGTGTGCAAGGCCAGCCCTTGTGCTCTAGAAGGATCACAGGCATTGTGCTAAGTGAGACTCAGTTCTCATCTATATCCCCTTTGAAAGAGTCCTCTTGGTCCAAAATATTTCCCCTGGCAGGGGCTTAGCCTGCCAGGGCATTGTCAGCTGACCCTTCTAAACTGGAAAGTCTGATGCTTGCCCTCCCCAACTTGTCAGTCCCAAGTCAGACACAAAAACATTTTCCCTAGAAGGTTCTTGTTAACATTTCTTGTTTTCTGAGAAACAATGTCTTGTTTTCTGTGTGAATTTTGCCCACATTCCTCCATTAGCACATTATTGGTGGCTAATTTATTAATTCTTTTAATTGTTCCCTTTGAAGGAGCCTGGCCTTAAAGAACAATGGAAAGAAGCAGTCATAGGAATCCTGGACCAGGAATATGTGCCTGAGAGGGATTATACACCTGGTGCTGGTGAGTTCACCCAACTTCACAATGTATGAGGTGGACTACTTGTCATTCTGCTTATCAGATTCTAATTCTATTCAACCAGCATTTACTAAGCACCTACTATGTACAAGTCTCCATGCTAGATCTTGGTAAGAGCTTCCACTTGCACTCCAGTGTCTCTATAAATGCTCCCTTTGTCAGCTACCACTATTAACTCATTGAGTTCATAGATGTAAAACTATCTGAGAAGCAGTATTGAATTGGGTACTCCATTATAAATGTTAGGAATATTTTTCATCTTAATATCCCACCACAGAAATGAGAAGAGTACTAGGAACATAACTAGTGGTTAAGAACTGCTCTTGAATGACCCGACGAGATCAGTCGCAATTGTAATTTGTGTATTGTGCCCAACAGTATAGGAAAACCACCTTGATCCTCCATTCCTGGAAATTCATGGTGGAGGAGAGTCATTCTCATTAGCTGTCATGCTATATACATTTCTAATAAGCTTGTAACAACCTATTTGGTCTCTGTTACTCCTAACCATCATAACTGAGACCACCTCCCTCCCAAATACAGGCTCAGATTCACTGAAACTCTGGGACCAATTCTATTCTCAGATGGGGAAACATAAAGAATCCCATATCTGCCCTGTCCTCGCACATTAAATGGAGATGGCCTTTCCAAACATCATCACACACACACACACAAAATATTAAAATTTTAGCTATGGGTAATAGCCTCATATTTGGTATTTGCCTAGGTTGTTCTTCAATTAAACCACTAAACACACAATGTTCCAAATTCTTTTCTCCTTTGAATTTTACTCCTTTTACCTTTGGGCTGTAGTTCTTATAGGCCCCTGGTCTGATGACCTGTTTCAAGTCACTTCTCTAGCTGCCGCCCTTGACTGCCCTGCTTCATTCACTTCATATCGCATGATCCCTTTTAGTCTTAGTGCCACTACAAATCTGATTAAGATATGCCCAATTCTAGCCCTGAGGGACCTCCTGGCTTCCTCCCAGTCTCCTCCTGCAGGCCAGCTGTTTTAACAGTAAGTCAGCTCACTTGCTTCTGGTGCTACCCTAATCTTAATCAATGGGTTCCAGCACTGGGATTTTATTTGTTCTTTAATTCTCAACTTCTGCTCCAATCTCTAAAACTGAATGTGTCATGTTTCCTTGAACCCTATATCTTCATTTCTTTGGTCTTCTTGACCATATCATGCTCCTGAAATCAAAGTCTTCTTGATTGGATTTTGAGCTCCAGACCCCCTGGGTCCTTTCTGTCCAGATCACTACCTATTATATGATCCTTGGTTTCCCCTAGTCACTTACCCAATTCCAGGAGAATCCACGGCCATCTTCCTTTTAGTCCTCCCCCAATTCAACTCCAGCGAGAGACAACAAAGAATTCATGAATACATATATATTTATTTAATTCATAATATAGCATTTTGGATGGGCTGGAATATTGTAGAGAGGGATGAGGCTGTGTAATCCACAGATGCTCATATTTCTGTCACTAGGAGAGACACTATTGGTCCAGAGCTCCCAATACAAACAGGCGTGGGGTAAAGCATTTGATAAAAAATAGTCCAACAATAGTCTAATAAATAGTCTAGCCAATAACAACAATACAGCATATGTCTGAAGCTGGCAGACTACACCATAAAAGGCAGTTTTGTCTGACCTGATGGCAATCAGTTTGGCCAACCTGTAACACACAGCCAAATACAGCCATTGGCTCCAAGGCTGCAGTTGGCTTCAGGAGCTAGAAATAAGTGTAGGAGTGGTTCTTACCTACCTGCCTGACACTCTCCATTCCTTGGAGGAAGCAGTATCAAATATTTGAGTTTATTCAAAAGTCCATCCGTGGATTGCTCCATCTTGGTAGTCATATATAAATATGTAAACCATGGAAGTTTAGAAAATTCACCTAGAGTGTTTTAGCCGAAAAGAACAGATAAGTGATTTTGCTGCAATCTGAATTTCACTGCATCTAAAGATACACATAGAATTGTATAATAAAAACACATCCAGATGCAGTTACTCTTACTTACAAGTAGCCAGAACCTCAATGTGGCATTAAAATTTCTTTCATACTCTCAAAACAGGTTTTACTTTATTTTTGATTATTTTTGTGCTTTCTTCAATAAGACAATATAAAAAGTGGAAACAAGCATAAATTGCAGACATAAAATAATCTTCTGGTAGAAACAGTTGTGGAGAACAGGTTGAGTAGAGCAACAACAACAAAAGCTTATGCAGTCACCTTCTTTGAAAATGTTAAATACAAGTCCTATTCTCTTTGTCCAGCTGGGTTTAGCTAGAGGTAGCCAATTACTTCTCTTAAGGTCCATGGCATTGCCAGGATTCTATAAAAGCCAAGTTAACTGAAGTAAATATCTGGGGCCCATCGCACCCCCACTAAGTACTTTGTCACCATGTTGTATCTTAGAAGTCATTTTTCACTGTTTGACTCAGAATTTGGGACTTCAGAGTCAAACTTCATTGCTTACTCCAAACCCAGTTTAATTCCCCACTTTTTTAAGTAGGCTTAGCTTTGAGTGATTTTTGGCTATAACCGAAATGTAAATCCACCTTCAAACAACAAAGTTTGACAAGACTGAAATGTTACTGAAAACAATGGTGCCATATGCTCCAAAGACATTTCCCCAAGATAACTGCCAAAGAGTTTTTGAGGAGGACAATGATCATTTATTATGTAGGAGCCTTGATATCTCTGCAAAATAGAATTAATACAGCTCAAATGGAGTAGTAACCAAGCTTTTCTGCCCAGGAAGTAACAAACATCACTACGAACATGAGAGTACAAGAGGAAACTTTCATAATGCATTTTTTCATTCATACATTCATTCAATAAACATTAGCCAAGCTAATGTTCCAAGCACTGTGCCAGGTATTAACAATATAACAACAATAAAAGACACAGTCCTTCCTCTCAAGGTGTTCAGTCTAGTAGGGAAGATGATTATTCATTAAAATTTTTGGTGCATCAGAATCATGAGGAGCTTGTCAAAAATGTAAATTCCTGCCTATGTTCTCAGATATTCTGGTTAGGTCAGGAGTGGGAACCCAAAATCAATTCTTTTAACAAACACTAAAGGTGATTCTAACACAGGCGGTGTGAGGACCACACTTTGAAAAACACTGCTATACAATGTGATTATTGCTGAGAGAGGGGGATGCTTGGGGTGTCTTTGGATCTCTAAAGAGGGATGCATCATCAAGTCTAAGGAATAAAGAGTTAGTCTGGTTGAGAGAGATAGAGGTGAGGAAAGGTAGTCCAGGATAGAGTCAAAAGTAGGGTGGGGAAATTAGATCTTTGTCCCAGGGCACTAAAATCTAAAAGACACCACAATAAATGAACAGTTTTGGAGAGCCAAGGACAAGGCAAAGGAAATTGTTCTACTGGAATGGAGGTTGCATTTTCTGTACTTACAGCATTTTCACACTATTCCTTTAATTTAAGAAAAATTTCTGTTGTTTACTCTGGGCATTAAAATTGTTAATCATGTTTCTGCTGCAGGCCCAGAGAATAACTTGTGTGAATAGTTGTGTAAATAGTTAAACTTGGCTACCTTAATCAATGTGAGGGGGAAAGTGGCAAAAGATTAAGCTGTGTAAGCAAACAGGGACATGAAAACCCAGACTCTGTAAGGAGTTGGGACCTTCTACTGGGTGCTAAGGGAGCCAGTGAAAAGTTTGATGAAGGGGAAAAAAATCATTTTTTTTTGTTTAAGAATTTGGGGATATGCCCTAGGGAAGAGACAAAGGTGACTGAGAAATGAAGGAGAAATGAAGGACATACATTTTAAAGCACTGTTACGCTGTATTGGAGCTGGGAGTAAGGAAAGAGATTAATATTTATGGCACACTTAGGAAATGTCAAGCGCTGAGCTAAGACAGTTTACATATGCTATCTTTTTTAACCTTTGAAACAGCCTTGTGAAGTAGACATTATTTTACAGAGGAGGAAACAGGCTCAGAGAAGTGAGGTACTTGTCCTAGGTCACAACGCTAATAAATGGTACAGAAACTAGGATCATTTGAATCCAAAGGTTATGAGCTTTCCACTACAGCAAACTATTTACCAGCACTGATGAATTTTACTGAGGTTGTTCATTTCCTGATTAGCAGTAAGCACATATGGTATTTAAAATCAAAAAAGATGACATTGCTGCTAGATTTATATTTTTGAGCCTTCCTTGTGTGTCTGCATCAGTCTTGCCTTCCACATTAAGTGAACAAACAATACATAACTGTTATTGGGGAGGATTATATACTTTGTTTCTTCCACAGAATAGTAAGCCATTTGGCAGCAGGTAGAGCATTTTGTTAATATGTGCACTCCCATGGCAGTAGTTTGGTACCTGGCATCTAATAGTTTATTGAATGAATTAATAAATGAGCATCCACCAAACTAGGGGAAAGGAAGAGGGGAGTTTTGACATTTCAAGTCTCCAATCTGAGGGAGTTGTTATGGCTACCACTTTGTAATTTTACAACAGTAATATTTTCACAAATCCCAGAAGACTTCCGAAGCCAACTTAGCTCCTGGAAAGGGGAAAGCTCTGGCTCTCTGACATCCCCAATCCCTTCGATGGAAATTTAAAAAAAAAAATCATAGACTACAAGGCTCCATTCCCTTCAACTATACTGGTTAGGACTGGGATGAAGTTTGTCTCCATTTGCGTGGAGGGATTGGCTAAGAGAATGAATACTGTAAACAAGATTGCAAAAGGAATGATTATTTATCCTATTTAAGAAAACAAACTGTTTTCAGACATTCTTGAGCACTTCAGAAGTGTTTTATCTGAAAAAGCAAGTACATTTATATGGGAATAGTTGGTGCATCAATAATACTCAATTTTTACTGATTAAGTAAAGTAGGTTCCTAAAGAGCCTTCACTGTGCAACTTTTTAAAAGCCTAATTCTCATAACTGTGTGTACTTGGGAGTAGTAAAACTTTTTTTTTAATAGTCTATGACAGAATTTTTAACAATTCAGATGGCCATCCTCAAGTAGGTAGCATCACTTCTACCTGATCAATTTTCTATCCAGCAACAGCATCTCTTGTGCAATCTTGTCTGTAAATCTCTGCTAATCCAATAAAGCTCTTCCCATTATCTGTGTCATGGTTGCATGTGTATGTGTGCGTGACAGGAGGGAGGAAGGCAATGATGGATAGAGGGAGGAAATAAATGTTGATTGATTTTGATGTTTCCTTTAGGGGACAAAAATGGATGGTGTAACTTATTTTCCCTTCCAGTATATTTCTCACTCAAATTAGCAAATTAAAAAGTTTTTTGTTCTAGTTCGAGGTGGTGTTTGGAAAAAAAAGTTTTTTGTGTATATGTAATATATAAAGTGAATATGCATAAACATACATACACAAGTGAATATATATAAAGTACATATATGTTCACTTTATATATTACATATACACATTCATGGTTTCCTAACAAACCCTTGATGATAGGTTTTCATCAAAAGTAAAATATAATATGTGATAATTTGACACTGTTCAAAATTCTACATGGCCAAACTGGCCAGTACTAGAAAGGCTGACCACCCCCCGCTCTGGCTTGCTAGCTCCTTATTCAGGGCACCTTTCCACATTATTTAACTAGAATTACCCTAATTGCTTCCAATATAATTTATATTCTTAAATCATTGGGAATTTTTAATTCTCCAATGACAACAGAGGCATTTTCTAAATTTTTCTCCAATGGCTTGAACGCAGACTACTCAGATAATTTGTTCTGAAAAACTCAATAAATTAATTCAAATACAAGCTTTAATGCACAAAAATTAAATCTGCAATATCTAGTTATTTTGGATGCTTCAAACAAACTTTATTTTGTGTCTCGTATATTGAACGCTAACTTAGGTGTAGGAGGGGAAGAACTGCTGAACTAGAGAGCCAGTGAATTATATACTCTCCTGAAACTTAATGACAGGTTTTCATCCCAGAAACATAAGGGGATTCTTGAGGCCTGCAGTTGCATTCCTGCCGCTCAGGGTAATCAATAAAATCTGGGGCAGGCAAGCCAGACAGGATCATTAGGGATTTGTTCCAGATTGTAAATGTTGGACAAACTGGAAGAATGAAGGTCACATCAAAAGTATGAAGATGGAGAGAGTTAGCTGGGTCATAGAAAGACAGCATATTGTTGTCATAATCCAGGAGGACACCCAGACGCTTCAGGTGTGGGGGCACATCCACCAGCATTTCCTTGTTGTTGTGTCTCACCACGAAGTTACTATTGCAGCGAGAGAAGACCCATGAGGAGGCATTCTTGCCAATCCATTCATTCTTTGGAGCTGATTTGTAGGCAATGCCAATTGCATACCTGTGAGACAGTGGAAAGGAGAGAGAAATAAACATTTATGAATTATCTGAGTTGTGTAAGACACCATATATGATATATAACAAATAGGATATATGTTTATTCCTTAAATAGTTTACACTTAGATGCATAATGCTGATATCACTAGAGCTTTAAAAAGTTAGCAATTAGAGCAATGTGGCAGTTTCCATCTCCTAGCCCAGTATATTTTCCATTATTTTATTAAAAAGCTGGCAAATTTTTCTAGGAGTGGTTTTCATCACATACCTTTTAACCTTGACTTATTGGTATTATGGTTGTGCTATAGAATTGAATCTCCTAGGAACCTAATGACAGAGGACAGAAAAGAAAAGGAAAATGGGATCCACTCACCATGTTGAGGAACCCATGACCACCTCCCAATAGTGGCAGCCACTGTCAATGAATATATTTCCTGCTGCCCCATAGCACCCTGTGCCACTAAACCTCTCTGGGGTGTGGCTCTTCTTTAGAGAGCTTTCATCCTTCTCCATCTGCAATCCATCATTGGAGATCTTCAACTTCTTGTGAGTCATTTTGGGATCCAATTTAAAGGGTTGGCCTGAAAAATAAGTAGAAAAAAAAAAAAGAAAAAGCACTATGAAGTATCTTAAAATTCTACCTTTTCCACCAGCATCATCACTGGCAGGGTATGCTCGATAACATGATCACTCTTGGTCCAGTGCAAGTTGGCTGCTGTTTAAATTTTATTAAGAAAACAGGCCAGAAACCAGAGTTTTCAATAAAATAAGAATAAAGGCCAATCTCCCATAAAACGACCTTCATAACGGCGTTTATTTTCCCACTGTGGGAAAAAATGTGGATCTCTCCTAAAAGCAATTTGAGGGAAGTCATATTCCAAGCAAAGAGGAGCTAATAAGCTGTCCCCCACATCATATATTATCAAAGTAAAAGGGAGTGCTCAAAGTTTCATGTTCTCAAATATGTTTTGTACTTTGCTTAATTTCAGTGGGTTGTTTGGGATTTGGGTAGATTTTAACAGAAAGAGTGTTATGATGTCTGAGGTGAGGGGAATTGATGTAATTGCTGCTTGATGGCAGAACCGGAAAACCCTGAGAACTCAGCAACTGAACAATTATTTTTGCCCTCTTACAATTGGGATGTAAATAACATATAATTAGGCAATTTTGTTAGAGTGACTGTTGCATCATCAATGATCAGAGAAAACATTTATTGTGTAGGATCATTCACAACAGATAATTCTTTATAACCATATGACAAAGGCATTGTTACTGAGGGACCAGTTGCTGGGTGTGGCAAGAGATTTTTATACAGAATGCTTCTGTGACAGACACTGTTGGCTAACACATTACCCTTTCCCAACTTTTTCTCTCTTACTCACTTTCACTATAGAGGCCGGAAAAGCTAAATACTCAATCTTCCAGCCTCCCTTACTGCTAGGGGCGGCTAAGAACATGGAAGCAGATGGAAGCAGAAGTCAGACAGAGCAGGGGAAAGTTCTAGGAAAGTTTTGGATTTCCAGATAAAAGGGATAACCATTATGTGTACCAACTCTTTCCTCTTTCCTATCTTGAGAGGTAATATGACATCTGAAAGTTGCAGTGGCCATCTTGCAGCCATGTGGCAAGAAGCCAATGCACACAGGGAGAAGGAGCCTGCATCTTTTATGACATCGCAGAGCAGCTGCATTAGCCCTGAACTGCCTACCTTCAAACTTCTTCCTATGTGTATGTGTGAGAGATAAAATATATACTATTCATTTAAACAATTAACAAACGCTATTTGTTAAGCTATGTTAGTTGCACTTTTTGTTATTTGCTGTCAAAAGCATTCCTAACAGATATGGCTTCTCTGTAGTAAGATTTTACTAGATTATCACAAATAATGCTCTTTTATGCAATTGTCCCCCAAATATAAGGGGTGGAGTACAGAGAAAACTCTTCACTAACATCCTCCCAAGCTAACAGTCTTTTTGTGCATATCTCTGAGTCCACAAATCTCCCATGGGCACCAACAAACTCCTTGCCCAAAGTACAAACTACAACAGTATAGCTCCTCTACCCAGTACCACTGCTCCCCATGCACTGCTGTGAGTGCCTGCTCAGGCTGTGTACTCCCCTGGCATGGAGAAGAAAATTGATCTTTCCTTTTGAAATCACCACAACGTACTGTTTGTTTTTAGTCGGGTAGGTTCACTGTTCCGGCTGCCGGCTTGGTTTATGGCTTTAACGATGAAGATGTAGCGAGTCCCGCTCTGGAGTCCATGCACTGTGTAATGGTTCTGTTTAATGTTGGGAACAATCATCCAGCTGTCTACTGAATTATACAGGCCTGTAACATGGGGAAAGACAAGGACATTAACCAGCAGGTAAGAGAGACAGAATGAAAAACACACTGAAAATTCATCATAAGCCACCCCCTCAAAAGTGAATTCATTTTGTTTTCTTTTGAGTCTTAGAAGATGTAATGAGATGAACCAGGGCTTATGATTCCACTATTTCATTACTCCCATAGAACTAGGCTTAGGCCAGGCTCCTTGCTTGTGGCAATTGAATGGAACTACTAGCATAAGTTAGGTTATTTCAATTTCTTTCCCAGATAACACAGGAATGGCTACTATACAGAGTCACGGAATCATCACTCTTATGGAGTCTCTGGATATTTACTCCAAACGTCCACTCCTCTGAGAGCTGAGTTTGGTCTTGTATGGATGGAGCAATCCTGTGCAGAGCAGGGAAACATGGAAACTCAGCCAAAGGGACACATAGATACTGTATTTCCCTTATTTTACAAATGGGAAACTAGGATTGAGAGAAGAAAAGTGACCTGCCCAAGGCCACAGATAGTCAGTGATGGTGCTGAGAATAGAACCCTGGTATTTTTAAAATGGTAGCCCAGTGTTCTCTCTACTACATCACAGTTCATGGGGTGAACAACAATGTTCTTTTGTCTCTGCAAGGTAGTGAGGCTCTCAGGGCTTACAATTCCACTCTCCTACTCCATCCTTACCCTTACTTCCCAAACTAGCCGGTCTCCACAGTACCGTAGGGAAGCCAAAGAGATGACATGATAACCAAAGCAAGATATCATCTCCCCACTATTACACAACACATTCTGTTGTGTGATTCCCATGTTCATTTTGGGTTGAGTGGTCCAGGAGCACATTGTTATCTGGAATCTTCCTCCCTTCCAAGTAGGGAAAGGGATCAGAGAACTAGGCTTCTGCTTTTGATATATTTTAGACTGCAAATATTAACTTAAACAGGGGAAATGTAAATAATTAAAACATGTATTTGGCAAGCTTTCGGTAAAAGAAAAACCAACATTCTAGTCTGCAGATTATTTAGACTTCTTTCTACTGTTATCTGCTTTTCAGTTAGTTTACCACTTTTTAGCCACAGTTCTACTAGAGGGTAGAAAGGGAAAGGCGAGGAATATAAGCAGTGAATTCAGTCATTTCTATGCAACTCTAGTACAAAATTTAGTGAGGTTGAAAATTGAAAATAATAAGTCATGAATGTTTTGCAAGAGATCTGATCAAAGGGCTTATAATTAATCTGAGAGGAAGTTGAAGAGCCTAAGTTAAAACTAGTAAAAGAAACGATGGAGGGCAAACAGATATGCAGGAGAAAGAGGAGGAAGAATTGGTGGAGGTGCCCAGTGATTCTAATGAAAAGACAATATGGATTAAAAGGGTAGGAGCAATGTTTGAGGCCTTGCCTATGTTACCAATACACAGTATGAATCACAAGCTGCACATAAGATTTTAATACAAAGAGGAAAACATATAATCTCCAGATACACACCCAACAATACAAAGACAAACTTCACAATGAAGTACTATGCAGCTGTGAAAAAAATGAGGAAAAGATCACTATGAACTGATATAGAGTGATTTCAAGGAAATATTGTCAATTGAAAAAAGCAAATTCCAAAAGTATATATGTATATGTAGTATATATGCAGTACACTACTTTTTTGAGAGAAAGAAAAATAAGAAAACATCCATATATTTGCTTGGATTTACAAAGCAACAACAATAAAAACAGGAAAGATAAATAAAAAATTCATGAAGTTGGTTATCCACAAGGGGTAGGGGGTGGAGGAACAGGATTAAAAGGATGTGGGAGGAAATGACATTTCTCTGAATGTACCTTTTTGTATAGCATCCTCTTTGGGAAACACATTGTTTTACAAATTCAAAAAAATAAAATTAAATGAATACAGATGGGAAAATTGGGGACTAAAGCTGAAGGCAAACTGAAACAAACCCAACTGCATTTCAGACGAACAGCATAATTACATCAATGTAGTGGGGGTGGGAGGAAAACCTCAAACAAATCCTGAAGTATTGTTAGCCAGTTTGTTTTTGTTGTGGCGTGGACAGAGCAATTCAGAAACTATTTTAGATGTATTATGGGATTGAGCAAATGAGTACATGTGTTGATGTTGGGAGCCAGGGTTCATACTGTGGAAGAAGGAACATACAAATACAGAATGGAGAAAGGCAGGAAGGAACCTGTGGGGATGGACTGGAATTTAAGGTATTGGTGTAAACTCATGATTTCTAAAATATATATATGTTTGTGTATGTGCACATAAATATGCACATATATAAAGTATGTATGCATGTGTTATTATATATGTGTGCATATGCTTACATGTATGGATATTTGTGTTTATATCTAGCATATCTAGCACTCAGGTCTTGGTCTCTAATATTGTCCCACTAAAAGAAACCAGGGTTTCTTGGAAAATAATGACTGATTTCAAGGCTGGGACAGAATAAGGTCAAAATGAGCCTAGAACATTTTGTTATGCCAGAAAGTAAGGAAGTGCTCAAGAAAATGATGGGGGAATATTATAAGGACCCAGAAATCACCTTGAAAGGCTCCCAATGGCTAAATCTTGACAATTTGAACACCAACACAAGTAAGGGCTGTAAATAATTATTAACAATTGAAAAAAGATAATTCATCAGCCCATACTGATATATAAACAAATGGGAGGAAATGGGGAGTGGAACTCTTGCTTATAGTAGAATGCCAAGTGCCAACTTGAAAATGTGGGAGGGAATACTCAACTGGAAAAATCATCATTTTGCAATCATCATATTAATGATTGATTCAGGCAAGTATCATCAACTGATAATAAAACAAGGGTGGGGGTAGGGATGAGATGGTTTGATGAAGCAGCAGGGTATTTTTATGGTTTTAAAACATACCACACAGATTCCTTATTAGTGGCAAAAGAAAAAGTAGCAACTACAGTGAATAAATCAGACGACATCTTGACTAGGTGATCAAAATTAGCATCATCAGTGAAGGGCAAGTGGACATCATGTGTCTCCAGATATTATACCCTAAGAAAGAACTGTACTGCTAAATATAATCATGAGAAAACTTCAGAAAAAATCAAAATAAGGAACAGTATAATGAAGTATAATAAAGACATAAAAGAACACTTTTTAAAAAATGTCAATGTTGTTCAAGACAAAGAAAGGCTGAAGAAATGTTCCAGATTAAAAGAGATATGGCAAAAGAGATACGACAATTAAATGTAATACCTGACCCTAAACTATAAAGGACAATATTGGGTTCTTTATATGTCATAAAGAATATTATTTGGTCAAATGTCAAAAATTGAAATATAAATGGTGGTTAGATAAAAGTATTGCATCAACGTTAAATTTCTTCAAGTTGGTAACTATACTGTGGTTATGTAAGAGAATTTCCTTATTCTTAGGAAATATACACTGAAGAATTCAGAGGTGAAAGACCATGATGTATGCAATTTGCTCTAAAATGGTTCCAAAAGAACAGGGAATGTTAGCAAATGCTAAAGGAAATGGGACAAATATTAACAGTAGGTGAATTTGGGTAAAGAATATATGGGTGTTCTTTGTGCTAGTCTTGGAAAGTTTTCTGTGATTTTGAAATCATTTCTAAATTTAAAAAGGTAAATATATGATCCTCTAGGTATTACTGAGATTTAGTAAGATGGGACTTATGATTGAATTATGTCAGTGGAAGTATACCTCTTGTTCAAAAGGGAAAAATTACAATATGGAAATCCCTGAACCTGAGTGTAAATGTGTGGTAGAGAGTATTTGCATGAGAATGAAAAGGAAGGGAAATAGAAGTTATGTCTTTCTGGTAGTATGTTATGGTCCGCCTGGCTAGGCAGAGTTTACGGCTAATGCTTTTGTAATGCAAAACACAAAATTCAAACGGAGGAAAGATAATAAAGTAATCAGAAGACAAACACACTCAAATATCTGTTGGAATTCTCATTCACCTCACAGCATAATCTGAAACATCATTGGTTGTGATCATTTCAAATCTTAGAAGAGGTGGGAAGAAAGTTAAAAATCAGGAAATAAAGTTGAAAGAAAAGGTGAAGGGGGAATAATCCTCACCAACAAGCATGAAATTTCTGGATAAAGAAAATGTGAAAAAACGTCAAAGGAAAGTAGCTCTCAGAACGGAGGTTCAGTCAACTGTGGCAGGCCAGACCGGCAGGTAGGATTGGGATCCTGAATCTTCAAAAATACTTATTCCTAGTAAAATAGTTTCTCATTGCCATCCAAAATTTTGCTTCAGGCCTCTGCCCTTGTCCTTGTTCTAACAAAATTTTCTATCAATAACTAGAGGAAGAAATAGAAGGCAGGCTGTGAGGGTAAGCAAGTATATTTGAAGGTAGAATCTGTATCCCAAAGGATTTTAGCATGCTGAAATGAAGTGGCAGAACTAACCAGATAAAATGTACTAGGGATAAATTCAAGGCTTTGTATTTTTGTTTTAGACATTCAATTGTATAAGAACAGGATTTGGAATACATAGAAAATTCAGTTGATCATATGCTCAGTAAACAGTCAGTAGTCAAAGTGGCTGCTGAAAAAAAAGGTACAGGGCAATTGGGAATCAGCTAATGTACAAGAGAAATAATCCAGCTATCCTCTGCAGTGCTCAGACCACTTTGGGAGTACTACATTCACTTCATTGACAGAACATTTTATAAAGCACAGTGATAATCAGGAGTGTGTTCTTAAAAATGATACTAGGATAACAAAAGATCTGAAACTATGCCATATGAAGAGCAATTGAAAGAAAGGAAGATGCCTAGCCTGGAAAAGAGAAAATTTAGAAGGACATAGGAACTAACTAAAATTATCTGAAGAACTGTTATGTGAAAGATGGATTAGGTTTGTTAGTGAGGCACAAAAGTTCAGAACTAGGACTAATTGGTTGCTGTGGTTTACTTTAAGGAGCATTAAACTTGAAGTCTGACAGGCTCAAGCTGCAACCTTGACTCCCTCATTTCGTAGCTCTGTGACTTTGGGCAACTCACTCAACCTGAGCCCCAGTTTCTTCATCTATAAAGTAGAGTTAATAACATTTTATAAGGCTAAGTAAGCACCCATAAGGACTAAATGAGATAATGTATGTGGGAGCATTTGTAAATGGCAAAGCATAATACACATGTAAATTATTATTGTTGTTATTATTTACTAAAAGGAAGAGTTAAGCCCCTTATAAGGAAGCACTGGCCATTATTTATAGCTGCACAACAATCAAATGGGTTGTTTTGTTAGAAGTGAGGTACCTATCACTGGAAATGTTCAAGCAGAGACAGGATGATTATCTACTGGGTGTCTGGTAGAAGGGAAGAAGATTAGACTAGATGACTTCTAAGCTCCATTCCAATTCTAAGATGCTATGATCCTATCACTGTTAAGAATTATCCTTTAAGCTTTTCTTTACAAAGGACTATATAACCTTGAAAACAGAGGTGACAACCTTTAGATCTTTGTCACTTCTCAGACTTCTTCTTAATTCCTGGGAGATGACTGCTTTCCCCATATCAGGAAAAAGAAGCACAGTTGTTGGCGCTAAGACTTTCCAGAGTAGGAGAGACAAATAAATCAGTGAAGCATTAGAGTTTGTGACTTCACAATCTGAAGAAACACCCAGGAACATAGTTACATGGGCCAAGTGGTTTAGGTTGGAGCTGCACGAAGCAAATGTTTTTTAGAGTTTGATCCCCAAATGTCCTCTCATCTCCCCACCCCACCTTGTTACAAAACAGAATTCTGCCCCAGATTTGTCACAAAACAGGAAAAGGAAGCCTATTTGAAGGGGTTAGTTGGAAAAACTACTCTCATGCTGGCCTGTGAAGTCAGACACAAAAGCAGGAACAAAAAAGTAAAAGAAAATACTAATTTGCAGCTATGGAGATGTTATTTTAGGTTGGGAATCTGTTCCAGTCTTGAATCCAGCTTTAATTTTGCTTTTGTTTCCATTTCCACCATCCCTCACCCCAGCCCTCACTGCACCCAGGGCATTGAGGGGAACTTTCAGCTCATCCCCTCTTGACTGGCATGAGTGAAGTTCCTACTCTGTTTTGTCTTGCTCCAATTCACCAGAAAGTGAAACCGTAACATGTGAGCTAAACAACAGCTTTGTTAACCTTTTTCATTTTGTGGCCCACTGACATGTTTTCATATTTAGCATAATTCTTGGTGGAAAGGAAGAAGTAAAGGGAAGAGTGACAGAGGCAGGAGGCTTGTCACCATATTCACTGATAGAGGTAGGTTTGGTAAAGGAAAAGTCTTTGAACATAATGTATTTTACCACGATAATGAAGTAGAAGAAGAGTCAAGGAGAGAGATGTTCATACACACAGAACCAGCAATGATGGTGGCAAGGAACAAGTACCAAGCTGTACTCTCCTTGGGAAAGTGGAGTGACATGGATTAATTGAGGAAAGGCTAAGGGTTACATAAATGAATGGGAATGGCCCCAGCAACTGCCCAGCAAGGAAATATACAACTTGCTTGTTACCCATCAGTAAGGTCTTTGCAATGCCCTGGGGAGCTTACACTGTCTATGAAACACTATACTAAACAACCTAACATGTCTTACAAACACTTGCCTCGTGGCGCCCCGGCCAATCTTGAGCAGCTTACTGCTTCCTTACATTTCCTTATCTCTGGCCACAGGCCCCAACTACACCATGACTTACTGATGAAGTTAGCCTGGCCAGTGAATATGGTGTACTGAAGCTCATAGGAGCTGATGCTGAACTCATCATCCGAGATCCAGTGGACTGTAATGGTGTCATGGGAGGCAGTACAGAGTTCTTCTCGGATAGATGGTGGGTTTGGGGCTGTAAGGAAAGGTGGAAAAGAAAGTAAGGAAAGCATACTTTCTCTTCTGGAATTTTACAATTGTTACTCTTCCTGCGTAACCCAACATCTCTTGAAGAGATTTTCTTAATAGAGAATCTTTAGATTGCATGAACCATGCAACCTGAAGCAAAATGCTGGGATCTCAAGCTCCCTAAAACCACTTTTGCTACATCAATAAAAATATTTTAGCAAAGATATAAGCCTAAATTTTTGTGATGACTGCCCCAGCTGTCTAGTCTGCCTGCATAAACACTTATGTAGACATTAAAGTGATTATATGGTTTTCTTAACATACGGTCTTCAACTTATTTTTTTAAATTTCAAAATGAGTATATATATATATAGACAGATTTTTGCTCTTGTTGCCCAGGCTGGACTGCAGTGGCGCAATCTCGGCTCACTGCAACCTCTGCCTTCTGGGTTCAAGTGATTCTCCTGCATCAGCCTCCTGAGAAGCTGGGATTACAGGCACCCACCACCACATCTGGCTAATTTTTGTATTTTTAGTAGAGACAGGGTTTCGCCATGTTGGCCAGGCTGGTCTCGAACTCCTGACTTCAGGTGATCCACCCACCTCGGCCTCCCAAGGTGCTGGGATTATGGGCGTGAGCCACTGTGCCCAGCCCCATTATATATTTTTAGCTGTATAGTCAAGTGCAAAATAATGAGTTCCCTCATCTATAAAATAGGGGTGATAATTAACTTATAGATTTGTTGTAAGGTTTAAAGATACAAAATTAATATACAGTGTCTAGAATAAAGTAGATGTTCAATAAGGAGCAGCTATTTAATATAGTAACAAAACAGTTCAAAAATTGTTTGTGTATATTTTTTTCATGAAATGATCATTAAATAATCCTGAAAGTAGCCAGCATTTTTAACAGGCTGGTTGCATCCCTCATTTTCTAAAATTGTCTGAGAGCCAGATATTTCTTACATTTTTCTTCCTGATCTACTAACTCCTAATTTTCCTTAAAACCATTTTGGTTGTACTTACACCCACATAAGGCATTCTCTAATATTCCCTAATTGTCACCTGAGTTCTACTCTCATAACTAGCAACAATACATTACTGTTAGATTCATAAGGACAAATCTATCAGCAATTTCTTGTGTTTTACTCTTAAGTACAGATGGTATACCCATTTTGACCCTAGAAATAGTTAACAAATCATAAATCATCTTTTTTTCTGTTACATGAACTAAAATATATTCTGTCTGAAAAGACACATGCATCATTTTAAAGATTATAAAATATGTAAATTATAAATATTGTCTTTTTCAAATTATTTTTAAGTAAAAGCATACCAGAAGAAAAAAAATTAAATGGAAAGGAAAGCACAGTATTTTCACACCTGTTAAATAATCTAACCCCTCTAGCAGTTTCTTTTCTCTGGAAAAATCTAAAGCAAAGTTTTCAAAGGCATCATTAAAATTGATGTCTGGAATCAGAACTTGAGAAGATGCAGTTGCCATAGCGACCCTGAAAAAGAGAAAAGTACATCAATATACATCAAAATAGGTTGCAACTTTCACCCAGTGTTTGATTTCTGGTTTAACAAGGAGAAAATAAATGACTTGTAAGGCTTGATTTATTTAGTGAAAATATCATATCTCTGCCTTTCCAATGGAAACTATTTAAATTTTAATCATCAGGAACCAATTAAGAGTTATACCATATTTATTCACATATGTTCACCCCTCAAACACACTCCCCCATCCGGTCTTAATTTTGAGAAGTAAATACAGGATTTTTTCCCCTCTGCATCATTTTCCATCTGGCAGACAGCATCAAAACTAGACCTTTAAAGGTTTGGTAAAAACAGTTTAAGAGAGATTTTTCTTTTTTGTTTATGCTAGTCAGCAAGTCAGCATGCTAGGTTAACACCTTCCCTAAATATATCCTTTATGTGATTTTTTTTTTTTTGAGACAGAGTCTTGCTGTGTCACCCAGGTTGCAGTGCAGTGGCGCCATCTCAGTTCACTGCAATCTCTGCCTCTCCGACCCCCTTCCAGGTTCAAGCAATTCTCATGTCTCAGCCTCCCTAGCTGGTGGCCCGCCACCACACCCAGCTAATTTTTGTATTTTTAGTAGAGACGGGATTTTGCCAAGTTGGCCAGGCTGGTCTCAAACTCCTGACCTCAAGTGATCCACCCGTTTTGGCCTCCCAAAGTGCTGGAATTACATGAGCTAGCCACCGCACCTGACCTATGTGATCTTTTATAATATTTATATTTCACTTTATTATCCTCAGATTGTATAGTGCTATGATAGTTTTATCTTCCCAACTAAATCTAGGAGTCTCAAGAGCAGGGTTCATATTTTGTACCTCTTAATATCTTCCATGGCCCTAACACAGCATTTGACACATAGTGAAAAAATAATTGTTGAATGAACAATTGAATGACTAACAACAAAATAACTGCTAACATTTATTGGGTGCTTAGTATATACAATGCTCTGTGCATTCACTTTACATACACTATCTAATTTACTCTTTACCATAACACTATGTAGTAGATGTTATTTCCATTTTGCGAATGAGAAAGTTGGCACATTAAAATGCTAAGTAACTTGTCCAAGATCACACAACCAGTAAGAGTCAGAAATATAATTGAGCCCATGTCCATCTGATTCTAAATTCTATAACCTTAACCATTTAGACTGTTCTTTTCTTCAAAAAATTGAGGTATATTTTATATATTTCAGCAATTTTTAGCCATCGCTACACATCAGGATTATCTGGAGGAGCTTTTGCCAAAATATACATGTTTTAGTCCTGTGCAAGATCTTCTAAATCAGAGCCAATGAGATCCTTGAACATGTAAATGATGGTGAGGAAAGAAAAATTCACTTGGCAATAATATGTAGGTTAGAGGAGAGAGAAAAGGCATTGAATGTAGGAAGACCAGAGAGGAAACTTTTATGGTGAACTAGTTGTAAGGGAATGGGAAACTGAAAAATACATATCCTCATGTACATATACCCTGCTATACATCTACCAACAACACCTCTTATTGTTTCTGAAAATAGAGATGTTTCAGTGATAAACTACAGGCCAAATGAAAGACTAGCTCAGTACAATCATAAGGTCTCACATGAATAGCCAGGATTTGGTGAGTAAGGAGACAACAACTTCTTTAGGATAACAGTTAATCTAGAAAATTAGCTCATGGAATTTCTTTCTGGCCTCTCCAATCTTCTTTATTTCCTCCATCCATCTATCCAATACTTATTAAGCACAACTAATGTGCCAGGCACTGTACTGGGCACTGGAGATACACAAAGTGAACAAGCTTTGCTGTGGTTCTTGCCTTCAAGAGCTCACACATCATGAAGGAGAAAGACATTACGTGGGCAATAGAAGTGCTGCTACAAAGGGAGTAGAGCATACACAGGAGTTATCTAAAGAGACTTGGGAGCTAAGGGAAATCTCCCATGTGGAAGTCGATTTTCACCAATGACCTATGTAATGAGTAAGAGTTAACTAAGCAAAGACTATGTGGATGTGTGTGTGTTCTCTCTTGTTTGAAGCCTGGAGAATGAGACAAAATCATGCAGGACTTTGTAGGCCACGTTACAAACGTTGGATTTTATCTTAAGAACGATGGGGGTCACTAAGCATTAGGTGGGGAAATAATATGCTGAAATTCATGTTTCAGGAATACTACTATGGCTTCAGTGGAGGGATTGGAAAGGGTCAAAATTGGAGGCAAAGAGACCAGATTTTAAAGTGTCTTGGAATAAGCATGAGTGTAAACAAACAAAACAAAAAGGGTTAATTCACAAAGCATCAAAGAAAACAAAGTCAAAGCAAACAAATGGCCAATAAATATATTTAAAAAGTCCAACTTTATGAGAAATCAAAGAAATGTAAATTAAAATGAGATAGCGTTTAAATTACAAACAAATGACAGCATAGGAGCTTTTATGCCTATAGTCAATAATGCCTACATATTTGTATTAGGATTGAAATTGATACATATTTTGAAGGCCAAATTAGCATTAAATTTCAAAATAGCTTAAAATATAAGTCTTCTTTGACACCACAGTTCTATTTCATAAAATTTTTATTATGGAAATAATTGAGATGTATGCAAAGATAGAACTACAAGGGCACTCAACACACCATATGTAGCCTGATTGTCTAACAGTGGAGACTGAGTTAAGTAATGTACTATACATCAAAAGATAAAATAACATGAAGCAATTGGAAATCAGGTTTTATAATATCCAATGATATAGAGAAAAGTTTGTGATACATTGTTTCAAATGTAGAGTATAATATAGTATATATAGCATATCATGTTTGTGAAATATATCTAAATAGAAATATTAGAATACCATATTCCTAAATGTTAATGATGGACCAAAGGTTAAGAATGGGTTAAAAGTGACATGGTGGGGTGTGTGTGTGTGTGTATCTGACTGTCTGTGTTTTTTTATTTAAGCAAAACACAACATTAGCGATCTTGTTGCAGTCTCTCAAGGCCTTGGTTTCTATTGCACATAATATAAGGTGTCATTTGTAAGGGGAAAGGCATATCTCTCCCAGCTAAAATTTCATTTTAACTGAAGTCATGGTGGCTTAACACAATACAATGCATAATGGTGGGGGAAAATTTCAGACCCTGTGGGAGACCAGTATTGAAGGTGAGTAGATGATTCTCAAGTCATACTACATAGATAGTCATCTATTCCACCTACACCTCAGGTTATACCTGAGCCTATGCAAAGAAGATTCAGATAAAGAGTTGGGAATCATAACCATCTAGATGGTAATTGAAGCCCTAGGAACCAATGAGTTTGCAACAAGGAGAACGTGTAATGAGAGAAGAGAATAACCTAAGACACAATCACAAAGAACAATAGCATTAAAGGAATAGGCCAAGGAAACATTGCTCACAAAGGCAAAACAAAACAAAAACAACAAAGTAGGAAGAAAACCAGGAGTGTTCATGGAAGGTAAGGGCAGAGAAATTTCAAGTAAAAATGTTCAGGAGGACAAATGCTACTGAGAGATCAAGTAAGATGAAACAAAGGGGTGTCTATTATATTTAGCAACAAGGTATTCATTTGATGACCTTGAAAAGAATACTTTCAATGGTGTGGTAGTGGGACAAAACATTTCAGAGGGTTGGAGAGCAGAGATTATTAAATACAGTGGTTTGAATATATGTTTTATTTTTGCTTTCATGAAATCTCACTGAAATAACAGTCAAAGAATGAAATGTCATAAACCCACAAAGACAAAGAGAATGGAAAAGAGATGCCAACAAGTAAAAGATTGTCAACAAATGTTTGGAAGCTAGAAAGGGATGAATGTGTGGTAACCAATAACAGTCCAGAGAAAGCTAGATCAGGAAGCCAACAACATCAAGTTGATTTAGTGCCACAGAAAGTTGAAAGTTTGCATGAGGAACAACTAGATCCACAGATCCATGCACACTAAACCAGAGACTACCCTTCCCTCATTCTGGCAGGATATGTGAGTTTTACTTTCTGCTGATCTTTGACATTATACTAAAAGCAGTCTTAAAACTCTCAGCTCCTTTTCCCTCCTTGGCTCCCAGAATGCTGGCAGCCAGGCTTATACCTTCCACACCGCTGCCCCTCCAATCAAAAGCAGGAGATTGGAGGATTTCATCCAAGGGAAACTGACCCAAGAGAAAAGACCTACAGAACTGACACTTGGGAGTCCATCAATAAAAAGCCAGCATTCCGCCTTATAATCCTATAGCAAAGTTCACCAACCCATAAATTATTCCCATCCACTCAGAGTTTCCAGTCATCTTTTAGTGCTTAAACTCAAACACACAGCCAGTAGTTTGCCAGATATTTAGGAAAAGACAGCAATTTAAACTAACAGAGAAAAGGAACTGGGAGGAAACCCAGACAATGCAGGGTTTAGAAGCAAACTTTTAAAAATGACAATATTCTCAAGAAGAAAACCAAATAGTTCGTATCCACAAAGCAAAAACAGAATGCTAAAAAAGAAACAAGGTGAAGGATGAGCTCTTGTGAATAAAATTAGGAATGCTGAAATTAAAATTTCAATAGAAGGATTTAATGAAAAATTAAGGAAGTATCTTAGTAAAATAAGAAGACAAAGTCATGGAAAATGGAAAAGATAAAATTAGAGAAAAAAAGTCTAGGATGTCCAACAGTTCACTAATCAAAGTCCCATAAACAAAGAAGAGAAAGAATAAAGGGGAGGAAATTATTAGCAAATAATACAAGAACATTTCCCAGAGCTAGAGGTCACCAGTCTTTAGATTAGAAAGATTCACTGAGTGCCCAGGAAAAATGAATGACAAAAAGTCCACAACGCGCCAGACACGGTGGCTCACACCTGTAATCTCAGCACTTTGGGAGGCCAAGGTGGGCAGATCACTGGAGATCAGGAGTTCGAGACCACCCTGGCCAACATGGTGAAACCACATCTCTACTAAAAATACCAAAATTAGCCGGGCGTAATGGCGTGAGCCTGTAGTCCCAGCTACCAGGGAGGCTGAGGCAGAAGAATCACTTGAATCTGGGAGGCAGAGATTGCAGTGAGCTGAGATCGTGCCACTGCACTCCAGCCTGGGCAACAGAACAAGAAGAAAGAAAGAAGGAAAGAGAGAGAGAGGGAGAAAGAGAGAGGGAAAGGAAAGGAAAGGAAAGGAAAGGAAAGGAAAGGAAAGGAAAGGAAAGGAAAGGAAAGGAAAGGAAAATCTATAACAGAGGCAAATCTTGATGAAATTTCAGAAAAACTGGGTTAAAGATAAGATCTTTAAAACTTCTAGATCGTAATGGCTATTATTAAAAGGAGGAAGGATAAGTGCTGGTGAGGATGTAGAGAAAAGGGAACCCTTATACATTGTTGGTGGGAATATAAATTAGTACAGCCATTATAAAAAACAGTATGGAGGTTCCTCAAAAAACTAAAAATAGAACTACTGTAGGATCCAGCAATCCCACTAGTCAGTATATATCCAAAGAAGTTGAAATCAATATGTCAAAGAAATATCTGCATTCCCATGTTCACTGAAGCATTATTCAGAATAGCCAAGATATGGTATCTACCTAAGTTTCTATCAATGGATGAATGGATAAAGAAAATGTGGTATAGATACATAATGTAATACCTTTCAGCCACTGAAGTTGGAGGAAATCCTGTTATCCTTGACAGCATAAATGAACCTGGAGGATGTATGCTAAGTAAAATAAGCCAGGCACAGAAAGACAAATACCATATGATCTCGCACATAGGTGGAATCTGAAAAAATCAAACTCATAGAAATAGAGAGTAGAATGGTGGTTACTAGAGGCTGGTATGAGGAGGGAATGGGGAGTTGTTGGACAAAGGGTATAAAGTTTCAGTTAGACAGGAGGAATAAGTTTCTGAGATCTGTTGTGCAGCAGTGTGAATATAATCAATAATAACATATTGTATGTTTCAAAATAGCTAAAAGAGTAAATCTCAATGGCTGACCACAAAAAATGGTGAGGTAATGGATATGTTAATTGGCTTTGATTAGTCATTCCACATTGTATGCATATATGAAAACATCACATTGCAACCCATTAATGTATACAACTATGATTTGTCAATTAAAAGTAATATTAACTTTTGTTTAAGCTTCTGGATTTTAAAACATAGGTTATATTCAAAAGATCTGGATTCAAAACGGCAGTGAACGTCTCAACACAATAATGGAAGCCAGGAGACAATGAAGTCATGCCTTCAAAATTTATTTCCAACCTATCAAGTGTGAAAATTAACTTGAAATATTTTTAGGCAAAAAGTTCTTGAAAATTTACTTCCCATGTACTCTTTCTTAAGAAACTACAGGAGCGTTTGTTTGAAAAGCTTAAGGGAATCAAGTGGTACAGGAAGGGGAAATCCAGGCAGAGCCCAATGAGTTCCCTAAAATTAAGGAGACAGAGCTGAGAATCCAAGTGGACGAAGTTGGCTGGAGTTCACAGGACATAGTACCAGAGAGGAAAAAGCTGCAGAGAGAATTCTAGAGACCTTCAGAGTTTCCCTCTAGTAGTCAACAGAATACTGATCAACAAATGCATGCGAGGAAACTGCATAATGCTGGGGAAAGAGCCACCCAAAAAGATAAGAGGGAACAATCCCTGGTACTCACATAGGTCTAGCAATAGTGTGTGTTCCTACCAGCTAAACTGGAAAATCTC
This sequence comes from Homo sapiens, assembly GCF_000001405.40. NCBI lineage: Eukaryota > Metazoa > Chordata > Mammalia > Primates > Hominidae > Homo > Homo sapiens. The sequence continues at coordinate 107,909,296 of NC_000023.11, read as the reverse complement.
ATGACTCACAGGACACTGGAATAGAGTACTCAGAAGGGTTTTGCCTCAGTAGTGGAGAAAAATTGTCTCTAGACTAAACATTGCTCTGATCTCACCTATCAAATCTGAAAACCAAGACTTGAAAGGATCAAGCTGTTTTCAAGTAACTTAACTGTGTCTCAGAACAAAGTTTAAGAATATTTATAGGAATACAAAAATATACAGCATCCCGAAAGAGAAAATTAACAAGTCTGATATCCAGTAAAAAATTACCTGATAGGCAAAAAATCAAGAAAATACAATCCATAATGAGAAGAAAAGGCAACCAATTGAAACGGACCCAGATATGACACAGGTATTAGAATTAGCAAGCAAGGACATAAAAGCAATTATTTTAACTGTATTCCATATGTTCAGAAAGCTAGAGGAAAGGCTAAATATCTTTTTTTGTTTTCAGAGACAAGACATTGTCCTGTTGCCCAGGCTGGAGTGCAGTGGCAGCATCGTGACCCACTGTACCCTTGAACTCCTGGGCTCAGAAGATCCTCTTGCTTCAGCCTCCCAAGTAGCTAGGACTACAGGCACATGTCACCAGATGCAGGCTTTTTTTTTTTTTTTTTTAGATGGAATCTCGCTATGTTGCCCAGGCTGGTCTCAAGTGATCTTCCCACCTCAGCCTCCCAGAGTGCTGTGATTAAAGGTGTGAGCCACCACACCCAGCCTGAATATCTTGAGATATGGAAGACATTTTTTAAAAGACCCAAATCAAACTAGAGATGAAAGTTATAATATCTAAGATAAAAAATACACTGGAGGGGTTAACAGCAGATTAGGTATCACAGAAGAAAAGGCTAGTGAACTTGAAGATATATCAATAGAAGCTATCCAAAATGAAACACACTTGCATGTGTTTTCACAATGGCAAAAAAATAAAAAGACTGCAAAACAAAAATAGAGCATTGGTAAGCTATAGGACAATTTCAGACAGCCAAATATACATGTAATTGGAATCCCGAATAGAGAGGAAGGAAGTGGCATAAAAATATTTGTAGAAGTAGTGGCAGAAAAAAAGTCCAAATTTGCAGAAGTTAATTGATACTGTCTAAAGTTGAAAAAAATTAAAACTACCAATGTAAGGATGTTATTTAGAAATGTAAGGTCATGCCAATAAAAACATCTGATAGAGCTGAAATTGCTTGGCTTTGTTGTAAAAGTGTAGACTGTGGCACTAGACTCCCTAAATTTGAATCTTGCCTGTGCCCCTTACTAGTTGGACAATTGTAAGCAAGTTATTTAACCTCTCTGAACATCGTTCTCTCATTTATAAAATGGGGATAAAAGTAGTATCTACCTCATAAAGTTTTTTTGAGGATTAAGTGAGTTAATACTTATGAAGGCTTAAAATAATGCCCAGTACAAAGTAAGAACTCTATTGATAATGGTATTATCAGAGAGCAGACATTGAGAATGAGGAGATTGCTATTTCTTGCAATATGACTTATAGTAATATTTTACTTTCTAACTATGCACAAGGTATTACTTGGATATAAATACATTTTAAATATTTCAGAAGAGTAAATTAGGGGTGAAGAAATGTAAAGTCTTTCGCGAAGTTTGCTGTGCAGGGAAGGAGAGGGACAGGTGATAATTGGAGGGGATATGAAGTAGAGGAAAGTCATGGGGTTTTTTTGTTTGGTTGGTTTTAGGTAGGAAAGACATGAGTGGGTTAAAAATGGATGTGAAGTCAACTATAGAGAGGGATAAATTGAAGCTATGGAAAAAAGAGTGTATTTGGCCAAAGCACAAATGAAGAGACATCTCTTCCATTTTAATCAGAAGGAAGGCAGAAGTTAATGGATGTGGACCTAAGTGTGTTCAGAAGTTTGATATGAGAAGTTGAATTCGCTATTTCACACTTACTGTTCTTTGTAAAATAAGAGGGCATTTACTGAGCATAAGCAGAAAAGTGGCAGAGTTGGAATTTTGAGGTAAGTACAAAAGATTTGAGATAGCCATTATGATGACAAGTTAAAAAGAAAGCTGACCAAAGCAATGCAGAAGGATTTCAGGTTAGCACTGAAGGCCCAGGTGAGGTTTAGAAGCTATACATTTGTGATGCAGTAGTACCAACCTCTTTGGTTATGTGATTTTCTCCAGTAGGGTGCTGCAACTCAAATATAGGAATGGAAAAAGTGGGACTGATTCAGGATTAGGACTTTATCAGGTTGGTATGTTAAAAGGACAATGGGGCAAGGGGATTGAGAATATTGAAAAGAGAGTATCTGAAGTGAGAAATCACAGATCCTAAATAGGCTAAAGAAAGAAGCGAAGACAGGAAATAGCTGGTAGGTCGGAAGAAAGTATAGGAGTCAGGCCTTAGCAGTCTCAACAAAGTTGAAGTATACACGTATTTGAAGAAAAAAAGAATTGTTGGCCGAGGGCAGTGGCTCACGCCTGTAATCCCAACAGTTTGGGAGGCTGAGGCAGGCATATTACTTGAGGCCAGGAATTCGAAACCAGCCTGGCCAAAATGGCGAAACCCCATCTCTACTAAAAATACAAAAATTAGCCAGGCATGGTGGTGCATGCCTATAATCCCAGCTACTTGGGAGGCTAAGTCAGGAGAATCCTTTGAACCTGGGAGGCAGAGGATGCAGTGAGCCAAGATCGCACCACTGTACTCCAGCCTGGGCAACAGAGTGAGACTCTGTCTCAAACAAAACAAAACAAAAATAAGAAAAAAGAGTTGTTAAGTAGAGGGTATAGTTAAAAACTGGCATGTTTTAAGTTATGATTTCAGTGCAATTCTGAGTGATGGTGAAGTTCATTCAGCATGTGGTCCATGAAAATGGGTGGATGAGATGGAGCTCTGAGGTGAGAGTCACTGTTGGAGGGGATGTTAAAGAAGCTAGATGGCTAAAGCATTAGATGAGTCAGCCATGTGGTTGTTGCTGAAGTCACCCAAAATGATGGCAGAGGCAATGGGAGGAACACTGCGAGCCTGGAGCCAAGGTCTTCAATGAATGAGAAGGAGATATATGGAGGTCAAATCTGGCCTTATGAGCCTCTGCAGCCCCTTGAAGTCTTGGTGACTATACTGAACAATGTTTCACTTTAGACCCTGGTTTTTTTGCCAGTGGTCTATGGATGGGCTTCTAAGGATCTGCAAGTCCTCTGAAATAGTATAGAAAATTATCTGTGTATATTTATTAAATGCATTGTTTTTCCTCTGGAAGAAGGTTCATGACTCTCATCTAATTTAGAAAGGGGTGAGTGATTAAATAAAGGCCTAAAAATTACTGCCATAAAGGATTTATGTGCAGAATAACTAAATGAAAGCAATAGAAACTGCATGCAGACTGAGAAGAGCACGCACCTATCAATATAGCTAAAAGTTTCTCTACCCTTATACCAACACCATCATAGAAAACTCATGCGCTGAGTGAGCAGCAAGGAGCTATGGCAATAGCTACGGCTGGTACTTGACTGTGCCTTAAAAGAGCTGATAGGCTGCAGAGACAGAGACAAGGGTCCAGAAATCCAAAGGGTAATTTACCACTGAGGCTCAATAACTACTTAACTGGTAAAATCTTCAGGTGGCAGCTGTTAGATACATGCCTGAACTTTAAGTGACTTTAAATTGGCCTCTTTTCACAAGAGCAGGCATTTCCAAAGAATATAAGGAACTGACCTCTCAGCAATATTTTTTGCAGACTGTAGAAACCGTGCCTGGTCATTTTCTTTCAGGATATGCTCAGCTTGGTTGATGAGGACTGTTGACCGTTCAAGACACTGGCGGCAATTAGCAACCTGCTGTGCCAACTTTCTCAGTTTCATAACCTTTAAGGAATTAGTAAAAGAAAAAAATAAGATAAAACATGCAGTGCTTAATTAAAAACAATAAAAAACAACATGAAGGAGGCATGCTGCAGTGATTCTAAAAATAAGGTTTATTAATATTCCATGGTCCCTGTACTAACCACTCACCTTCTCACCCTACCCACTGTGTCTCTTGTGCCAACCCCTCCTTCTCTTATCTACTGCTTGCATACTTAGGCTGCAACACAGTCATATACTCTCGGTTATCTACCTCCTCTGTGTATTAGTAACACTAATTTTTCTGGTTATAAATCAATGCATGCCCATTATAGAAAATTCAGAAAATAAAAAGTATAAAAGAAACACTACCACCCAGAGATTATAATTGTTTACATTTTTGTTTGTTTACATTTTGTTGTCAATATATTTTCACATATATGTTTACTAAAAAGTACCATCTTTTTCTTTATGAGTATCTACAGTTCTATGTACATATTTCTCTAAGTGTCTTTATGCATACCTGTGTGTTCACAAATCTGTATTCTTGGAAACTTTAGTTTCCTGGATAAGCTATAACCACTCAGCATGGCACAAATTATTAGTGATCACTCTAGCCTCTCAAAACATCTCACATTATACACACAGCATGAACTTATAACCACTAACACTGACGAGCAAGCCAACAAGCCTAAAACCATATAGCTGTATGGAGGCTCACACTTGACGCTTATGATCATGATTCTTCAGTTCCCAGGCTAGAAACCTGAATGTCTTCACTGAGTCTTCCCTCTCTCTCATTCGTCTTTTATATTTAAAAGTTCAATGTTTCCTATCGTTTCCTTTCTAGCAGTGCCTGTTGTGTTCTTCCCTCCCATTTGTGCTGCCACTACTCTGGTTTAGGTCTTTATCAACTCTTACAAAGCATCATTCCATAAGTCTCATAACTTGCTACCCTGACTTTGGTATCATCCCATTCTGATCTACCCTGCATACCTCTGCCATATCAATCCGTCTTTCTCCCTTCCTAAGAAACGAGAATGGCTGCCCAACACTTTTCAGATTAAGCCCAGAGTCCTCATCCTGGAATTCATGGTCCATAATCCTGACTCACATTTCTACCATTACTTTTTTCCTTTTCATTGAGTTATAACATACAACAGTAAAGCACCCAAATCCTAAGTGTACAGCTCAATGAACTTTTGCCTACACATACACCCACGTAAACCAGGTCAAGATATAGAACGTTTCTAACACCCCAGAATGGCCATCGTTTTTACTGGATTCAGAGCAGTAGGCCAAACATCACTTCTTTGCCTCTCCCCCTATAATCTCATTTCTTCTTGATTTCATGATCAAACCAGAATCATCTGGATCAAACTTTGATATTTGTAAAGTCAACCCTTCCTTGGATTCACTGAAGTGCTGCGCTTTACCTTTGTCTCTTTGATTTTGACAGCGATCATTTGCTTCCTCTGCTGGATGATCTCTACCAACTCGTCACATTCTTCCATAAGTTTTGCCTCATGCATAGCAGTATTCACCTGCCAAGAAATTTCAGAGTATTACACAGTGATTGTTGCCTTTGTCCCCTGCTGGCTCTAAAAGGTTCGGACTGACAGCTAAGCATGCACAACTTCTTCCATACCTCCCTCATAAGATCCACTCCTAGAAGAAGGGTAGAGATGATGATATTAATGATGCAAGGGCATTGAAGCACCACAGTTAGGAAGCTCTCCAGGCCTCTGGTAGATCATGATGGTTAATGGAAGGCTGGGCAGAAGGACAGATGAGATGGGGGCATGTTATTCCCACTGAACAATTCCCTTTACTCCAGTACCCTTTCCTCCTGCTGTTCTTTTGGAAAGAGGGTAAGGAGATTTATGTATGTCAAGAAAAGAGTATCCTCCTCCACAGGCACAATATTAAGATAACATTACAACAATATATTGTGCTAACAAAAATATTTTCAGTTTTCCTTGTTCCCTTCTAATTTTTCACATTAAATATATCATTAAACATATATTCATGTGTATATATTTTTCAGATAGTTGTCGTGTTTTAGTGGGTATTTCTCACCTTGGGCTGTCCAGTATCTGAATACCTTTCCTATTTTGGGATACTGGCTACATCAAAACATCTTTACTGCAAAGTCAGGGTTGGAAAAAAAAAAAAACTACCATTCTGCATTTTCTTTCCATGGATTGATTTCTCCTTCTCCTCATCTCTATTATTATTGACACTAGATGGTACAGAGCCCCCAGGAGGGGCTAAAATGAGAGCAGGGGATTTTGGGGCTGCCCAAGTATAACAGGAAAGGAAGGAGAAAAGAACTAACATCTTTTTAGTACTTAACTTGCCAAGCACTTCATAGGTAAATTATTTCATGTAATTATCATAACAATTTTACAATATAGGAACCATGTTTATTCCCATTTCACATACGGGGAAACTGAGGCGTAGAGAATTTTAGTGACTTGCTCAAAAATCACACAACTAGTAAGTGGTAAAACCAGAATTCAAACCGAGTTCTGTCAAGTGAAACCCCTGGGCTGGCTGGGTGGGCGGGCGAGGTTCAGTTCCATTTCAGCAGCACACAGAGCAGTCATACAGGGAAGCACAAGCATTCCAAGAGTCTATTCAAGGATCACTCGAGCAGAGCTCTAGAAGGCTGAGGAACAGACAATGGGTTACTTGAGAGCATCAAAACTCAAGGGGCTAGATGTGCTTCATTAGCAAGGTAGGGCTGCATTTCCAATTGCTATCCCTCTTCAGAGGGTTGCTCCATATTCTCCAACCCGAGCAAAATACCTGTCACTGGACCCTACTACCCCCTCTCTCATACTTGAAGCTCACTGATGGCTAATTTTCTGTTTCCTACTTAACTGAAATAAAATATGTCTGTTGCTGAGTGACAATCTTATGTTGCTTTTTTCCATTTTCTAGGGCAATGTCACAACTGGGGCTTCTGTTTACTCTGAATGGCACTCTAGCCATTCTACTTTTTTTTCTCAGACACCTCACCCTTTCCCTAAATTGGATCTACCTTTCCAAGGCAGATATCTCACCAGCTCACGAACTCCTTTATCTGAGACTAAGAGATTCATTTAGTTTTCTCTGGGTCCTTGCTTACAGTATCTAGAAACTTAGACACTTGCCATTTATAATTTCTTTTTTAGGTGGCTACTGGTGTAGTACACAATGATGTCGTACCTGGTTTCTTAAAATGTAATCCTCGGACTAGCCTTTACATAACACTATATGCCTGGCATTGCTCTAATTAGTTTACATATATTGGCTCTCTCAATCCTCAAAACAGTCCCGAGGTAGGTACCTTTATCTACATTTGACAGATGAGGAAAACTAAGCACAGAGAGATTAAGTGACTTGCTTAAGGTTACACAGTTAGTACATAGCAGGGATGAGATTTGGGCTGAGAGAGTGCAATACTAGAGACTACACGTTTAACCTTACACATATGCTGCTCTCCAGTTGAGTGTAACAACACCCTTTTCTTCAATTTCTGAAAATCATCATCTCTTTCAAATCATCCATCTTTATTCTGTCATCCGTTTCTCATTAGTCACTTCAGACTCCTTGTTGTTCCCCTAGAATGCCATGCACTTTCATGTCCTGTGCCTTTGCCCGAGATTGTCATTTTACTTGGAAAGTCATTTCCCCATCTGTTTACTGAACACATTTCTACTTATCTTTTAAGGCCCTTCTCAAAGATCATCACTTCTATGATTTTTCTCACTTGCTTGGACACAAGCAATTGATCCCCTATTTATATTTTCACATACTCTATATATAGTTCAATTATACCATTTCCTATATTTTATCATATTAGTCTGTCTTCCTCACTCCATCATGAGTTCTGGAGGGCAAGAATTGTGTCTTATGTGACTATATCTAGCTCCACTATCATGATGGGCACATAGTAGATGCTCCGTAATTATTTGTTGGATTGAATTAAATGTGAAAAAAGGTATCTTTTACTCCTCATTAGACATGTCCACTTTGTTACTCAAGTTACCCTAAACTCAGTAAGTCTAAAAACAAACTTATCACCTTCTCTCCAGATCTGGCTTCCACCTCTGATTTTCCTATTTTTGTGTCAATGCTACTATCATTATTGCAGTTACTCAGGTTCAGTAAACTCTGACTGCTACTTCTCCTTTGTCCCCACATAAATTCACAGCAGTCCCAAAGTCCTTCCCTCCTTTCCTTTTTAATCATGCTAAATTTCCTCAGTGGCTGGTCCAAGTGCAGTAGTGTTTACAACCAACTGATCGCAAATAGTTACAGGTTTCTTTGTTCCTTCTCCATTCCCACTGCTTCACTTGACTACCCTTATTCGTTAATATAGTGAGGATCTGAGCCAAGGAACCAATAGGTTGAAGCCCTTATCACCTATTGTGATAGGACTGTTGTTGCAAAAACCTCGTTAATTAATCTCCCTACCTCCAGAATATTTCCTTTGCCACCCATCCTCATAATCCTTCCTCTACTCTGAAGCCAGGAAAAATCATGTCTTCATTACCAGACATCTTATCAAGCATCTTTTCTGTGCAAAGCATTATGCTAAGGCCCTGCCCTCAAAAACTTTGCAAACTGGATGGGGAAGAGCCATATACATATAAAAGAAACCAATCAAGGTAGCATAAATTAAATACTGAATGGGTGATGTAGACTATAATCTACTGAAATTAAAAGGAAAGATTACTTTTGGTGGGTAAGTGAAGGAAAGATGCATGGATGAAATGGAAGTTGAATTAAATCTTAAAGATGGAATAAGACTTAGATTAAAAAGGTGTGAAGGAGAGAAATTTCAAGCCAAACAAATGAGACTGAACTTTATTTTTAGGCAATATGGTATCTTTAAGTAGTATTTTTGAGGGGAGGAAAGGTAAGGTGGTGCGAGAAGTACCACAGTGAACTTGTTTAAGAAGATGAACAGGGACTGATTTGATGGAGGGTAATAGTAAACCTGAGGACTATTTAGGAGGCTGTTGTGATGTGGACAGGGCATACCCAAGGAGAATATCAGTAATAGAAAGGAAATATCAAATATAAGAAGCACTCTTTTGCTTACATATCTTCAATTAGACAGCAAGCTCCTTGAGGGAAGATTTTACACTACTTTGTCTCTCCCATTATAACTGGTACAAAGCCTTACAACAAACATTTACTGACTGATTTAGCACAGTAAAAAAATCAAAATAAGAATGCCAAGCATTATAAAATATACTCCAGTGAGTGTATTTTGTAGAGAAAATATAAGGTGAAATGAGGGAGCTAGGGTGGGAATGTTTTTTGGACAGTCACATCAGGGGAGATAAAACCAGGCACAACTAATAGAATGAAAAGTTGGCTGAAGAGGCACAATTCCAAACTAAAGGTAAAGCAATGACATTAAAATCTTTTCATGTCAAGAAGCACCCCAGAAGAGCAGGGTCCTTAAGTGTTTTCTGAACAGGAAATACTTCAGGGAAAACCGGTCTTTGTGATGTGAATAAAACAACTCAAATTGCTTGGAAGACATTTGAAAGCCCCTGGTATTTTCTTTGTTTGAAGACATAATACATTGAGGTATTTCACTTGCTTATTAACGCTTAATTGAAAATAACTGGGTTACCTTAATAAGCATACTTGGCTGGTTGGTTGGTTTGTGGAAGACCCTAGCTCTTTATTTGACATTCGCTCTTTGTATTAGGTTAGTGGTTTTGTCTAAATGGCTTTATGTCTGTGGAAAAAAAATCTATCCTCCTTGAAAATACCATTAGGTCAATCTTGGCAACCTACTTGTATAAATCCACCCACCCCAAAAAGACTTTTGGGAGGCAGTTTGTGATGTTTATGACTAAGAGTCTTAGCCTCAATCTTCCAAGTCCTAAACACTAGGCAACACAGGCTCCCTGGTAAGTCTCCAGGTCCTCTTCTCTGCTCTTTGCTCTTTTACTTTCTTCTTAAGGCAGCAAAAATTTGACTTGCATATTTCTTTCCAACTGCCCATCCTACCCTATTACCTCCCAGCCCAAAGACTGACTGTAGAGTAAGACCTAGTCTTCCCCAATTTCCACCTATTCTTAATACAAACACATAAGGCCCCTGATGGAAGGACTTTACCACTGTTCAATACTAGGAAATAAATAGGTGGGAGTTCGCCAAAGCCATAAGTTGCAAAGATTTAAGAAACTGCAAAAAGTTATTTTGGCAATTGTTTCTCTTCTGTATTGAAATGTAAATGGACTAGACCTTTTTACCCTTAGCTTCTTTCAGAGAGCTTATTTGATAGTTAGGATTTTTGGGGGGGGGGAGGGGGAGGGGGCAGGGGAGATATTCCATTGCTCATTCTATAGTTATTTTATTCCTGGGTTTAAAGTTCATCAGCCTTCCCTCCAACCCACTCCCACGATAACTTCCCCACTTCCACTTTCACCTCAGCTTAGTCACATCCATCAGTCCTATAGTGCATCATTGCACAGGAGTTCAGAAGGCACTGAGATTTCCTGTTCAGATGGAACAAGATATATGAAATAGTAGATGATCCCATATACCCAGACTCAAGTGAAATGCAATAATAATAATAATAATTATATGGCAAGGAATTCCTCACTGGCTTCTCCGTCTCAGTGCTCTCCACTCTACACAGTAAATGCCAGCCTAGTTTATTCTCTGAAATCTTCTGCCCAAATAGATCTCCCTTTCACCAGAATATTGTGAAATTTTGGCATTAAAGTTCATTTGGGGAAGTTTTTATTTCAACAAACATTTATTGAGTGTCTCCCACATACCACAGTATATCCCACATGTATCCAGCATAGTGCTGGGTTTCCCTGAGTGGGATATAACGATGAAAATGACTCAGCTTCTGCCTTCAAGGCACTTACAGTCTAGTAGAGACTATGAGTGTGAATACAACTAATTATAATTTAAAGACCAGCAAAACAAGTAATATAATAGAATACAATTAAAGGTGTATGAGATCATAGGAAAGAGAAAATTTGGAAAAGGACAATCAGAGGATTAGATAAAGTTTCATGTAGCTGAGCTGGTCTTCAAGGATGAGCAAGACTTGGGCAGCTAGAAATGGAGCTTAAGGGGAGACAAGTTTAGGCAGAATGAATTACATGAATAGCATGAGCAAAAGCATAAGCAGAAAAATAGAAAACGTGCTTGGTTAAAGCAGATCAGCCTGACAGATGTAATGGAGGCAAACAAGGCTAGAAACAAGGGTTGGAGATATATTATGGAGAGCTGTGCTGTCATTTTGAGTCTCTGAAAGTACTTGGATAAAAATGTCAGGATCTTAGCATTATAGTAACACCTTAAGAATTGTTAATTGACATCTTAGTTGAGAGCAAGGTGAAGAGAGAAGGCAGACACAGTACATGAAGAACTGGGAGGGGGACACAACAAACTTCCCACTTCCCATTATTGCCCAGGACCACTCAGGTGATCACTATCCCACCTTCTGAGACTCCATAACAGAAAAAAGAGGCTGAGTTTGGCTTTATTTAATAAGCAGTCACTTTCTGTGCAAAGGAGATGAGAAGGAAAAGTGAGAGGTAAATTGGACATCTGATGAATTATCAAGAAATTATTATGAACAGCCTTGTCACCTTACTGAGCTGCAAAGAATTCATTACTTTCTTAAAATGATGCATTTAAGAAAACACAATGTTTATGAACAGACATAGCATTTGCTGTGGCAGCATCAAAGCTAAAGTGTTAACCCAGATCACACTTTAAGGATCCTTCTCCCTCTCTCCTCCCACCCTCACACTCTCTCACACGCACACACATACACACACATCACTACCACTAGCACTAGCATCATGATCACCACCAGCACTATAGCCCTGTTATATCAGGAAGTTTCAAATGTACAAAAGGAAGAGGAAGAAGAGACAATCTTCTTTTTTGTTTTCTAAAGGTAAACACTGCAACATTTCAAAGATGGTCCTTCCAGCTTTACGTAAGTATGACTAAATGAAGCAGGGATTTAAAAAAAATTGGTTATACCTGTTTCTTTAGATTTGAGGGAGGGTGGTCACTTAAAGGAGCAAGAAATAAATGAAATTATTAATAGAATTTTTAGTCACCTGTACTGGAGTAACTACAGTTTAGCAAGCAAAAAAAATACTGAGACATAGTTAAGGAATCTACAGCTTCAGTGTGTAATTTTTTTGGCCAGGGAAGGGGTGAGGGATTAGGAGAGTAGAGGTAGCTGGGAGATTGGCTGTTAAAGTTAGAAAAGTAGTGTGGATGGGGAGGTGGCAGCCAAGCCATTTCTAGAAGTATAACTATCGTAGTGAATTGGGCTCAGGGACTCATGCTACGTGAGGCCTTCAGATAGACAATGACTGACAGAAAAGTTTTCTATCTGCTTGTGGGAGGAGTACATAAGAGTTAATACTTTTATAGTGCTAACCACATGTTAGGCACTATTCTAATTGCTTCATGTATTTTCACTTGTTTACTTTTCCCATTAACCCCATAAGGTAGGTACTATTATTACCATTCCCATTCTATAGAAGAAACCGAGAAAACATAGAGGTTATGTAACTTGCCCAAGGTCATATAACTAGTAAATATCAGAGCCAGGATTTGCACCCAGGCAGTCTGGCTCATGTCTATGGTTTTAACCACTGTGTGTATGCGTGCGTGTGTGTGTGTGTGTGTGAGAGAGAGAGAGGCTGTGCTCACAAACATATACTTCTTTTTCCTTTAGAGTTGCCTCTCACGACAATCACAATCTCTAGAGTTAACCATTGCAAATATTTTGTGTATTTCCTTCCTGACTTTTGAAAAAAAATAGTACCTGTATAGAAATGCATAATACAACATATTTTAAAAGCATAGACAGTTCACACACATATATATACACACATATATTTTGTATGTACTTTACTCTATGTCTAACTAATAAAAATAATGGAGACAGAGCGTGAGGACAATCTGCTTCATATACATGCCTTAGGAATGGCATTATGCCATGTGGCCATTCTGTGTTGATTTTGGAGTCCTTTCTCCTCAGGGAACAGACAACCAAACCTTTATAGCCTTAGGCTTAGTTACTGTCTCCCCCATATTCTCTTTGTAAGCAAAGTAACTGTTTATTTTTTATTTTTTTAGACGGAGTCTTGCTCTGTTGTCCAGGCTGGAGTGCAGTGGCATGATCTCGGCTCAATTCAACCTCCACCTCCCAAGTTCAAGTGATTCTCCAGCCTCAGCCCCCAAACCCCCCCAACCCCGCCGAGTAGCTGGGACTATAGGCATGCGCCACCATTCCCGGCTAATTTTTGTATTTTTAGTAGAGATGGGTTTCATCATGTTGGCCAGGCTGGTCTCGAACACCTGACCTCAAGCGATCCATCCACCTTCGGCCTCCTAAAGTGCTAGGATTACAGGTGTAAGCCACCAAGTAACTGTTTGGAACATGGAAGAAAAAGGTGGGAGATATAACCTATGTTTTTCATCTGGTATTTTATGTACATAGCTATAAAATTTTTTGTGAAATGAGGCAGAAACCTCCTTTCTATCTCGTCAGAACCATGTAATTAGATCTTAAAAAGACTGAAGAAATAATCGATTCCTACTCCATCACTTAAGAGACAGAAATATGGGGCCTAGAGAGGGGAGAGGCTTATCCAGCATCACATTGCTACTAAATGACAGGGCAAGGCTTGAGCCAGATCTTCTGAGTCCTATCCAGTGTTCTTTCCAATCTACTGCTTGTTTTGTAAAGCATGGCACTTGCTTATAAATCCCTCTGAAGAAATAAAACTCTCTAGCTCTCATCCTTGTGTATTTACCCTAGAAATATGAACATTTATGTCCACACAAAAACCTTACACGAATGGTCATAACAGCTTTGTTTCTATTAGCAAAAAACTGGAAACAACTGAAATGCTCTTCACCGTGGGCACATATAAACAAATTGTAGAATATTCACATAGTAGAATACTACTTAGTAATAAAAAATAAAAAACTATTGATGTACACAACAAATTCAGTGGCTCTCAGGGCCATTATGATGAGTGACATAGCAAATCACAGTATTTTACATACTATATGATTCCATTTACATAACATTCTAGAAATGAGAAAATTATAGTAATGATGAACATATCAGTGGTTGCTGGGGGACAGATGTGCCTATAAAGAAGTAGCACAAATGAGTTTTGGGGGGATGATAAAACAATAATGTCCTAATTACAGTGGTGATTACAAGAATCTATAAATGTGATAAGATTAATAGAACTATCCACCCCCCCCCCAAAAAAAGTTGAGTGCATGCAAAAGCTGGTAAAAATCAAATGAGGTCTATAGTTTGCTCAATAGAATTATTGTACCAATGACAGTTTCCTAGTTCTGATAGTTGTGTGGTTATGTAAGATGTTAACATTAGAGAAGGTTAGTTAAATGTATGTGGGAACTCTCTGTATTATTTTAGCAACTTTTATGTAAGATTAAACTTATTTTTAAAAAGAAAAAAGAAAGAAAACTCTCTAGAAGTCCCATAATGTTTTAGGCAGGCCTGGTCAACCAACATTTCTGTAGTTTTCTGAAGTTCTAATATATCTTCAGGCCTTTGCTCAACTGGCGTTCTCTCTCTCTCTCTCTCTTTCACACACACACACACACACACACACACACACACACACTCACCCCACTCTGTAACCTAGTTTATTTTTATCCGTAATACTTATAATCCCTAATAAAAATATGTTTGTTTATTGTGTGTCTCCTCCCATTAGAATGTAAGCTCCTTAAGTTTAAGCACTTTTTGTTCACTGTATCCCTAACACCTAGAATAGTGCTTGTCACACAGTAAATGCTCAGTAAATATTTGTTGAATGAATGAATGTGTGTAGGCATTGAAATAAAGGTATTATGAAAAAAGGTATTGTATACTATGTTACATTTCTTTATTACATGAGACAAATTTCTCTTTCATTTTATTTTTGCACACTCAAAATAGTTTTATCTGTTGTGTCATTTAAATATTGTTTTCTGAATTATGAAAGATTTGGAGAGACGTTGGAATAACAACACCTCTAGGAGACCTAGGAGATTCTAGGAGACCACATATTCTGAAATATTTCCTTTCCCTGTGTTAAAATAAATAAAAAGTTGCCTTTCCTAGGTGCTTTACTCACCTGGGCTTTACTCACCCTTATGATGCATAAAAGATTGTACTTACAACATCTGGCCACCAGATGGCAATGTTTATCCAAATATCCTTTCTCGGTACCTATTCGTGTACCAAGCCATGTGCTGGGTATAAAAAAAAAAAGGATAGGACACCATACTCGGCCTGAGAGCTTAGTCTGGTGGGGAGACAAATCGGTATATAGAAGTGCTATGATGAAAGTATGCACAGGTTACCCTGAAGACACAGAGGAGGAACACCTGAACCAGATGAGGGAGGCAGGGAATGAGGCTTAGAGCATGGGTGATGGCTTCTTAAAGGAGGTGAAGGCTGAGCTGAGCAGTACTCCTACAGATGGAAAATCGAAGGAGTGTAAGTTCTGTGAAGACAGGTGCGACGTCCACCATTATGTTGCCAGTGCCTGGCCCAATGCAGAAATGCGCTTAAATATTTTTGGAATGAATGAACAGCATATAAAGTACAGATGGCAAAAGGACATCATTAGATGTGCTAGTACTTTATATTATTTTCAACTTTCAGAATAACTCTTCAAAGTACATACTATCATCCTATTTTTTAGATGAATAAAATGAGGTTCAGTGTACGCAGCTTATAAAACAGAGCCAGACAGACTCAAGTCTATCACTTTTCTTTCCACTTACTGTCTCCCAGTGAGCATATTACTATTAATAAGTCAACTCATATTCTGCTTAAAAGGACTTGGAAAAGTGCTTCACAATATTGACATTCCTCCAAAAACAAGATAAAATATATCTACTTAATCGTTCCTTTTTAAAAGTTTTAAATTGACTTGTTTATTTTCATGTTAAAAATAGAATCAACTAAAAAGTTAACATAATGGTATATTCTCAAATCAGCTACCCGATTTCTTTAAGTAATAATGAGACATATACATGCCTTTTCAAGACAGGTTAAAGAATCAAATAGCAGACTGTTAACCTGAGATATTAACAAAATAAAAACATTCTAGTAATATTTCAGCTAATAAGCAAAATTCATAGTTTCATAGTCTAGCAGTAAAAAGAAGCACTGACAAAGACTGTGTTTTTTACACGAAGTGAGAAGATCTGTGTAATACTACATTATAGGATCAAAAGGACATTAACTGTTTTACTGTTTTATAATGTTTATGGGAGATATTTCAATAATAGCACTGTTTTTCAGAAAGCCGTAAGAACATGAAAGATTATAGACAGACATCACTCTTACCATGGAGGATACACCCAATTCTTGAAGCAGTCAACACTCATTTATGTGGATACATTACAGGTCATTTCATATTACCATTGAACAAATTTTACTGTTATTATGTGCTAGGCATTTTAGTAAGCACTTAGCAATACACGAGATAGATAAGGCCTCTGCCATCATCTCGTGAATCTTATAATGAGCAGGGAAGCAGATACTGAGCAGTTACCTGTTTGAGGAGTGCTACAAAAGAGGTTTATCACGTAAAAAGGATAATCTTTGGGTGCTTATAAGATGGGGATTTAACCAACAGTTGTCAAGTGGGGAGCTTAGATGGTCAAGGAAGGCTTCCTAAGGATGTGATATTTTTAAGGAATGAATGAGAGTTAGCTAGAGGAAGGGGAGATTCACAGCAGAGAAGACGAAGACAGCAAAAAGGTCTGGGAGACCATGCTAGAGAGGTAGGTAGGGGCCAGATCATAATGGGTTTTAAAGGCAGTGGGGGAACCATTAAAGGGTTTGTGGTAGGGAGTGACATGACAGGTTTTGCATTTTACAAGTTCATTTCCACAGCAATGTGGAAAATGGATAGGAGGGGAACAGGATGGGCCAGAGAGACCAGTTAGAAACTGCAGTTTCCAAAATGATTGTGGCATGGCCATGGCTGCTACCTTCAGGAAGCTTCTAGTCCAACCAAGGAAACAGCCTGTAACCAAGAAATTCCTTCATGGAAGAGCAAGCAGTCTAATAGAGGTTTGCACAGGCTGTTCCACCCAAGTTCATGTGACTAGTGGGTGACAGAGCCAGCAGCAGAACCCAGGTTTCCTGATTTCTAGTCTAGGGCTTTTTCCAAGGCCATCCTTTTCACTGCCTTCACAACCAAGGAATTATGGAAAGGGAGGAGAACAAAGCAAGCCAGTGAATGTTTCCGCCTTCTTAAGTCTCAGATCAGATTGTGGGGAGCATTTAGCCACTCTCTGTACTCAAGTCTGACATAAGCACTCCTCCCAAGACATTTGTTTCTGAGGGATGGATTCACCATCGTGATACTCCCTGTATATATACAGAGCAAGGAATTTCTACTGGGAGGGCCAGGGAAATTTGAACTCTCATAGCTAAGGTCGAAAAGGGCATTGTTATGAGAAAGAGGTCATTCTTTCTGAGACAGGGAACTCTGGATGACAAAAGGGAAAAAATCTGATTCCAGGCAGACAGAAAACAGTCTGATTCCAGCCCAACAGAAGAAGCAAGGGCCCAAGTAGAAGAGTGAAAATAGCTGAAGAAGAGCCTATGTTGCTTCTAAGCTGAGGGAGTAGAGAAATAGGAAGTACCAGGAAAGAGCCTGAAAGACAAGGACCAGAGGAATTCTGTTTGTAAGCATCAGAGGGAAGGGAAGCCTCAGAATAATAACCAACGCTGAACTCTGTGACTGGGCAACAAAGAGGTCTTGAGAACATATTTCCAGAGGTCTCAACTACCTTGTGAGTCAAGAAATAAACAAAGGGGTTTCTACGGGGAAAACCCCAAGGGGGTCAGAGGCCCTGATTAGGATGGGCTGGGCGCAGTGGTTCACACCTGTAATCCCAGCACTTTGGGAGGCTAAGGCGGGCAGATCACTTGAGGTCTGTTTTAGGCTCAGCCTGACCAACATGGTGAAACCCTATCTTTATTAAAAATACAAAAAATAGCCAGGCATGGTGGCGCATGCCTGTAATCTCAGCTACTCGGGAGTCTGAGGCAGGAGAATCACTTGAACCTGAGAGGCGGAGGTTGCAATGAGCTGAGATTGCGCCACTGCATTCCAGCCTGGGTGACAAGGTGAGACTCTTTCTCAAAAAAAAAAAAAAAAAAAGGTATAAAACAAACAGGAGGATGGAGCCAAGATGGCCGAATAGGAACAGCTCCAGTCTACAGCTCCCAGCGTGTGTGACGCAGAAGACGGGTGATTTCTGCATTTCCAACTGAGGTACTGGGTTCATCTCACTGGGGAGTCTCAGAAAGAGGGTGCAGGACAGTGGGTGCAGCGCACCGAGCGTGAGCCGAAGCAGGGTGAGGCATCGCCTCACCCAGGAAGCTCAAGGGGTCAGGGAATTCCCTTTCCTAGTCAAAGAAACGGGTGAGAGACAGCACCTGGAAAACTGGGTCACTCCCACCCTAACACTGTGCTTTTCCAATGGTCTTAGCAAACGGCACACCAGATTATATCCTGCGCCTGGCTCAGAGGGACCTAATCCCACAGAGCCTCGCTAATTGCTAGCACAGCACTCTGAGATCAAACTGCAAGGTGGCAGCAAGGCTGGGGGAGGGGCACCCACCATTGCCGAGGCTTGAGTAGGTAAACAAAGCAGCTGGGAAGCTTGAACTGGGTGGAGCCCACCGCAGCTCAAGGAGGCCTGCCTGCCTCTGTAGACTCCATCTCTGGGGGCAGGGCATAGCCAAACAAAAGGCAGCAGAAAACTCTGCAGACTTAAATGTCCCTGTCTGACAGCTTTGAAGAGAGGAGTGGTTCTCCCAGCACACAGCTGGAGATCTGAGAACAGACAGACTGCCTCTTCAAGTGGATCCCTAACCCCCGAGTAGCCTAACTGGGAGGCACCCCCCAGTAGGGGCAGACTGATACCTCACAAGGCCGGGTACTCCTCTGAGACAAAACTTCCAGAGGAAAGATCAGGCAGCAACATCTGCTGTTCACCAATATCCACTGTTCTGCAGCCTCTGCTGCTGATACCCAGGCAAACAGGGTCTGGAGTGGACCTCCCACAAACTCCAACAGGCCTGCAGCTAAGGGTCCTGACTGTAAGAAGGAAAACTAATAAACAGAAAGGACATCCACACCAAAACCCCATCTGTACGTCACCATCATCAAAGACAAAAGGAAGATAAAACCACAAAGATAGGGAAAAAACAGAGCAGAAAAACTGGAAACTCTAAAAATCAGAGCGCCTTTCCTCCTCCAAAGGAACGCAGCTCCTCACCAGCAACAGAACAAAGCTGGATGGAGAAAGAATTTGATGAGTTGAGAGAAGAAAGCTTCAGATGATCAAACTACTCCGAGCTAAAGGAGGAAGTTCGAATCCAAGGCAAAGAAGTTAAAAACCTTGAAAAAAAATTACATGAATGGCTAACTAGAATAACCAATGCAGAGAAGTCCTTAAAGGACCTGATGGAGCTGAAAACCATGGCACGAGAACTATGTGATGAATGCACAAGCCTCAGTAGCTGATTCGATCAACTGGAAGAAAGGGTGTCAGTGATGGAAGATGAAATGAATGAAATGAAGTGAGAAGAGAAGTTTAGAGAAAAAAGAAAAAAAAGAAATGAACGAAGCCTCCAAAAAATATGAGACTATGTGAAAAGACCAAATCTACGTCTGATTGGTGTACCTGAAAGTGACGGGGAGAATGGAACCAAGTTGGAAAACACTTTGCAGGATATTATCCAGGAGAAATTCCCCAATCCAGCAAGGCAGGCCAACATTCAGATTCAGGAAATACAGAGAATGCCACAAAGATACCCTCGAGAAGAGCAACTCCAAGACACATAATTGTCAGATTCACCAAAGTTGAAATGAAGGAAAAAATGTTAAGGGCAGCCAGAGAGAAAGGCCGGGTCCCACAAAGGGAAGCCCATCAGACTAACAGCGGATCTCTCGGCAGAAACTCTACAAGCCAGAAGAGAGTGGGGGCCAATATTCAACATTCTTAAAGAAAAGAATTTTCAACCCAGAATTTCATATCCAGCCAAACTAAGCTTCATAAGTGAAGGAGAAATAAAAGCCTTTACAGATGAGCAAATGCTGAGAGATTGTGTCACCACCAGGCCTGCCCTAAAAGAGCTCCTGAAGGAAGCACTAAACATGGAAAGGAATAACCGGTACCAGCCACTGCAAAATCATGCCAAATTGTAAAGACCATTGAGGCTAGGAAGAAACTGCATCAACTAACGAGCAAAATAACCAGCTAACATCATAATGACAGGATCAAATTCACACATAACAATATTAACCTTAAATGTAAATGGGCTAAATGCTCCAATTAAAAGACACAGACTGGCAAATTGGATAAAGAGTCAAGACCCATCAGTGTGCTGTATTCAGGAAACCCATCTCAAGTGCAGAGACACACATAGGCTCAAAATAAAGGGATGGAGGAAGATCTCCCAAGCAAATGGAAAACAAAAAAAGGCAGGGTCTGCAATCCTAGCCTCTGATAAAACAGACTTTAAACCAACAAAAAGATCAAAAGAGACAAAGAAGGCCATTACATAATGGTAAAGGGATCAATTCAACAAGAAGAGCTAACTATCCTAAACATATATGCACCCAATACAGGAGCACCCAGATTCATAAAGCAAGTCCTTAGAGGCCTACAAAGAGACTTAGACTCCCACATAATAATAATGGGAGACTTTAACACCCCCGCATTGTCAACATTAGACAAATCAACGGGCAGAAAGTTAACAAGGATATCCAGGAATTGAACTCAGCTCTGCACCAAGCAGACCTAATAGACATTTACAGAACTCTCCAGCCCAAATCAACAGAATATACATTCTTTTCAGCACCACACCACACCTATTCCAAAATTGACCACAGTAAAGCACTTCTCAGCAAATGTAAAAGAACAGAAATTATAACAAACTGTCTCTCAGACCACAGTGCAATCTAACTAGAACGCAGGATTAAGAAACTCACTCAAAACCGCTCAACTACATGGAAACTGAACAACCTGCTCCTGAATGACTACTGGGTACGTAACAAAAGGAAAGCAGAAATAAACATGTTCTTTGAAACCAATGGGAACAAAGACACAACATACCAGAACCTCTGGGACACATTCAAAGCAGTGTGTAGAGGGAAATTTATAGCACTAAATGCCCACAAGAGAAAGCAGGAAAGATCTGAAATTGACACCCTAACATCACAATTAAGAGAACTAGAGAAGCAAGAGCAAACACATTCAAAAGCTAGCAGAAGGCAAGAAATAACTAAGATCAGAGCAGAACTGAAGGAAATAGAGACACAAAAAACCCTTCAAAAAATCAATGAATCCAGGAGCTGGTTTTTTGAAAAGATCAACAAAATTGATAGACCACTAGCAAAACTAATAAAGAAGAAAAGAGAGAAGAATCAAATAGATGCAATAAAAAATGATAAAGGAGATATCACCACCGATCCCACAGAAATACAGACTACCATCAGAGAGTACTATAAACACCTCTAAGCAAATAAACTAGAAAATCTAGAAGAAATGGATAAATTCCTCAACACATACACTCTCCCAAGACTAAACCAGGAAGAAGTTGAATCTCTGAATAGACCAATAACAGGCTCTGAAATTGAGGCAATAATTAATAGCTTACAAACCAAAAAAAGTCCAGGATCGGATGGATTCACAGCTGAATTCTACCAGAGGTACAAGGAGGAGCTGGTACCATTCCTTCTGAAACTATTCCAATCAATAGAAAAAGAGGGAATCCTCCCTAACTCATTTTATGAGGCCAGCATCATCCTGATACCAAAGCCTGGTAGAGACACAACAAAAAAAGAGAATTTTAGACCAATATCCCTGATGAACATCGATGCAAAAATCCTCAGTAAAATACTGGCAAACCGAATCCAGCAGCACATCAAAAACCTTATCCACCATGATCAAGTGGGCTTCATCCCTGGGATGCAAGGCTGGTTCAACATACACAAATCAATAAACATAATCCAGCATATAAACAGAATCAAAGACAAAAACCAGATGATTATCTCAATAGATGCAGAAAAGACCTTTGACAAAATTCAACAACCCTTCATGCTAAAAACTCTCAAGAAATTAGGCATTGATTGGACGTATCTCAAAATAATAAGAGCTATTTATGAAAAACCCACAGCCAATATCATACTGAATGGGCAAAAACTGGAAGCATTCCCTTTGAAAACTGGCACAAGACAGGGATGCCCTCTCTCACCACTCCTATTCAACACAGTGTTGGAAGTTCTGGCCAGGGCAATTAGGCAGGAGAAGGAAATAAAGGGTATTCAATTAGGAAAAGAGGAAGTCAAATTGTCCCTGTTTGCAGATGACATGATTGTATATTTAGAAAACCCCATCATCTCAGCCCAAAATCTCCTTAGGCTGATAAGCAACTTCAGCAAAGTCTCAGGATACAAAATCAATGTGCAAAAATCACAAGCATTCTTATACACCAATAACAGACAAACAGAAAGTCAAATCATGAGTGAACTCCCATTCACAATTGCTTCAAAGAGAATAAAATACCTAGGAATCCAACTTACAAGGGATGTCAAGGACCTCTTCAAGGAGAACTACAAAACACTGCTCAATGAAATAAAAGAGGATACAAACAAATGGAAGAACATTCCATGCTCATGGGTAGGAAGAATCAATATCGTGAAAATGGCCATACTGCCCAAGGTAATTTATAGATTCAATGCCATCCCCATCAAGCTACCAATGACCTTCTTCACAGAATTGGAAAAAACTACTTGAAAGTTCATATGAAACCAAAAATGAGCCTGCACTGCCAAGACAATCCTAAGCCAAAAGAATAAAGCTGGAAGCATCACGCTACCTGACGTCAAACTATACTACAAGGCTACAGTAACCAAAACAGCATGGTACTGGTACCAAAACAGAGATATAGATCAATGGAACAGAACAGAGGCCTCAGAAATAATGCCGCATATCTACAACTGTCTGATCTTTGACAAACCTGACAAAAACAAGCAATGGGGAAAGGATTCCCTATTTAATAAATGGTGCTGGGAAAACTGGCTAGCCATAGGTAGAAAGCTGAAACTGGATCCCTTCCTTACACCTTATACAAAAATTAATTCAAGATGGATTAAAGACTTAAATGTTAGACCTAAAAGCATAAAACTCCTAGAAGAAAACCTAGGCAATACCATTCAGGACATAGGCATGGGCAAGGACTTCATGTCTAAAACACCAAAAGCAATGGCAACAAAAGCCAAAATTGACAAATGGGATCTAATTAAACTAAAGAGCTTCTGCACAGCAAAAGAAACTACCATCAGAGTGAACAGGCCACCTACAGAATGGGAGAAAATTTTTCCAATCTACTCATCTAACAAAGGGCTAATATCCAGAATCTACAATGAACTCAAACAAATTTACAAGAAAAAAACAAATAACCCCATCAAAAAGTGGGCAAAGGATATGAACAGACACTTCTCAAAAGAAGACATTTATGCAGCCAAAAGACACATGAAAAAATGCTCATCATCACTGGCCATCAGAGAAATGCAAATCAAAACCACAATGAGACACCATCTCACACCAGTTAGAATGGCAATCATTAAAAAGTCAGTAAACAACAGGTGCCGGAGAGGATGTGGAGAAATAGGAACACTTTTACACTGTTGGTGGGACTGTAAACTCTTTCAACCATTGTGGAAGTCAGTGTTGCGATTCCTCAGGGATCTAGAACTAGAAATACCATTTGTCCCAGCCATCCCATTACTGGGTATATACCCAAAGGATTACAAAACATGCTGCTATAAAGACACGAGCACACGTATGTTTATTGTGGCACTATTCACAATAGCAAA
Source organism: Homo sapiens (assembly GCF_000001405.40). Classification (NCBI taxonomy): domain Eukaryota; kingdom Metazoa; phylum Chordata; class Mammalia; order Primates; family Hominidae; genus Homo; species Homo sapiens. The sequence goes on along the minus strand of NC_000023.11, from coordinate 107,885,549 downwards.
GACTTGGAACTAACCCAAATGTCCAACAATAATAGACTGGATCAAAAAAATGTGGCACATATACACCACGGAATACTATGTAGCCATAAAAAATGATGAGTTCATGTCCTTTTTAGGGACATGGATGAAGCTGGAAACCATCATTCTCAGCAAACTATCGCAAAGACAAAAAACCAAACACCGCATGTTCTCACTCATAGGTGGGAACTGAACAGTGAGAACACATGGACACAGGAAGGGAAACATCACACACCGGGGCCTGTTGTGGGGTGGGGGGAGGGGAGAGGGATAGCATTAGGAGATATACCTAATGTAAATGACGAGTTAATGGGTGCAGCACACCAACACAGCACATGTATACATATGTAACAAACCTGCACGTTGTGCACATGTACCCTAAAACTTAAAAGTATAATAAAATAAATAAATAAATAAATAAATAAATAAGAGATTCTCCTGGAAAAAAAACAAAAACAAAAACGGGAAGGGATCTCAACCTGCTGGGAAATTCCAAAAATCTGGCCATCTTAATACATTGTTACTGCTAGTAAAAGAAATAATTAGTTATGGTTGTATAGTTATTACAGCTGTGTAGTTGTTATGGCTTGGCCTAGAAAGTGCTTTCAGATATATTTGATCTCTATATTTGATCTTCACAACAACCTGATTAGATAGGGTAGACACTACTGTCTGCATTTTATGGATGAGGAAACTGAGATCTAGAGAGGTAAAGTAAATTATCAAAGTCATATAAGCTAGCAAATGACAGAGTTACAACCAAACTGGGCATCCTAACTCCAAGGCCAAGACTTCTGCCATGTTCCATTCTAATCTGCCCTGTTTTTGTTTTGTTTTGTTTTGTTTTTGGTCTCTTTGTAGCTAAAATTTATTTTTATTTTTATTTTTGAGGAAAACCACCTTTCCCTTTTTTTGAGGATTTTCCTGTGCTAAGTTTCCATTTCTACTCAGGCAGCAGAGTAGAGTGGGAAAAAGTCTGGATTGTAAGCCAGGCTGGCCTGAATCTGCATTCCTGCTTTGACGCTTGAAAGCCAAGTGACTTCATGACAAGTCACTTAACATCTCTGAGCTATCTTTCTGACTGGTAAAATAGAAACAATGTTACCTACCTCACAAGTGGTTATGAGAATCAAATGAGATAACAGAGACAAAGGTCTTAGCACACTACCTGGAACATAGTAGGAATTAAATAAATATTGATTTCCATGCCTACTCCTCTCCAACTCCAAGTTGCTACGCTGGTCTGGTACCTCTTTCCCAAAAAGTACTTCTTTCCCAAAAAGCTGAAATTCAGGTTTTGATTTATGTCTCTACTTACTCATCTATAGGATAGCTGGCATTTCAACTCTTGAGAGTTTATCATTTACAACTGATAAACTCCAGGATATTTTCTTGGTTATTTGCGGTAGATTTGGAACTTATAACTTGTGTATATGTATGTAGATAAAAATGTTTCTAAATAATTTAAAGACTTAAGTTTTTACTCAGAAATGACTTCCATTCTGTAAAATGTGGATAGATCATTCTTCTTAATCTAATCTAGAACCTAAAAGGCTAAGTCGTCCTTATTTGGATAGTGAGCTAACTTATTCAGCTACTTTGGTCTGAATATATTGTAGCAATTCAGGTCTATGATCTCTTACTGAGTTCAGATCTCACATCCTCAGCACCAGATTCCAAATATATTTTCTAATAAAGAATGCATCTCCTTAGCAGCCACTTTCCCATAGACTATGTTCAAACAATAATATGGCTTAGCTCTTACACCTGGATCTTTCCCTATCATCACATTCTCCTCACTGAGGAGCTTCAAACAATGTAATGAAAAGGAAGATAAATTGGGCATGGGAGAAAACTAGGCTAGTCCTGAGAATGGGGATATAGGACTTTGATAAAAATGGATTTGGTATAAAAATAAGCTATGCCATAGATTGTGTGAAAAGAGGGCAAGGAAAACTTAAAAATGATAGCTTTATGCATTTTGGCTTTTTAAAAAACTGGTTGCAGTGAAAATATGTTACTATTGCAATTTTAAACATTTTTATTGTGAAACTGAGCATATTTAAAACTAGAGAATATGATGAAGCCCCGTGTGTCCATCCCCCAGCTTCAAAAGCCACCAACATTTTTCTATACTTGTTTGATCTATTCCCTCCTTTTTCTGCTGAGGCATTTTTTTAAATTATACTTTAAGTTCTGGGGTACATGTGCAGAACATGCAGTTTTGTTACATAGGTATACACGTGCCATGGTGGTTTGCTGTACCCATCAACCCGTCACCTACATTAGGCATTTCTCCTCATGCTAACCCTTCCCTAGCCCCCCACTCCCCGACAGGCCCCAGTGTGTAATGTTCCCCTCCCTGTTTCCATGTGTTCTCATTGTTCAATTCCCACTTATGAGTGAGAACATGCAGTGTTTGGTTTTCTGTTCTTGTGATAGCTTGCTGAGAATGATGGTTTCCAGCTTCATCCATGTCCCTGCAAACGACAGGAACTCATACTTTTTTATGGCTGCATAGTATTCCACGGTGTATATGTGCCACGTTTTCTTTATCCAGTCTATCATTGATGGACATTTGGGTTGGTTCTAAGTCTTTATTATTGTGAATAGTGCCACAGTAAACATATGTGTGCATGCGTCTTTATAGTAGAATGATTTATAATACTTTGGGATTGCTGGGTAATGGGATTGCTAGGACAAATTGTATTTCTAGTTCCAGATCCTTGAAGAATTGCCACGCTGTCTTCCACAATGGTTGAACTAGTTTACAGTCCCACCAACAGTGTAAAAGTGTTCCTATTTCTCCACAACCTCTCCAGCACCTGTTGGTTCCTGACTTTTTAATGATCGCCATTCTAACTGGTGTGAGATGGTATCTCATTGTGGTTTTGATTTGCATTTCTCTGATGGCCAGTGATGATGAGCATTTTTTCATGTGTCTTTTGGCTGCATAAATGTCTTCTTTTGAGAAGTGTCTGTTCATATCCTTTGCCCACTTTTTGATGGGGTTGTTTGTTTTTTTTCTTGTAAATTTGAGTTCACTGTAGATTCTGGATACTAGCCCTTTGTCAGATGAGTAGATTGCAAAAATTTTCTCACATTCTGTAGGTTGCCTGTTCACCCTGATGGTAATTTCTTTTGCTGTGCAGAAGCTCTTTAGTTTAATTAGATCCCATTTGTCAATTTTGGCTTTTGTTGCCATTGCTTTTGGTGTTTTAGACATGAAGTCCTTGCCCATGCCTATGTCCTGAATGGTATTGCCTAGGTTTTCTTCTAGGGTTTTTATGATTTTAGGTCTGACATTTAAGTCTTTAATCCATCTTGAATTAATTTTTGTATAAGGTGTAAGGAAGGGATCCAGTTTCAGCTTTCTACATATGGCTAGCCAGTTTCCCAGCACCATTTGTTAAATAGGGAATCCTTTCCCCATTTCTTGTTTTTGTCAGGTTTGTCAAAGATCAGATGATTGTAGATGTGTGGTGTTATTTCTGAGGCCTCTGTTCTGTTCCATTGGTCTGTATATCTGCTTTGGTACCAGTACCATGCTGCTTTGGTTACTGTCTGCTGAGGCATTTTAAAGCAAATCCAAAACGTTATGTTATTTCACCCCTAATGCTTCAGTTTGTATCTCAGAAACAAAAGTATATCTTTTTGCATAATCACAGTGAATAAAATAATTCCTTAATATCATTCATCTAATGCTTGTTCTATACTTAAATTGTCCTGATTACATAAAAAAGTGTACTTTTACAGTTGATTTGTTTGAATCAGGTATTTTATGAAGAGGAATTTAATACTGGTTTTTCAAATACCATGTATATTTCTAATGAATAATTAATGAGTGCTGTTTCCTAGTGAAGAAATAGAAGACCTCATTGGTACTATACACCCCATCCATGCTTAAAATTCTACTTTCAGGAACGTATGTCCTTTATGAAAAGGCAGATCCCTGTACAGTGGTTTCTGTTCATTCATATGTCATTGTGAATTTCAGTATCTCAGAAAACAAGTTTTGAAGGACACACCAGAGAGAAGAAAAGGTCATCACTGGGCAGAACAAAGAGAGTGAGAAATCTAGAGGATGCAGGGATGGCAGAAAGTGTGGAGGGAACTACTTAAGTCGAACATGGGGACATTTAACTGCTTAATCAAAACTGCTTCTGATTTCTGTGACCTCTTTCTGTATTGAAGCAACCCAAACCTCAAAAGTTCAACAGTCTTATTTGTAACAGGGGTACTATGCCCACTGGATGACCTTCACCAATTTTGTCAGACCTAACCCTAACCCAGTGGGAGCTCCTGCTCTCTACTACTGCCCAGCATCCAACAATCTTTCTCTGAGAGATGACCAAAAAGGCTAAGTGTAGGTGACTGAATTTAGTAGCACTCTAACAGCATGGTAAAGGAAAATCTGCCCCCTTGTACATTTCTGGTGGGAGTATAAATTGCCTTGGCAAATAGAGACTGTTGACAATATGTGTCAATACATTGAAACGTGGCTTTACTTTAAACTGTCAATTCCACTTCTAGGAAATAAATATCCTTAAAAATAGAAAGGGATAAGATAGAAAAAAGATACAATTTTGAAATCGCCTTTGCAAAACTTATAACAGTGAGAAAACGATGTCAGTGATGGAAATTGGATCTAGCCTTTGGCCTTCAAGCTGCCCTTAATTATTCCTGGGCTTAGGCCAAGCTAATTTTAGGAGACGCTTAGTTTATAGTTTAAATGATAAGAACCCTTCCCCAAAACTCGACCATCTTTGTAAAGCTAATGAGAGACCACCAGGCTCAAAGCATAGAAAAGCCTGAATTCTGCTAAGATGTAGACATAAATGATTACCTGCCATTATTCCAGAGTTCACAAAATATGCAATTTCCCCAGTTACTCCTGCAGATAACATCACTATTGTAGAACCTAAGATTGGCCTTTTGAGATACCTTTTCAGGTTTTTTTGTAGATCTGACCATGAATGGCTCCACCTGTACCTGCCAATCACTCATGTGCTCCGACCCAGAAGCGACTCAGCATGCAAGAGAACCACTTCCCAATGGCAATGACTAACCACTCCCACCCCTTCCCCCAAACTACCTTTGGAAAACCCTAAGCTAGGCACAGTGACTCATTCTAGTAATCTCAGCACTTTGGGAGGCTGAAGTGGGCAGATCGCTTGAGCCTAGGAATTCGAGACCAGCCTTGGCAACATGGTGAAATCCTGTCTCTACAAAATATTTAAAAATTAGCCAGGCATGGCAGCATGTGTCTGTAGTCCCAGCTACTCGGGAGTCTGAGGTTGCAGGGAGGTCAAGGTTGCAGTGAGTTGAGATCATGTCACTGCACTCCAGCCTGGGTGACAGAGCCAGACCCTGTCTCAAAAAAAGAAAAGAAAAAAGAAAAAGAAAGAAAAACCCTAGTCCCCAAATTCTGAGAGGCATGGCCCACCTCATGTCAATTAAATTCTCTGTATTGCCAATTCTTCTGCTTGATAAGTCAGCTCTATCTGGGCAGCAGACAAGAGGAACCCACTGGACAGTTATAGTTTTAGTGTGAAACTAACAAAACAAGTTTTAAACAAAAATAAGACTATAGAAAAAAACCATCAATACATCAATATAATAGTTACATGTAAACTTTGCATCATACAGAATAATACATTCTTCCCTTATATTCATGGAGCATTTAAAATTGATCATGAAGAAAAAGTTTATAGTTTACCATCTCTGATCACTATCCTGTAAAATAAGAATAAAATAACAAAAAGATAAATTCCCAAATCCTTAACCACTTGAAAATTAAGAAACATACTGATAGGGATAGGAGGCAGGGAAATTCTGGGCAGAAGAGAGTGGGTCCCCGGCAAGCGTCCCACCCTCAAGCCTGGAACTGTGGCCCAAAGTGAGAACATCCATTCCTGTTTTCCCTCTTGAATGCTGCCTTTTCCAAAACCACCCATGGCCCACCCTGCCCACCACCCTGTGCCCATAAAAAACCTAGGCTCCGCCAGCAGAGAGAAGAGAAGAGGAGAAGCAGCTGGACATCAGAGACTATGGTTGAATGTTGGAGAGAGTCAGCTTGACTTCAGAAGGACAGCTTGACAGCATTGCTTTGGAGAGGAGTCTGGTCGGGGATGGCTGGACTACAGGGGAAGACTATCTTCCTGCTCCGTCCCCTTTTCAGCTCCCCTTCCCGCTGAGAGCCACTTTCATTGGCAATAAAATCCCCCAAGTTTACCATCTCCAATTTGTTCATGTGACCTCATTCCTCCTGGACACTGGACAAGAACTCGGGTGTGGGTGCAAAAGGCAGTCACCGTGACCCTCCACTGAGCTGTTAACACTTAAGCCATATGTGGATGGCAAAGCTGAAAGAGCACTGATTGTAACACTCTTTCTGGGGCTTCAGGGGTCATGGCCCCACCCCCGCCAGATGCTGCTGCAGATCCACATGAAGTTTTGCTCCTGCCAGCACCCAAAAGCACTCGCCCTGGTTCCTGCACCTGCTCACCTGCACTCCCCGTCCTGTGATGGGTGGAAGGCAGTGGGACCAAGCAAGTGGAGTCCATCCCTGCCAGCACTGAAGCAGCCAGCTAGTTCTAGCACCCCTGCACTCGAGTTCCTGCCTGCAAAGGGGTCAGGGAAATTTCCTGCTCCATTTTAGGGCCTTGTCTGGGATACGTCAGAAGGGTGAGTAAATGCAAAAATGTGGATCTGTCTTTTCTTGTCCTCAGACTTTCCTCTGATCTATGCCACTTGCAGGGGGCAGGATGCAACCCTGCCATTTCTCTTTTGGGTAAAAGGCTCTGCTTCCCTTCACATGGGTCTAGCCATCATGTGGGACCAGAATAAAGTCCTGGGGCAGCTGAAGGCATCTGGCCAATGCCACTCCTCGTTGTTGCCAGAAGGCCCCTGAACTGGACCCCATCCCCAATGTAATAGGTGGTCCGCCAAGATGCTCAGATTTTTCTGTGGTATCTTTCCTTTCTTCTTCTATGGTTTGAAATGGCTCCTATTGCTTCTTTTATAATGTTAAGAGTTTTGCTGCAAACTGCAGAAATGTTATTAAGTAGAATGAACATTTGGCCCAGCAATCAGATATGCAATTCAGAACAATGTGATTTCCGTTTGTTCTTAGAGGTGCCATCCCCACCCCCACCCCAACAGCTGCAGACATGCATGGCACGCAGTGAGTTTCCTCTCCATCCCCTCCCCTCCTGGCTGGGGCACTTGGGCATGTCCAAAGCATGCATGTGCCACTTCCAACAGCCATGGAGGGCAGGAGAAAATCACAGCTGCAGCCAGGGCCCCAGGGCAGTCTTGGGGCCCAGGGACCCCACACGGGCAGCTGTCCAGCATTTCCCACTCACCGTCCCCTCCCATCACACGCCCATAGAGCCTTTACTCCTCTGGCTGAGGAGTTCAGCTCAGTCCAAAGCGGGGGAAGAATACAGTGATTAAAGGAACCCATTTGCATAGAGCAAGGGGTTCTTCCCCCTCTCTTCAGCTGTTTTTTTTTTTTCCTTTCTTTTTCTATGTGATAGGGTTCTTTTCCTACCTCGGCACTCTGGTTATGATAGGGCAGCAATGGAGGAGTGGCCCCGCTGGCTGATAACTGCAAGTTTGACAGGACCCATCATGGACTTAATCTAAATGAATCCATGCACCCACTGATGCACCTTTTTGCCCTAAACTCAATTTTAAACTTTGGGTTGAAGCCCTAGAAAGGAAAACCAGATCTGAAGAATCCCAAGTGAGGCAACAGGCACAGTATAAATGGGTAGGACAAATTCCTGCTGATTAAGCCTCTGCTTCATGGAAGGAGGCCATGCTCCACGGCATAGATAAAGCCCTGGGAACCCAAAGGTTGCCGGCAGTAAAGGGGATGAAGGCATAGGTGAGTGCAGACAATTCCTATTCTCTAGGCCCTCCTTGTTTTATGAGTGCAGGCTGCAATGGCACCTGTGGGTGGCATCCATCTAAGGTTGCCAAGTCTTGGGGATAAAATGATGGAAGAGAAAAGGAGGAGGTTCACTTTCTCTCTCCCTCATACCTCAAGTTTTCACTGAAAGAAGGAAGTGAAATGAGAGACACCTATTTCCCTGTCTTTCGGAATGGGTAACCAGCTATCTTCACCACCCCAGTCTGTACTCCTCTGGAGGGTATCCTGAATCACTGGAACTGCTTTGACCCTCATACTCTGGAGGTAAAATGCCTCATAGCACAAAGGTTTAGCCAAATTGTGATCTGCAGGAAGGACTGTCTTGGCCTCAGGAAGGAACCATTCATTTCAATACCATCGTGTAGTTGGACCTTTTCTGTAAACATGAGGACAGATGGTCTGAGGCCATACATGCAGACTTTCTTTTCCTTGCAAGTAATCCAGACCTTTGCTGATAGTGTAGGATTGGTTCAGCCCTCCGGTTTGCCATCTCAGGGAAGGCTGCAAGTGGCAATCCCAAGGAACTAAAGAAATGAACCCCAGAGACACCTCCAGCAGGACAGCCAGCTCCCTCCAGCGCTGCTCCTCTGGGTCCACCCCTTCCTCCCCATCCAGCTTCTCTCTCTCACTTGCCCCCTCCTAGAAATCTTCACCCTGGACAAGCCCCAGTCTCACTCCTGCCTCTCCAACAGATGCCTGGTGAATTTGACCCCAGTAAGGTCCAGGTGCCCTTCTCTCTACAGGACTTAAGGCAGATTAAGGGGGATCACGGCAAGTTTTCAGATGACCCTGACAGTTGTATAGAGGCTTTCCAGAATATAACCCAAGTATCTGAACTCTCCTGGAAAGACATTATGTTACTTTTGAATCAAACCCTAACACTGAGAAGCACGCCATTCTGCAGCTGACAGAGGGATTTGGGGATGAGCTTAGTATCACATATATTGTCAGGGAAGGAGTCAAACTTTATCCAATTGGAAGGGAAGCAGTACCATTGGATGACCCTAAATAGGATCCCAATATTGAGATGGGAGAGTGGAAGAGGAGACACTTTAGGTGTCCATGATGGAGGGCTTACGTAGGACCAGAACTAAGCCTCTCAGTTATACGAAGCTACCCGTGACAGACCAGGGATTTGATGAGAATCCTACTGCCTTTCTGGAGAGGCTAAGAGGGGCCTTGGTAAAGCACACCTCTCTATCTCCCAATTCAGTCAAGGGACAACTAATCCTAAAGGATAAATTTATTACTCAGGTAGCCCCTGATATTAGGAGGAAACTGCAGAAACAGACCCTGGGACCAGATAGTACTTTAGTGAATCTCCTGAAAGTGGCCACCTTGATCTTTTATAATAGAGATAGGGAGGTCCAGGAGAGAGAGAGAAAACATAGGAAAGAAGCAGAGGGTTTAATGGCCACCATGAAAGCCCACAAACCCCAGGATTCCTGAGGTGCACCTGTTAACTGCTACAGATATAGTATGCCAGGACATTTTAGAAAGGATTGCCAAGGCAGCATGAGGAAGCCACCTTGACCCTGTCCAATCTGTAGTGGGGACCACTGGAAGGCAGACTGTCCCCAGGGAGGCTGGTCACCAGGTCCAGAGCCAATCTCCCAAATGGTTCAGCAGGACTGATGGGTCCCAGGGCTCCTCTCTGTAGCTCCAGTGGTCCAGACCACCATTACCATCCAGGAGCCCCAGGTAGTTCTGAAAATCAAAGGGAGGAAAGTGGACCTCCTTTTGGACACTGGGGTTGGTCTCTCAGCTCTCCTCTCCAATCCGGGCCCCTTCTCTTCTCTTAGCACAAATGAGAGGGGTATCTCAGAAAGGCTCTTAATCCGGTATTTTTTCCAACTCTTTAGTTGTAGCTGGGGAGACTTGTTGTTCACCCATGCCTTTCTAATTATACCTGAGAGCCCAACTCCTCTGCTGAACCGGTATATTCTGGCCAGTATGGGGACCACCATTCTGGTGGCCTCTGAACAAACTATTTGTCTCCCCCTAGTGAAGACTGATATTAACACAGAAGTTTGGGCAATTCAAGGGAAAATTGGCCAATCCACAAATGCCATACCAGTCCAGGTTCACCTTAAGGATCCCACCTCATTTCCTAATCAGAAACAATATCCCCTGAAACCAGAAGTTAGGAAAGGACTAGAAGCCATCATTGATAACAAGGTTGCAGGGCCTCCTCAAACCCTGCAACAGCCCTTGTAATACTCCGATATTGGGAGTACAAAAACCCAATGGGGAATGAAGACTAGTTCAGGACCTCCACCTTGTTAATGAAGCTGTGGTTCCATTACACCCAGTGGTTTCCAATCTGTATACCCTGCTATCTCAAGTACCTGAAGGAACTAAACAGTTCACAGTCCTGGACCTAAAGGATGCCTTCTTCTGCATACCATTACACTCTGACTCCCAGTATTTGTTTGCATTTGAGGATCCCTCTAACCAAACTACCCAGTTAACCTGGACAGTGTTACCTCAGGGATTCTGAGACAGCCCTCACTTGTTTGGGCAGGCATTGTCAAGAGACTTCTCTGAGTTCCTTTATCCTCAGGTTAAAGTTTTACAATATATAGATGACATTCTCCTCTGTGCTCGAACTGAGGAAACCTCTCGGAGGGTAGTAAGGCTCTTCTCAATTTTCTGGCTAATAGAGGATATAAGGTTTCAAAATCTAAAGCTCAGCTCTGTCAGACTTCAGTGAAGTACCTTGGTCTGATCTTGTCAGAGGGGACCAGAGCACTGGGCAAAGAAAGGATTAAGTCCATCTCCTCCTTTCCCCTCCCCAAAACCCTCAAGCAACTGAGGGGATTCTTAGGTATTACAGGATTCTTCAGACTATGGATACTTGGGTATGGTGAAATAGTTTGTCCCTTATATCACCTAATAAAGGATACTCAGGCAGCTAAAACTCACTCTCTAATTTGGGAACCTGGGACTAGAAAAGCCTCTGACCAACTAAAGCAAACCTTGCTTAAGGCACCAGCCCTTAGTCTCCCCATAGGGAAGATGTTTAATCTTTATGTGTCAGAAGCAAAGCAAATGGCCCTGGGAGTGCTAACACAAGCCCTGGTCCAGCCCAGCAGCCTGTAGGCTACCTAAGTAAGGAGCTTGATTTGGTAGCCAAAAGATGGACAGCCTGCCTCCAGGCAGATGCAGCAGTAGCCTTGCTGGTACCAAAGGCTACTAAGTTAACCATGGGGAATAACTTAACTGTTTGCACTCCACATAATGTGTCAGGACTGCTGTCTTCTAAGGGGAATCTCTGGCTAACAGACAACTGCCTCCTCGTGTATCAAGTTCTGCTATTAGAGGGATCTGAAGTCCAATTAAGAACCTGTCCCTCCCTAAATCCAGCCACCTTCCTCCCAGAGGAAGCTGGGAAGCTTGAACATGACTGTGAACAGCTAGTAGTACAGACCTATGTGACCAGAGAGGATCTCAAGGAAACCCTCTTAGAGAACCCAAACTGGATTCTCTTTACAGACAGAAGTTCTTTTGTAGAACAAGGGATACATAAGGCAAGGTATGCAATAGTTACTCTGAATGATATTGTTGAGAGTGTGTCTCTCTACTCAGGGACAAGTGCTTAATTAGCCAAACTAATTGCCCTCACAAGGGCACTCAAATTAAGCAAAGGAAAAACAGTTAACATTTGCACTGATTCTAAGTATGCTTTCCTAGTCCTCTGTGCCCATGCCACTATCTGGAAAGCGAGAAACTTCCTCACAGGTAATGGGAGTCCCATTAAATACCATCAGGAAATTAATAGACTATTATCCTCGGTTTTTCTCACATGTGAAGTGGCAGTAATACATTGTAAAGGCCACCAAAAAGGTATGGATGAAGTAGCCAAGCAAAATAGATTGGCAGACCAAGCAGCTAAATCAGCAGCAACAAAGCCTCAGATTTCTGATCCACTTGAAGCCTCACTGATCTGAGAGGGCCCCTTAAGAGAAATATAATCTAAATATTCTCCTGTGGAAATAGAATGGGCAATCTCTCAGGGATACATCTTTCAGTCCCCAGGATGGCTACAATTGGAGGACAGCAAGCTTCATCTACAGGCTGCTGACCAATGGAAAGTTCTTAAAATCCTTCACCAAGCTTTCCACCTACGTAAGGATAAAACCCATCAGTTGGCCCAGAAATTGCTCTCAGGTAAAAACCTGATACAGTTAAACAGATCGTTAATGCTTGCTAGACCTGCCTTTAAAATAATCCCCTTAATCGACAGCTTCTTCCCCCAGGAATCCAAAGGACAGGAGGCTATCCAGGGGAAGACTAGCAGTGGATTTCACCCATATGCCAAAGGCAAGAGGCATCCAGTATCTCCTAGTGTGGATAGATACCTTCACTAACTAAGTAGAAGCAATTCCTTGTCAGACGGAGAAAGTCTCTGAGGTGATAAAAGTACTAATTAATGAGATAATTCCTTGCTTTGGACTCCCTAAGTACCTCCAGAGTGATAATGGCCCCTGTTCAAGGCAGCCGTCACCCAGGGGGTCTCAAAGGCACTAGGCATACAGTACCATCTTCATTGTGCTTGGAGACCACAATCCTCAGGAAAGGTAGAAAAGATGAATATTATCAAAATGCACCTCAGGAAGCTGTCTTAGGAGACTCGTCGCCCCTGAACTACCCTTCTCCCCATAGCCCTACTACATGTTAGAAACACCCCTCCAAAGCTGGGTTTGAGTTCCTTTGAAATGATGTATGGATGGCCTTTTCTCACGAATGATTTCTTGCTAGACCAAAAATCCTCTGATTTGATTAAACATATAACTTCTTTGGCCCATTTCCAACAGGAACTGAAACAACTGTTGGAGGTCCAATCCCAGGAACTAGGGCCACCTCTATTCAACCCAGTGGACCTAATACTGGTAAAGGTACTTGCTTCCCTTTCTCCCTCTATAAGCCCAGATTGGGAGGGATTATACTTCTTTCTACTCTTATGGCACTGAAAGTCACTGGAATAGATCATTGTATTCACTATACCCGAGTAAAGGCCTGGGAAGCTGACAGAGTTACCTGCATCAACCCAGAAGAGCACCCAAAGTACCTATGTGAAGAGATTGGGGAACTCAAGCTAAAAATCACAAAAGATAAGTGTTAATAATTAACCTTCCATGGATATCCTCTTTATAGTCTTGCCTAGGCTTGTTGTTTTTACCTCCATTCTGTGCTATACCATGGGGTATAATGTTGATTTCAGAATGATTAGTATATTTCACTTCTTATTTCTGTAATCTTCAGCATTAGATTCTCTCCTTTTAACTCCTCTTTGGACATATATTTGGTCCATGCATACTTAACCCTGTAAAACTTGTTTCTTTGCACCTAGAGGCCATCAAACTCCAAACAGTCAGGCAACCAGAACCTCAGACAATGGCTCCCTTTTGCTGGGGACCCTTAGGTAGACCTTGGGGAGGAATCTGACTGCTGTTCTTCCCATACTCACACCCCCTGTAAACAGGAAGTAGCTAAGACCAGTCATCGTCCATATTACACCAGCAGTTAGATGAGCCTCTTCAGAGGAGGGAAATGACAGGGGCAGGAGGCAGGGAAATTCTGGGCAGAAGAGGATAGGTCTCTGGCAAAGGTCTTGCCCTCAAGCCTGGAACCGTGTCCCAAAGTGAGAACACGCATTCCTATTTTCCCGCTTGAAAGCTGCCTTTTCCAAAACCACCCATACCCCACCCTGCTCCCCATCCTGTGCCCATAAAAACCCCAGGGTTCACCAGCAGAGAGAAGAGGAGAAGCAGCTGGACATTGGGGACTATGGTTGGAAGTTGGAAAGAAGCAGCTTGACTTCAGAGGGACGGCTTTACGGTGTTGCTTCGAAGAGGAGTCCAGCTGGGGACAGCTAGACTCTGGGGGAAAATGATCATCCTGCTCTGTCCCCTTTCCAGCTCCCCTTCCTGCTGAGAGCCACTTTCATTGGCAATAAAATCCCCCACATTGACCATCTCCAATTTGTTCATGCGACCTCATTCCTCTTGGATGTTGAACAAGAACTCAAGTGCAAGTGCAAAAGGCCGTCACACTGACCCTCCACTGAGCTGTTAACACTTAAGCCATTCATGGACAGCAAAGCTAAAAGAGCACTGACTGTAACACTCTTTCTGGAGCTTCAGGAGATATGGACACCCCCCTAGATGCTGCTGTGGGGAAGCACAGTTTCGCTCCTGCCAGCACCCAAAAGCGCTTGCCCCAGCTCCTTCACCTGCTCACCTGCGCTCCCCCTCCTGCAAGGCGTGGAACACGGTGGGGCCAAGCAAGTGGAGTCTGCCCCTGCTGGCACTGAAGTGGCTGACTAGTTCTAGCACCCGTGCACTCCAGTTCCTGCCAGCAAAGGGGTCAGGGAAATTTTCTGCTTGAATACTCCTAAATAACCTTGTAATCAAAGAGGAAAATGAAACTAAAGTTGTTAATTTTATAGAAAATAATGAAAGAGCACACACTAAATACCAAAATATACGGGATACAGTTAAACCTCTACTCAGGAAAATATATAAAAATGGAAAATACAGGAATTCACTCAATTTAAGAAACTGGAAAAGGACAAAAAAATGAAAGTAAATAGAAGGAGGAAATTCACTTTTAAAAAGCTCAAACTAATAAAATCAAAATGAAACTAACTTACAAGGGATAATTAACAGATAATTAACATCAAAAGCTGCTTCTTTGAAATTACTTATTAAGGAAAAAGGGAGAAAATAAAACAAAAATACAATACTAACAATGGAAAAGGAGATACACTTATAGATATAGACAATAGTATGCTGATAACCATTTAACAATTGGCTCTCAAAAAAAAAAAAAAAAAAGCCGCAATTTGTAGTGCTTGCTGATTTCCATGGCGTGAAAACTTACACTTTAGTGGATTTTAAGCTACCAATGTATAGACACCAAACCAAAATATGGGAAAAATGCACACAATTGGAAAGTCAGCACCAGCACACCATTGGAGAGATATTAATTATAAGGGACTATCATATGCAATGTATACCACATGATTTTAAAATCTATTAAATGCTTTTACCCAAGAAGGAGTAACAAAACCTCAAGAATCTAATAACTTTAGACCAGATTGGAAGGGTGATTAACAATCTGTAATTTTTTTAAGGCTCCAGGCCTAGATGGTTTTAGAGCTGAGTTCCATAAACTTTGAAAGAACAAATCATTCTCACACAACTTAAACTATTTAAGACCACAGAGAAAGACAAAAAGGTCTCAAATGCATTTACTAGATCTAGTATAATTCCACAATATCAGAAACCTAAAAATGATATCAGAAATAGTAAGGCTATAGATTGATTTCAGTTCTGAATATATAGAGAAAAATGTTTAACAAAAGCAGCAGGGCAACAAAAGAATAAAATACCATAACCAAACACTTTTTATTCCAAATATAAAAGAATGATTCAAGATTAGAAAAAATCAACATATAGGGTTATATTAATATATTCTAAAAGGTTTTTAAACAAAATCAGTAGCCAGTCCAAGTGAAAATTCTAAATAAAACAGCATTCAAATATAATAAATAGCAAACTTCATACTAAATGGTGAAATGCTAAGGCCCTTTCCAGTAACATTATGAACAAGGCAAGGATGTCTGATATCACCATAGTGTTTTAAATGTTTTAGCTGAGGCAAAAGAAAGTTAGAACATGAAATAATTGGTATAAATATTGGTAAAGGAGATATAAGTGCCTCAGATAAACCCGAGACTCTAGGTTTTTTTTTTAAATATAAGGTTGCCAATATGGTAAGATTGTAATACACAAGAAAATATATAAAATCAAAAGCTTTTCTCCATATGCTTTTAAAAATGGAAATAGAAAAGTAACCCATTCACAGCACGGACAAGAGTACAAAGTACTTAGGAATCAACAACAACAAAAAAATGTACTGTACCTATTTGAAGAAAACAACTAAATATTAAAGAGACGGTCCCAAAAATAAAACCTGAAAAAATGCAAAGATATACCGTGATTCTGGATAGGAAGACATATCATAGGAATGTCTTTCTTCTAAAAACTAATACACAACTGTAATATAGTGATAATCACAATCCAAACTGAGTATATTTTGTAACTATACAAAATTATTTAAAAGTTCATATGGAGACACAAATATGTAAAAATATGGAGAAACAAATATCTAAGAATAGTAAGGAAATATCAGATATTACCAAAAAGTCAGTATAATCAAAATAGTAAGGTATTGGCGTAAGAATGGAAAATTAAATCAATGGAACAGAATAGAGTCTAGAATAGAAGCAAGTACATATGGAAATCCAATATATGGCAATGGTAGCATATCCACTCAACAGGAAAAGGACTGTTCTTTTAATAAATGGGCTTAGCATAATAGTTATCTATCTGAAAGGAAACACAACTACATGCCCTAAAATACATTTCAAAATCTCATATTCTAAAACAAATTCCAGGTACATTAAAGACTTAAAATATAAAAAATAAAACCACCGAAAATATGAAAAGAAAGTTTGAGGAGGGGGAGACCTTTCACAAGCCAGAAAAACCAGAAGCCATACAGAAAATAAAGACAAAAGACAAACTGGGGGGAAAATATCACAACACGTGACAGGTAAAAAGTTAATAATATATATTATCTCTATCTAATCTATATCTATGTCCTTTTCCTCACCTAATCAACTTTTCCTGGCCAAATTCATTCATTTTCATGGTTTTAAGTGTGACCTATATGCTAATCATGGAAGCATAGATTGATCCCCCTTAAATTTGTGGTGTCCAACTTCAAGCAGGCTCTCAAAGTTTCTTATTAATTCTGTGTTTCTCTTAACAGCTCTCTCTATATCTCCACAGCAGCGATCTCTACCATCCACAAAGCTTCAACCCTACTACCTCCCTTCTCACTCATAGTAAAATCGTAGTAAATGATTTTACTTCCTTTGTCACAGAGAAAATAAAATTTATCCCAGGGAATTATTTTAAATTCTCACAAAACAATAAGGAAACAATCATCTTTCCTTTCTCCTATTACAAAGAAGTGATATATCTCTCTAGAAAGTTCATCAGTCCTCTCCTAGAGGCTTTGCATTCCATCCTCTTCTAGCTTCTTGGGGTCCTCATTTGATTAATCTTCTTCCCTTTCCTTCAGCCAACCTCTCTTCTGGTTCCACTCCTTCCCATTGACATTTCAAGATATTTAAGTCTTTCAAATCATTATTTAAAAGATCATCTATTCACTTCTTCTGAAAATACTTTCTTCTTTCAGCTTCCATGAGACAAATTTTCCTAGTTTTCCTGCTGATCATTCCAACTCCTTTGTCTGTCCCTTAAATGTCAGCATTCTGAGAGTTCTAGCACACTGACTTAGGTGACCTCATCCATTTCTAAGGCTTCAGTTACTCTCTACATGCCAGTACCTTGCTTAACTTTTTTAATTTTAAGAGCTTTATTGATATATAATGTATATGCCACAAAATTCACCCATTTTAAGTGGGTAACTCAATAATTTTAGTAAATTTACAGAATTTTGTAACCATTACCACAATCCAATTTTAGAACAATTCCATCACCTCAAAAAGATCTCCATTTGCCTTAATTATATTTATGTCTATCCTAAGTCTCTCTCCTGAAATTTAGACCTATATAACTAACTGCTTACTGGACATTTCATTTGCATAACTACAGGCACTACAAACTCAGTGTTTCCAAACTGAACTCGTCTCTTTCCTACATCCTGTTCCATTAAATCTGATTCTTCTCTAATGTTCCCTAAATGAATGAAGGGTATCACCAGCTCCTCAGAAACCCAGGGCTTCATTCTTAACTTCTCTTTCTTATTCCCCACATCCAGTTAATCATCACATCCCCTATATTTACCTCATAAATATAATTCAAATCTATCCTTTTCTATCATCTTCCCTTATATTTCACTAGATCTGTCCACCAAAATCTCTTCCCTGAATTCATATATCCATCCAACAAATATACATTGAGTGCCTACTATGTGCCAAGCACAATGCTACTACAGTCTCCTAATTGGCCCCTCTGTCTCCAATCATTTATTTTCCCAATGTGTACTTAACCCAGCAGAGGGGCAGTATAAACTTTTTAAAAAACACACTACAGGCCGGGCGCGGTGGCTCATGCCTGTAACTCCAGCACTTTGGGAGGCCGAGGTGGGCGGATCACAAGGTCAGGAGATCGAGACCATCCTGGCCAACAAGGTGAAACCCCGTCTCTACTAAAAATACAAAAAAAAAAAAAAAAATTAGCTGGGCGTGGCGGCACATGCCTGTAATCCCAGCTACTTGGGAGGCTGAGGCAGGAGAATCTCTTGAACCTGGGAGGTGGAGGTTGCAGTGAGCCGAGATCTCACCACTGAACTCCAGCCTGGAGACAAAGGGAGACTCCGTCTCAAAACAAAACAAAACAAAAACAAAAAACAAAAAACACTACACCCGTGCTTAAAATGGCTTCATACTAAATTTCAATTGGCTTCCCTTTGACCTTAGAATAAATGCCAAACTTCTTAGCATGGCTTTTAATGTCCTCTGTAATCAGGTCCCTCCATGCCTCTCTAGTCTCATTTCTACACTCCCCTTGGATAAATCATTTAGCTATCTGAGTTTCCTCATCTGAAAAATGGGGATAATAATAGTGCCTGTCTCAGAGGTAACTGAGAAGATTAAATGAGATAATACATGTAAAGCACTTGGCATGACACCTGGAGCACATTAAGTGTTAATAAACAATAGATGTTAATGATGGTAATGATGTTAGCCTTCTTCCATCTCCCTCTCCCCCGAACTACTACAGCACTTACAGTTATTGTCACACAGTTTAAATTATTTTATATTGCTTGGCAATGCTTCATACTGTTAGCTCTGCTTTCTCAACTAGACTATAAAGTCCTTGAAGACAGGGATAGAGACTTAATACACCTGCTACTATATTCCTCTGTATCACATAACACTATGCTAAACCCACAGTGGAGCTTAATATTTTTTATAAAGGTCCACTTAGGAACACCATTTGCTTTCAACTTCTGAGCTAATGATGTGTCACTGGGTTAGCATGGGGTTTGGCAGTACTCACTGTAGGTCAGTGTTGTGTGTGTGTGTGTGTGTGTGTGTGTGTGTGTGTGTGTGTGTGTGTGTGTGTGTTTTCAGTGGCTTTGCTGCTGATATCCTGTTTTTGACAGAAATGGAGTACGAAAGCATGAAGGTGTTTAATTTTGCTCTCTGGCCTGCAGACAATATGCAATTTGCGTATTCATCTGTGATATATTTTTACTTCTTAAATGTAAGTGTTCTCTGTGAGCTACCAATATAATATAAATTCCATTTCATTCTAAAGCCAATGGAATCCTCCTGAAATGGTTTGAATTTCTTGACTGTTGAGTGGGTGGCAATTGGAATCCCAGAATATCCCCAGGGTGCTAGAAGATTCAAAGCTCTTCAGATGCTAGAACACACCACAAATTTGGCAGGAGTTTCATTATATGTGCACTATAGAGTAAACTGGCATCGTGTAATTGTTTCTCCTTCCTTTTCACATAGCATTGTTATCCTTCCCTGCCTAGGTCACTCACCCTCTTCTCTAATCCTCCTCGTGTCCTGGGCTTTCCCCTGTACCTGAGATTTTTCTAATAAGACATCTTTGGACATTCGTAAACCTGCCATTCTATGCCAGTGCAAAACTACCCATATATAGATTGGGATGAGGGAGCTCAGGATGGAACTATGTTGTTCTATGCGACTAGCACTGGTGCTATACACTTTTAGCTAGAGTTTTATTGGTTTAGAAATTATTCCAAAGCCAGTGATTGTTTTGTGCCTTTGATGTTACTAAGGAGAAGCTGGAACAGGCTTGGGATATGGAGAAGAGGAGGAAAACCTTCTCTCAAGGAAAGAGTCAATGTTTCTCATTAAAGAAAACAAAAGGCAACATCCTCCAGTTGTGTCCCAGTTTCTCCCCTTATATGGGGAAAACATCAAAGGACTGAAAAGAACCCTTTGGGGTGGGCGGGGAGGGAAACAGGTCAAAGCAATCCTCATGACCCAGTTTAAACACTAATTCTCTCACTGGGCATATATCCTTTTTTCCACATATATCCTCTTTACACATACAACCCCCTCCCCAGACACACATAAGAGATGAACAGCCAGGCACAGCCATCTATGAAATAGATAGACAGATGCATAGCACGTGCAGAGGCATTATGATGCATGCTCTGGAGAGATTATCATCACAAAGAAAGGCTTGCCCAAATATTGCTCTAGTATCACACCACATCATTCCCACATGGGCACACGCTCACATAATACTGGTTTTCTGGTTTTCTGTCCTTACCCAGACCATAAGCACAATAATCAGCGACTTGCAAAACACTGCACATGGAGCCATGGGTTGTTAGTTTTGCCCATCTTTTTTAATACAGCATAGTCATTAAGAGCAAGGACCTCAGTAAAATTGGATGCAAACTCTTAATTTGCCACCTGTGATTTTATACAAATAAGTTACCCCTGTGTGCTTCAGTTACCCCATCTGTAAAATGAGAATGAGAATCATATGTACTTCATTGGGTTATTGTGTGGATTAAATGAGCTAATGTATTTAAAGCTCTTAGGAATAATTAAGAGTTCTTAGGACTGGCTGAGATAGGGTAAACTTGGATTCAAGATTTGATTTAGGTGAGAGGAGAGGTAGTGAGAATAGACAGAGGCATTGGATTCTCTTTCTGTCTTGAGGTAGTAAATAGCTGATTTCCTGGCTGTATGTGTACTTCTAAGTAATCATTCCATCAAAAGACACCATTAATAATAGCAATGCATTCACTCTTTTTTGAGGAAATCTATATATTTGCAGTCATTGTGGTATTATATTTGTTATTTATATCCTGTTTTAAATGTGCAAACATTAATTATACTTTTGAGAGTACATCTTTACTGTCAAACTCTTAGTAACTGTTAAGAAACCCTGTGTCTCATGGAGACTACTTTTACCCTGAAACATGGTCATGTACAGCCCTAGAATGAGGACCCATCCCGGCAGTCTCAGCAAGAAAATATGGGTCCCAGCGTAAACTCTATGGCTGAGGACAGTGTTGATACCTGGAGCTGCCCACACTATTTCCACCCCTCATGGCACAAAAATAATCTGAGCAAGTAAATGCCTAATTGTGGGTATTATTGCTTCCTTCTGCCAACTCTAGGCAACTCCCTCTCCTCTGTACCCCATGAAGGGCTGTCAGAATATGGAGAGCTGCTCTGGGCTATTAAAGGTAGGCCAATGGCAGGAGTACATAAGAGGCTTACCACAGATTCAGGAACGCCAGGCCCCCAAACAGACCATATGTTTTTCTAGAGCTAGAGCTATTTAGTGGAGAAAAACAAAGGGTTTTCTGGAGCTGCCTCCTACCTATCTGAGCACAAATGAATCGGTGGCAAGTAAACCAACAACTTCTCCACTAGGCTGCACAATGCAATGGAAAGAACATAGACTTTGGAGTGAGAGAAATGTAGAACTGCATCCCAGCTTACTTATGTGTGACCTTGAGTAAGGCATCTAATATCTCTGGCCTTCAAGTTCCTCACTTGAAAAATGGGAATATTAACCAGCTGTATCACAGGATTGTCATAAACACTAAGTGAGATTAGAAATGATGTCTCTAGCACAGTGCCCAGAACAAATTATTCAAGTAAGATTCTCTTCCTCCCAATCCTTGCTTACCGTACCACAGAGCTGGACTCCTCTAGACAGGCAGAGACAGTAAGGACATCTCAATGGCTGTGTGCCTATCTGCTGTGGTGATAGTTGTTTTGGTTTCAAGTCTGGGTTTTTAAAACATTTGTTTAGTTTTAGTTGGGTTGATGGCAGGAGAGATTAGAGGTAAAAGTGGAACTAGAAACATTTCAAGGTATAGGATAAGCTTGATAGAGCCTTAGCTGAATTATTAAGATTCCATTAACTTTCCAAGAGCACACTGGAAATGGGGAATTTGGGTGGATTGTGAAAATAGTGGAGCAAACAAGAGGAGCCAAAATTAAGCAAGTCTTCTGGTCATTTAGTGAGTGACCTGGAATTTGAACACAGAAATGAGAACTAGAGGAGGGATGGGAAACGGGACTGTAAGATAAGCTTCACTGTGCCAAAGGAAAAGTGCAAAAGTGGGATGAAAGTGCATTCCTATGTGAACTGTTTCGGCTATGAAGACATGACCACACCTGAAAGCTTACCTGCCCTATAGATGTGAGGGAGGAGGGCGAGGAAAACAATATTAATCCTAACTAATTTTATCCTTAAACCCTGTCATGTGTTAATACCCTCCAAGTATTTCAACTGCAACATTTAATGTCTTCAAAAATGTTACTTTACTGACATAAATGAAGAATTGTCACAAAGTATTTTTTAAAAAGGATTGAATGCATTAGGTCTCTGAAAAATTATAAAGCACTTTCTTTTCTAGTATAAAAATAGGCTATGACCACACACTGGATTGCACAGTTAACTTAGGTTTTTCATCTATATTAAATGTCAATCGTTATATTCTTAATAAGATTGAATGTAATACTCTGAATTAGTCACTACAGTAGTATAAATGAATAGATTGACTGGATCACTGAACTTATTTTCCATTTTTCATGGAAACAATTTTCTCCATCTATAATTCCACAGTGGTTTCAAACTAGGTATTTCATTTTCACAAGACACTAGCAGTTCAAATCTTTCTCAGGAGCTCTTAAGTCTGCTCCCCTTGCTCTTCCATCTCTAACAAAAATATTCACAGAACATTTTTGCTAATAAACATTTTAAATCGCAAATACAAAATTATAGAACTCTCTCTTTTTAAAATTACTAGAGATGAAAGCATGTGACCCTCCCTAAAACTTTTCTTTTGGCTTTGCTTAAAGGCAGTAATCAAGAAGAATTTGGGCAGGATAATGGGCAAATTTACTTAAGTATCAACACGAAGAATCTTTTGGATATTCTTGCAGAAGGGCAGTAAATGTTTCCTTACTAAATAAAATTTGTTTAAATTAGTAACTGCAAACTAGCAGCTTATTGAGCACAATAACCCTTTTTAGTCTATCACATCTGCAGAGTTACTGGTGGGCTAGGTGGAGTCACATGGCCAAGGTACCCAATATTTTTGCTGCTGCAATTTCATTACCACTCCCTCTTCCCAAGAAAAGTTTTAGTTGATATATGTAAAATTTGAAATTGGTTATGAGTATTTGGGAATGATTGTTCTCCCCACTCTCAGAGATAGTGATAAAAAGCTTTGGAAGTCCTGAGGTCAGGGCTAGGAATCTCTGGCAAAATGTGTAGTGCCCAAAATTACTACTACTAGTACTACTGCTACTAGCAACTGTTCCTGCTATTACACCTCCTCTTCCTCTTTCTCCTTCTTTCCCTCCTCCTCCTCCTCCTGCTACTATGACTAGTATTACCACCACCACCGTTTATTGAGCTTTGACTATATATGCCAGGCACAGTAGCAGGTACTTTACATGTATTGCCTTTCTCTTCAATGTATTATTAGTCCAAGTTTTATAGATGGTGAAACTGAGGCTCAGAAAAAGTATGTGTTCAAGGTTGCACAGCTAACATGACTCCTGTCTGTCCAACTCCAAAGCTGTCACAGCACACTGCCTCCCAGGACGTACATACCATTTTTAGGACAGGCAAGTTGTAGAAACTAAGGCTACAGTGTCCTGGGTTGGAGATAAAGCTGGACACCAAGTCAGGGAGGGAAGGGAAGCATATGTGGATGAACGCAGTGGATCTAGTGATTCCTACTGTTAACTCACCAGTAGCAGAATAATACACAAACAGAGCATTTATGAGTCTGACTTTTCTGCTCTTCGAAAGGATAATAACTACCACCTTATTTCTTGCTTCACCTTCGTGATCAAACTTCTTGCAACCTGCATTTCCTTTTGTTTGTTTGTTTGTCTGTTTTGAGACAGAGTTTCCCTCTTGTCGTCCAGGCTGGAGGGCAATGGCACGATCTCGGCTCACTGCAACCTCCACCTCCTGGGTTCAAGCAATTCTCCTGCCTCAGCCCCTTGAGTAGCTGGGATTACATGTGTCTACCACCACACCTGGCAAATTTTTGTATTTTTTGTAGAGATGGGGTTTCACCATGTTGGCCAGGCTGGTCTTGACCTCCAGACCCCAGGTGATCCACCCACCTCAGCCTCCCAAAGTGCTGGGATTACAGGCATGAGTCACCGCGCCCAGCCCTGCATTTCCTTATAACTTACTTTCTTCCTGACCTCTTTGAATTTATGTTCCATCTTCATATTTGCGTAGAACCTTCTCCCTCAAAGATGACTAATGAAATCTTCTATGCTTCTGCTCCAATTGACTCATCAAATCTTCCACATTTTGAAGGCCTCTCCTTCCTCTGAGATTTTGATCCTCTGTTTTTGTTGGTTTTCCTCGTCTCTTGACTGCTCTTTGTTTCTCCTTTGCTGTCCTTCAGAATTCACATCCCTATCCCATACCCCTTGCTCACTACAAGTCATCCTCACAATGGGTCCAGGAACCACCCATGATTAACAAGAGACATCCAAGTGGCGTGTACCTTGGTCTTGCAAAACAACGCGTAATGGAGTGGTCAGGGGCACAGGCTCCAGAGCTAAAGTGCCTGTATTCAAATCCCCACTCTCTTACCTACCAGTGGCATGAACTTGGCAAAACACTTAAATATTTCTTTGTCTCTGTTTATCTGTAAAGTAGGGGTATTAACAGTGTCTATCTCACAGAGCTGTTGTGAGAATTAAATGAGTTAACACATATTAAGCACTCAGCTGGAACAGAGGAAATCCTCAGTAAGTGTTACTTATTATTGTAGTCTTTAAGATAATAATACCCTAAACCTTTGATTTTTTTCCACAAATGAATAATTTACTTTGATATTTAATTTTCAAAATGCACAGCATTCTTCAGTAATCTCCTCAAAAGCAACACCGTCTTTCTATTTATTTTTGGAAAGTCAGTTTGTTATTGTATTGTGAGTGACAAACAATTGGGCTGGAGATTTGTCACAGGCCCTCTTTTCAATCTATACATTCTCCATGGCTTTAAGTGCTACTTAGATGCTAATGACTTCCAAGTATATCCCTTTCCCAGACCTCTCTCTTGACCTCTAAATCCAGCTAGCCAACTTTCTACTGGACATTTCCTACCTGCCTTTCTGACCCAGAGAACAATAAACCTTGCAGGTCTAAAAAGAACTCCTTTTATATTTCTTAACCTAGTTAAAGGCCATAGACCTATTTGGTCACCTAAACCAGAACCCTGTGGATCATCATAGTATTTCTTCTCCCTCACTCCTTCACCCATTAACTGATCACCAATTAATACTGATCCACCTCCTAGAAATGTTTTGAATGTATCCCTTCTTCCCTAATCCTACTGCCACTGTCTCAAGCTGGGCCTTCATCTCTCCCTGGATCAGTAAAAATCTAACTGGTCTCTTTGTCCTCACTTTTTACCCTGGACCCTTGACCTTTGCTCCATACTCCATACTACAGCCATAGCAATCCTTCTTAAATACAGATTTTATTCAGTTATTCACCTGCTTAAAATCCTTCCATGGCTCCCCAGACTTCTCAGGTTAAAGTCTAAACACCTATACATGGCCTACAAGGCTCTTTATTATTTGGGCCCAAGCTACTCACTTCTCCATACTCACCTCTTGCAATCTCATGTCTTACATTCTGGCCAAGCCAAACTTCTGATAGTTCCCTGAACGTCTCCATGCTGATCACCCTTCTGTGTTCTCACATGTGGTCCCCTTCACTCCCTTATCTCATTTTTATTGGCAAAATTCTACTCTTATTTCAAGATAACTCATTTTTTTTCCATTCTGCAGCCTTTCCTAAGTTTCTCAGGCAGGCCTGAGTGTTTCCTCCTCCATGCTAACTTGTCATCACGCATTTACATTCATTACAGTAATTATCACTTCACATTCTATTTGCCATTTTACCTGTCAGGTTCTCAGCCAGTCTGTGTGTTCCTTGAGGGCAGGTGCCATTTCCTATTTATCTGTATACACCCAGTGCTTAAGGCACCATTTTCCCCATAAAATGTGCTCATTTACACCTCCACTAATACCTCTGCTTTCTGTCTCTCCAGAGGGAGTAATTTTTTTTCTCCTTCAACATTTGGCTAAAATGCATTTTCTCCATTAAATTTTCCAATTATACTAATTTCACTGACTGCTCCTTAAAGAGGGCTCCACCAACAAATGTATTTGTGCTCTAATGGTTTAAATTCTATTCTTTCTTCTAGCTCAACCACCCAAAAATATTTAAGGATCATCTGCTGAAATCATCCATAGCAGTGTTTTTTAAATTAATTTATTTTAAAATATTTATATTTTATGCTTGGAGAAGCAGCCAGACATCTATTACATAGACTCCAAGATTCTTGCCCTTCCCAAACTAAATATCCTTCCAATGGGCAATACGAGCAGAAAGAAGAAAATACCAGCCCATCTGAAGTTTGAACTCTAAAGAGAGAGACTTCCAAAAGTGAATGAAGCTAAGACCTAGTAGCAAGACAGAAAGCTGAAATTCCCCAGACTAAGGGAAACCTCTCCCTCTCTTCCAACTCATCTCCTTTCTTTCTTCTTTCTCCTAATGCTAAAGAGCAGTGCCGTCCAGCTCTTTAAAAGGATTGAGAAGAGCCAGAAGGAAATCAACCTGCCCATGGAGCTTCTGGGATGGATTAAGCCATTGTATCACAGCAGTTCTGGAAAGAAGAAAAAGGTGGCACACAAAATATACAGGAAAGTGTTTTAATTTACTCAGTGCCCTAAAAGCTAAGAACAAGACTAAATAAGTAAAATTGAAAGGGCTATACTACATTCATTTGTATTTTCTGCACTGCATGCTGCTCTATAAATACTCTTTCTCACTATATACTGTTTTCCCTAACTAGACTGAAAGTTCCTGGAGGTCATCAACCACATATATTTCTTTTGTAGCCCCCAAATCGCCCACCACAGAGTACACAGCGTATGCTCAATAAATGCTGTTGACCAACTGATTACTAAGTATTTAACTATATTTGCCCCTCGCTATGTTTTAGAATGCCTATTATTCACAGAACCATGGAGTATTGGAAGCGAAGAGGAAGTATTCATCTGTTGGTATACATTTTCCCTTGGCTATGCATTATACAGAGGTTTCCTTTGGAAATGTAAACAAAGGATGCCTGATGAGCCAGGACAAAGAACTATATATAGAGATCAAGTGGTTATCATAGCAAGGTCAAAGCATGCCCTTCCTTAATTAGATTAAAGGGAGTCTTGGAGCTGCCTCTACCTCCTTCCCATGCTCTCCAGCCGCAGCAGAAAACATTTTCCAACCACCCATCTACTGAATTCTGAAACCTTCAGCAGCAATTATAACAAGCTACATTACCATAGAAGTCAGCTAACAAATCTGTAGTGATCTTAATCTCTGTTTCTGTTATAATAGGAAGACTGCAGCTTTGTTTACTTTCTGAGGAGAATAGAGAACAGGGAGAAAGAACCATGATAGGGAGGCAGTATTTATGGCCCTTTTATGAAAAGGCAATTTGTGACAAAAACATTTACAGACAATAAAGAAGGGGAACAGGTTTGACAGGAAAATACCCTATTCCAGTTTTCTCAGAAGCGCCTTAGCTGGTATCCTCCGCCCCCGCCGAATGTGAAATGCCTGGTATACACTGTGAATATAGTCATTCCCTATAGATGAATCTGGATTACATATAATGAAAAAATTCCAAATCACCCATCAGTGTCTTACTTTCATGACTGACAGTATTCTACTATACATTTCATTTTCTACTGTATTTTTAAGCATTTATGAAGTCTCAAGTCCCTCCATTAACTAGATTTCTAATCCTGAGGTTTGTCCTGAAGGCTTTTGGAGAGACAGGCTCTGTGTTGAATGAGGATAATAAGTAACCTGGATTCACCGTTGTTATTATTAAGAGGAAGTTGGCCGGGCCCGGTGGCTCACGCCTGTAATCCTAGCACTTTGGGAGGCCAAGGCGGGTGGATTGCCTGAGCTCAGGAGTTCAAGACCAGCCTGGGCAACACGGTGAAACCGCGTCTCTACTAAAATACAAGAAATTAGGCGGGCATGGTGGCGTGTGCCTGTAATCCCAGCTAGTCGGGAGGCTGAGACGGGAGAATCACTTGAACCTAGGAGGCAGAGGTTGCAGTGAGCCGAGATTGTGCCACTGCACTCTAGCCTGGGCAACAGAGCGAGATTCCATCTCAAAAAAAAAAAAAAAAAGAGGAAGTTAAGGGCACATCCCTAACCTTTCAGAATGGATGATGTCATAGAAGACAGAAATGGCCTTCCATAAGCCATCCTGTAGGGTCCCTGTCATCAAAGACAGAATCCTAAACCCAATAGACTATGAAGTTAAATCCCAAAATACATTCTCACTCTCAACAATATCTCACTATTCTTTCCCAGTTCTCAATTAATGTTTATATTCAATTGTCTGTATTTCTTGCACATGTGTATCCACATCAGGGTGGATTTTTGCAGCATGTAAGCCCTCAGAGGGTAGATACTGTGCCTATGCTGTTTTCTTTATACCTGGTACAATGCCAGGCATAAAAAAGGATTAGTAAAAGCAGACCTTTTGTGTATCCAGAGCCGACAGTGGCTTACATGATCGGATTTAGCAAGCATCCATAAAAGAACACTTCTTGAATATCTACTGTATGGGCTACTCTTTCCCCTTACTCTATTTGCATGTGGCAGCACTAGTGTCACCTCATTAAGACTCAGGCAAGAATACTAACTTCAGGACGGAACTGTTAAAACACTGCTTGTTACCTAAAAAGCCAAAGTGGTTCCTTCCCTATTAACACAATGATGGATAGTTTTATGAGACTTGTCACTTAAAAAGAGTAGGGCCCTGAACATAAAGGTTTGATTGGCAGGATGGGCTGGGAAAGGTTGGAACAGGCTATGTTTGGGTGAGGCTGGCCAGGGTCA
The DNA here is from genome assembly GCF_000001405.40 of Homo sapiens. NCBI lineage: Eukaryota > Metazoa > Chordata > Mammalia > Primates > Hominidae > Homo > Homo sapiens. The sequence continues at coordinate 107,856,564 of NC_000023.11, read as the reverse complement.
TAAGCTCTTCAGAGTGGCAAGATGAGACCTTAGAGAGGTCCTAAAGTGAATGAGCTATAAAAATAAACTGCTTACTTTGCTATTTTCACTACAACTTGTTCTGTACTTAATAGTCTTTTTGATGAGAACAAGGAAGGTGATTATAATTTCTAACCACATTTTATTCACTATTAGCTGTTACTCTATATTCAATCATGCAAATTCTAAATCAAGGGATCTCTTATCTTGTCTCCTGCTTACAATACTCCCTTGTCCCTTTGCCAGTGTGGATGTCTTATACTGTAATCTAACAGCATAATGAGAAACTTTGACAGAGTGGAACATTAGAGGGATTCTGATTAGCTGAAAGCCACTTTGAAATACTTTATATTTTGTTTCTCCCTTCTTGGAAAGAATAAGCCAGGAGAGAAAAAGAATAGAATAAAGAAAGTTACCATTCACAGCATCATGACCTGTGATACCTAGAAAGAAGTCGAAGGTCATGTTATCAGTTCAACTCTTCATTTTATAGGTAAGAACACTGAAACTGAGAAGCTAAATGACTTAGATTCATACCACCACTTCATGGAAGAGCCAAGTCTAGAGCACAGTTTTCCAAATCACACTCTAGTGCTCTTTCTTTTCATTCCTTATGCTTCTTCCCTAATCCCCCACTTCATTTTATAGTCTCATATCTGAGTTTGACCAGTACTCTATGGACCCTACGTAGAGCACCACTCTCTTCCACAAATGGAGTGCCCAGCAGGGATTAAATTTCTATGGTATGCTCATCATACAAGTACACTCTACTTGAAGAAACTCAATACTTTAAGAAATCCAAATGATTGGGGGTCAGAAGGTTACTCATATAATAAGAGGATTCTTTGCCTTACAAGAAGATTCTCCACAGTCTCTTAAATAGGAATCTATAGATTGGATTAAGAGATGAGATCTTAATAAAATTGAAATAAAATAAACTTGAACTGTTACATTTGTCTGTCATACAAGTAAGATTAGAACCAGACTATCAGGTTCTAAATAGAATTAGAAACATTTTTATCCAACCACTGCCCATGAAGAATCCTATAATATTTTACCCAACCCTGTTTACACTTGAAGCCCTACCATCAGCTCTTCAACAAAATCAACACAAAACCAAATGGTATAAGTTTCATGCTCTTGAGAAAGAGAAATAACATCTTTATTTTATTATGTCCATTTAAGAAGAGGTCAGCTCTTCCTCTAAGCTCTGCTCTAAGATTTGATGTAGATGACAATTGATTAAAACCTCACACTTTACAGCACTTTACAATTTACAACTTTAAAATAGATATGATTTGTTGATGACAAGAATAAGTGGAAAGGTAATGAGTGAGGACCAGGTGGGGTGCATGGTATAGATAGGACCATGGGCAGGGGATGAAGAGGGGGAGAGGCTCGAAAGAGGAGAAGCAGTCCTGATAATATTGTTACAGAAACAATATTGTGCTGAATTAACCTCACCTTACCCCAAGGACCCAGGATTCCCAACTTCCCTATGACACTCCAGTAATCTCTTTAAGGAGTGATAATGTCCAGTTTGATGATGGATGAAGCACACTTCATGTCTGATTTTCATATTGCCTGCTGTTTGGAAAGGAGAATAGGTTGCCCCTTGAACTATTATCCCCCCACTGTCCATCATCACCGTCTATTCTTTTTAAACCATAGGTTTCTGACACTTTTTTTGGAACAAGCATCCTAAAGGAATGAGACTTTCTAAAACTGCCATTCAATCCTTCATTCCAAATGACTAGGCTACACTCTGACAAAACTGAAGTCCTCCCAAAGGGTCACCCATTTCAGGTCCTCTGAAAAATCACAAATGTTTCTGTTACATACCTCAACCTGCTGGCAGATCTGTATTAGTTTGGCCATTTGATTTTCTAGTTCGCTGTTGCGCTTAACCAGGTTGGTGAGGTTCATCTCCAGAGTTTGCTGTCATCGCAGAGGGTATGAATCCAGAGGGGAACCGAGAAGAGGGGAAAAAAGAACCATGAGCTTGAGAACCAATGTCATGTGAAAATCGGTTAGTCAGTAGACAAATGTTTCAAAGATTCATTTAGCATCTGCCATGAGCCAAGCACTAATCTACGTACAAATTAATAATGCTGCACATTTGCTCACTATTGGGGAAAATATGACATTCATGACTTTGTGGATGTAGGAATTTATTGACATTAAAGAAACCTTATGTTTTAGATAATATCTTTAACTTTTCAAAGTATTTCATAGGCAATATCTCATTTCGCCCTCATAGTAATCCCACAGCATATGAAGAACAGATATTATTATCTCTTTTCCAGATGAGTAGACTAAGAAAACTATTACACATGTCCCTCAACTTATGATGAAGTTATGTTCCAGAGAGAGCATTTTCAACTTAAGAAATTTTCAACTTATGATGGACTTATCCAGATGTAACCCTAACATAAGTCAAGAAGCATACTGAACGCATATTACTTTCACACCACTGTCAAATTGAAAAATCGTAAGTTGAACTATGGTAAGTCAGGGACCATCTGTAATTATTGAATGATTGCCAGACACTATGCCAGGCAATTTCATATATACTATTTAAAAACCATAACAATCTCACAAAGTAGAAGATGCTAGTATTTTACAAATGGGAGTACCAAGCTTCAAAGTGGAGTTAAAGTATTTTGCACAGTCATATTACTAGCATGTGCAAAACTAGGACTGGAACCCATGTATCCAGCCCTCAGTCACAGTTTTGCTGCAGTATTCCATGACTTTTTTTGTTTTTGATTATAATATTTTATATTTATCAGTAGGGTCCTTCAGGAAAAAAAGAGTATTTTGAGTGTGGAATTCATCAAAATCTAGCATTGTATCTCACAGCTTTCCTTCTTTGGCACCGAGGCTTCACCCACAAGAGAGGCAGGGCTTCAAAATGCAAAGCCTGACTGTATCAAGAGAGGACATCAGCCAGGCACGGTGGTTCACGCCTGTAATCCCAGCACTTTGGGAGGCTGAGGTGGGCAGATCGCTTGAGCCCAGGAGTTCAAGACCAGCTTGGGCAGCACAACAAAACCACATCTCAACAAAAAATGCAAAATTTAGTTGGGCGTGGTGGCATGCACCTATAGTTCCAGTGACTCAGGAGGCTGAGGTGGGAGGATCACTTGACCCCAGGAGGCAGAGGTTGCAGTGAGCCAGGATCACACCACTGCACTCCAGCCTGGGTGACAGAGTGAGACCCTATCTCAATAAATAAATATTTTAAAAAGAGAAGATATCCATTGCATATCATCATTTACTGGTACATAGATTCTTTCAGGTACATATTAGGGGTACTTTGCAGATCTGTTGAATATAATGTTGTTACAACAGTAGCCGGAATTCTAGCATGTTTTCAGTTGAGCAAGCTACTGTTTCCCATTCGTTATGTGAAAAAGAGTATCATTTCACTCTAGATTAATCATGGGCTTTTTTATTTCTCCCCACTCCCAAGTCTTTCAGCCCTGGTAGCTGCTTTTCCTCTAAGACTCACCCCAATATCTACTTCTCTCTCACCCACTATCCCAATACCCCATAAAGTCTGTTCCAAATGTAATACCCCAACTTACTGGCCCTCATTCTGCTAGCAGTCCTTCCCTCAGTCATGTTAAGTGCTACGCTGCTATCTCCATTGTTCCTATGTTTTGTAGTTCAAAGTTCGTGCTTTTGAAAAAGTGGATGGGGGGATGTGGGGGAGAGAGGGAACATGAAGGAAAAGAAGAGATTTGTGTACTTGGCCCCTTTCTGTCTGCTAAGTACCTGTAGCTCCTTAATATCTTTGGCACTGTTCCCATGAATAGATGGATATATTCACATAGATACACGTGTTTGCAGGCTGGGTAGTGTGATTTCACATTTTCTCAAACTGGATTATGAGGACCAGCTGAACCCTTGCTACCCTTCCTGCCAGGTCTCTCTTGGCTTCCTTGGCTTTATTCCCATGGAAGTGATTTTTCACCATTTATTCTATTTTTCTTGTATTGGGGCACAATGTCTCCCCTGGCCTCCTTTAATCCCACTACCATCTCAATCTGTGGTCTTCTTGGCAAAGAAAAGGGGAAGGAAGAAGAATACAGGAAGCAATCATTGATTTGGACGTGATCTCTAAGCTAAATTGATGTCAGAGGAATAAAAAAAGTGGCAGTTCAGAAATTTAATACAAAAATGTATTGAACACCTACTCTGTTCAAGGTACAGTGACTTCACAGATAAAGAGGAAGTAAAATTAAGATGGGCCTTGAAGGATAAACAGAATTTTAATAGACAGAGATGCATGGGGGCAGGATGTTCCGGGCACAAGGAATGTAATGAGAAAAGTACAAAGAAATAAGACCATGAGCAGTGGGTGGCTCATACCTGTAATCCCAGCACTTTGGGAGACCGAGGTGGGTGGATCACCTGAGGTCAGGAGTTCAAGACCAGCCTGGCCAACATGGTGAAACCTCTTCTCTACTAAAAATATAAAATTAGCCAGGCATGGCGGTAGACACATGTAATCTCAGCTACTCGGGAGGCTGAGGCAGGAAAATCACTTGAACCGCAGAGGCGGAGGTTGCAGTGAGCCGAGATCGTACTATTGCACTCCAGCCTGGGCAAAAAGAGTGAAACTCTGTCTCAAAAAAATAATAAATAAATAAATAAATAAATAAATAAATAAATAAATAAATAAAAAGTATAAAGAAATAAAATATATGGCATATTCAGGGACTAGTAGTTTCCTTTGGCTAGAACAGAGGGTAGAAAGAGAGTAGTGGGGGACGCAGCTGGAAATGGAGACCAAAGTCCTGTTATAAAGGTCTTAAGTGCCTAGATAAGGAGTTTGTAGTTTCTTTGTTTGTTTGTTTTTGTTGTTGTTGTTGTTGTTGTTGTTGTTTGCACTGAGGACTTACCAAAAGCTGTTGAGCAAGGTAATGGCATAATCAGGGCTGCATTTAGGAGATTAACCTAGCAGCAAAATGTGGGGCAGACTGAAATAGGAAAGCCCAGGGCAGGGGATGGGGGAAGGACACTGGTTAGAAGAAGGCTGCACTATTCAAGGCCGTAGGGTAATGCAAGTCTGGGCCAAACTGAGGATAATTGAAAGAAATGTGTTTCAGGAAAGGATTTGTCACTGTCAAATATGCGGAGAATGCAAGAAATATGAGGATTGATAAAAGGCAGCTGGATTTGGTAATTAGAGGTCACAGATGACCTTTTGAAAAGGTGTTTCAGTAGGGTTTTGGAAGAATTTGTGAAATCCTGAGGTTAGAGTATGGTGTAGTGACAAAGTAGAGGCTGCAAGTCTAGACTCCTCTTCAAAAATTTGGCCATAAGGTGAATATAATAACTCTGTAGTGTGATGAAAGGGTCTAGCTTGAGTTAGGCAGTGGGAATTGGTAGTGAATCCAGTTGATAATTTTCTCTAGCAGTGGCCCAAATTCCTATCAATGGAAATTCCATGTATCACAAATGAATATATTGATATATTAGGCGAATATATTGATATATTAGGCAAATATAATGTAGATTGATGAACGCCAAGCAAATACAATATTAGAAATTTGTGTTTCCAACTGTAATGCATTTCCATTCAAACATGGGATTCCATGAGAATAATGTTTTTAACAAGTACCTCAACCTGTTGCAACACTGATCACAAAACTGATATCTCATAAATAATTCACAGTACAGAGCAGGACATAGCAAAATCTCTGCTATGTGTTCCTCTTTTGTGGCCCAGAACTGAGACTCATGGCTTCTATAAAGCCACTGAAAACAAAAATTAGGGCTGAACACATAATTTGAGGTCTAGTTAGACTATGCGCCTTGAGTTACCATCACAAAATTATGGCAAATGGTTAGTTTGCCCCTAGCAATTTGCAGAATGCCAGCACATGTTAACAACACAGAGCTAGATCTGACAAGATGACTCTAATTTCAACCTTACTTCATTAATATGAAAATGCTTTGAAAAATAAATCTTTGGCTAATGAAAACACCATCTGTTGATGGCTTTTTGCCACTGTTTTCTTACAATATGAGACATAATTTGAGGAAAACACCGAACATTTACTTACTCATTTCCTATTCATTTACAAGGAATTAAAGCCTCCTCTCAAATTGGAATTTATTCTCAATAATGAACATATGCAAAGGGAAACAGAGAATTGAAGCGATTATGCAATCTAAGGAAGTCACTCTTCCTTATCATGCCTAGCACTGACGAGTCATTTAGAACAAAAAATTCTGGGCCACTCTAGGTTTGAATAATTTGATTGATTTGGCCAAGTAATTATCTTGTCTGTACTCTGGCTGAGTAAACAAAGAGGGTGTGTGTGTGTGTGTGTGTGTGTGTGTCTGTGTGTGTGTGGATGTGTGTGTCTAAAATCTCTATATAAAAGTAAACATGTCTCTTCGTTGTTGTTCAGTTTTGAAATATTGGTGTGTTTTGCTCTGCTCCTGTGCAATGTAGTTAATGACTGGGCCAGGTTCCTTATGTTCAAGCCCGGTTAGTGCAACTTTCTCAGGACAGTTAAACCGTGACAGCAAGAGAGCCAAAGTGGCAGGGGAGATTGGAATGGAGATATCTGCTGGTAGGAAACAGGACAGGAGGTTGGCAGCCAGGGGGCAGGATGAAGCTCCCATTTCCTGCTGCAAGAGGTTACCTCTGGGTCTTTGTGTGCTTCCCTTTTATGGATGTTACAGAAGCCATTTTAGTTTATGAAACTGTGATACCTTCTTCACCTCCAGATGACTACATTATGCTAGCTCACACAAAATTGTACATGTGTCTAAACAGCACAAAGTAAGGGAAAGATTTGGCTGATTTGCATAACAGATTTTAAAAGGCCTCAGTTAGCTAAATTGGCAGTCTACACTGATTCCATTTTTACCCAAGTTTTATTGTGTTGTATAGATTAGGCCTCTTTGTGCTCTCTTATTCCCTTCCCAAAGAGGAAAATGTTTTGCCATCTGAGAAAGCTGGGCACAGGCTATTCTTCTTCCAGACAGCATCCCATTAACAGAAATGGCTTCTTCAACCCTCAAATAATTGCTGGTTTTTTTTTTTCACTTCTCTAGACACAGATTATTTCAGGTAACTTTCTCATTGACTCTCTCAAGAAAACTAGGCGTACATCAAGACACCACCTCTTTATTAAAGCGAGGTAGATTACCCCATTATGGCACAAACTGGACCATGATCTCCATTTGTCATACTCCATGAAGGCATATGTATTCGCACATATATGAGCACTCCTACACACATCAACCTGACACAGTAAGTACTGAAGCCTAAAAGGGGGTGTAATCTGTATTAGTTCTATTGAAACATATCATTTCCACTGAAACATGGCACTGTCATAGAATGTCTGTATTCTCTCTTGCTGTCTAAAAGGTACAAGGGGAATATTATCTAAACCTAGACAAGATCCTGACTGCTTTTATGTGGGAATTGAACCTTGGGGTGAGCATAGGAAGGGGAGAAGTGAAATAGGGCAGAAAGGCCAATTCATCCCAAACCTGAGTCTTCCTGATTGACAGAAGACAACTTCATCTTTAAAAATAATCTGAGCCAGTGGCCCCATTACTATTCTTTGACATGCTCTTTTTTGACATCCTGTCTATGCACCGACATTTTCAGCTCTTCCAAAAGCCAGAAGCCAGAATCTTCACATGCTTTTAGGGTCACAGTCTGCTTTCTTTTTTTAACTGCTTGTCTTAAAATACTTACTTTGCTTTTGCTTCAGTCTGTCACTTTATGTATCAATTACATATGGCCTCTCAACAACAGAACATGCCATCTGGTTCACAAACTGAAGCCCACACCCTTATGCCAGAATTTATTCTTTCCCCAAACATTTATTTGCTGTTGTATAGACACAGGCTACGTCCCAGAATGAGATGAAGGTGATACACTGGATGTATATCATATAGGTCTACTCTACTTCAGGTTTGTTAAAGAATAACCTGACCCTCAAGCCAGGTGAAAGACTTGCCATCTTTTCAAAAGGCTCTGTGATCATCCAGCTGAGACCCACACCTCCCCCACTCTCCTTATCAGAAATGCTGCCCAAACCTTCCCATATTCTTTTCTTTCCCCCATCTTCAGGTGCATAGCATGATTACATCTCTAGCTCAAATGGATACATTATTATTTGGACATTCTAAAAGTAAACCTGTACTAAAAACTTAAATCTAGTGTTTATTTTGATAACCCTCAGACTAGTGAGCCAAAGCCAACTCTACTTTCCTGGAGGACTCAGGGTTGTATTCCACTTGCACTATTCCTCTTCACTTCCTGCCTCTCATACACATCCCCCTCTTTCTCTTTCAACTTCTATTCCTTCATGCCTAATTTCTAGACCACGAGTGTTCTGCAAGGCTCAATCCTTGGCCTTTGCTCAGCTCACTACTGCATGGCTCTACCACCACGCTGAGGACTCCCAAGTCTATTTCTCCAGACCCAATCTTTCAGCCACTGGTAAAGCCTAAATTTTAACCCTTTCTAGGACACTTGCCCTTTCAGTTCTGAGAAACCCCCATGCTCTCTGTCCTCCAGATGTTTCAACAAACTCTTTTCTCCTGACTAGAGCACTCCCCTTCCCTGCCTCAACTCCTGTCCCCTAACAGGGCATTCAAAAACTCACCCAAATTCTATCTTGCTATTCCTCCTATGTTCTGTAACAGCCCCTGTTCTTCCACTGTCATTGCACTTACCACACCATCTCATAACTGTGTCCTTAATTATCTGCCTCCCCACACTAACCTGAGAGCTCCATCAGGGTTGAGGCTGTGCTTTCTTAATCACTGTAACCCTAATACCTATCCGGGTGCTTGCCACCTAATAGATGTTCAAGAAATGTTTGATGAATGAATGATTGTTAAATGACCCACAATCACATCAGACTCAAATCTAAAGTCAAAGCATCCCCAAAAAACTGCCACCCCTTCCTAATTTCATTTTTGTCCTCCTCAATACCACCATCCTTCAAGACATCTCCACCTCAAAAGTCCTTTTTAATTCATTCTCTTCATGGTGTATAATCATCATAGTCATTCACCAAGTTTTGTCAATTCTTTCCGCATGGACTCTCTCCGGTTTGGTCCTTCTTCTCCAATAAATTCACTCATGATTCCCTGTTTTTGAACTCAATGATATCCTTTCCCTGACCCCTCCACTGTGCTTCAGAGCATCCTGTGCAAACCTCTGTCATGGCACTTACCATACTGAATTGGAATTTCCCACTTGTCTATCTCCCCTACTAAGTTCAAAGTCCCTTTAGGACTGGGATTGTGCCTTATTTCCTGTGTCCCAGCTCCTACCACAGTGGTCAAAGTGTTTAGTAAACAAAGTGAATGTTCATTAATTGTTTGTTAAATGAATGAATGAATCCCTAGCCTAAATCCCTGATGCTACGGTTTAAGTTATTGTCAGTTCTAGCTTCATGTGAGACAAAGAATAAGGCATTACCTCATTATATCAACCTTTCATGAACTTGAAGGCCATTATCACATTTTTCCCTTTAAACCTCACTTCTTTGTGTTCAGTAATTCTTGTTTCCTTGATCTTTCCTCACCTATATTATATTTCTGTAATATGTTTCTTTGCCCAACAATAACAGACAGGATTTCTATCCACCCAAGAACAATCTCTGTGTCAACATTTTGTAAATTGTTCTCAAACAAACGATTGTTAGCTCCTTTCAAATATTGGTGAAGAGAAAACTTGAGCCAAAAGAAATAACAGAAAAACAGAAAGATAAGGGTACAGATAATAGGAGTATCTACTTGCTAAACTTGCTCTCAAACCAAAGAAACAATGGAAAACATCTTCCAAAACAGGGTCCTGTTAATAATAAATGAGTTCAGAGACAGAGAAATCAATATAAGTCTTGCAGAGAAAAGAATAGGGGTTCAAATGAGTCTTAGTGCACAGTTTGGGTAGAGATGAAATGAAATGTGTTTTATCCTCATACACACATGAAATATGTACAGATTTACACATATTGTATGTGATGGGGAGCAAGTCTGGAACAGTTAAGAGACCACAGAGAAGGCAGATCTACAAGCAAGAATGATTTTATGAGCATTGAGTTGAAGGCTGGTTTAGCTGAGAAACCTGTCAGATACTGTCCCCAACCCCACACACACATGTTCACCACCATTACCACCAGACCTTAAAGAGCATAAATCTGGTCTCAAATGTTTTGTTCTTATTATATTTAGCTACTGTGATTTAGTACCTGACTGAGAGTGAGAAACAACATTTTTCTTTTCCCTCACCTATGGTAACCCACCCTGGCCTCCATTGAAGATTTTTCTTATCATGCATATGTTTGATCTGGCTCATTTATTAGATTGATCCTTAGCCTCAGGATGGGTTCTGCTGAGGCTCTAACACTCCCTAGGGTGACAACAGAAAGCTTACCTTACACTCATGGCCCCCTCCTACCCAAATTATCAGAAGATTTACACACTCTCACATCTTCACATACAATGATACACATTTTATAGATATACTTTCATACACAGACACAGAGTCATTCTCAGCCACATATTTATGCAGGAATATACACACTCATATACAGTGATGCATACATGTGTATGCAAATATACTCTCAACCTAGTCTCTCATAAATATACTTCACTTTCTTTCCCTTATATTTATACTTACACTGGTTGAGAAAGTCATATGCCCATTAGTACATTAGTTGAGAGGGTATCTGTCTTGGCAGACAGTAGTGGGTGTCAAGTGGGTGAGTAGATAAATGACTGGGAGAAGGTGGTGACTGAGTGAGAATGGGTGGGTGGATGACAGAGTGACTGAATAGGAAGAAGGACAAGTAATCAACTGTGATAAGATTCTAGAGCACTATATTTTCCAACCTTTTAACTCTCATTGTGGCGTTCCTTTGAACATCCTCCAAGTCTCATATCTCCCTTCTCATTGTCTGGCAATCATTAGCTTTCTCTGTCCCAGTCTTGCTGAGAGAGAGAGAGAGAGAGAGAGAGAGAGAGAGTGTGTGTGTGTGTGTGTGTGTGTGTGTGTGTGTTACTTTCCCATGATAAAAGGCTTACTCCAGTGCTGGGTAATATTTTATAACAAGATCCCTGATATGTAAATGTAACTGCATTTAAGAATTATTTGTAGTAATGAATTTGTGGAAATGTAATGAGAAAAAGAAAATGTGCTTGTTTATTCCTTTCAGGAAATTCCTCTATTCCCCCTGGTTTTCATCAGCTATATTTTTGGCAGGCTGTGGGCATGGAAATGTGAAGACATCACTCTCAAAGAGAATTATAATAATCACATCTGATTTATACAGATGTCACCATAGGGGTAGGCAGTTGGAAAATCCAGTGATCAAAATGAATAGGCAATTAAAATTAAGGACATGCCATACTTTTGCTAGCACTCTGGTTTTGAACATTGTCAGTAGTTCACAGGAGATCTTTTTTCAGACTTTCAGGGTATATATAATGGCAAGACAGATTTATATCTTCTTAGATGAGATCCAAAGCAAGCTATAGGCACTGGTATATTTCCTGCAAATCCATTATGAAGACTGAATTCATTTGGATTTCTTGAGAAAATACTATGTGTACTAGAAACTAAGGAGAATACTAAAGAAATACAAGACATTATTTCTGACCTGAAGGAGATTATGACGTAGCTGTGATGTTTTGGAGTGGTCTTATGGGGTTTGAATTATGCATTAAAGAATACGTAGGATTTGTAAACAGGCCAAGAGAAGAACACTAGTGACAGTTAAGAATCAGAAAAGAGAATGGTATATTTTGCAGACAGGAGGCTCACTGGGGTAGATGAAGGTAGCATGTTTTAGAGGAGTAGAGGGGAAAATACATGGGCAGCACAAGAAAAAAGTTGTATGGGACTTATAATATTGAGTTGAAGTCTATCAGCAATAGACAGTCACCGAAATTTGGCCTCTTTTATGAAGCCAAAATTTATTAAAACGATAACAACAATCTTTTATAAGGATGGAAACTCATGTGATAATGAAAATTCTAAAATATGAAGCCGTTTTATAGAAATGCCCCATATATCATGAACTAAGATATATATTGGGACTAGTGAGTGAAAAGTGAGAGGTGATGGAGAAAATAATTACTCTGATAGGACTTACTGCTCTAATAACTGTCGTGAATAAAAATATTATTTAAAATTGAATAATTAATTGAACTACTGGTAGCCTGCTGAAAGACATGTGTCCTGCGTCTCAACCCTATTGGTAGACTGGACAACTAAATAAGATCATGAAACTAAACTAAGTACCCCAAGCCCTCTAATCCACTTTGAGAACATGTTAAAAAGACAGGCTAGTTTCTGGTTATTCTGACTTTTCATCTATAACATAATGGTTTATTTATTCTTTATTGAACAAATAAATATTAGAAGCCACTAATCCTAATCAGGGAGGTTCGTATATAAAAAGTAGTTACAAATGTCAACAGTGAAGTTCCAGAACCAAAAAGTAAAAATAAACCCTGTTATCAGATACTGGCTAAAAAGCCAACCTCCTAGATACAGGGGAAGAATGATAGTATGGGGAAGAATGATAGGGTATAGTATATATCTCCTACAGGACTCCTGTGCTTCTCTCAGGGCCAGGGCCAGGGGAATATACTCAGGCAGACTCTCCCATAGCTCCTGCCAGCCAACTTTCTCCCTTTCTCCTTGGGGAAGAATCAAGCAGACTAAGGGGGTAATCCTAAATGATTTTCCAATTTAAAATTAACCCAAAGAAGTGAGTATATGTGACACTAAAAGTCAGACTTTCTCTCTGCTTAACATGGAGAATTAATATTCTTTTACACTTGGCACCAAACCAAAGTGACCCCTCCACCCCCGCAACACACACACAACCAGTACCTCTCTCACCTCCCCAAAGTCCAAGATGTTTCAGACAACATAACGAACCACACAGTTGGGAATGATTCATTTTCCACTCTCCATCCAAAAATGAGTAAAAATAGTTTCCACTTAATTTATAATCAGAATTTTCTGCACATTTCCTAAAATATGAAAGGGGAACTATTCAAAATCTGGCTTTCTTTCTCCAAAAATTACCGATTAGTCACAGACTAAAATATATCTTGGTAAAATATGTCCATGTTCCATCCATCCCTGGAGATGAGGGCTATAGCTTCATGATGCCAAATATCTAATCAATCATCATGTTTTCGGATGTTTTCAAATAGCTAGTTTTCTGTAATACAAGCTTACACTAGCCAGTCTTTTTGTTATCTCAACAGTGCATATGGACACAGATTTTTCTGTTTGGAATATTTCTCAAGGCCAATGACTTATTATAGTCCCAACACCTGCAAATATTTGGCAGAGATTGTTCTGTCCTCTTCACATCCCCCACTCTTCCTATAACCCCGCTCCTATCTTTTGCCATTATACAGCTGTAAGTTTATACAATCTGTCCCTTCCTTGATGTCATTAATCATTTATCTATGACCACGAAATGTACAGTTGTGGGAGCATAAAGTTAAGTTTCAAATCACATTTCATGGGGAAAACTTAGATCCAAAACAAAGTGGCAGCCGGCTACAGTACAAAGGATAGTTACTCAATCTAGAGGCTAAGTCCCAGTTCTAGCTTTCCCATTACTAATCATTTCTTTGATTTTGACCAAGTCACTTCATCTATCAAGGTCTGTTTATACAACTTTAAAGTAGAGCGCTTCGACTAGACCAAGTCAAAGGCCTAATATCTTATGAGTCTAAGAACTGAAGTTAACAAGATTATTTCCCTCTGCAGCCTTGATATGAATGAGAGTATCAACTTGAGTGAAATAAAAAAATTGAATTTGCTACACATTTATACATATCAGGTATAAATAATAACCAAAAGAGGCACAAACCATAGTCATTGTGACTACTCTCAATATTATTTGCAACAAATTACAGGACAAATATATCCTATTCTGAGTACTGCTACTCTCACCAACATTATACTTTTTACAGAAGTTACAATGAATCATCCACTGCATGGCAGGAGGAAAATCTCCATTCCCTTCTTGCCCTCCTTTTATCCTATCTGGGTCTTTCTTCTAGCTTGGCTTATGTACTCAGGTTCTATTTGGAGTGGTAATTTTACTATCCGTTTAAACATTTTATTTTTCTAGAATATCTGCTAAGTAGCTCCCTTCTTAAGAGAAATTATACAACATAGCAGACAAGCAATGGGAATAAAACAATTCGCTGGATCATCAGTGTAAGGTAGGAGGACTTTTTATGGGCACTTAGACTTGTACATACATATTATATGACACAACAACTTTAGAAAACTCTGTCCATTGAATACACATAAATGACTAGGAACTTGTAAGGCAGGAACTATAAACAAATGCTTCAGTTTGTAGCCCATAATAGTGAGCACTGTCACAAAATTTGATACTGGATAAAATATTTATTGCCTTCAGTTTAAATTGTTCATTCAGATATTTAATTATCCCTCCCAATTTCGTGGTATACTGAAGTTTCTTCAGTTCTTTGTTTTGTTTTGTTTTGTTTTGTTTTTAAAGGCAGGCTTAGAATTAGCCCTATGTTAAAGGCTTAATGGCAATTTGTAATGGCCAATGCCAAACTTTTGTTTCTTTAGTGTATTGAGTACACAAACACAAACATACAATAATGTCCTCCACAAAAATCTCTCACCTACCTAGATACACTCAGCCACCTCCACCCACACCTACACAGAGACACACCCTGCCTTCCCATTGCCATATACCTACATATGCAAATCGACACATATGCTAATTGTAGTACACGTACACAAGTACTCACATACTTAAAAGAAGAGGTGGAAAGATCATAGCAAAGATATATAATAAGCAATATGTCACTGACAGAAGATAGAGGGTGTGTTTCCCTGGATGAACTACTGGTGTTGCAGGCCATGAGCTGACTCCCCAAAAGTTAGCCAGAAGTGTGTGACTGCAAGAATGTTTATGCAACAGATGAGATAGGCTCCAGGAAGAGCTTGCAGGAGAGCAGGTTATTCCTCATGAGAACAACTTAAAGTTAACTCACTTGTCATATAGGAAAAGTCACCTATTTTATTAGAGAACTTGCTAACTGCATTTATGCGACAAAGTTGTATAGGGGATGCTCCCCAGATCCCTTACCTTGAGTTTCTCAAATCGATCATTCAGGGATGCGACCTGATGGTCTCGGTGACGACCCACCAGTTTGCATAAGGCACAGATCAATTGGTCATCAGATACACAGTACATGTTCACTTTCTCATTCTCATGGTCCAGGCAGGTGATCCCTCGAAGATGTGTGTCTGGCACTGGTTCCACCAGGCGGTGGCTGGTGAAAGGTTTCTTGTTGGGGTGCGTGGCCCGCAGGCAACGGTCACAGTAGGAGACCTCACAGGTGATGCATGTTTTTACTGCATCCCTTGGCGGGTCCTGCTCACAGAATTGGCAAGCAATTCGCTCGCTAGACATGGCAGTGGTGGGCCTGTAAGTCCTTTCCCGGCGGCTCTCACTAGGGGAATTGGGCCCACTGACTGAAGCCTTCTGGAAGCGATCAATAATGTTCTGCAGAGTCACATTCCTCTTGAGGCCATCCAGGCCCCGGTGGTTCAGCGAGATAACATACCTGCAGGTAGGACACTGGAAAGCAGTAATGGGTTCAATGGATTCACCAGAGCTGCAGCTTGATACCAAAATGCGATGGGCACAGCTGAAGCAGAGGCTGTGAGCACAAGGGAGCAGAAGGGGGTCTTCAAACAACTCTAGGCAGATTGGACAGGTCAATTCAGACTCCAGTGTTTCCATCTTTAGTGAAAATAGTCCTCCTGAGGCATTAAGAACCACGGAGGCTGGGCTTTCACCTGCAAGGAATACAAAGCAAGAGTCATTAGGCATTTCCAAAGGAAAATGGATATAACACAATTATACACTAACCAATGGGCGCGTTTACGTGCTGGATTCCCCAGAGATGCTTAAGCAATAGAAAAGCAATTTGGGAACTAATCAGGAAGACTTTCTTCCCCTTCAAACCTTGTTTTAGACAAATGCCTATGTTTATTTTCATGCACAAATAGATAAAACCAAATGGCCACCTCTGAATCCTGATAGACTGATTAACATTACCATTCCAGCTCACAATATTTGCATGGATCATTCTCTCACATATTCTCCACTGACATCTCTTTTCCTAGACTAAGATAAGGCTGAGACCCTGCAAAATTCCCAATCTCTATTCTCCAATATTGTTCTCTATTTCACTTCAAGGTAAACTGTAGGGCTGCTTCTATGTGACATCCAGTGTAAGGAAAACAATGCCATATTTTAAAGTAACTCTCTACTTCCTGAAATGATTCCATTCTGAAAGCCTGCATAAAAAAGAGAGAGCTTTAGAAAAATGTAGCCCTTGGTGCAGGATAATAAGTTTTTCCTCAGAGTGTGAACTTGAATTACTTCTTATTATCACACATGGAAATTTCCGTTCCATTCTATTCCTAGTAAACTGAGTTACTTGAGATAAAAGATGATAGTTTTCACTTTCATCTTCTTCCCTCACCTTCAGAAACCCCTTCAGTTCATCAAGCTGAATGGGGAATGATTTCAAACTTTTCAACCTACTCAGCAATAGTTGCTGATCAATAATAAAGTCATATTGCCTTGTGGCTTCAGTTTGGTTTCATTACTAAACACCTGCTGAACTAGCACAAGCCAGCTATGAAGCTCACCTCCCATGTGTCTTTTCATACTTTCTAAAACATAACAGGATGCAAATCAATATCTAGATAGAAATTAGCAAAGTTCCAGAAATTTTAAGATCTGGTAACCTTCAATTTAGTGAGCATCAGTGAGTAAAAGAGGTCACCCGGCCGGGCACAGTGGCTCACGCCTGTAATCCCAGCACTTTGGGAGGCCAAGGTGGGTGGATCACGAGGTTAGGAGGTCCAGACCTTCCTGGCCAATATGGTGAAACCCTGTCTCTACTAAAAATGCAAAAATTAGCTGGGCGTGGTGGCGCTTGCCTGTGGTCCCAGCTACTCGGGAGGCTGAACCAGAAGTATCGCTTGAACCTGGGAGGTGGAGGTTGCAGTAAGCCGAGATCATGCCACTGCACTCTTGCCTGGGTGACAGAGTGAGACTGCCAAAAAAAAAAAAAACAAACAAAACAAACAAAAAAAGCCACCCAACTGACAAGAAACCAACCTCTTGGTAACTCTATCTATTTTTCCACAGGCATTTCTGTGCTGAACACACAGGTACCTAATTCTTAATTGCCTAGAGTCTTCCATTAATTAAAATACACACACATAAATATTCTAAGTTGTCTTTAACTAAGGAAAAATATAAAACATATCTTACTGACTGAAAATGTTAATCCTATGTATAGGAAAGAAAAAGGGCATCTTTCTTGCTTTTTTTTTTAACAAGGTGTCCCTCTGTCATTCAGGGTGGAGTGCAGTGGTACAATCTTGGCTAACTGCAACGTCCACCTCCTGGGCTCAAGCGATCCTCCTGCTTCAGCCTCCTGGGCTCCGCCTCCTGGAACTCCAGGGGTATGCCACCAAGCCCAGCTAATTTTTGTTTATATTTTTTGTAGAGACGTGGTTTTGCCATGTTGCCCAGGCTGATCTTGAACTCCTGGGCTCAAGCAATCTGCCCACCACAGCCTCCCAAAGTGCTGGGATTACAGGAGTGAGCCACAGAGCCAAGCCCAAGAAAAGCATTGTTTGCTTTTGAGTAGCTTTTGTTTATTATCTTGTCATCATTGGAGACTCTCATCAGAGCTTGAAAATTTTGCTCTGCCATTGGTATTTGTTCAGATATTGTCACAGGATACATAAGTACTGAGTACAATTATACTTTATGCCTAAGTACAATAGATGTACACCTAAAAGCTGTTTCTAAATCAAACCTTTTAAATGCACTGAACTAACTACCTATTTAATGAAAATCTATATGAAATGAGGTTATAAAAGTGAAGAATCTTTTTGTAAATCAGTCACTCAGTTGGTTTAGTAGATTCAGATGTTTGTACAGCCAGTTTTTTTAAGTGAGACAAGGTATTTTTCTTTTAGAATTTACAGGTGCTTGAAAGTTGTTGGCCAGTATTTTGTAGCTTATAACATCTATCAACGTTCACCCATACAGATGAAAAAGTAAACAATTAAAATGTACATACATCATTGAATCTTAGAATTGGAAGAGACTTTTGAGAGATGAAGATTCCAACTTCCACTGACAGCAGGAATATTGCCTTAGAGAGCTCCATTTGATATATTACTCAGATTCTCAAACTCAACATGTCTATAAATGAACTTGTTGTGCTCCTCCTCACCTCCACAAAACAAAACAAACAAAAAACACCTGCTCCTCTTCTGATTTTCCCTGTCTGGTGAATATCACCATCCAAGCCTAGAAATCTAAGAGATCTCTCATCTACATGTTTTTATCACCTCAACCACTGGTGGCTTCCAGAACATTCTGTTTTATTTCACTTACATAGCTGTATTTCCAGCTAACTCTTCCTTCTCCTTGAGAG
This sequence comes from Homo sapiens, assembly GCF_000001405.40. Classification (NCBI taxonomy): domain Eukaryota; kingdom Metazoa; phylum Chordata; class Mammalia; order Primates; family Hominidae; genus Homo; species Homo sapiens. The sequence continues at coordinate 107,837,997 of NC_000023.11, read as the reverse complement.
TATCAACTATTTTATATTTTCATTCACAGCACAAGTTTGTGCTTCACACAAACTGTATTCAATAATTGTTAATGAAGTATCACTTAAACTAGGAGTAAGAAGGGGTCTAGCATTCATTGAGCATCTCCTGTATTCTGAGTACTATGTTAAGCACTTTACACATTATTTCACTAATTCTTTCAGGAAACTTGTGAGGAAGTTACTATTACTGTATCCACCTTACAGTTAGGAAACTAGGGCTTAGAATCATTAAATAAATCAACCAAAAACATACATACCCAGAGCACAGGTCAGTATAATTCCAATGCCTGTGCTCTTTTCCCTTACCTTTATTTCAATCATCTCACCTCCTTCACTGAGGTTTATCTGGACCATTTACAAGACAGTTTTTTTTTTTTTTGAATTCTGGAAATCTTTACTTTGGTATATTTAACATAGTTTATAGAGTTTTTTTTTTTTAAACAGCATGTTTCTACGTCTATTTTTATCTCTCTCTGTCTCTCTTACTTTCTCTGAATCTGCCTATTTCATTCTGAGTTCCTTCCAGAATCATATCTCTGTCTTCTAGGCCCATCTCCACCTCACACTGCACTTCTATTACTATCTCTTCTAGAACTGTATGCCTGCATTCCTCAATGTCTGTGTTGGAAGCTACCTGGGTTGGTCACATGTATTGCTGAAAGCCATGTCTATGTATGCTGAAAACTATATAACAACAATTAGAGTACCACAGCTTTCCTAAGGCTTAAGAGGGTGCCATATAAATTGTCCTGTACAGAGGAAAAGCTCTTAAATTTTGTTTGGAAATCTAAAATTTATTTCCAAGTCAGTGTGACACTTGAACCTCATTATGAAATTAAGCTTGGGAAAGCACGCTATGGGTCAGGATTGCTTTGGGTAAGGTCAAAATAGGATTTATTAACCGGGGACTTCTGAACTTCCTAGAACTGTTTGCAGAATGTGTTTGTATGTCATATATGCATTTTTCCTGGGGAAAGGGTTGCCCATAGCTTTCAAAAGATTCTCAAGAGTCTTTGAAAGAAAAAAACCCAATCATTAGTACTCTAAAATAACCTACCTTAACTTATTTCAGCTCTGTAAAGAATATTTTAAGATAGTTACTGCCTCTTGCTTATTTTAGCTTTTCTAGACTGTTTCGAATCTGTTTGATTTTTAATTATCATATATTAACTGTTTTAGCCAATTTTCGGGTACTGAATACTTTTATCAACTTCTTCAGACGTGTTCAATCATCTCTAATTTATGAGGCTTTCTTGTTCTGGGTACTCCTAATATTTTAGAATCCTTTCAATTATCCCCCATTTCCCCTACCTTTCTGGTTATCTAAGCACCTGAACAATACCCTTTATGCGCATTGCCTCATTTACTTTTCACAACAACTCTCTAAAAGGTAGGTATTATCATTATTTAAAAAAAAAAAAAAGTAGGCTGGGCGTGGTGGCTCACGCCTATAATCCCAACACTTTGAGAGGTTGAGGCAGGCGGATCACAAGGTCAGGAGATCGAGACCATCCTGGCCAACATGGTGAAACCCCGTCTCTACTAAAATACAAAAAATTAGCAGGCGTAGTGGCGCATGCCTGTAGTCCCAGCTACTCGGGAGGCTAAGGCAGGGGAATTGCTTGAACCCGGGAGGCGGAGGTTGCTTGAGCCGAGATCGTGTCATTGCACTCCAGCCTGGCAACAGAGCGAGGCTCCGTCTCAAAAAAAAAAAAAGTAACTTGTTCAAGGTCACACTTGTTTCTAAGTGGCAAAACTAAGAATCAAACTTAGGATAAAACTTTAGAAATAAACCTATATATATCTATGGTCAACTGATTTTCAACAAGGGTTCCAAGACCATTCGATGGAGAAAGAATACTCTTTTCAACAAATGGTGCTTGGACAACTGGATATCCACATGCAAGAGGATGAAGTTGGAGTTCTACTTCATATCATTTATAAAAATTAACTCACAACAGATCAATGATCTAAATGTAAGAGCTGAAACTATAAAACTCTTGGAAGGAAAGATAGGCATAAATCTTTGTGAACTTAGGTTAGGCAGGCAACAGTTTCTCAGATGACACCAAAAGCATAAGCAACCAAAGAAAATATACATAAATGGTACTTTATCAAAATTTAAAATTTGAGTGCTGCAAAAAGCACCATCAATGAAGTAAAAAGACAACCCACAGACTAGGCGCAAATATTTGCAAATCATATTATTATATCTGATATAGGTCTAGTCTCTAGAAATGTACTCTTACAACTCAAGATTAAAAAAGATGAGTAACTCAATTTAATAGTAGGCAAAGGATTTCAATAGATTTTTTCCAAAGATATACAAATGGCCAATAATCACATGAAAAGGTGCTCAACATAATTAGCCAGTAGGAAAATGCAAATCAAAACCACATTGAGATACTACTTCACACTAAGAAGGCTAAAATATAATAAAACAAAACAAACAAAAACCGGAAAACAGCACGTCAGCCAGGATTTGGAGAAGTTAGAACCCTCATACATTGCAGGTAGAAATAAAAAATGGTGCAGCTGCTTTTGGGAAATAGTTCGACAGTTCCTCAAAAGGCTAAATGTAGAGTTACCATATAATTCCACTCCTAGGTATATACCCAAAAGAATGGAAAATGTGTTCACTCAAAAACTTGTACACAAATGTTCATAGCAGCAGTCTTCATAGTAGCCAAAAGGGAAAAGCCCAAATGTCCATCAACTGATGAAAGGATAGACACAGTGGAATATTACTTGGCTATAAAAAGGAATGAAGTTCTGATACATACTTCAACATGGATGATCTTTGAAAACAGTAAGTAAAAGAAGCCAGTCACAAAAGGCTCCTTTTGTGTATGATTCCTTTTTTATGAAATATCCAGAATAGGCAAACCCAAAGGAACAGAAAGTAGATTAATGGTTGCCAGGAGCAGGGCAGGGGAGGATGGGGGATGAGGAGTGATTGCTAACAAATATGGAGTTACTTTCTGGGATGATGAAAAGGTTCTAAAATTAGATAGTGACGATGATTGCACAACTTTGTGAAGATACCAAAAACCACTGAATTGTATACTTTAAAATAGTGAATATTATGGCATGTGAATTACATCTAATTTTTTTAAAGAAGAGATTCAATCCCAGGTCTGTCTGACTCCAGGGTGTAAACAGCAAATCACTATACTATACTAACAACTGTGTGATTATATAGTATTTATAAATTCTATTGGATTGCTTGTTCCTTTCAATTGTTTTTCTAGGTCAATGATTCCCTGTCTAGGTTTTGCAATACCCTGGGATATCTCTAGTGATCAATGAGTGTTACAAAATTCTCAGCTCCCAATTTTTATTCACTTTAAAAAGTATATAAGTGACTCCTGAAAAATATTTGACTCCTATTATCATGAAATACTTTTAGCAGGAGGAAGTGGCATGACAAAAATTAAACAATGGCAAACTGTTGCAATTTCAAAAAGTTTGTGAATCACTAATCTATACAGAGTTAGAGAGTATGCTAAGGATGAAGACAGGATGTGAATCTGATAGGGTGCAACTCAATGACAGGTAATCTTGAAAGTTTTTACAATTTGTCATAAAAACGCATTGATGAAATACCTGAGAGGGCACGATCAATTGCCATATTAAGAAACAAATGTCCACATCCACACACCCTGATTAGTTCCCTTCCAAACCATTTAGTTACTGCCATATATAGTCAGATATGTATGTTTGTTTCTGTATGGCTTTTCTTTACCTTGTGCCTTACTACAGGGTGAGACCTCTGAAAAAAGAAGTCGATGAGCATAAACTAGAAGAAGGTACCATTGGGCTGTATAACTGGGTAGAAATACAAAAGGAGTTTTGATGAAGGTGATTAAGATAAAAAATAATGGGTCTGGCGTGGTGACTCACACCTGTAGTCCCAGCACTTTGGGAGGCAGAGGCAGGCAGATTGCTTGAGCCTAGGAATTCGAGACCAGCCAGGGCAACATGGCAAGACCCCATATCTACAAAATATACAAAAATTAGTGGGGTGTGGTGGCATGCACCTGTAGTCCCAGCTACTTGAGAGGCTGAGGTGGGAAAATCGCTTGAGTCCAGCAGGTCGAAGCTGCAGTAAGCCGTAATTGTGCCACTGTATTCCATCCTGGGTGACAGCATGAGACTTTGTCTCAAAATAAATAAAAATAAAAAATAAATTTCAAAAACGTAAAAATAATGCATCCTACACTTATGAAATAAAAGACTGATTTCAGCATTGTCCTCCAAATCTAGCCTTTAGCTAACTCTGATCAAGAGAGAAGTCGTGATCTGTACTTTGCATAATTCTATTATTTCAAAGGTTACTTGAGCATAATTAAATGCCCACTTAATTAACAATTATTATTCCATCTAATTTTTTTTCTTCCGGGTCTGCAAAGCATGTATCTGAGCTCCCACTACCTTCCTGAGGAGTTATAGTATTCCCTTCATAGAAAATCCATGAGTGTGAAACCAAGCCTGATCTCTGGGCTGTAGATTGAGAAATGAGCTGAGCTGTAGGTTTTTAAAAAAAATATATATATATATATATAAAATAAACATTCTTCAGGATATTAAAATTAATGTCCCATGAGTTCTTCCTTAAAGTATTAGAAACTGTCTCCCTGCCTTGGGGTAAGGAGCAAATGAGTCCTGGCCTAGTCTGATGTTTCCTCAACTGTAAAATGTTCAAGCTAAACTAGAATCACCAGACGATCTCTTTAAGATGCTTTCCAGCTCTGACATCCGATTATTATAGAGCTCTTGCTATCTGTTACCACATAAAAAGACAGCTTGGATTATTGTAAACTAGCTCCTAAAAACACAACTTTTATTTATTAGTGTGACTAGGAAGGCTAACAAGTGATAGACATCACAGCCACTGGAGCAGGACATAAACAAAATGCATTACTAAGATGCTCAAAGTACAGTGGTTTTTGTCTGTTGTATCTCAAAAAAGACATAATGGATGTTCCAGAGGACAACTAAAGGGGAGAAGAGTCCCATGGGAATATAAACTAATGAGAATATATTTGGGGGCTGTAAAAGAAACCAAAATCCAAATTCTAGAACACCATGATTAGAAAAGAACCCCTTGAAGCTCAAAGCAGATCATTTTGGAACACAAAAGGCAACCAATGCATCGAATTCACACACTATAGGATAAGAACTGAAAATAGAAACCTAGACAGAAGAGGCTAGGTGGTCAGTAATAATAATTGATAATAGCCACCTTACATTTGTATATCAATTTATACTTTTCAAATTATTTCAAAGCCATTATCTCATTTGACCCTCATAATACAGCCTGGTTGTAGTCCTGGATCTAAACCAAATTAGCCGAGCAATCCTAGGTACATTTAAACTCTTTGGGCCACAGCTTTTTCATCTATCAGATGAAAAATACCTGCCCTGCCCATCTCACGGGCTATTGTGAGGATCAGACGAGGATAAAATAAAAGTATTAGTTTACTTTACAAATACAGGTATTCTCATCATACATTCATAGATTATAGAAACAAAGCAAGTTATTAAGAAAAGCCAAAAATGTTTGGAAATTCATCCCAAACACATGGTTGACATAATGGCAGACAATCACACTCCTCCACAAGACTTCTGGAAGATCATGGGACTGATCATGGTATTTGTTATGCTCATGTCTTCACTTTTAGACTGGGATCCCCACCCCTCTCCAAGTGAAGGGCTGTCTCTTTTCTTTTCTCTTAAACTTTCATCCTGCACAGGGAGAACTCAGAACTGGAGGCTGATTACCGACTGGCAGAGAGCACCAGTGCCAGCTCCTGTCTAATAGGTTATTAAAGCCTACTTAATATTTTATAGTACATGGAATTAATGTATGTTCTTTTCAATAATTAGTTTTTAAATCCAAACATTGAGTATTTTATACAAGATAGTCATCATATAAACATTAAAATGAGTATCAAAATAGCAGAACTAGAAGTCCTAAATCTGCTACAAACCCAAAAGGTTAATCCAAGTAACCAACAAATGGATTTGCCAAGGTAACACATGATAATTGACAGGAATCCTAAATACAATTCATAACACCTTTATCTTAATGCAGATTACACTGGCAGTTGCAGGGTTGAGGAACAAATGGAAAACAAACTTAATTTACCTATGACTACTGGTACAGCTTTCCATCTCCTCTAGGATTGCTTTTCCTAACCTCTGTTACCCAACAAAATATTTGTAAGTTTTTAAATGTTCAGTGGTTCACCTGGACAGGCAGTCATCTACACAATAAAAATGGCAATATATGTATGTAAGACATGTTATTGAATGTTAGGCTGAGAGGACCCCAAGTTCAGGTCAGAAACAAGGGACAGAGAACAGAGGCCTATTTGAAATCAAGCTTCTACTTCCCTGGGAACCACATGGATCCTAGCAACACTGAACAAAGGGCTATACACAAAGTGATCAAGGATCTGGATCGTAAACCATTTTTCTATCTCTGTGCTGTATATATTAAGACACTTCACTGTCATGAATTAGCATTGTCTGCCATGCCCATACATTATGCTCCTATCCAGGCAAATTGCAAATACTGGGATTTCATGTTTCAGGACGATTTCAGATTGTATGATGGGTTTGTTATCAGATTGTTCGGTCTCAGTAAGACGATGATCCAGAGACTGGGGATGCCGTTCATCAACCAGCGGAGTCTGACCTACGGGAAGGAAGCTGAGACAAAGCCCAAGGTCAGGCAGCCAGAGCTCTGCAGGGAGGCCAGAACCCAAGTAGGATAATGCTTACAAATGATACTTTGCCAACCCACTTAGGCTGAACCAGCATCCTAGAGTGTATTCAGGTGAATCCCACAAGGAAAAGGAAATAATGGGATGCTGGCACATTACTCAAAATCCCTCCACCACCCACACTTTAAGCATCTTATACTATCTAGTAGTCTTAGTAATTTATAGAATTTCTAAAAGAAAACTCAGCATCTGGGAGATTCATCATCAAAAGGATTATATCTGCCTATGGTCATAAAGAAGGGGAAGACAGAAAGAGAGAAACAAATAGAAACAGCCACAGACTACTTAAGCCCACAGAAAACTCTTAGCAGAGTTTTAATACATGAAAGTGGAGAAAGGAACATATTTAATATATTGAGGAGGTAAATAAAAAGTAGATTAGCTATCTGTACAAGAAGATAATTACAGCTGGAATTTCTTGTCTCAACACCACTCATCTGGTCTTCTCACTTGCTAGCATGACCCAACACACCAGTTGAGAAACACTTTTCTAGTCTCTTCTGTACACTGCTTAGTGATGAACACAATATTTTTTGAGAGACCTGAAGTACAGATGTTAGTGCAACACCATCTTGGTACCAAAATTTCATTTATCAAAATGTAAACAATTTTGAATTATCCAAAACTGTTGTATATCCAGTATCAACATGTTACATCTCATATTTTGATGATGCAATGTTCTAAGTCAAGACACCCAGCTTAATGAGTAAGGAGTGCTTCATGAACACAGAGCTTCATTCTCGCTTTTGTGCCAAAGAGAGGACAAAAACTTAATGCTAAATGGAAATGGAGCACCCCCTGGCCTCTACTAGCAGCCGAGCCCCATGGCCTAACAGCAAGGATATTACCAAGATTCATAAAGATTGAATGGCAGACACACACAAGACCAAGCAGGTATTTCCAAGAGCAGCCATTTGAGACATATTCTGTGCCCACAGCCCTGTCTTCACCCTTTTAAGGGCTCTGTGTCCCTGTCTGAAAAGACAGAGCTTGAGTTCTATGGGATAGAATGAGAAGACAACATTCTCTCCTCTTCACCAAGCCAATGAGGTTTGCTGAATGATGAAGACAGACATACTCCTTGTGTAGTTCCCTTGTCAATTATTGTGGTGTCAGCAGATTTTATGGGAGGAGGGATGAAGGAATGGACAGGCTCACTACTCAGAGCAATATTTGGATGCAATTGTGAGACTCCACTGGCACCACTTTAGGATCTGCGAGTTGAAGCAAGTTTCCCTGCTCTTAGGGAAGGGATTAACTAAATCAGTTTTATCTAAATCAATTTGCACCATTCAGATGATATGTTCATAAAGCAATCAAGTCACTCTGATTTACAGGAGTACTTCCCAGAGGTGGCCTTGCAGGGTGCAACATGCCAGACGAGAATTCTAGTAGTCATGAAAACAAATAAGAGGGACACAACCACCCTTTCATGTCCCTAGCCTCTACCCATGTCCTGCACAGCCCCTCCCTGACCTAATCCTGGAGTTGCAAGTATGGAGTTTGGCGTGGAACAAGCAGGAGGCCAAAATACTGGGCTAAATCTGGGGCCTCAGCCCAATCAGCAGAGGTCCTCTGCACATTATAGGTGCTTAATATTGTTGACTCTGCTACTAGGTGCTAATCATGCTTATATAGCCATACCCCAAATTATTTATGACACTTTTCATTAGAAGCTAACAAACTGCCCCCATATAGGCTAAAAAATGGGTGAGGTTATGTCTTCAAATTAGTCTGACTCAGATTGTTAGGTTAGAGTGCATTAGAAATGATTCAAGCCTCAACTTAAATTGATCATTATTACTCTGTATGCCTAGTTGCATGTATGTTTTCATTCAGTTGAACATGTATTGGAGAAAAACCAGATTTAGGACCTACGTACAATGATACGATTTGGCTCTGGGGGTGGGAAGCTAAAGGTTTTCAGTAAGCTAAGATTCCTGCTTACACCCAGTCAATCCACTAACTCAGTAAAAGGTAAAGGAAGTGCTTTCTTTGAAAAGTATAATGTTGGCTGGGTGTGGTGGCTCACACCTGTAATCCCAACACTTGGACTTGGCAGGTGGATCCCTTAAGCTCAGGAGTTTGAGACCAGACTGGGAAACATGGTGAATCCTGTCTCTACAAAATATTCAAAAATTAGCCGGGTGTGATGGTGTGTGCCTATAGTCCCAGCTACTAAGGAAGCTGAGATGGGAGGATTGCTTGAGCCAGAGAGGTCAAGACTGCAGCAAGCCATGATCACACCACTGCACTCCAGCCTGGGTGACAGAGCGAGACTTCGTCTCAAAGGAAAAAAAAAGTATAATGCTGAGGGTTTACAGAACCCTTTCATCTTCAAAGGACCAAGTCAAGACTAACAATACCCAGTACACAATATTATAGCTTTTACACAAGTGCACCAACTATGAAAGAAAAGTCATAGGAATGTCCTAAAGCCATAAGCCAATGTATCATCATATTTGGGATGAACTCTGATCTTCTTGACTCCTGGACCTGTGTTTTAACCACTACATTAGCTATTCTTGCATTGCCTTAAAGAAATACCTGAAACTGGGTAATTTATAAATAAAAGAGGTAGGCTGGGCATTGTCGCTCTCGCCTGTAATCCCAGCACTTGGCGAGGCCCTCAGACAGCTTGACCTCAGGAGTTCCAGACCAACCTGGGCAACATGGCAAAACGCCATCTCTACAAAAAATACAAAAATTAGCTGGGTGTGGTGGCATGCACCTGTGTTCCCAACTACTTGAGATGCTGAGGGAGAAGGATTGCTTAAGCCCGAGAGGTGGAGGCTGCAGTGAGCTGTGAATGTGACACTGCACTCCAGCCTGGGTAACAAAGCAAGACCCTGTCTCAAAAAAAAAAAAAAAAAAAGAAAAGAAAGAAAGAAAAGAAAAGAAAAGAGGTTTAATTGGGTCATGGTTCTGCAGGCTGTACAGGAAGTGTGATGCCAGCATCTGCTTCTAGGGAGGACTCAGGAAGCTTACAATCATGGAGGGAGGCGAATGGGGAGCAGGAGATTCTCACACGGTGTGAGCAGAAGCAAGGGAGAAAGAGAGCTGGGGGGAAGTGCCACACACTTTTAAACGACCAGATCTCAGGAGAGATTACTCACTATCACAAGGACTCACAGTCAACCAAGGTGATGGTGCTAAACCATTCATGAGAAATCTGTTCCCATGACGCAGTCACCTCCCATCAGGCCCCACCTCCAACACTGGGGATTACATTTGTACATAAGATTTGGGCAGGGATAAATATCCAAACTATAACAAACACATAAATCAAGTTGTGAGGAGCAACCAGGAAAAATCTAATTCACATTACATATCCATGTTAAGTTCATTGATTGGGCAAGAATATATAAAAATAGCAAAGACAGTTTCTCCCTCAGTACAGTCATGAGAGGAGACAGACAGGGGGATGTGAGGGTCGGGGGTGGGCAGGGGGAAGCTAACCATCTGGGGTACAATGAAACCACTCCCCAAACAGAAGAAAAGTAGGGGAGGAGAACTCCCTATTCAGCAACTCCCTTCTATTGGAATATTGCCAGAGAACTGATTAGAGTACTGGGACGGAGCAGAATGGGGTTAAAGGCAGCCCTTCTGGCCCAACTTGAGAATCAGAGGGATCAACCCACACACAGTACTTCTCTATTTAGTTTCCAATATATTCCTTTATAAGGGCTCATCCTCAGAGACACACAACCATCACCATCTATCCGCCCCACACTCAGAAATCCTCAAAAAGGCAAAGTGGTTGAGAAGTAAGATGCTGCATGGCTGGGAGGCTGGGAGTGCACACGTTGATGGGGAAAGGCTGGGGTCCAAGGGGCTCTGCTGGGGGATTTGGGTAGGCAAGTAAGCGTTGTGACATAGGAAGGTGAGTGATCCTGAAAACGGGTAGGGGACCGTGGAAGAGAGAAAGTAAAGAGTACAACGACTGCAGGATTTCAATTTCCTGCTCTAAGAAGAAACACCTCTGAAAAATAATGTGCAACACACGAAGTGCTAAGTAACCTAAACCTTATCATCACCAGTAATGTTTCTGTAAATCTACTCCGCCGTTATTTACTTAATTCTTACAAGGCAGGAATGGAAAATCCCCACTCTCCCTGGTTGCGTCGCAGTCTGTCCTGTGGACATATGTAAGTTTTCCCTCTCCCCCACAGAGCTGATTTCACAGCTAGGCCAGAAATAAGGAACCATCCAGACGGAGACTCGAGGATCGCTCCCTGGCAGAAAAGGGATTAAGTTTCACCGGGCCTCCCCGCCGGCAGGGCGTCCGCAGCCACGCCGGCTGCTGCGACAGCACCGCCCGGCAGACGGCCGGCCAAGGGGCGACGCCTGGGCCGAGGAGGCTGCCGGCTGCGGGAGCGTGGGAAGGCGGCCGTGCCCTTTCCCAGACTCGCGCCCAGGCGCCGGGGGATTCGCTCGACTGCCCGCGCCGGGCCCGGCCAGGCTGCGCAGAGGCCTCGGCCGCCCCCGCCCCGCACCCCGGAGTGCAAACTCCGTCCCAGGAGGGCAGTGGCAGGAACCCGGGCCCCAACAGCATGACTGAGAGCCGGAGCTGAGCTGGGGCCCCCGTCGCCGTTTCGAGCCTCGCGGGCCCCATCACCCTGCCTCGCCGAGCCGGAGAGCCCTCGGCCAACGCCGGGCCCCGGCGGCACCTGAAAAGCGGCCGGAGCCGGAGACTAGCCCTGCGAGGGCTACGACGCTCGACCTCCAGGGCCGCGGCGAGGGGGCGCGTTTTACCCATAGCGTTCCCAGGTGCCAGCCATCTCCTCCGCTCGCTCGAGGGCGCTGGGCTCTCGTCTGCCTCCGCAGCGGGTTGGCTCGGGCTCCGGCGCGAGCTCCCGGGCCCCGGTCGCCGCCGCCGCCGCTACCACTGTAGGCCGCCGCCCGCCTTCGCCGCCGCTGCCGCTACCGTCGCCGACGCCGCGCAGCAGCCGGGATCCGCCAGCCCGCGCGCCCCGCAGGGGACAGCACGGCGGCCGCGATGCTACCGCAGCTGGGCCTCCCGAGCTAAACTTAAGAGTTTTCGCCCCTCAGTCCAGGGGCAGCACCATGACACCACGGCAGCACCACACTGTCATTTCCGCCGCCGCAGAGGAAAAAAAAGGCAATCCCTTCCAAAAGGGAGGCGGAGTGGGGGCAAACGGGGCTGGGGCTGACACCCCAAGGGAGCACTGGGAAGGGCCCAAGAAGAAGGGGTGCTCGGCCACCTTCCCAGGCTCACCTTCCGCCGCCCCCGCCACTCCCAGCTCCCCCAGCCCTTCCTCTGGAGGCACGTTTACATGTCTTCTCCCCTGGCAGGAGTGACCGGAGAAACCTGAGCAAGCAAAGGCAGCCGGTGGGTGGGGCTCGGGTTACTACTGTACCTACCAGCTGATTCCAGCAGCCTTTTCTCCAGCGCCCTGTCATCTTGAAGGAAGACACACCGAGAGGGACCCGGACGGGTGTGCGTGTGTGTGTGTATGGTGTGTATGTGCGTGTGTGTGTGTGTGACAGAGCGACAGAGATAGCTAAATGTGTGTGAAATGCAGAAGGAAGGCTATGGCTAAACTCTTCTCCCACTCCCCAATCCCCCTGTCCCCCAACCCCACAAACCCCCAGGTTAGAACAAGAAAGAGGCCTTTGCAACGGGTAATAAGAAGAGAGAGCCGGGTCCACCGCAGAGATCCTCCCTATGAAGCTGCTCTATGCAAAGTTAACTACAGAGTAAAACAAAAATAGTGGAGGAGATAGAAAAGGGCAGACAATTGAAGGAAACCGAACCTCTCTTTCTTTTTACAAAAAAAGAATGGCTGTGTTTTATTGGCCTCGGGCAGAAGTTGTGGAGGTGGATTAAAACCATCAAAAGAAAAAAAAAAGTAGGATTTTTCTTGTACCTTCAAATTGTTGACCAGTAAAACAAGAGGGTCGTTACCACATGGACAATGAGGCAGATGCTAGCTATCCAGCTATTCCAGGTCCCTAATAAGCTAATTGGTCCATTTGGAATCCAGCATCCTCCCATTGGTCTGGAATCAGCCTGTTTGCTGACCTGTCATTGGCTCAGAGACCACCACCCGACTCAAAAGGTGGATGGGAGAGGGAAAGAGCAGGAAGCCCCATAAGAGACTCTGTTTCTAACTTGGGGCAAAAAGGGAGAAGAAGGGGAAAGAAATGAGAAAATGGGAAGACTCACCCCAGCACACACACACACACGCCTCCCATCATTGTGCATAGGAACAAGTCCAGAAAAATTGAGGTATCTCTTGGTATATCCCTTCAGGGAACCAATAGTAATCAGTCAACACTCCTGTTAAACAATGTGCTAGAGAGCACTGAGGTGGAAACCAAGACAAAAGTCACAACCAGGCTCTCCTGATGAAAGTCTGGCCCCTAAGAGAAGTAAAAGTTAGTGAGTCACACTTAAAGCACAGGCAACAAAAGCAAAAATAGGTAAATGGGACCATAAAACTTTCAAACATCTGCACAGGAAAGGACACAATCAACAGAGTGAAAAAGCAACCTACAAAATGATAGAAAATATTTGCAAACCATATATCGGATAATGTGCTAATATCCAGAATGTATAAAGAACTTCTATAGCTCAATTAAAAAAAAAACTCTTAAAAGTGGACAAAAGACTTGAATAGACATTTCTCCAACGAAGATATACAAGTGGCCAACAGGCATATGCAAAGATGATCCACATCACTAATTGTTAGGGAAATGCAAATCAAACCCCAATGAAATATCACTTCACATCCATTAGGATGGTCACACACACACACACACACACACACACACACACACAAAACAAACACACAGGAAAATACGGCAAGGTGTGGTTCACACTTGTAATCCCAGCTACTCAGGAGGGGATGCTGAGGCAAGAGAGTCACTTGAGACCAGCAGTTAGAGATCAGCCTGGGTAACATGAATAGAACGTGTCTCTACAAAAAATAAAATTAGAACAGAAAATAATAAGTGTTAAGGTTGTGGAGAGATTGGAACCCTTGCACACTATTGTAAAAAGGTACAGCCACTATGCAAGGGAATGTAAACTGGTGTAGCTGCTATGGAAAATAGTATGGAGGTTCCTCAAAAAATTAAAAATAGAACTACTATATGATTAAACAATCTTACTTCTAGATATATATCCAAGCAAATAGAAAACAGGATCTCAAAAAGATACTGGCAAACCCACGCTTACAGCAGCATCATTCAAGAGGCAGAAGCAAATTTAATGTCCATCAAGAGATGAATAGATAAAGAAAATATGGTATATATACACAAGGGCATATTATTCAGTTTCAAAAAAAGAAGGAAATCCTGTCACATGTTACAAAGTTGATGAACCTTGAGGACATTATGCTAAGTGAAATAAGCCAGTCACAAAAAGACAAATATTCCATGATTCTACTTATATGACTGTCTAAAATAGTCAACTCATAGAAACAGAAAGTAGAATGCTGGTTGTCAGGGACTGCGAGGAGGGAAAAGGAAAGAGTTGTTCAGTGGGTGTGGAATTTCAGTCATGCAGGATGAGGGGGATGTTCTGGGGATCTGTTGCACAACAATATGCATGTGGTTGACAATATTGTACTGTACACTTGAAAATTGTTGGAAGGATGAAGTTTATGTTATGTGGTTTTTGGCACAAAAAATTATTTTTTTAAAAGTTAATGAGTCAGAAGTCTGCTGAATCCAGCCTGATAGAAGAGGGGATAAATAAGATATGTAGTCATTAAAATAATTACATATATGCATTTGTATGATAATACATATATATATATATATATATAAAACAATCTCAGATATTATGAAATGAAAAAAGCAAAGTGCAGAACTGTGTATGATTTCCTACTATTCGCATACAGAAGCAGGCAGGTATATGTCTATGAATGCTTGTATGAGCATAGACTCTTCTGAAAGATACCTAAGAAACTGGTTACACTGGTTGCCTGGGGGTCAAGCATAGGAGGAAGTATTTAACATTGCATATGCTCTTTTGTATTGTTTAAGTTTTTTATAATATTCATGTATTACCTTTTCAAAAACAATTACGAGCAAGGAGCCTAGAGACAGAAAGTAAAGTGGAGGTTACCAGGAACTGAAGGGAGAGGAAATGAGGAATTATTATTTAAAGAATACAGAATTTCTGTTTGGGATGATGAAAAAATTCTGAAAATAGTGTTATGCAACATTGTGAATGTACTTAATGCCACTGAATTTTGCACTCAAAGATGGTTAAAATGGCAAATCTTGGCTGGGTGCAATGGCTCATGCCTGTAATCCCAGAACTTTGGGAGTCCAAGGCAGGTGGATCATGAGGTCAGGAGATCGAGACCATTCTGGCCAACATGGTAAAACCCCATCTCTACTAAAAATACAAAAATTAGCTGGGCGTGGTGGTGTGTGCCTGTAATCCCAGCTACTAGGGAAGTTGAGGCAGGAGAATTGCTTGAACCAGGGAGGTGGAGGTTGCAGTGAGCCAAGATCGCGCCGCTGCATTCCAGCCTGGTGACAGAGTGAGACTCTGTCTCAAAAAAAAAAAAAGGTAAATCTTATTTTATGTATATTTACCACCATAAAACAAATCAAAAAAATGAAAGGAAGAGGTCTACAGAACAAGTACAGATTATTCTATTGTGTAAGAAAACACATATAGTCTGGACACAGTGGCCCATGCCTGTAATCCTAGCACGTTGAGAAGCCAAGATGGGAGCATCACTTGAGCGCAGAAGTTCAAGACCAGCCTGGGCAACATAGTGAGAATGTGGGTCTTTTTACTTTTACAAAAAACAAAAAATTAAAAAAAGAAAACAGACATATCTATATGCTGGCAAATGCATAGAAAAGAACCTGTAAGGGGCTGGGCACGGTGGCTCACTCCTGTAATCCCAGCACTTTGGGAGGCTGAGAGCAGCACAGAGCCCATTCTGTTCCAGAAGGAAAACCACAGAAGGATGGTTTTGTTGTGTAAGAGATTCTGCAGAAGGGGACCTTCATGCTGCTCTCAAAAGAAGAAGCTAGTTGTCTGAAATCCAGAGGTTGACCAAAGGCTTTTCTAACCAGAAGTTCCAGACCAGCCTGGCCAACAGAGCGAAACTTTGTCTCTACTAAAAATACAAAAACTAACTGGGCATGGTGGTGGGCACCTATAATGCCAGCTATTTGGGAGGCTGAGGCACGAGAATCATTTGAACCCGGGAGACGGAGGTTGTAGTGAGCTGAGATCACAACCATTGCACCATTGCACTCCAGCCTGGGCAAGAGAGTGAGATTCTGCCTCAAAAAAAGAAAAGAAAAGAACCTGTAAGGAGCATCCTGTAAACAGTGTGGGCCTGGAATTGGGGTGGGTGTTTGAAAGGATGTTTCCATTTTGATTCTACTTATTTTATAACTGTTTGAATATTCTGCAATGACATTTTCTTTTGTAGTTTGAAAAAAAAAATTTTAAGGTATGTCTCCAAAAAGAAGTTGAACCCAAAGTTGAGTCAGAAGTCAACTGATCTCTAAAAATTCTTCAATCTCACTTTGTGTGATCCCCACAGAGAGCTGGAGAGTTTTCTAAAAATATGAAGAAGTGATCTCTTTCATTATGGACATACCTGAACAAAGCAAGCTAGCTCTTAGCAAAACAGGCAGTAAAGATTTGCTTTTAATGACCTTTACCATCCATTAGAAATCATCTTAGCCTTCACTTGTTTGCAGTCTCCCTTTCACCTGAGCTGCCAATGCTTTCAAGCTAGTCTCTGGCTTACCAGAGCTCTATACTAAGCTCCCAAACCCCATCTTCCCTCTCCAAGCATCAGCCCATGTTCTGGACATTTCCTTTCCCTTGTCAAAACTTAACTGCTTCTGGCTCCTTTTCACAAAAGACCTCGCTGAATGATTAAGGAATTCAATCAACCAATTTTAGCTAACTCTTAATAGCTTCATTTGTCTCCCTATTAGTAGATAATATTTTAATTTTAACACAGGCCTTCAATGTATTAATTCAAAGGAATGACTAATAGCGTGTGTGGGTGGGGATGATGGGGTGGGGAGGGGAGATTTTGCTAATCACATCACATAAGCAGCTGCTTTGAAAATATCCCCACTTTCACTGGTTTTATCAAATTGCTCACTGTAAATTTATGAAAAGTAAATGTTTTGTATCTGGCAGGAGATGCAAAATTGGCTGGGAATATGTCATGAAATTATTTGTTTATAATTATTTAATGGTTACCTTTGTATATAATATATGTTGATCCTATTAACAAAATAAATCTGGCCCATGGAAAAAAAAAAAAGACATTCGACAGATTCAGCTTGAGGTGTTTTAACTGAATTAATCTGAAGCAAGCTAATTGGACCACAGACCTACAGTATGAAAGGGACAGCTCATGGGCTGCTTTTTCCTGCTAAGACTGTTGGGAGGGTGTTGGAGGAATGGCTCCAGATACTTTCTACAGAGAGCAGCACAGAGCCCAGACTGTTCCAGAAGGAAAACCACAGAGGATGGTTTTGTTGTGTAAGAGATTCTGCAGAAGGGGACCTTCATACTGCTCTCAAAAGAAGAAGCTAGTTGTCTGAAATCCAGAGGTTGACCAAAGGCTTTTCTAACCAGGGGCTTTTAACAGGATGGTGAGAAGAGAAGCACTCTTGCCATGGACTCATCAATAGGACATTGTCCTAAAACTAGTTGTGAACAAGCCCTACAGGCTGCTTAAGAGAGAGTGGTTTAAAATAAATATGTCCCCAGTATGAAGAAATGGCATGCCCCTGTGTATTAGGCTATTTTGGCATTGCTACAAAGAAATACCCAAGACTGGGTAATTTATAAAGAAAAGAGGTTTAATTGGCTACAGTTCCACAGGCTGTACAGGAAGCATGATGCTGACATCTGCTTGGCCTCAGAAAACTTACAATCATGGCAAAAGGCAAAAGGGAAGAGAGGCATCTCACATGGTTGGAAGCAGGAGGAAGACAGAGTGAAGAGGGAGGTACTGCACACTTTTAAAGCACCAGGTCTCATGAGAACTCATTATCGTGAGGGCAGTACAATGCAAGGGATGGTGATAAAGTATTCATGAAGGATCCACTCCCATAATCCAATCACCCTTTACCAGGCCCCACTGCCAACATTGGGGATTACAATTTGATACAAGATTTGAGTGGGGCACAGATTCAAACTGTATCATTCTGCCCCTGGCCCTACCCAAATCTCATGTCCTTCTCACATTACAAAATGCAATCAATTATGCCTTCCCAACAGCCCCCCAAAGTCTTAACTCATTCCAGCATTTACTCAGAAGTCCAAAGTCCAAAGTCTCATCTGGGATAAGGCTAGTCCCTTTCACCTATGAGCCTGTAAAATCGAAAACTAGTTACTTCCAAGATACAATAGGGTTACAAGCATTGGGTAAATGCTCCCATTCCAAAAGGGAAAAATTAGTCAAAAGAAAGGGGCTACAGGCTCCCAGCAGGGTTCTCATTAAATCTTGAAGCTCCAAAATAATCACCTTGGACTCTACATCTTACATCCAGTGCACACTGATGCAAGGGGTGGGCTTCCAAGGCCTTGGGCAGCCCCACCCCTGTGGCTTTGCAGGGTTCAGTCCCCGTGACTTCTCTCAAGGGTTGGCATTGAGTGCCTGCGGCTTTTCCAGGAACAGGGTGCAAGCTGTCAGTGAATCTATGATTCTGGGGGCTGGGGGATCATGGCCCTGTTCTCACAGCTCCATTAGGGAGTACCCCAGTGGGGAATCTGTGTTGGAGATCCAACCCCACATTTCACTGCCCTAGGAGAAGTTTTCCATGAGGGCTCTGCCTCTGTATCATGCTTCTGCCTGGACATCTAGGCTTTTTCATACAGCCTCTGAAATCTAGGGAGAGGTGCCCAAGCCTCAACTCTTGCATTCTGTGCACCACAAGCTTAACACCATGTGGAAGCCACCAGGGCTTACAGCTTGCACCCTCTGAAGGAGTGACCTGAGCTGTACTTGGGCCCCTCTGAGCCACAGCTGGAGATGGAGCAGCTAAGATGCAGGGAGCAGGGTCCCAAGGCTGTGCAGGGCAGCAGGGGCCCTGGCCCTGGCCCAGGAAACCATTTAGTCCTCCTAGGCCTCTGGGCCTGTGATGGGAGTGACTGCTGTTAAGTTCTCTGAAATAACTTCAAGGCCTTCTTCCCTTTATCTTGGCTAGGGGCAGTTGCCTTTTTTTTAGTTATGCAAATTTCTGCAGCTTGCTTGAATTCTGCTCTTGGAAATGGGTTTTTCTTTTCTACCACATGGCCAGGCTGCAAATTTTCCAAACTTTTATGCTCTGCTTCCCTTTTAAATATAAGTTCCAGTTCCAGGTCATTTATTTGCTGGTTGTTAGAGGCAGCCAGGCCACATCTTGAACACTTAGCTCCTTAGAAATTTCTTCTGCCAGATACCCTAAATCATCTCTTTCAAGTTCAAAGTTCCACAGATCCCTAGGGCAGGAGCGCAATACAGTCAATTGCTTTGCTGAGGCATAACAAAAGTGATCTTTGCTCTAGTTCCCAATAAGTTCTTCATCTCCATCTGAGACCTCACCAGACTGGCCACTTCTGTCCATATCACTATCAGCATTTGGGTCACAACCATTCAACAAGTCTCTAGGAAGTTCCAAATTTTCCCTCATCTTCCTGTCTTCTACTCAGCCCTCCACAGTCTTCCAACCTCTTCCTGTTACCCAGTTCCAAAGTCTCTTCCATATTTTCAGGTGTCTTTGTTGAAATGCCCCACTCTTTGTTACCAACTTTCTGTATTAGGCCATTGTTGCATTGCTATAAAGAAATACCTAAGACTGGGGAAAACAGACATCTCATATGGTGGGAGCAGAAGGAAGAGAGAGCAAACAGGGAAGTGCCATACACTTTTAAAGGACCAGATTTCACGAGAGCTCACTATTGTGAGGACAGTACAATGGAGGAGATGGTGCTAAACTATTCATGAAGGATCCACCCTCTTTATCCAATCACCTCCCACCAGGCTCCACCTCCAACACTGCGGATTACATTTCGACATGAGATTTGGTGGGGCCACAAATTCAAACCATATCACCCTGCTATTTTTTAGTCTTCTTTGATCTATATTTTGCTATTGCCTTTATCTATTTTGAACGTACCTGAATTATGTTTGTTACAATAAACATGTATGTTGGATAACTATATTACATTGGTAAACATTATTCTGGAGTTTTAATGTGTCATCAACCTAAACCTTACTGCTGGCCATGCCTTCTTAACCAGCAGCACCTGGTCACTTAGAGTCTGGCTTTCATGATTCTACATCCTGCTGGTTTTCCTCTCATCTCACTGCCTATTCCTCTGGTTCTGTTGATTCCTCCTCCTGCTCTTCTATTGTACCCCTGAAGGTTAATGTGCCTCAGGGCTTAGTCCTTGACTCTCTTCTCCATCTACACTCACTTCCTAGGTGACCTCCTCTAGTCCCATGGTTTTAAGTATAATCCATAAGCTTATGGATCCAAATTTTACCTTTTTAGCTCAGATTTCTCCCTTTGGGTCCAGACTTGCATATCTACCTATTTTACATCTCCACCTGACTATCATACAGACAGTACTAACTTAATGCAACCAAAACAGAACTCTTGGTTTCTATTCCTCCCCATTTCAGTAAATGGCACCATCCAACTGTGTAAGCCAGATACTGGGAAGTTGTCCTTGACACCTTGCTCTCCCCAGTGTCCAACATCCAATCCATCATCGAGTCTTATTTTGGTCTCTCCACTTCCACTTCCAATCAGTAATGCAGCCAAAGTAATCTTTTCAAATGGAAATCTGAACATTTTATCCTCATCCCCTGTTTGAAACCCTTCAGTCTCTTCTCACTGCAGTTAGAGTAAAATTCAAATTATTTAATGTGGTCTATAAGACCAGGCATTAGCTGGTCCTTGCCTTCGTCTCTGAACTCATCCTATTCCACTCTCACCCTTGCTCACTACAATCCAAACACTAGCCTTCTAACATCCCTTGAATCTTGTCATGATCCTGGCTACCCCAAGAACTTTACATGTTCTTTTCCTTCTGCTGGAGTGCTCTTCCTTCTAATCTTCTCATGGCTATGTAGTGCATTCTCTCAGGTTATATACATCGCCTTCTCAGAGAAGCCTTCCCTAACCACCCTATATAAAGTAACCCTTCTGCATTATTCTCTAATATAGCACTCCATTCCTTTCCTACAGATCACTTATCACTAGCTAAAATTATTGTATGTGTGCCCATGCACGTGTGCACATGCACACACACACACACACTAAATATACATATCATGAGAGCAAGAACCTTGTCTGTCTCTATCACTGGTATATCTCCAACACCTAAAACAGTACCTGGCTCATAGTAGGTGCTGATATTTGCTGGATGAACAGCAGTAAACAGAGGGAAACGTATGGTTCAGAGATGACTTTCACAACCCTGACATAGACTTACACCAATCTTCAATCTGCAATAAAAATATCACACTCGGAGATGTCCTTTTGGCAGAACTAGTGCATTTACAGCAGGTTCATGCTGGGAGGCCAGACACATTACTCAGGGCCTCAACTGCCTATATGCCAGCAATTGACAAACTTACTCAAGAAACACTAGAGTCCCTCAAGATATTAACTGGTGTTCTGAGGGAAAAAAAATGACTTGATCTAACATGTTTAGGGAATGCTGCAGACTGAATCTTTCTCTTGGAGACTCACGATACACATTCGCATATTAAGGCTCCAAGGAGTCCTGTCAGAAATAAAAAGCATTTTAGGTTTGTTTAGCATTTCCCAAACATATTTGACCAAGGAACATTTATGTTCTACTCACTTATTAATATCTCACCGGTCAGTAGTGTCTCTCAAACTATAGTTCTGGAAACACTGTCTAGATATATAATATAAAGATGGAGATGTGTGTGTATGTATGTATGTGTGTGTGTGTGTTTGCATGTGTGCATGTGTGTGTCTATATTATGGATATTAATCAAAGTGAACTTAAGATTCGTGGCAATAAATTCCAACTCAAAGATGTCCATGAGATGAGATGGAGGGAATTCAAGTTTACAGCAAGGCAACAATTGGAGATAGTGCATTCAATTAATAACCTTTTAGGAGGATATTGGCTTACAGTTAGTTATCAGCATTGCTCTAAATTAGTTCAAATATTCTGGCCTGAATGAATTACCCCTAGGCCACTGAGAACCTGTACATAATACTGATGAATCCCTGTCAGTGATTTCTGGGGAAATATGCAACTGGGAGAAGTATCAGTATCAGATCCCCAAAGACTACAAATGACCAGCTTTCAAAAGGGGAAGGGTGGATTCTACAAACTAAAGACCAGTGCAGTGGGCTTAATGTTGATTTGAGACAAGATTCATACCACTCTTCCTCTTACCCATTCCAGGGCTTCTTCCTCTTCCTTGATCCCTCTGTGCTCATCCTTGCCTAAGGATTTTGCATTTGCTGTTCTCTTTACATAGAGCAGGGATCAGCACACTTTTTCTGTAATAAGCCAATGGTAAATATTTTTGATTTTGTGGGCCATATGATCTCTGGCCCAACTACTTAGCTCTGCTGTTGAGTGCAAAAGCAGCCATAGACAATACATAAACAATGAAACTTTATTTTCAAAAACAGGCTGTGAACCAGATTTGGCTCAAGGGCCATAGCTGTTCCATCTGGAGTGTACTTTGCCAGGACCCTCACATGAATAATCTTTTATGTTCAGAATTCAGCTCAAACATCATTTTCTCAGATTACGTCACCCAATCTAAAGTAATTACACATTTAGTTGCTTTCAAATATTCCAATTTTAATTATCTCCACTGCACGTCACTAACTGATATTTTCTTGTTTATTGACTTGTTTCCTCCCCGCACACAAACCAGAATAATAAGTAACATTTATTAAGCTCTTATCATGTACCTGGCATTGTTCTAAGCACTTTATATATATTAACTCTTTTCATCTTAATAATAACCTCCTGACAATAATCCTTAATCTCCCCATTTTATAGGTGAAGAAACAAAGGCTGAGAGATTAACTATTTTATTCACAACCACATATGTTAGCCAGTGGTGATTTCAGGATTTAGGTCCAGGCTCATAAGCATTGTGCTATACTACAACTCAATTATAAGCTCCACAAGAGCAGAGATTTTGTCTTGTTTACTGATGACCCTAGAACAGACCCTAGAAGAATGTTTGACTTATAATAAGAGGTCAATAAATATTTGCCAATTTAATAAAAATTCTAAGACACTCAGATTACTAAAGGGAGACAGTATTTACTAAGAATGAGTCAGACTAACCTAATTTCCTTCTTTGATGAGGCTAATAGATAGAGGAAACAGGAAATGGGAATAGAATCGCATTTCTTTGGATTTTAGCAAAGCATTAAACAAGATCTTTCCTGAAACCTTTTTTTTTCAACTTTTATTTTAAGTTCTAGGGTACATGTGCAGGATGTGCAGGTTTGTTACATAGTTAAACATGTGCCATGGTGGTTTGCTGCACAGATCAACCCATCACCTAGGAATTAAGCCCAGCATCCATTAGCTATTCTTCCTGATGCTGTCCCTCCCCCAGCCCTCTACCAGACAGACACCAGTGTGTGTTGTTCCCCCCACCACCATGTGTTCTCATTGTTCCGCTCCCACTTATAAGTGAGAACACGTTGTGTTTGGTTTTCTGTTCCTGCATTAGTTTGCTGAGGATAATGGCTTCCAGCTCCATCCATGTCCCTGCAAAGTATATGATCTTGTTAATTTTAATGGCTGCATAGTATTCCATGGTGTCTATGTACCACATTTTCTTTATCCAGTGTGATGTTGATGGAAATTTGGGTTGATTCCATGCCTTTGCTATTGTTTTTCACTGCAATGAACATACATGTGCATGTATCTTTATAATAGAATGATTTATATTCCTCTGACTATACACCCAGTAATGGGATTTCTGGGTCAAATGGTATTTCTGCTTCCAGATCTTTGAGGAATCACCACTCTGTCTACCACAGTGGTGGAACTAATTTACATTCCCACCAACAGTGCAAAAGCATTCCTTTTTTTTCTGCAACCTTGCAAGTATCTGTTGTTTCTTGACTTTTTAATAAGTGCCATTCTGATTGGCATGAGATGGTGTCTCACTGTGGTTTTGATTTGCATTTCTCAAACCCTTTTCTTACTAGAACTTTCTTTGTCATGTAATGCTGTTAAATTTATTGCCGTTAAATGTTTAATGCTTTCTTTATTGATTTCCATGACACCACACTTTCCTAGTTTCCTGAACACCTTACTGTTCTTACTTTGTCCTTTGTGTGATCCTCCTTCATCATCAGCCCCTAAAATGTGGATGCTTCCATTTTTACCCTCATCCTGATGACACCTGAATCTATAGCTCCAGGCCAGAAATTTACTCCAAGCCTAAAAAATCACACAGGGACCTCAAGTTTAACATGTCCAAAACCAAACTCATGATCTCTTCCTCAAATCTATTCCTTTTCTTATATTCCCAGTCTCTATTAATAGCATCACTCAGTCGCCCCCACACTAGAAACCTGAAAGTCATGTTTGCCCCCTCACCTCTCTCACTCACCCCATATCTAAACACTGACTCAAACTAAAGGATTTTTACTTCTTAAATGTTTCTCAACTCCACACACCTACTAGCCATGACCAACTCTTCGCCAGTCTCTCTGCCTCTTGTTTTGACCCTATCTGATTCTCCACACAGCCATCAGAATTTTTAAATGAAAACGTGATCATGTAACACCTTATTGCCTACAAGATGGAGTCCAAGTTACATCAAGACCATATAAATCTCCTCAAACTTGCTAGCTACTATTGAAACTGCCTTTGCAAAAATTATAACAGTGTGAAAATTATGGTAGTGGAGGAGATCTGATCTGGCCAATCCCCATCTTGCCTTTGACCTTCAAGCTGCCCTTAATTTTTTCTGGACTTGGGCCAAGCTAACATTGGGAAATATTTAGTTTATAGTTTAAATGATAAAAGCACTTCCCCAAAACTCAGCCAACCGCCTTTGTAAAGTTAATGAGAGACCAACAGTTTAGGAGGATAGAGGAGCTTGAATTCTGCTAAGGTGTAGACATACACAATTACAAGTCATTATTTCAGATGTCACAAGATATACAACTTACCTAATTACTCCTGCAGATAACATCACAATTGTAGAACCTAAAATAGGTTTTTTGAGATATGTTTTCAGGTTTTTTGCAGATCTGACCACGGATGGCTCCACCTGGATCCCCCAATTGCTCTTGTGACCCCACAGAGGAGTGACTCAAGGTGCAAGAGGACCATTTCCCACCCCCATATGATTGCATCCCCAACCAACCAAGAGCAAGCACCCATAATCTAGCCACTCCCACCCCCTCCCCAAAACTACTTTTAAGAACTCCTAACCTCTAAGCTTTCGGTGAGGTTGATTTGACTAATAACTCTGTCTTCCAGGTGGCATAGCTGGCCTCTCATCAATTAAACTTTCTTCACTGTAATGCCATGGGCTCTGTGAATTGATTTTGTTTGTGCAGTGGGCAGGAAGAATCTGTCGGGTGGTTATACTAGCTCACTCCCAGCTAATATTTCCACAATTCCAAACTGCGTGCAACATTGCAATTCTCCATGTAGGTACTTCTCTGCCTTTGTTTATGCTGTGGCTTCTGCCTTGAGGCTCATCCCAACCCTTACCACTTACTCCCACTTTGCCTGGCTGACTTCTTATCATCCTCTCAGATTGAGCCCAGGCACTATCTCCTCCAAGAAGGCTTCCCTTAACATGCCCTGTCCTGGGCTGGGTTAGGTGTCCATCTTCTATGCTTTCAAGGCATCCTTTTTTGAGGGGTTGGGGGGATGGGGTCTCACTCTGTCACCCAGCCTGAAGTGCAGTGGTGCAATCTAGCTCACTACAGCCTCAAACTCCCGGGCTCAGGAGATCCTCCCACCTCAGCCTCCTGAGTAGGTGGAACTACAGGCATGCACCACCATGCCCACCTAATTTTTTAAGTTATGATTTGTAGAGACAGGGTCTCATTATATTGCCCAGGCTGGTCTGGAACTCCCTGGCTCAACCAATTCTACCACCTCAGACTCCCAAAGTACTGGGATTACAGGCGTGAGCCACCATGCCCAGCCAAGACATTCTAAATTTGCCTTTATCACAGCACTTATTCTTCTGTATTTTTCTTGCCTGTTCACATGCCTGTATCCCTCATTAGACTATGAGTTCCTCAGAGCAGGAACTACAGCTTATCCACAGTTGTACCCACAGTGTTATGTACAGTGCCTGGCACATAGAGAGAATTCAATTAATGCTTAATGAGTCAGCTATTTTATGACCACCATACATTGCTGCTTCATTTAGTTGACTTATAACAACCTTAATTCTTTTTCACACAAGCAATTATTACATAATGTGGTAAGTGCAATGATAGAGGTACAGCAAAAGAACAGAAAAGGGAGACCTAACTTGGCCTGAGGTGAGTGGAATGGAAGGAAGAGGAGATACAGAAAATACACTAACTCAAACTTAGGCAGCAGTAATAGAAATAGAGTACACAAATCCAGAGAGGAAATAGTGTGGATCTATGCTGCATGGCCAAACTACACCTGAATAACAGGTAAGTTGGATTATTCAATAAATGGCAATGGTTTGGAAAAAATAAAGCTAAACTTCAGAAATGGTTGAAGGGGCTGGGTATAGTGTCTCAAACGTCTAATCCCAGCACTTTTGGTGGCCAAGATGCGAGGATTGCTTGAGCCCAGGAGTTTGTGAGCAGCCTGGGCAACATAGTGAGACCGAGGCTGCTCTACAAATAATAAAAAAGTAACTGGGCATGATGAAACATGCTTGTAGTCCCAGCTACTTGGGAGGCTGAGGTGGGAGAATCACTTGAGCCTGGGAGTTCAAGCCTGTACTGAACCATGATCGCACCACTGCACTCAGCTTGGGTGACAGAGTGAGACCCTGTCTCAAAAAAAAAAAAAAAAAAAAAAAAGTTGAAGGAACAGGGAAGGTTTAGCCAGTATAAGGGAAGACTGTGAGGTATTTGATGGTTTTCTTCAAATATTTGAAGGGCTGTGTTATGAGTGGAATTGTGTGCCCCCTGCAATATATGTTGATGTCCTAACCCCCAGAACCTCAGAATGTGACCTTATTTAACAATGGGATCTTTGCAGGTATAACTAGTTAATATGAGGTCATATTGGAATAGGGTGGTCCTTTATACCAATATGACTGGTGTCTTCATGAGAAGAGGGAAATTGGGACACAGAAATAGAGCGAAGACAGCCATGAAAAGATGGAGACAGAAATTGGAATTACACTGCCACAGGTCAAGGAATGGGAGCCCCCCCACAAACTGGAAGAGGTAAGGAAAGATTCTCCTTTAGAGCATTCAGAGGGAACATAGTCCTGCCGACACCTTGATTTCAGACTTCCTTGATTTCAGACTTCCAGCCCAGCCTCCAGAACTGTGAGATAATTAATTTCTGTTGTTTTAAGCCATCAAGTTTGTAGTACTTTGTTATGGCAGTCACAGGAAACTAATATGCGCTGTCTTGGAGTGGAGGGAGCAGATTTGTTCTGTGTGACACCCAATGGATGGGAGACATAGGGAGACAAAAATATTTCTTTATGTTGAATGAAAACCTCATAGTCATGCTATCTAAAGATTAAAATGAGCTGCCATGGGAGCTAGCAAGCTCCGTCTCACTAGAGGTCAATGTATAGGCTAGAAGTTTCTTTGGCAAGGGTTGCAATGATAATATGATCAGTAATAATACAGATACCATCTTTATCCTGATTCAAAAATCCCTAATTGTCATAAACATTTTTCAAGACGACCTTGAAAAGATGTTTATGACAATTAGGGAATTTTATGTTTATATTTATTTATTTATTTATTTATTTATTTATTTATTTATTTATTTATTTTTTGAGACGGAGTCTCACTCTGTCGCCCAGACTGGAGTGCAGTGGCGCGACTGGCTCACTGCAAGCTCCGCCTCCCGGGTTCCAGCCATTCTCTTGCCTCAGGCTTCTTAGTAGCTGGGACTACAGGCGCCTGCCACCACCCCCGGCTAATTTTTTGTATTTTTAGTAGAGATGGGGTTTCACGGTGTTAGCCAGGATGGTCTCCATCTCCTGACCTCATGATCCACTCGCCTCGGCCTCCCAAAGTGCTGAGATTACAGGCGTGAGCCACCGCGCCCGGCGACAATTGGGAATTTTTGAATGCTGATTGGATATTTGATTACATTAAGGATTTTATGTTCATTTTTAGGTGAAAATAATAGTAAAATGGTTATAATGAGAGAGAAGGAGGGAGAGTGAGAAAAAAGGGGGAGGGGCGTCATCTTTTAAAGATATACACTGAAGTTTTCATGGAGGAAATTATATGGATGTCTAGTATTTGCTTTAAAATAATTCAGGGGATGCCAGGCGCTGTGGCTTACATCTGTAATCTCAGCGCTTTGGGAGGCCAAGGTGGGCAGATTGAGGCAGATGTATTCTTTAAAAGGCATTCAGTGTTTGCCTTCCTCACATGATACTTTTAGATAGAAATATTTAATTCGTCATTACAATGATATTTTCCTCCAAAACCTTGGAGAAAAATTCAAATGTGTCAGGAGTATGGGCCACATTGTAACTGTGGCTTTTTGTGTCTGCCAGCACATTGCCACATACTCTGGGGGGCTCAGGCTCCAGGTGGAGGAGCACAGGGAGTCCCATAACAATGGGCAGATGGTAGAGGATGAGGGGACCACCTGGGAGCACATGCATATTTTGAAGGCTGCTTATTGGACATAACGCTCAGCCCACAAATTTCCATCTACATATACTGCTTCATCCCTAGCTCCCTCCGAGAGGCATGTGGGTGCAAGGGCAGACCAGCGAAGATAGGTTAGGGGACAGGTGGGCTTGCACTCACACTCCAATGTTATAGGCCACCTGTTACACACGGGTTGCCAGGACCCTGAGCAGCAATTACAGGGTCATCTTCTGATGAGTGTGGCTGCATCCATGCCTCTGTTTTCAGGGGAAGTGATTCATACGTAGGGTTGAAGCCAGGCGTGGTGGCTCATGCCTGTAATCCCAGCACTTTGGGAGGCCAAGGTGGGCAGACCACTTAAGCTCAGTAGTTCAAGACCAGCCTGGGCAACATGGTGAAACCCGGTCTCTACTAAAAATACGAAAAATTAGCTGGGCGTGGTGGTTAGCACCTGTAGTCCCAGCTACTTTGGAGCCTGAGGTGGGAGGATTGCTTGAGCCCGAGTGGTTGTAGTGAGCTGAGATCGCACCACTGCACTCCAGTACCTGGGCGGCAGAGTGACAACTGTCTCAAAAAAAAAAAAAAATACCTGCTACCATGTACTGAGCACCTGTGATGTGCTAGGAACCATACTAAGTGCTTTTAAAGCATTATCTCATTTAATTTAATCATAGCACATAAAAAAGGCCTCAATAAAAACAGGCATACTCCTGTATTAAAAGACACAGTATTGTAAAGATATTACTTACGAACTAGTCTGCATAATTAAGATGAAGAGAGAGTCCACTTTGTTTGAATTGCCGTAATTTTCAAAAGAATATATGTGTGCCAATTTGTATACTTTAAAACAATCTCCAGGACAGCTCAATGAGGCACTATTATATCACTTTTAGAAATGGGGAAACCAGCTGGGCATGGTGGCTGCTGCCTATAATCCCAGCATTTTGGGAGGCTGAGGCGAGAGGATTGCTTGAGTCCAGGAATTGGAGACTAGCCTGGGCAACATATGGAGACCCTGTCTCTATAAAAAATTTTAAAAAGTTACAAAACAAAACAACAAAAGAAATGGGGAAACTGAGGATGAGACAAATGAAGTAAAGGTTGAACATCTAATTGGAGGCAGTAGGATTTAAACCCAGTTTTCTCTGACTCCACTGTTGTGTGCTTTTAATGCCTTTACTATTCAAAATGTGACCCAAGGACCACCAGCATCCTATCACAGGATAGTTTCCCAGAAATGCAGAATATCAGGCCCTTACTCAGACCTACTAAATGAAATTCCACATTAAAGTTTCAGAAGAATTGCATATGCTATACAGTTGTCCCACAAGTATCATGGAGGATTGGTTCCAGGACCTCCTGCAGGTACCAAAATCTGTGCATGTTCAAGTCTTTGATATAAAATGGTGCAGTATTTGTATATAACCTACATGCATCCTCCTGTATACTTTGAATCATCTCTAGATTACTTATAATAACTAATACAATGTAAATGCTATGTAAATCATTGTTACACTACATTGTTTAGGGAATAATGACAAGAAAAGTCTGTACATGTTCAGCACAGACACAATTTTTTTCAAATATATTTTTTAATAAAGATGGGGGGTCTCACTATGTTGCCCAGGCTGGTCTTGAACTCCTGGGCTCAAGTTATCCTCCCGCCTCAGCCTCCTAAAGTGCTGGGATTACAGGCATGAGCCACCATACCCCGCCCTCAAATATTTTTGATCTGTGGTTGGTTGAATCCACTGATGTGGAACCTATGGCTATAGAAGGCTGAGTGTACTGCTATATAGGGTACGTAAGCCCTGGAAGGATGGCTGGACTGGCTGGAGGTTTCTAAAAATCCGTTGTTCATTTGGATTTATCAAGGGAAATTTAGAAATACTGGTCTCAAGTTGCATAGTATTTTATCTCTGCGATGGGGCCTGAGAATCTATATATTTACAGGCTTCTTCTGATGAACTATCAGGTTGGGAAACACTAAAAAATGAGACCAATAAAGGTCGTGTTCAACCCTTAGAGTCCCTAATTTCTAACACATTTTCAGGAGAAGATGAAGAACTCAGTTATGTGTGACTATGAATAAATACTTACCTGTTCGCTGAAGATAATAGTTTAGAAGTGACTTTAAGTTTCTTTCTAAGGAAATAAAAGTTTCAAGGAGTGAAAATGGAGTGCAGATGGACAGAATCAGAGGATTAGGAAATATAGGATACCAAAAATATGACAATTAATATATGAATCTTTTATTTCAAAGAATTTTTAATGTATGCATATGTAATAAAACAAGATATAAACTTGTGACTCCAAAGCAATTTGATTGGTTCTCCTGGATGCCTTACATAAATCAAACTCATTACTCTGGAGTTTAATTGTTCAATATTTATTGGGTCCCTATTCTCAAGGAGCCCACATTCTAGTAGAGAAAAGATAAGTAAACAGACAATTGCAATAAAATGTGATGAAATACTGAGATATCAATACAAGCTGCTACAGTGCGTGTAGGATGGTATCATAATACACCACGGAAGTAGCAGGAGGGTAGTCAGGGAAAGATGAGTCCTGAAAGTAGAGTAGCGGTTATCCAAGGGAAGAAGGGTATTTCAGAAAGATAGCACAGCATGCACAACAGCACAAAGGCCAAAGAGAATGTAATAACTTCTGACAATATTGTACGAACATAGGTTGAGTGTGGAGTGGAATGAAGAGAAAAGGTAGATGAAGTAGTCAGAGGATAGATCACAAACGTTCTTTATGCTATTCCAAAAAGTATGGACATTATCCAGTAACTATGGATAGAATTATGAAATTCCAAGGAGTATGAACATTATCCAGAATCTTTGAATGGTTTTAAATAAGAGAATGGCACGATATAATTTTTATTTTTAAAAAATTGCTCAGCTGTGGGAAGGGTGGATTTGAAGGGAATGAGAATGAAGCAGGAAAGCTGCTGAGAAACAATTGCACTATGTTAAGCAAGAGATAAAAAGGAGAACATA
Organism: Homo sapiens; assembly: GCF_000001405.40. Taxonomy (NCBI): domain Eukaryota; kingdom Metazoa; phylum Chordata; class Mammalia; order Primates; family Hominidae; genus Homo; species Homo sapiens. The sequence continues at coordinate 107,806,379 of NC_000023.11, read as the reverse complement.
TATTTAAAAGAAATGGCCGGGCGCGGTGGCTCACGCCTATAATCCCAGCACTTTGGGAGGCCGAGGCGGGCGGTTCACGATGTCAGGAGATCGTAGCCATCCTGGCTAACATGGTGAAACCCCATCTCTACTAAAAATACAAAAAGAAATTAGCCGGGCGTGGTGGCGGGCGCCTGTAGTCCCAGCTACTCGGGAGACTGAGGCAGGAGAATGACGTGAACCAGGGAGGCGGAGCTTGCAGTGAGCCGAGATCGCGCCACTGTACTCCAGCCTGGGCGACAGAGCGAGACTCCGTCTCAAATAAATAAATAAATAAATAAATAAAAGAAATTTTAAAAGTTGAATATAATTTTGTGACATAATAAGTGAGGGAAGCCTGGCAAGGTGGCTCACGCCTGTAATGCCAGCACTTTGGGAGGCTGAGGTGGGCAGATCACTTGAGGCCAGGAGTTCGAGACAGGCCTGGCCAACATGGCAAAAACCCTGTCTCTACTAAAAATACAAGAATTAGCCAGGCATGGTGGCACATGCTTGTAATCCCAGCTACTTGGGAGGCTGAGGCACAAGAATCGCTTGAACCCAGGAGGCGGAAGTTGCAGTGAGCGGAAATCATGCCACTGCCCTCCAGCCTGGGTGATAGAGTGAGACTCTGAAAATAAATAAATAAATAAATAAATAAATAAATAAAGTAAGTGAGAAGTGAAGAGTCAGTTTTCTGATTGGGTACTGGAGGTGGTGCCACTAACTGGGATAGGGAATGCAGACAGAGGAGCAGACTTTCAGAAGAAATTGGGATAAGAAAAAATAAAAATAAAATAAATAGAATTTTAAAAAGAAATGGGGGTGGGGAAGGATAATGAGATCAGTTTTGGACATGTCGCATTTGAGTAGTCTATGGAACAACTAAGTAGAATTGTTGAGAAGACAAATGGATACTTGAATGAGTTGCTCAGAAGAGAGATAAGAACTAAAGACACAGATGTGGATGTCATGAGCATGCGCACTGGAATTACAAGAGCAGATAAATTCACCTGAGAAGAGACTGCAGCCAGGTGCAGTGGCTCAGGCCTGTAATCCCAGCATTTAGGGAGGCAGAGGTGGGAGGATAGCTTGAGCCCAGGAGTTCAAGACCTGCTGGGGCACCATAACAATACCCCATAGAAGTGTATATGATGTGTTGTGGATAACGGGAGTCAGGTTTCTCACTGTTGGTGATGAGAGTGAGTGTCTGTTCATGTCCTTTGATCATTTTTAAATGGAGTGACTTGGTTTTTGCTTGCTGAATTTTTTTTTGTTTTTTGAGACAGGGTCTCGCTCTGTCGCCCAGGCTGGAGTGCAGTGGCATAATCATGGCTCACTGCAGCTTCAGCCTCCCAGGCTCAAGTGATCCTCTCACCTCAGCCTTCTGAGTAACTGGGAATACAGGTGCGTGCCACCACGCCCGGCTAATTTTTTGCATTTCTTGTAGAGACGGGTTTTCACCATGTTGTTCAGACTGGTCTCAAACTTCTGGGCTCTCAAATGCCTGTCTCAGCCTCCCAAAGTGCTGGGATTACAGGCGGGAGCCACTGCTCTGGGCATGTTGAATTGTTTAACTGGTTTATATAATAGACTCTTGTTATTAGACCTTTGTTGGATGCCTAGTTTGCAAATATTTTCTCCCATTCAGTAGACTGTCTGTTTACTTAACCATTCTGAATCCATGTTTCATCTTTGCAAATACACACTCAACTCCCTTGCCCACTTCTCCATTTTACTCTACTGGCAAAGCTCCAACCCTACATGAAATTTGTAATTTGTCTTTTTGGAGCCTGCACCCAAACTGCTGAATAGTGCAGGAGAATATCACACAACTGAGCTGATTGGTTTCACTTTAAGTTAGATCCATGAGAATGGATCTTAAAGTGTCCCTTACAGTCCATTAAACACAAAGCTCAAGAGTTCCTCCATTGTGCTCTGAATCCCATCCCTCTTTTTCTCCTCAAGGAATCTGTTCCTTCAGTTATCTTCTTTCTCTTCTGCAATAGCAATCTCTCCCTCTCCTTTGGATCATTTCCATCAGAGTTCAAGCAAGCTCTAGTACTGCTAATCTTAAAAAATAAACAGTCTCCCTTGACCAAGATAAATCTACCTCCAACTTCTATCTCATGTATTTGTTCCTCTATATTACCAACTTCTCATATATAAAGTTGTCAACATATGTTGTCTCCACTTCCTGCTGTCCCATTAAATCCTCAATCCATTTCAGTCAGACCTTCACCCCCTACCATTTCAGCAAAACAGTTATTGTCACCAATGACCTACGTGTTGCCAAATCGAATGGGCACTTATCTGTCCTCATTTTACTCACACTCTCAGCAGCATTCAGCACTGTTGACCATTCCTTTCATTTTGAAATACACTTTCCTTTTGCCTTTCTTGACACCATAATGTTTTGGTTTTCCTCCTAACTTCTTAGCCACTCCTCACTCTCCTTTGCTACCTGTTCTTCCTTTACCTTATGTTTAAATATTAGTATTCTTCAGTGATTTGCCCTATACCCTCCTCTTTTCATTCTACATTCTTTCATTGGGTGATCACTTCCATTCTCAAAAATGTAATGCATTTATTTATTTATTTATTTATTTATTTTTGTGACAGGATCTTACTCTATCTCTCAGGCTGGAGTGCAGTGGCACTATCCCAGCTCCCTGCAACCTCTGCCCCCTGGGCTCAAGAGATTCTCCCTCCCCAGCCTCCCGAGTAGCTAAGACTACAGGCACATGCCACCACATCCAGCTAGTTTTTGTATTTTTTTGTAGAGATGGGGTCCCACCGTGTTGTCCAGGCTGGTCTCGAACTCCTGGGCTCAAGCTATTTGCCCGCCTCAGCCTCCCATAGTGCTAGGATTACAAACCTGAGCCATCATGCCCAGCCCATTCTCATGGATTTAAATGCCATTTTTGCCACTCTAAAAGGAAGCCTCAGCACGGTGGCTCACACCTGTAATACCACCACTTTGGGAGGCCAAGGCAGGTGGATCACTTGAGGTCAAGAGTTTGAGGCCACCCTCGTCAACATGGTGAAACCCCCTCTCTACTAAAATAAAAATTAGGCTGGTGTGGTGGCAGGCACCTGTAGTCCCAGCTACCGGGGAGGCTAAGGCAGGTGAATCACTTGAACCCGATAGGCAGAGATTGCATTGAGCCAAGATTGCATCACTGCATACTCCAGCCTGAGTGACAGAGTGAGACTCCATCTCAAAAAAAAAAAAAAAGGAAGCCTTATACTCATTAGTGGTCACTCTCTCCCCCATCCCCACCCCTGGCTCCTGGAAGCTATTAACCTGCTTTCTGTCTACAGATTTACCTACTCTGGAAATTTCACATAAGTGGAATCATACAATCTGTGGTCATTTTTGACTACTTTCTTTCATTTAAGGTAATATTTTAAAAGTTTATCCATTTTGTGGCATGTATCAATATTTCATTCCTTTTTATGACTGAATAATATTCTATTGCATTGATATACCACATTTATTTATCCATTAATCAGTAGACAGGCATTTGGGCTGTTTCCACTTTTTGGCTATTATGGATAATGGTACTATGAACATTCATGTACAAGTTTTTGTGTGGCCATGGAATACTACACAGCCTTTAAAAAAGTGAAATAATGTCCTTTGCAGCAACATGGATGCAGCTAGAGAACATTACCCTAATATAACTAATGCAAAAGCAGAAAAACAAACATCACATGTTCTCACTTATAAGTTGGAGCTAAACATTTGGTACTCACAGACATGAAGATGGCAAAAATAGACACTGGTGACTTCTCAATGGGGAGAAGAGTTGAAAAACTCTTAGAAACTATGTTCAGTACCTGGATGACAGGACCAGTTATACCCCAAACCCCAGCATCACGTAATACACCCAAGTAACAAACCTGTACATGTAACCCCCAAATCTAAAATAAAAGCTGATGTTATAAAAATAAAAATAAAAAATAAAAATGAAATAAAAAATTTTTGTGTGGACATATTTTTTTTCATTTCTCTTGAGTATATAACTAGGAGTAGAATTGCTGGGTCATATGGTCCTCCATGTTTAACATTTCAAGAAACTGCCAGGCTGTTTTCAAAATGGCTGCATCACTTTACATTCCCATCAGCAGTATATGAGAGTTCCAATTTCTCTACATTCTCATCGACACTTATTATTATCTGACTTTTTAGTTACATTTATCATGTGGGTGTGAACTAGTATCTCATTGTGATTTTGATTTGCATTTCCCTGATGGTTAATGATGTTGAAGATCTTTTTACATGCTTATTGGCTATGTGTATCTCTTTTTTAAAGAAATGTCTATTCAGACCCTTTGCCCATTTTTAAATTGGGTTATTTGTCTTTTTATTGTTGAGTTCTCAGAGTTCTTTACATATTCTAGATACAAGCCCCTTATCACATGTATGATTTGCAAACTGTTTCTCCCATTCTGTGGGCTGTCTTTCTACTTTTTTTTTTTTTCTGAGATTGAGTCTTGTTCTGTCACCCAGGCTGGAATGCAGTGCCATGATCTCAGCTCACTACAACCTCTGCCTCCCAAGTTCAAGCCATCCTCCCACCTCAGCTCCTGAGTAGCTGGGAATACAGGTATGTGCCACCACGCTCTGCTAATTTTTGTATTTTTGTAGAGACAGGGTTTTGCCATGTTGCCCAGGCTGGTCTTGAATTCGTGAGTTCAAGCAGTCCACCCACCTTGGCCTCCCAAAGTGCTGGGATTACAGGCATGAATCACTGCACCCGGCCCAAGGTCTTGAAAATGTATATCTATGTTTTCTTCCAAGAATTTTATTGTATTAGCTCTTACATTTAGCTCATTGAACCATTTTGGGTTAATTTTAGTATATGGTGTGAAGTATAGACCCAAATTTATTCTTTTGCACATGTGTGTCCATTGTCCACCATGTGTCTACCCAGTTGTGCACCATTTGCTTAAAAGGCTCTTCTTTCTCCCATTTAATGGTCGTTAACACTGTTATCAAAAATCAATTGACTGTAAATATGAGAGTTACCTCTGGACTGTCAATTCTATCCCACCGACCTACATGTCTATTCTTATGCCAGTACCATGCTGTCTTATGTATTGTAGCTTTGTAGTAAGTTTTGAAATCAGGAAGTGTGAGTCCTCCAACTTTGTTCTTCTCTTTCAAGATTGTTTTGGCTATGCTGACTATTGCATTTCCATATGAATTTTAGGATCTGCTTGTCAAATTTTTTTGTTTTTTTCCTAGTAGTTTGAAAAATCACTTAAGAGCTTATCAATTTCTACAAAAAAAGCCAGCTGAAATTTTTGATAGGAATTGCACTGAATCTATAGATTAATTTGTGGGTTATTGTCCTCTTAACAATATTAAGTCTTCCAATCCATGAATATGGAATATCTTTCCATTTATTTAGGTCTTCTTTAATTACTTTTGACAATGTTTTGTAGTTTTCAGAGTATATGTTTGGCGCTTCTTTTGTTAAACCTGTTTTTAAGTATTTTGTTCTTTTTGATGCTATTGTAAATGAAATTGATTTCTTAATTTGATTTTGGATTTATTGCTAGTGTATAGAAATACAGTTGATTTTTGTATATTAATCTTGTATGCTACAGCATTGCTGAACTGTTAGCTCTAATAGACCTTTTTGTGGACGCCTTAGGATTTTCTACGTACAAGATCATGCCACCTGTAAATAAAGATATTTTGCTTATTTTTTCCAATCTAGGTGCCTTTTATTTCATTTTCTTGCCTAATTGTCCTAATTAGAACCTTCAGTACAATGTTGAATAGAAATGTCTTGTTCCTGATCCTAGGAAATCTATCAGTCCTTCGCAATTGATGATATTAGCTGTGGGGTTTTCAGATGTCCTTTTTCAGGGTGAGGAAGTTCTGTTCTATTCCTAGTTTGTTGAGTGTTTTTATCATGAAAAGGGTATTGAATTTTTTCAAATAATTTTTCTGGGTCTTTTGAGATGACTGTGTGGTTTTTATCCTTTATTCTATTGATGCTCTCAGCACGATTTTGAAGAACATATTATAAGAACTACTGGAGGAGTCTTCTAGCCACACAGTAGGAAAGTCCCTTTACTTAACCAAAAATATGTTTCACAAGACATTGTTAAAAGCTTTTTCTGAGCCTAGGAAAACAATTGCTCTTTGGGAGCAATCCAAGTGGACAGCCACTAGAAGGAGTGGTTGAAAGATACTCCAATATACCCCTCAAGAAACACCCTGTGATAACAACAAATTTTAGTTGTATGACTTTGCAAATCCCTTTTTTTTATTTTGGGAAAGTTGCAGAGGAGAGATACTCAAACATTAGTAAACTCCATTGCTATATGCAGAATAAGCTAAATTGGCCAGAAATACGTGTTGGATGTTCTTCCTTCCCCATTAGATTGTGGAGTCTGAGTGATTCTGGATGTCAAGGCAGAAAGGAGAGCACAGTTAAGACGTTTGCTTGAAGGAGACAAAGCTCAAATGTGATATAGTCAGTGGGATAATTCCCTGAGAAAAAGGAAACTCAAATAGAGGTTTGCACCTATGGCATGAGTGAAGGAAAGGGAAAGAGACAATATAGTACCCTGATTAAGGCCATCAGCTTTGACACAGACTCCTTTGGTTTGAATCCCAACTCTGCCACTTCCTAGTTAGTGACTTTGAGCAAATTACTTTACTTCTTCAATCGTCAGTTTCCTCACCTATATAATCGGCACAGAGTGGTTAAGAATAAGATATTGTGTTTTAAAGCCTCTGGCAAAATGCCTAGCACATAATAGTCACTCTGTAAAAATGGGCATTCCAGTTCCTCCCTGATTCAGAAAACAAACAAAAACAAAAACAAAAAAAGTTACTGATCAGAGAGAATTAATTCAAGTCATAGGGTAAAGAATTCAAGAGCGAGACATTTATTTTTTCAAACTTTCCAGACAAAAGGTCATGAACCCTGGAGATACATGCTTGGTTTCATGAGGTATCAATTTAATTAATTTCTTTGTACAAGGATTAAACTAAAGGGAAAGTGTGTAAGTCTTGGTATCAGAGTGCTTTTTTAAAATTTAATTTAATTTAATTTTAAGTTCCAGGATACACGTGCAGGACGTGCAGGTTTGTTACATAAATAAATATGTGCCATAGTGGTTTGCTGCACAGATTAAGCCCCACATGCATTAGCTATTTATCCTATGCCCTCTCCCCACCCCCACCAACAAGTCCCAGTGTATGTTGTTCCCCTCCCTGAGTCCATGTTTTCTTGTTGTTCAGCTCCCACTTATAAGTGAGAACATACGGTTTTTGGTTTTTCTCTTCCTGCATTAGTTTGCTGAGGATAATCGCTTCCAGCTCCATCCATGTTCCTGCAAAGGACATAATCTCGTTCTTTTTTTATAGCTACGTAGTGTTCTATGATGTATATGTACCACATTTTTTTTATCCAGTCTATCATTGATGGGCATTTGGGTTGATTCCTCAGAGTGGTTTTGACTGTATGTTAACAGAAAATCCTGCACAACCTGGCTTAAACAATAAAATATAATGTATTATCTCACATACAGAACATCCAGACATAGTGTATGCTGCAAGGTTAGTTGACTCAGCAACTAGATAATCTCATGAACAACACAGGTTCTTTGGGCCTTCTCTCTGCCATCTAAAATATCCTATTCATCCTAGGGCTAGTTTATTTTGTGGTTTTAAGAAAGCTATCTGCAGTAATCACCATATGCATGCTTATTCATATCCAATAGGAAGGAGAGATACAGCCTCTCCTTTAAGCTAAAACTAAAAATCTTTCATTCGATCTCACTGGGGTCTCAATTGGTCGCTGTCCATCCCTCAGCTTATTAATATAATTTTAGGATTGCCCACTTCTGATTGGCTTAAGCCTAGGTTCCTAAACCAATCACTAGCAAGAAGGAGAGGATTATCATAACTGATTTACACTAATCAGGGCCATGAAAATTAGGGAATAAATCCAAAATGCCCAGTATCCAGCTAATAGGGGTTACAGAAACAGCAGAGGAAACAGAAGGGAAGAAACTACAAATAAGTGATACAAGGCTTTAAGATTTAATGACTGTCTTACTGGGTTTCAGGCTTGCATGGGGCCGGTAGGCCCTTTGTTTTGGCCAATTTCTTCCATTTTGAATGGGAGCATTTATCCGATGCCTGTACCCACATTGTATCTTGGAGGTAATTAACTTTTTTTTTTTTTTTTTTTTTTTTTACAGGCTCATAGGTAGAAGGGACTTATCTTGTCTCAGATGAGATTTTGGACTGTGGACTTTTGAGTTAATACTGAAGTGAGTTAAGACTGGGGGACTATTCAGAAAGGATGATTGTATTTTGCAATGTGAGAAGGACATGAGATTTGGGAGGAGCCAGGAGTGGAATGACATGGTTTGGATTTGTGTCCTGTCCAAATCTCATGTCTAATTGGAGGAGAGGACTGGTTGGAGGTGACTGGATCATGGGGGTGGATTTCCCCCATGCTGTTCTTGTGATAGTGAGTTATCCTGAGATCTGATGGTTTAAAAGTGTGTGGCACTTCCCCCTTTGCTCTCTCACTCTCTCTCCTGCCCACCATGGTAAGATGTGCTTACTTCCCCTTCACCTTCTGCCATGATTGTAAGTTTCGTGAGGACTCTCAGTCATGCCTCCTGTTAAGCCTATAGAACTGTGAGTCAATTAAACCTTTTTGCTTCATAAATTACCCAGTCTCAGGTAGTTCTTTACAGCAGTGTGAAAATGGACTAATATAGAAGTAAATCACAAAAGGGATAAACACAGGATCCATGAAATAGTCAGTCCAATTCAGGACTATAGTGAAGAAAAATCTCTGGATGGAAACTGTTGTCTAGGGAGTGGTTTGCAGCCAGTTGTGATTTTGCCTCCCCACTGGCCTGCCAGAAACAACTGGTAATGTCTGGAGACATTTTTGGTTGTCACAAGTTGAAGTGTGTGTGCGCGCACAAATGCGTGCTACTGTATTTAATGGGTATATGAGGCCAAGGATACTGAATTCTACAATGCACTACACAGCCTTCCACAACAAATAATTCTCTGGTCCAAAACATCAGTAGGGCTGAGATTGAGAAATCCTGGTCTAGAGAGTAACAAATCCAAACTGGAATAGGAGGACAGACAGACCATGGAGAGGAAAGTAGAATTGTCGGGTGCAGTGGCTGACGCCTGTAATCCCAGCACTTTGGGAGGCCAAGGCGGGTGGATCAGGAGGTCAGGAGTTTGAGACCAGCCTGGCCAATATGGTGAAACCCCGTCTCTACTAAAAAAAATACAAAAATGAGCTGCGTGTGGTGGCACACACCTGTAGTCCCAGCTACTCGGGAGGCTGAGGCAGGAGAATCGCTTGAACCCAGGAGACAGAGTTTGCAGTGAGCCAAGATTGTGCCACTGAACTCCAGCCTGGGCGACAGAGTGAGACTTCAAAAAAGAAAAAAGTAGGAGAATATCCATGGAAAGCTTAATTTTTTACAGAGTTTGAAGGAAATTAAGGGGTGCAATAAAGGCAAATATAAGAAAGAGAGAATGGTAAATAAAAATTCCAGCAGAAAAGATATAGATGTTGGACTCTCCCTGGCTTTGCAAGGAACTTTATTTATTTATTTATTTACTTATTTTTGAAATAGGGTCTCACTCTGCCACCCAGGCTGGAGTGCAGTGGAACAATCTCAGTTCACTGCGACCTCCGCCTCCTGGGCTCAGGAGGGATCACTATCCTACCATCTCAGCCTCCTGAGTAGCTGGGACCACGGGCACATGCCACCATGCCCAGCAATTTTTGTATTTTTGGCAAAGACAGGGTTTCACCATGTTGCCCTGGCCAGTCTTGAACTCCTGACCTCAAGTGATCTGCCTACCTCAGTCTCCCAAAATTCTGGGATTACAAGCATAAGCCACTGCGCCTGACCAGGGAACAATATTTATATAGTCACAGTAATAAAATACTCTTTACTAATTGTAAACTTTTGGAATTAACTGAAAGACAGAGCACGGACAACTTTATCAAGTTTGACAATGTAAAAACAGAAATATAGATGAAAAAAGCTAGAAAGTAGAAGGGGGAGGAAGAAAGATGAAGAAAAGGCAAAAGGACATTAACATCTTCATCTTACAAAGTGGGAAGTACTATATGGTGGAGCAAAACAAAAATGGGGTTATATTTGTATATATTAAAGTTATAGGAGAACCTGTAGTAAACTGTATAACTCATCACTAATATTCAGGATCTCTTCCTACAGATCCTTCTCCACTCCCTCAGAATCAGTTTTGACAACATGTTTTGAGAATGGAAATGTGAGCAAAAGTGACGGATATCATTTCTGGGTGGAAGCTTGAGGAGCCAGGACATGATTTGTCACTCTGTTTTTCCCTCTGTCATCATCATTCCAGATAGTGGGTATACTATTAGCCTAGGCCCCAGAAGGAGGACAATCATGGCATGGAGCAGACCCCGGCACCATGTAATCAGCAATGGGAATGTAGTGGGAGGAACAGAACTTAGTAATTTTAAGCACTAAAATTTTTCGATTTTTTATTACTGCAGTATAACCTAAGTTATGCTATGTAACAGTAAAGAAAGTAAGTACAGATGCTCATTGACTTATGATGGGGTTACATCCTAATAAGCTTATTGTATATATTAAGTTGAAAATGCATTTAATACATCTAACCTCTCAAATATAGCATAGCACAACCTATCTTAAACATTTTACATTAGCCTACACTTGGGCAAAATCATCTAACCCAAAGCCTATTTTATAATAAAGTGTTAAGTATCTCATGCAATTTGTTGAATACTATACTGAAAGTCAAAAACGAAATAGTTGTATGGGTACCTGAAGCATGGTTTCTACTGAATGCACATCACTTTTATACCATTGTAAAGTCCAAACATTGTAAGCCAAGCCATTGTAACTCAGGAACCCTCTGTAAAGTGTTGTGAACTATATTGAGAGGATGGAGAGTAGAGAAGTGCAAATGGGGGTGTAAGTGAGCTAAATCCTCATCTCTGAAAGTAGGAAGTCAGTACGTAGCGTTTAAAAAGAAAGTAAGTAGTCATGTTATTTGGAGATATGGAGGAAACTACCAAGAAACAAACAAACCAAAAACTAATAAAAATAATTAAGCGTTATCGTCCAGGGAATAGGCGTAGGATAGGAAGAGGTGGGGCAGGAGGATTTTTGTTTTTATTACAAATTCTTCCAGACTTTTCTATGGTTTCAAATAATAGTGCTTGTGTTTCTCTTGATAACTTTTTAAAATTTCCACTTATTTGACTGTATTTTATGCAAGCTCTAAAAAAAATTATAATTTTGGGCTGCAGGAACATGGCCATAGAATCCAACAGAAATCTTCTTAAAAGGGAAGTTGTGCTTTGGTTGACTCTGATCTTACATACCTAATTTGTTCCCGAAGAACACTTCACTTTGGACCACCTAACAGTCAAACTGGTAATCTGAAAAGCATCTTCAAAATTCAGACAAAAACAAATGGATTTTTTTTGTTTCTGCTATTTAACAAATTTTCAGAGAAAAAAATACATCAACAAGTAAGGTAATTTAAACTTGGAATTGGCTATTTGCAGACTTGAGGTTGGTCTATAACACACTTTTCAAGGGGTTAGAGTTAAAACTTTTTCTCTATGGATTGTTCTAGATCTGAGTCTGTCTTCCAAAGCCTCCTCTACCAGAATGAAAATCTTCACGAAACTCATCCCTTACCTGACCCCCAGATTTACCGCGACCATACTGTTGACCCTCTCTAAAACCGACATCCCAATCAGTGCAGATAATCCATTCATCTAGGCAGGTCCCAGTTAGAAACCGCATGGCATTTTCAGCATCAGCTCTGTTATGGCATTCTACAAAGCAAAAACCACATGCTGTTTTCTTTATTTTATCCAGGCCCATAAAGATATTCCTGATATCAGATCTACTAAAGAGTTCATGTATTTTCTCTTCGGTTGTATAAAAGGAAAGATTCCCCATATTCAATGTGGAGCTTTCCTTCAGTAATTTTTCCTGCTGAAATTTACGGCCACTGAACTGATGGTCCCGGTAGCAGCTCAGCTCCAAAGCAGGGTCTTTACATAGAATTTTCAGGTCTTTGGACATGGTGCTGGTTGGGCAGCATGCCGATGGCCGTTTTCGGTCCAGCTTGGCAGCAGTGACACCACCACTGAAAACCTAAGTTGAGTTGAAAAAAAGAGGGAAGTCAAAAGGAGGGAAACAGAAGTATAAACCTGTGAATATTTAACATATTTGTGTTCAGATACAAGAACACTTCAGCTCCTGACCATAAGGATCATGTCAAGGCACACTAAAAATAGACAGCTCCAATCCCCAAAACATGGTCATAAAATCCAATTTGTCAAGTCTTCCTGAAAGGGAAGTTGTGCTGTCTTTGGTTGAGACTTAGATCTTATATGCCTGATCTATTACCAAAGAGCACTTTTAATAACAGCATGTTCTTGGAAAATATGGCATAAAACAGTTAAATGGATCAAATTTGCACAGAGAATGAGCACTAACAATTCTGATTAAGGACTAAGCATCAGATAAATCACATATATAATCAATGTTAAAGCACAAGTACAGTTTGGACATACTCTTTCTTAATTTGCAATTCAAGTCTATAACATGGAATCAATATATTGTATTGTTGGGTTACACAATGGGTCCCTATATACCATCAAATATACAAGTAGCACTTTAGAAATGAAAACTCTCTGGTATCATAAATTTGACCTAAATTAAGATTAGATTTTATTGGCAATAATTCCACTTGTTCAAAAGGTAAATAGTAATTAACCTTTCTAGACAATTTTAATTAATTCCTTTTTCTCTTTTACTAAAATTTACTGCAGCATTCGGAGGCATTAAACACGATTTAGTCGGTTTTAGCTACACTTTTCAATGTTATTATAGGGAGGCATATATAGGGAGGCACTGGGTCTCCCTATTTCTATTCTGTTTCGCAGAGGTTCCCAAATTTTAGCATGATAGAAACACCGCAAAACGAGATTAAAATACAGATTCTTGCAGCCCACTCTTAAGATATTCTGATTCAGTAGGTTTGGAGAGGGACCCAAGAATTAACATTTTAACCTACACCCCTCAATGATCCAGATGCAAATGGTCCAAAGATTACACTTTGAGAAACTCTGCTAAGGAAGTGCATTCCCTTAACAAACATTTAATAAGCACTCTACTTGCCAGACACTATGACAGGTGCTATAAGTACAACAATGAAAAGACACAGTGAAAATACAATTTTCAGAAATCACTGTGTCCCCAGTACCTACATGAACAATGCCTTGTACACCTTAGACACACAATAAATATTTGTTAATGACTGGATGAATGAATGAGCTCATAATTGAGTGATGAAGGCAAACAAGTAAACATGAAAATACAATATGGTGTAATCAATACTATTTTAGAGATATTCATGGAGGAAGGGGAGAAGGGAGTTAACATTTATTGGGGATCTACTTTGTGACAGGCACTGTGCTCACTTGCCACTACAACACCCAAGAGGAGAAGCAGTTACCTCAGCCTGGGGACAACAGAGAAGGCTTCTGGAGAAGGGACTGCATGCACTGATTCTCAAAGGACAAGGAAGGTATGTATATGTGTGTGTTGCAGGGCTGGGGGGTGTAGGAGTTTAGGGAATGAACCAGGCAGAGGGAACATGTGCAAGGGCAGAACACAAAGAAAAAATAAAAGCCCAGAAAACTGAAATGGAAGATTAAATAAAACCAGATGTAAACAACAGTGCTGTGCAATTCAAAGCAATGAAAATGGGAGTCCCTATTTAGATGTCATTTGAAGAGAAGTAGGAAGCCCACTGGCCAAAAATCATCTTCCTGACAGCCTGTCAAGGATGTCTGAAAGTATACCACTGGAAACTCATTACTTTAAGTCATTGACAAATTGCCCCGTTAAAAAACAAATATCCCTCCTAGACTTCATTTCCTTTTTTTTTTTTTTTGATCTGGTTACTAGATAAGCTACCAGAGAATGTGATAGCTATAGTGGATTTCATTTCATCCAGGCATTGGACAAAGTTTGCCATAATTTCCTTGTAGATGAGATGGCAAAATATAAGCTGGATGCTTCAGGCATTTGTTGAGATGAGCCTATAACTAGTTGAACAACTATAGCCAAAGAAGCGAACACATGGTTTGGTGTCAGACTGGAAGGAAGGTTCTAGCAGAGAGCCAAAGGCTCTGTTATTGGCCATGTCTTGTTTGGCTCATTTATAACTTGGCTCACTACAAACAAGAGCTTTTAAAATGGTCAGAGCAGTCCAAAGACAATGGGCTGCCTTGAGCTAGGCACCCAGTAGTGAAGCAGTGGAGATGCCCCTTTGAATCAATGTAGTGTTATGACTCAAGCATGAATTTTGAAGTCAAAAGACCTTGGTTCAAATCTCAACTTCACCATTTACTAGCAATATGACCCTAGGCAGGGCACTTAACAATACTGATTTCAATCTTCTCATCTGTAAACTGGAGAGCAAAATACCTATCTTGCAACAAATACTGTGACAATGTCATATGTAAAAACACCCAGCACAGTGTTTGACACACTGTAGGTGTTCAATAAGCAATAGGTATTGTATCAATATTCTGATCAAGTGATTCAAAATAGGATATACAAATACATATCAAATCTACACATAACACAAAAATAAGAGGGACTTTGAAATGATCTGGGCAGTCTTACATGATGCTGAGCCCAAATTGACAAGATAATTGATGGATAGTACTTAAGAATAAATGTAAGGCCGGGTGCAGTGGCTCACGCCTGCAATCCCAGCACTTTGGGAGGCCGAGGCAGGTGGATTGCTTAATCCCAGGAGTTCAAGACCAGCCTGGGCAACATGGTGAAACCTCATCTTTACAACAGATTACAAATATTAGCATGGCGTGGTGGCATGTGACTATAGTCCCAGCTACTTGGAAGGCTGAGGTAGGAGGATCTAGAGCCCAGGAGATCGAGGCTGAAGTGAGCCATAATTGTGCCATTGCACTCCAGCCTGGGTGACAGAGTGAGACCCTGTCTCAGAAAAAAAAAAAAGTATAAATGTAAAGTATTACTTTCAAGCTCAACACGTGGCAAAAGGACAGATTGATGGATATTGGGAAAGATAACTGGCATGGGAGCTTTGTTTTATAATGTGGGGCATCCTCTACTTTATTCTTCTCTTCACTTGTTTCTCCATTCATTCAATCAACATTTATAGAGCACTATGTTAAATTCTGGGGAAACAATAAAAAGTAAGATGCAGCCCTTTCCCTCAGGTAGCTCACAATCTGGGGAGATGGACAACTTAACATACAAATTGCAATGCAATGTAATTATTCTAATCACAGGAGCACACAGTAGGCCCAGAGGTAGCACAAAGAAGGGAGTACAAAACTACAGAGGAGGATGAGGAGGGGAAAACAACTTTCTAAAGGACCTGATTCCTGAGCTTTTTTAACAAAAAATTTACGTAGTATTTACTTTTTTGAATAGTGAATTCAGATTTGTGTTACAAAATGCAGAATGTACAAATAGGTGGAAAAAGGAAGTCTTCTTCCCACTCCTGTGCCCCAGCCACCCAATCATTGTCACTAGTTTCTTGTGTATCTACCCAGACATAGTCTGAGTCCAATTTTGAAAGCTGAATAAAGATTTGACTGGAAGACCAAGGGGTCATTCTAGGCAGAGAGAACAGTGTGTATGAAGGCATGAAGGCGTGATGGGGGGTGTTCAGTCTGACGTTATTTGGGCAAAGAAAATAAGGAAAAGATGATAGGAGATAAGATTGGAAGGGTAGGCAAGGCCAGATTGTGAGGGGCCTTGTAAGCCTTGTGGAGCAGCTTGGACTGTACCAGTAAGCAGTGGGAACCATGATAGGGCTTCAAGCAGAGGAGTGATGTGATCTGATTTGCATTAGAGAAAATGCATTCTATCACAGTGTGAAGGATAGACTAAGGGGGAGCAGGCCAAGAGGCAGGAAGACCAGTTACGGAGCTATTTGAATGGTTAAAAAACAAAAAGATTATGGAAAGCCTGGACTAATAATATGCTGTAGTAACATAAAGGAAACACATCTCAGATAGATACTTAGAAGACAGACTGAACAGGTCTTGGTGACTGGTTGAATGAGAAATTCAGGATGACTACCGAGTTTCAGCACTGTGTAGATAGAGGTCAACTGTGTAGATAGAGGTCTGAGTCACCAAAATGGTGTCAGTTGGGCAGACAGAGGAGGAAGGGCAGATTGGAATAAAAAAGATGAATTTGGAACATACTGAGTTTGGTCTTGAGGTACCTGTAGGATGTGCCATATTACACGTGTCAAGTATTAACTAGTATATGGGTTTGGAGCTCTCAAGAGAGGTCTGTGTCTGGGACCACAGACACAGATTTGGGGCTCAATAGGATGGTAGATAAAACCATGGGTATGGATGAGATGATCTAGGGGAAAGGTGAGGAATGAAAAAACCTGGGAAAGACTGGCATTTAAGGGGTGGCAGACGAAAAGTCCACAAAACAGCATAAGAAGGAGTAATCAGAGAGGAATGAGGACAGTCAGAAGATGTGCAACATCACCAAAGCCAAGGAGTAGGTCATGAGAGTCATGAGGACAGAAGTAGGGTGAGAGCAATCAATTATGTTAAATACATCAGAGAGAGGTCCAGTAAAATAAAGACTTAACATTGTTCATTAGATTTGGCAATTAGGATGTCATTGGTTTACTTAAAAGAGAAATAACAGTGGTGTTCTGGGAACAGAAAAGCCATAGTGGGAGCTGAGTTTTTAACAGGAGGTGAGGAAATGGAGAGTGTCTACACTTTAGAAAAGATTCCATAACAATAAAAGAAGAGAAATAGGGCAAATGCCAGTTGGGGATAGAGGCGAAGGAAAATTTGTTTGTTTCTTTTTTTAGAGTGAAAGTTGATCATGCCTGAAGGTTGATGGGAAGCAGCCAGTAAGTAGAGAAGGAGTTGTTGAAGACACAGATGAGAGGAGGGATAACTGATGAAGTAAGTCCTCATGGAGGTGAGAAAGAATGGGCTCCAAAGCATACGTAGAGAAATTAGCCTTGAACTGGAGAAGCTATGTGTATTTCTGCAAGCCCAAAAAAAAAAAAAAAAAAAAAAAGAGGTTAGGACATGTAGGGACACAACTATGTGGCAGGGTGGGGTTAGGACAGGAAAATGAGTGTTAGCATCCAACGACCTAGATTTTCATAATGGAATAAGAGGTGAGATCATCTGCTGAGAATAAAGTGGATCATTGAAAATAGTTGGTGAAGCAGAGTGGAGGTAAAATGATTGAAAGGATGAAGCTTATAAATGGGTCATCTATGAGGACATTAAGATCACTCAGGATGGTGGCTAGAGTTGGGGTGGAAAGGAAGACTATCAGTGAGGAGGTGAAGTCCTCAATAGGTGAGAGAACTAAAGTACAGCAGATGATAGTAGGAAGGATTGGAAGAGGGTGGCTGTACCATCTCCAGGCCCCATGGGGTAAGAAAGAACAGAGAACCTCTACCACTGAAAACAGAGGTTTCTAGTTGATGTTAGGTACCTGACCCAAAGTAGGTACTCACTAGATGTGAAGAAGTGAGTTACTCTTTTTTAAGCTGGTATGATCATGAAATTGCATCAGACCATCACAAGGAGTGGCAGTCCCAATGTGCTCCATGCTGGTCAAACTACACAGCGAGCACTACGTTCCATTTCGAGGTACTGTATTTTAAAGTGAACATTTACAAATCATAGTGCATCTGATGTTTATTGAATGAATGAAGGGTCAAGAAGTAACTGAGGACTGATTAGAAATTGGGGATGTTTAGTCTAGCAAAGAGATGGTTAAAGGAGGATATGACAAATGTCTTGAAATATTGAAAGTGCTATTTCTGCTCCATATGATAAAAGTAAGATTAATGGATAGAAGTTAAAAACAGAAGATTACAATTCTTTTTTAGCAGAGTTTTTAATTCATCCAGTGATAGAATGTGAACTTACCTAATCTATTCATGTGGAGGCTGCAATGAACACCTACCTGCTAAAGGTGTTAGAAGGGTCACCCCCAAGGTTAACATCCCCAAAGGTTAAAGAGAAGATAGAAAAGCAATCCAGTTGCCAGGGACCACAGATCACCAAGTTGATCTGTAAACACTGTGAGAGAATATTTCCTACCTAAAAAGTAGAGCTTGGTTGGAGTGGAAAGCTTTCCTTGACTCTTGCTACTGGAGAAAATTAGTCAGAGAGTCTAAAAATAGAAGAAAAACATGAAGAATGGCTCAAAATGATCAGTCAAAATCCTAAGAGGACGGAGGAGAGGAGGTGGCAAAATAAAGTAAATTATCTTCCAGGAAACAAACTTCACTGGGCTTTTGGAGTTGGCAGGACTCTGCAAAGAATCTTTTCAATGGTTGCCTTAAACTAATGCTGGGATTGTTTCAACTATGTGAAAGGAACAAGGATCTGGACTCTTTAAAAAGCCAGGCTACTTTCTGCTCCAGATGAAGGCAGTAGCTCTAAGAAAGGAAATTAGAAAGCGCTGGGACAGTAGTGTTACTACATGCCTTACCTTTATAAGACTGTTCCTAATGGGTGAGAGAGCTGAGAGCCATTGTTGAGGACTGGAACCCTGTGGCCAAATATCTACTTTGTGCCAAGAGAAATTCATGTCTGATTGAGACTGCCTAGTGCTCAGAGTGACAGAAGATGTTCATATGTATTTAACACCTGTATTTAAATGAGTAGTTAAACATAAACATGTCATGGAGGTGAGAGATGAGAAATTACTTAATGGGTACAATCTACACTGTTTGGGTGACGGTTACATTAAAAGCCCAGACTTCACCACTCTGCAATATATCCATGTACCAAAACTGCACTCGAACCCCTTAAATTTGTACAAATAAATAAATAAACAAACATAAGCTGAAACAGACTGGCAGAACTAAAGCGGAGACAATGGCCTGAGACAGGCTACAGGAGAAAAGAGGATAATAAGTGACTGTTTAGTGTAGAAGCTGATCTGGATTAAATTAGGAAGCAGGTGTTAATGGATGCTTGAATTTTTTTGTTTATCATTTGCACTATATGGCCTTACTGTTCAAAGTGTTGTCCGTGGGCCAGCAGGAGCAGCACACCTGGGAGCTTTTTAGAAATGCAGGATCTCAGGCCCCTCCCTAGATCTGCTGAATAATAATCTTCATTTTAACGAGTTTCAGGTGATTTGAGTGCACAGTACAGTTTGAGAAGCACTGACGTATGTGGTTTCTTAGTTGAACTTTTGCCTAACAAAATTCTCTGTCCCTTCCTCCTTCCTTCTCTCCCTTGTACCACCTCTCCTAGTTTCCCAATCTTAGTTTCCTTGTGATCTGGCACATAACTCTAATCATGGCTGATAGCCCCAAAAGTAGTGTTCCCAATATATCCAGATAAAGAAAAGAAAAGAAAAGAGTGGTCAGATATATATTGTAAAGCACAGGTTTGGGCAGTAGGAAACCATTGACTTGGCCTCTAATTGTGCTGTCTGTATAACTTTTGTCAAGTTCCTTGACCCTTCTGAGCCTCAGTCTGTAAAATAAGGGTCATTATAGTATTTACCTCATAGTGTTGTTGTGAGAATGAAATGAAATGAGGGGAAGGTATGTAAACTGCCTAACACAGCGCCTGACACACAGTAAGTGCTCAGTATGTGGTAGTCATTATTATTGAAAGCCATCAGTTCTGAAGTAAACTTAGAACTATGTTATGATTCCAGACTTTCAAAGTCCCCATGAGTCTTTCTGGAGAGCCTCCGGAAAGCCCTGTGTACCTCATCCAGTTCAGCTTTCTTGACTCCAGTACCAGCAGTCAAGCAAAAGTATTTCTTATTCCCTTGGATTGTCTTCTTGTTTTTGCTGAATTACCAAGATTTCCTACTTTGTCATTGCAAATGGCCCACATTTTTAGTACATTAAAGCTAAAAACATCTTTTGTGGGCTGGTCTGGAAATGTAGTTCAATTTATAACAATTTTTTTCTCCTATGGAAAAATGCATGTCACCTTCCAAACAATTGACTTGAGAGTGAACTTTGAGAGCTCAGCCTGTCTGCAGCTTGGAGGCTCCCTGTATGTCAATATATGGAGTGGTCACAAAGGCTAGGTAAACCAAGTCCAGAATTCCAGAGGTGGCTGAAAGACAATTGACAATGCTACAAGGAGTGGAAAGTAGGGCAAATGGATCAATCTGCGTGCACAGTATCAAGATTTAGAAAGCTAATACAGGAAGGGAGATATACCTCTGGAAGGATATTAAAAAATAGCCACAATGACAACACAAACCATTTTTTTTTTTACTATATTAGGTCAGGGGCCCCTAATCGGTAGCTTGGGATCTACAAACAATATCAAGGCCTTGCAAGCTAACTCTCCAACATGATCGCCCTTCTCCTGCCCTGCTCTCTGCAGTTTACCTGGATTCTCAGCTCAGAGAGGAAGACAGTAAGCAGCATCTCCCCAATCCTCTTCACTCCCACACCCTGGTAGCCAGCCCCCAGATTCAGTAAACTTCCCTCTACCTTTAATTTCCGTCTTCCCAGGGAGATCAAGGCATCAGGAATATACAACACAGTTTTTCCTTACAAAAAGGATGAGGACTCCTGTATTGGGTAAAATAAGATGACTGGTGAAAACAGGGCCCCCAGGATGGAGAGGGCTGGAAAGACAGTAAGAAAGGACCATGAAAAAGCAAAGGACTTTTGTGCCTTCTCCCTGAAGTTGTTAGCAAGAAAACCAATTGTATCTGGGGGAACTCTGGGTTAACATGGCAGCAAGATAACACAGTCTGATACCCACCATCTAGGAATGCCCATTAAAATATCCATGAAGCTTTGCAACAAAAAACTAAAACTTGCACTAGCTACGGAAAATAGGGGAAAAGGGACTGTTAATTGCTAATGGAGAAGGAATTTCTGCTAGCTGTTGTAGGGAGATGGGGTTGGACTGAGGAACATATTTATAATCTACATACACTCTACCCTCCTATCCAGAACAGCAAAAGTGCCCAACAAAGTTGGGGAAAGATTTTGATTCACTTCTACCAACTGTCCTTAGATTGGAAATACAGAGGCTCATCAGAAAACCAATGTCATCCCTTTACTATAAAGAAAATATTTTCAGAGGCAACAACAGCTCTGTTCCACTTCTTCTACCATCAATTCCTCTATTTTATTTTTTTCTCTTTCTTTCTTTCTCCTTCCTTCCTTCCTTTCTTTCTTTCCTTCTTTCTTTCTTTCCTTCCTTCCTTCCTTCCTTCCTTCTTTCTTTCCTTCCTTCTTTCTTTTGTTTGTTTTTGAGACAAGGTCTCATTCTGTGGCCCAGGCTGGAGTGCAGTGGCACAATCACAGCTCACTACAGCCTCAACCTCCCAGGCTCAAGCAATCTTCCCACCTCAGCCTCCTGAGTAGCTGAAACCACAGGTGCATGCCACCACACCTGGCTATTTTTTTTTTTTTTTTTTTTTTTGTGGAGATGGGGTTTTGCCATGTTGCCCAGGCTGGTCTTGAACTCCTGAGCTTAAGTGATCCACCCGCCTCAGCTTCCCAAAGTGTTGGAATTACAGGCGTGAGCCACCGCATCTGCCCAGCTCCTCTATTTCCTATATGCTTTGTGGAGACCACAACTTGAGAACACCATGTGGCTGGTGATGGTGGTAGCGGTGGTTGGGGCCAGAGATTGTTATGGTTGGGGCCAGAGATTGTTATCGGGAAAAGTTCTGAACATAAGCATGCTTGCAGACATTATATCTGAAAAAATGTAATGTGTAACATGTAATTTCATATTACATATATAAATATGTAATATGTAATTTCATGTAATATGAAATAATGTAACATGTAACAAATTGCAGAGTTGAATGACCCAAAAGATCAGAGATGGAAGATTCCATCTATCTCAGTCCAGCCAAACCTAAAAATAATGATAGCAGCAACAATAACACTATCAACTGCCACCAGTTGCTGGGCAATTATTATATGCCAGACACTATATTAAGTACTTAACATGTCATGCATTATCTTACATACTCCTCATAGTAAACATAACTTGCCATTCAAGTTTGTTTGAAAAGGTCAGGTAACAATAATGACATCTACCACATATTGAGTTGTGACTATGTGGTAGGTACCAAGTGTTATACATCCACCATCTCATTAGATGAATGCCTACTAGGCACTAAAAATGGGCTTGGATAAGTACTTTGTCCTTCTCAATTCATCCTTCAAGCCATCATCTCCTCTAGGAAGCCTTCCTTTACCCTTCCAATCTGTGTTTGGTATGCCCACTCTTTGTTCCTTCCATCACCATTCTGTGCTTCATTCCATGACAATCCTTATCATATATACTGTGATTGTCTCTTTACTTGCCTGTGCTCCCACCCTGGACACACACACACACACACACACACACACACACATACGCACACCAGACTGTGAGCTCCAGAAGAAAACACTGTAGATATTAGGATGTAATAATATATGGCCTCCATGAAACAGTTCTACAAAGACAGGTTGATGTATATGTTAATTAGCTTGATTGTGGTAATCGTTTCACAATGTATGTCAAAACATCATGGTGTACACCTTAAATATATACAATTCTTGGCCGGGTGCAGTGGCTCACGTCTGTAATCCCAGCACTTTGGGAGGCCGAGGCAGATGGATCACTTGAAGTCAGGAGTTCAAGACCAGCCTGGCCAACATGGTGAAACCCTGTCTCTACTAAAAATACAAAAACTAGCTGGGCATGGTGGCAGGTGCCTGTAATTTCAGCTACTCGGGAGGCTGAGGCAAGAGAATCGCTTGAATCCGGGAGGCAGAAGCTGCAGTGAGCGGAGATCGCGCCACTGCATTCCAGCCTGGGCGACAGAGTGAGACTCCCTCTAAAATAAAAAATAAAAAAAAAAAAAAAAAAAAAGGCAAGTGCCACCATGCCAGGCTAATTTTTATATTTGTAGTAGAGACAGGATTTCACCCTGTTGGCCAGGCTTGTCTCAAATTCCTGACCTCAAGTGATCCCACTGCCTCGGCCTCCCAAAGTGCTAGAATTACAGGCGTGAGCCACTGTGCCTGGCCCTCGAGGACAGCTTTTCAATTTCCCTCAGTTCCCCATCTCCATATTTTATTTCCCCTTGGTTAATCAGATATTTATTAGGTATCTACCATGCCCAAGAACTGTGCTAAGAAAGCTTGTGGAAACTGCCTAAGTGTCCATTGATAGATAAAAATGAGTTTTTATCCATTCATTTCAATTTCTAAATGAATTCCTAATTTTTTCTAAAAAAATTCAATTTCTAAATATAGAAATTGTGGGGTGTGTATATATATATATACACACATGTATGTGTGTGCATATGTGTATATGTATGTGTATATGAGTGTATATATATGTGTATATATGTATATTATGTGTATATATGTGTGTATATTATGTGTATATATGTATATGTATATATAAAATAAAATATTATTTAGCCTTAGTAGGAAATCCTGCCATTTGTGATAACATGAATGATCCTGGAGGATATTTTGCTAAGTGAAATAAGCCAAACACAGAAAAAAAAACACTACATGATCTCACTTATATGTGGAATCTAAAAAAACTGAATTCATCAAAGCAGAGAGTAGATGGTGGTTACCAGGGGTTGGGTGGGGAACACATTGGGAGATGTTGGTCAAAGGGTTCAAAGCTTCAGTTACATGGGATGAATAAGTTCTAGAGATGTAATGTACAGCATGGTGACTATAGTTAACAATACTGTATTGTTCACTTGAAATTTGCTAATAGCGTAGATCTCACTGCACACAGACGCACACACACACAAAGATAACTATGTGAAGAGATGGATATGTTAGCTTGACTGTAGTCTATGTGTGTATATATGTGTGGGTATATATATATATATATTTATATATATATATATTTATATATATATATTTATATATATATTTATATATATATATTTATATATATATTTATATATATATATTTATATATATTTATATATATATATTTATATATATATTTATATATATATATTTATATATATATATTTATATATATATTTATATATATATATTTATATATATATATTTATATATATATATATAGCCGTGATGTACACCTTAAATATATACAATTTCAATTAAAATGTAAAATAAAAACAAAAAGTTTGTGGTTGAGAACATTAAAGCTCCCAAACCTGGCTACCTTTAAGAATCATCTGGGGATCTTTTAAAAGTATAGATCTCTGCCCAGTGCAGTGGCTCACACCTGTAATCCCAGCACTTTGGGAAGCCGAGGTGGGCAGATCACCTCAGGTCAGGAGATTGAGACTAGCCTGGCCAACATGGTGAAACCCTGTCTCTACTAAAAATACCAAAATTAGACAGAGCGAGACTCCGTCTCAAAGAAAAAAATATATATATATAAATATATATATCTCTCTATATATAGATATCTAGATATCTATATATAAATATAGATATCTATAGATCTATATATATAGATATCTATAGATCTATATATAGATATCTATATATAGATCTATAGATATCTATAGATCTATATATATATATATATAGAGAGAGAGAGAGAGATAGATAGATAGATAGATAGATAGATGATAGATAGATAGATAGATAGAATGATAGATGGATCCCAGGCTGGGTGTGGTGGCTCACGCCTGTAATCCCAGCACCTTGGGAGGCCAAGGCAGGCGGATTGCTTGAGCTCAGGAGTTCAAAACCTGCCTGAGCAACATGATAAAGCCCCATCTCCACAAAAAAAAAAAAAAAAAAAAATTAGCCGGGCGTGGTGGTACTCACCTGTAGTCCCAGCTACTCGGGACACTGAGATGAGAGGATCGCTTGAACCCGGGAGGCGGAGGTAGCAGTGAGGAGAGATTGCACGCCTGTAGTCCCAGCTACTCAGAAGGCTGAGTTGGGAGGACCCCTTCAGGCAGGCAGGCAGGCCAAGGCTGCAGTGAGCCGAGATCGTGCCACTGCACCCCAGCCTGGGCGGCAGAGCCAAATACTGTCCAAAAAAAAAAAAAAAAAAGCCGGCCTTCATGGCTCATGCCTGTAATCCCAGCACTATGGGAAGCCCAAGGCAGGCAGATTGCTTGAGCCAGGAGTTTGAGACCAGCCTGGGCAAAATGGCGAGACCTCGTCTCTACAAAATTTAGCTGGGCGTGGTAGCACACCCTTGCAGTCCCAGCTACTCAGAAGGCTGAGGCAGGAGGACCCCTGGAGCCCAGGAGGTCGAGACTGTAGTGAGCTGAGATTGTACCACTGCACTCCAGCTCTGGGCAACAGAGCAAGACCCTGTCTCAATAATTATAATAATAATAAGGCCGGGCTTGGTGGCTCCTGTAATCCCAGAACTTCGGGAGGCCAAGACGGGTGGATCTTAAGCTCAGGAGTTCAAGACCAGCCTGGGCAACATGGAGCAACCCCGTCTCTACTAAAAATACAAAAATGAGCCCTGCATGGTGGCATGTGTCTGTAATCCCAGCTACTCGGGAGGCTGAAGCACAAGAATCGCTCGAACCCGGGAGGCAGAGGTTGCAGTGAGCCGAGATTGTGGCACTGCACTCCAGCCTTGGTGACCAAGCAAGACTCTGTCAAAAAAAAAAAAAAAAAAAAGTGAACTTCCCAGGTGATTCTAATGTAGCCATCCTGGTGCAGATCCAAGGCCTGAAGTTTGGGTGGGGCTTAAGTGACACTGACTCAGGGTCAAGTCCCATTTCTGCCCCTTGCCAGCTGTGTAACCTTAGAAAACAATTCCATGTCTCCGAGAGCTATGAAAACAAGGCTGCCTCACAGGCTTGTGATGATGAATCAGTAGAAAATGACTATAAAGGTTTTAGCACAGTGCTTGGCATATAGTAAAGACTCATTCATCTAATATTGTTATTAATATATATAAGGAGGTTGGTCTAGAACTCTTCTCCCAGGCTGGAGTGCAGTGGAGCAATAATGGCTCACTGCAGTCTCAACCTACCCGGGCTCAGGTGATCCTCCCTGCGTAGCTGGGACTACAGATGCACGCTAGCATGCCCAGGGAATTTTTGTACTTTTTGTAGAGATAGTGTTTTGCCGTGTGGCCCAGGCTGGTCTTGAAATCCTGGCCTCAAGGGATCCGCCCACCCCGGCCTCTCAAAGTGCTGGGATTATAGGCATGGGCCACAGCACCTGGCCTTAGAACAGGGACCCCTAAAAATTCAGGGGAGGCTGGGCGCGGTGGCTCACGCCTGTAATCCCAGCACTTTGGGAGGCCGAGACGGGCGGATCACGAGGTCAGGAGATCAAGACCATCCTCGCTAACATGGTGAAACCTCGTCTCTACTAAAAATACAAAAAAATTAGCCGGGCGTGGTAGCAGGCACCTGTAGTCCCAGCTACTCGGGAGGCTGAGGCAGGAGAATGGCGTGAACCCGGGAGGTGGAGCTTGCATGAGCCAAGATCGCACCACTGCACTCCAGCCTGGGCGACAGAGCGAGACTCTGTCTCAAAAAAAAAAAAAAAAAAAAAAAATTCAGGGGATAGGCTGGGCACGGTGGCTCACGCCTGTAATCCCAGCACTTTAGGAGGCCGAAGCGGGTGGATCACCTGAGGTCAGAGGTTCCAAACCAGCTTGGCCAATGTGGCGAAACCCTGTCTCTACTAAAAATACAAAATTAGCCCTGTGTGGTGGCACATGCCCGTAATCCCAGCTACTTGGGAGGCTGAGGAAGGAGAATCGCTTGAACCTGGGAGGTGGAGGTTGCAGTGAGTTAAAATCGCACCATTGTCTGGCCTGGGCAACAAAAGCAAGACTCGTTCTAAAAAAGTAAATAAATAAATATTCAGGGGATAAATTAACTTAGATGGGAAAATATTACATCTTTGTTTTCACCAACCTCTAACTAAAATTTAGATTTCCTTCAACTACAAATGCAGAGAACAGATCACGATAGTGTTAGTGGTACCTGTGACTTTGTCCCCAATAGAAATCACAATTTTATGTCACATTACTGTTACTACAGGTATCTTTAAATATGTTTACAATTATCATTACTTTCAACTTGCCATGGTTATGAGAGTTGTTTCTATATATTGTTATTTATTACATTAATAACAAGCACTTCTATAACTATACCAGCTTCCATGTCTCACATTTTATTCTCCAGTAACACTGAACTGCTTTGTAATCCACACCCGGATATCAGCATACACACTGTTCTCAGCCCCAAGCCTCTGTTCACTAGTCTCTCTAGTCTCTCTACCTAGATTGTCCTTCTCTTCTGCCAGAGCTAACCCCTCCTCCACACCCAAGACATGCCACCCCCTATTCCCCCTACACACACCAGGCCTCCATTACCACTTAGTATTTGTACTGTTTTTGTCTGTCTGCAGCTCTGTTTCTGCAGCTAGACCATGAAGTCTTTGGGAGTTTGTCCTGTTTTGTTTACCTCTGAATCCCCACTTACACTATACCTGACACAGGACAAGCACACAGTGACTGTTGAATGAGTTCATCCAAGAAAGAGATGCCCCTTATACCCTCTTTCTGCTCCACCCAGAAAGCTACCAGCTCTGTCTGGAAGTGGGGGCCCCCCTCCGCTTTCTTAGTTTATGCAAAACGTTTTGCTGCTTGGAGTCTCTCCATCCAACGCAATATATGTCAGCAAAGCAAGGCTTCACAGAAGGGAGCCAAGGTGGCCCTGCCCAGTCAGCCTTCTCCTGAGGAGGTGTGCAATATGTCAATACAAGCTGGACTTGTATGCAAATACATACCAGCTCCTGAACTCTATCTCTGAACTATGTAGTTTTTTTATATCTCAATTATATTTACTCTTGATCAACCTGGATATAGTATGGAAAGCTGTACTGAATTATTAACAATACTGCTTGAGAGCAAGGACTACAACAAGGGAAATGTCAAGGGGACAGAATCTTGAGTTTAATGGTGCCAAATGCCAAGAAGGAAATACTTCTACCAGGGCCTCATCCCAAGGTTATGCACAAAGATAAAAGGACTCAGGCAAATATAGAAACAAAAGTCCCAGCAGTTCACAAAACACAACTTAAATAAACATTTATGGGTCTAATATATTTTGCTATAACGTTTAACATGAAATAATTATAAACAAGAGGAAAAAACATAAACACTGTAATTACAAAACAATTTAGTAGACTATAAGTCTACACAATGCAGATGAAATTTCATATTCTACTACCTCCTCTGGCTTTTACCCAAGAACATTTAAAAAAAAAAAAAGCGAAGAAGAAGAAAAAGGGAAATTAATACATCTAAAGGGTTTGCTTTTGAGAGGAGAAATAGAGACTCCTCAGCAGTCTGTTAGAACGAAAGGACCATACTCTCAGTTTTGCAGGTATGGTCAGTGACCCCCAGCACCTCTTTCACCTCTGACCTTGGGATCCTGTCAAGAGCGAGAAGTACGGCTTGTTTTTGGCTTTCCGGCTGCTACAGCATAGAGACCACAACCCCACCTCCATTTTCCCCAAGTTGCAGGGCACATATAGGACCCACAGGGCCTTGGGAATAAGAGTTACAATAGTTGGCCGCTCTTTGCTCTTAATCACAGGCCTGATGCTTGTGGTACCCGGAGGAAGTTTCAAATCTATGGAAGTCCAATCCGCAGGGACTCAGGCCAAGTGAAGCTCCACTAGAAAAAAGGGCGGCTCTGGCCCTAATTGGTGTTCCTGCCTATTAGCTGGAGCTCTCTTAGTGTAGGAGCGTGTTCCTGCCTATTAGCTTGGCCACAGAACTCTCTTAGTGTAGCAGCTCCGCCTCCTACACTTCTTCCCTGCTACTCTTGGAACCAACGCACTGTGGATTCCACCAGGAGGTACCTCTGGTGCCTCTCCGAGCTTCTGTGACGCAGGCAGAGAACGTTCAACGTCTTGGACACTAGATGGCAGTATATGCTGCTCTATTTCAAAGGCCAGACTTGTGAATGAAGGAGCCGATGCGGGGGTGGGGAGTACTGACTGAAATGTAAGTCAGTTTTACGTGAAAACTGAACGTCATGAAAAGTTTAGTTTTTTCAGACACTAATCGTTATTTAATCCTACACATTTAAAGTATTCCAAGTCTCTGAGTCCTGAGAAACCCTGGAAACCCACCACTTGCCCACCCAGAACATCCCTCCATCTTACAGAGCTGGGGCACGCCCCTCAGGCCTGTGAACATGCAATCGCTACATCTATTGAAAGGGTAACGACAGACGGAGATCAACTAAGGTGGCAGGTAAGGTTCAGAAAAGGAGAAGGACAACAAATTTGGAGAAATAGGAGAAGGTAAGTGAAGTGAGGAAAAAGAGGG
This sequence comes from Homo sapiens, assembly GCF_000001405.40. Taxonomy (NCBI): domain Eukaryota; kingdom Metazoa; phylum Chordata; class Mammalia; order Primates; family Hominidae; genus Homo; species Homo sapiens. Next base: position 107,776,944 of record NC_000023.11, on the reverse strand, counting down.
GGTGCTGAAGTAAGAAATGAGGGGAAAATAAGGGAAATGGCGGGGGTAGGGGAGAGAAAAATGAGAGAAAAGAGGAAAGGGGAGAAAGGGGAAATGAGGAAATAGAGAAAAGGAGAAAAGAAATAAGGAAAGAAAGGTAAAAGAATGGAAATGGGGGAGAAAGTAGAGGAAATGGGTAAAGAAAAGAGAAAAAATAAGGGAAATAGTGGAATGAGTGGAAGCAGAAGAGCAGAGAGAAGGAAGGGGAGGACTGAGGAGAGACGGCGAAGGGGCAGAGGGAAACCGGGACAGAGACTGCCTCTGAGGGGTTCAGGGAAGAGAGGACACAGCGAGCTGGGGAAAGGAGGTGACGATATCGTTAAGTAAGCAGAAAGAGACAGAAACTGAGGAGAGTTTGAGCGTGCTTCTCTGAGTTTTGCTTACGGCATTTATTGGGTACTCCTAATGTGTGCCTGGCACTCTCTGACTCTCTGCAGAGGCAACCGCTCTCCTTGCACGCCCCCCCCCCAGAAAAAGGGGGGCTTTGGAGGGCGGCAGTTTAAGGCTACAACACTTGGGGCTCTCGAGGGCGTCGTCTCTTCTGTAGGGGGACCCATTCGAGGTGAGACTAGAGACATTTGCCCTCACGCCGAGCTCGAGCCCCGCGAGACCGGGCCACTGAGGGGGCACGGCAGCCCGGGTGGGCTGCGTGCGTATTTCTGGCGGAGGATGCGCCATGAGCGCTGAAAGAGCCTGAACCGAAGCGTCCGGCTCGCCGAGAGAGTGAGAGCCGGGCCGGCTCCCAGGAGCGCGGGCGAGGGTGCGAGCGGCAGCGTGGATGCCAGGGCACAAGGGTGCGGGCGGGGTGGGGCGAGGGGTGGAGGGACAGGATCCAGCCGCTCGGGGCCCCCGCCCGCCAGCCGGAGAAGTGGCGGAGGACCGTTCTCCGCCGTCCCCTCTAGGGTAATTTACATGCTGTCATATCCCAGTGCTGACTCCCGGGCGTGCAGACCGCTAACTAGCTCACTCGCTCTCAGCTCCTGCCACCGCTCAGCCGTCACAGCCCAGGGGAGCCCGAGAGCCTGAGAGCCTGCAAACCGGGGAGGGAGGGAGCAAAGGAGGGAGGGAGCAAGGGCGCGCCCTGGCTCTCCCTCTGCCCTGCTGCCCGCCCTTCCTGCCTCCACAGGTCCGCCCCAATCCCCGCTCACACTTGGGAAACTTGGGACTGCGCTGGGGCCGCGTGTGGCACCTCAGGGGGGCGGCCCCCGGCCTCAAGAGGAGGGGGAGGAGAAGGAGGAAGAGGAGGAAGTGAGCCCGAAGGATCCGCTCGGAGCTGTTTGTCCAGCTGTTTCTATTCGCACCCGGAGCAGTACAGCCAGAAGGGGGCCGAGCCGAAGGTGGCTGGCTTTAGGCGCTAATTTCCAACTCTTTTCCTCACAGCTTGTCTTTTCCAGGCACCCTGGAGTCCCCTCAGGCCAGCTCGGTGGGCGCGCACCTGCCAGCCGCCCCTGACCTCGCAGGCCAGGCGACCTCCGAGCCTGAGAAGATGGCCCAGTCCAAGCTCGATTGCCGCTCACCTGTCGGCCTCGACTGCTGCAACTGCTGCCTGGACCTGGCCCATCGGAGTGGGCTCCAGCGAGGCAGCAGCGGGGAGAACAACAACCCGGGCAGCCCTACAGTGAGCAACTTTCGGCAGCTGCAGGAAAAGCTGGTCTTTGAGAACCTCAATACCGACAAGCTCAACAGCATAATGCGGCAGGATTCGCTAGAGCCGGTGCTGCGGGACCCCTGCTACCTGATCAACGAGGGCATCTGCAACCGCAACATCGACCAGACCATGCTCTCCATCCTGCTCTTCTTCCACAGGTGGGTGGCTCGGCACACGGCGGCAACTCGGTCCTTGCTCCCACCAGCCTCTGCTGCACCCTCATCTCTGGCAAAAGGGGCAACTAGGAAGTTCAGGAGGGGTACTGGGGAGGTCTGACTCAGGCTACAGTGACTGGACCTTGAGGTTGCCTGGAGTACCGCGGAGCTGAGGGGAGGACTGGCAGGTGCAAGCCCTATTCTGAAAGCTGCCTGCAAAGGCTTTCTGATGGGGACGCTGGGGCCTAGAAGGTGGGCAGACCCCAGATGGTTTGGAGGTAGCTGAAAGTACCCGCTCCTCAAATGCATACATTTCCATAGCCCCTTTGGAGATTCTGCCATGGGGTCTTCTTGAGTTCCAAGTTCTACCCTTCTCAAAAGCCCATCTCAAATGTGCAAAATCAGATTGAAACTACAAGGGCTTTAAAATTACTGAGTGCCCCTGACTGACAGTGAGGGCAAGCAAAATGTCAAGACAAATTAAACTGCTGGTGGTAGGAGAGGGAGATGGGGAGGGGAAAATTTTTAAAAATCAGAGACTTGTGAGAATTTCTTGAGCCTCTGGATGGGAGGGATTCGCCTCCTCCATGGATCACAGCGTTAAATTTCAAATGTAAGCTAAGCGCAACCCCAGAGAGCACCCTAGGACATCTTGAGTGCCTCAAGAACTATGTGTGGCAGGAGGGCGGATGAATCCATGTCGTTGCAGGCGTGTATTGGTGTACCGGTCAAGCTTTCTAGAAATCCTGCTGGGGAGGCAAGGAGAGGACAAGGGAGGGAAAAAACACAATGGGAAGACCCAAGGCAGCTGCTGTCCTTCAGTTTGAGACACTCTGGCAAGAACCAGTCTCTGGGAACAACTGAGGCAATTTAGAGGCAGGGCAGACAACATCAGGAAACCCAGCCATGGATTTAGTGTCCTTAGCGCCATCAGGATAGGGCACCAACATGTGTGTGTGAGTGTATAAGCGAGGATTTATTCTTGCTCAACAACACAGGTTATGTAAGAGAAAGACATCGCCACTGTGGGAGACCTGGGTTGTAGTACAAGTTATGGCTTCACCTGTTTGTATGAGCCTGAGCAAGTCGCCTGACCTCTCTAGTCTCTCCAAGGTTCCTTTTAGCTCTGAGATTCTAGGCTGTAGGCAGGCGATGTGCCCAGACAAAGTGATAAGAAATTCTGAGCACCTACAAAATATTTAGAATGCAAGCAGGCTCAAATAGGAAATTTTAAAAGCAATCGAGAAAGGCAGGCGCTATTCTCACTTAATGCTAAGAGCAGGTTTGCCTCCCTTGCCCCAAGACAAATCCACCATCGCCTCCCGCTCAGCCCAGCCCCAGTGATTCTGGGCAAGACAAGCAGGGCCGCTAACCTCGTTAGTGTTATTATAACAAGTCGTATTCCTCGGGCATTTTCGACACCATTGAAGCCCTTTCTCATCTATTATTTCACTTTAGGCATCAAATTATCTCATTGTCTAAAATAAACCAGGCTGAATTTTTAAAAATAATAAAATAAAATAAACCAGGCTGCGGGCAGAAAGGTTTCGAGGGAATCTTCATTTCTAGTGAAAGATTACTACAAGTGTATTCAGCCCACAGACGTTGAAATCCTGCCAAGCGAAAGCCCTAACAGGCTCCTAAGGATCCCGCCTGTCTCTGTTGGAGAGTGGCAGTGGGGGAGGGGTAGTAGAAAAACCTGGAAAGAGCGCTTGTAGCATTTGCATTTGTTCAACTGGGAGAGAAACTGCCACTCCAGGCTTTAGGAAAGTGTGAGAGGGGGCGCCTCTTCTGGTTCTGGCCCTAGGAGGGTCAAACCTGGGTGAGGGAAGTGTGAGGCTAAAAGCCTGAGATCAAAGTGTTTCCTTCTGCCACACCTCGGGAGCATCCTGGTTGTTTGGGTTTGTGGAAAGGGAATACCTCCTTTGTCATCTACTCCACTAATACGAGTTTATTGACTCTTGGTTTTAGGCAAAGCCTGGAAATGCTACAGGGTGGAGATGTAGTGGGGTGGCATTATAGGTATTGGTTGAGGGAGAAGCGCAAATTGTAGGAAAGGTTTGTGTGAGCACCCTGCCTCCTTCGATCAGAGCAACTCACTCAGCGTTCAAAACCAGTGAGGAGCTAACCAGCAAGCTCTCAGGCTTCGCTAAGGCTGGGAATAACAGGGTCCTGTGGTAACAGTCTTATAGTTCTAAGAGGACAAAGTATTCTCTTGCTTTTATTTATTTTTATTTATTTATTTTTTTCCTGAGACAGGGTCTCACTCTGTCACCCAGGCTGGAGTGCAGTTGCATGATCACAGCTCACTGCAGCCTCAAACTCCTGGGCTCCATCGATCCTCCCACTTCAGCCTCCCAAGTAGCTGGGACTACAGGCACACACCACCATGCCCAGCTAATTTTTGTATTTTTTTTTTATAGGGACGGGATCTTGCCATGTTGTGCAGGCTGGTCTCAAACTCCTGGGCTTAAGCGACCTGCCCACCTCAGCCTCCCAAAGTGCCAGGATCACAGGCATGAGCCACTGATCCCCTCTTGTTTTCCTTGACAATTGGGACCTTAGAGACTGGGGATTCTGAATTCGGTTTAGGTTTTGCCCAGTATGACATGCTCATTAGCAAACTAGAAGACCATTATTGCTGGTCATGGGGCTTCTCCAATATCTGGGGTAGACAGCCTTCTCCTAAGTGAACATATCCCTTGTTACTTCATTAAATTCCCTGGGTTTCTATCATCATACTTCAGCCATCGTTTTTACTTCTATTCAATTTAATGATTTGACATTTCAGGTTCCTGTTGGGTGCTTTTTTCCTTTGTCAACTTTCAAGGCCTCTCCTGCTGGAGAAGCTAGTCTCCCACCCCTCCTCCTGCAGTCCATTCCTTTGCCAAGAGGGCTCCTATATTTTTAGGAAGAAGAGCAGGGCACATTCTTGATTTACATCTGGTTTGTCTGCTTTGACCTGTCCCTGGCTCCCAGCTTCGTTCTTGGTTTCCTTGGAACACAAGAGTATAAGCAATTTGAGGGTAGGGCTGTGTTTTACTTGCTTGGTTTTCCCTTGGCTTTTAGTTATACAGCCAATATTCAATAAAGGTTTCTTCAGTTGGATGACTACTTAAATATTGACGTGGTCCCTTGTAAAGATTTTACAACTTTATACTGTGCTAGAAAATCCTTATTAATGTTTAAAAGTTGTTTTCCTTCCGTTTTAACCACATGCAGTAACTCTCATAGCCTGATGGAAGTCCTGATAGTGCTGTGTATATACATACGAATCAGTGAGAATGGGCATGCAGCCTGTTGGTATGTAAATGGTACCTGTAAACAATTGGGTTGGGGAAGAAGTGTATTTTAAACACCATCCTTTCAATCTTGTATTATGTAACTAATAACCATAACAGATTAATAACTAACACTTCTTGAACATTCACAATGTACCTGCATAATCTAATTTAATATTTACATCAACTCTTTGGAATGGATTTATTTATTTATTTGTTTATTTATTTATTTATTTTGAGACGGAGTCTTGTTCTGTCGCCCAGGCTGGAGTGCAGTGGCACGATCTCAGCTCACTGCAGTCTCCACCTCCTGGGTTCAAGCAATTCCCCTGTCTCAGCCTCCTCAGTAGCTGGGACTACAGGCGCACGCCACCACACTCGGCTAATTTTTGTATTTTTCGTAGAGATGGGGTTTCACCATATTAGTCAGGCTGGTCTCGATCTCCTGATCTCAAATGATCCACCAGCCTCGGCCTCCCAAGGTGCTGGGATTACAGGCATGAGCCACTGCGCCCGACCAAATGGGTACTATTATCATCCATTTTCATTTTATAAAGAAGGAAATTGAGGCTTGGAAAAAATTAAGTATCTTGCCCAATGCCTCACAATGAAGAGCAGAGCCTGAATTGTCTATGAAGAAAGAATTGTTAAGAACACTCAGTAACTAAACTAATGCTAAAGAAATTCTTGTAACACTTAAGAATTGTCTATGAAGCAGAGGTAAATGTGAGCTCAGAACCTTTCCAAATGGTCAAAATGTCCTTATTAGGTAGGGAAACCAACCATCCCAGTCCTGTGACATAGGACTGCCTGTGCTCAAACTGGAACAGTCCTAGGGAAACTGGGATGGTTGGTCACCCTGTTGTTAGGGGACTTCCCCCTTGTCATTTGAATATGCTTCTAATACTGGAAAACTTAGGAGGGAGATAGAATATTCTGGGCAAACAGCAGAAGTTTCCAATTTAAATGTAGCATATGAAAAAGCTTCCCAAGTTGACATTTGAAGAGCCTTCCTTAATTTTTCTGACCTGTAAGGTATAACAACCTGTAACAGGAGCTTTGACAGTATTCGTTGTGATTGCTGTTGCTGTAACCTCAAATTTTTTTCTAAGATTTTACCCAAAACCTCTTAATCAGCTCTATTCTACCTTTGACCCCAGAGCGTACCTGGCTAGTGTGGTCTGAAATACTCTGAATCCGATTTCCCTTCCAGCTCTAAAAACCCTAGGATTCTACCTTTAAGCTTCTGACCTGGCCCCAACTGGTTCCCATATATAAATGCTCAGAAAATGATAAAAATAGCAAACATTTCTAATTGCTTTATGTGTGCTAATTCATTTAATATCCCCTATTAATATAGTAACAAAGGGGAAGGATATAGATTCAGAGATCAGGTTTTCAAGAAAAATTTGTGCAAAAAATTATTTGTGCTTCTCTAAGTGAGTCTCAGAACAAGTAATTTCATAATGTATATTCCTGGACCTGGCTTCTGAGGTGGTGGCCACTCACACGGCATGATTTGAGTGGCTGCCTGCTGCAGTGCCTAAGTTCATACTATTTAAGATTCAGTTCTCTGTCCATGTACCATCTAAAATTCCTCTCCCAGAGCACCGCTGGTATGTAGACCACACTGTGAGAAACCCTGTATTAGAGATTGCAACGCATTGTCAACTAATTTACCATTTGATTTTGAGGATGGAGTTACTCGCTGTAGAGCGGTTTTGGGTTTCTGTGTGGTTAAGCCTGTCATTCTTTGCCTTTGTGATTTTTGCTTTTGGTATCAAGCTTCAAAAGTCCTTTCATAGCCCAAAGTAATTTAAAATAACTATTTCCTGAGTGCCTAGTGGTCTGACAAAGAATAGGCATTCTTGGATTAAGGGACCTTCTCCATTAAAAGCACAAATGCATTTGCAAACTTAACATTCATGGTTTGGATACTTCATGAGAACTCAGACTGGTAAGAAACTGTGTTTTTGCTGAGGCACAGATGTGAATCACATGTGCAAGGAGACTAGTAGGTGGGGGCCGGTCCTTTCACCAATGAGTGAGCCTGGTGCCCTACCCCACATCTACTAGTGTGTGTGTGTGTGTGTGTGTGTGTGTGTGAAAGAGAAAGAGAGAGATGTATTATATGCATATATTGTACATAGTACATATATATATATAGTGGTAAAATAGATATAAAATTTGCCATTTTAACCATTTCTAAGTGTACGATTCAGTAGCATTAGGTATATTAACAATGTTGTGCAACCATTATCATTCCCAAAATTTTGTCATCATCCCAAACAAAAACTCTGTACCCATTAAAGAATAACTCACCGTTTCCCTATTTTCCCCTCCCACTACCCCCTGGTAACCTCTATTCTACTTTCTGTCTCTATGGATTTGCCTATTTAGATATTTCATATAAATTGAATCATACAATATTTTGTGTCTGATTTCTTTCACTCAACATGTTTTAAAGTTCATCCATGTTGTAGCACATATCAGTACTTCATTCTTTTTATGGCTGAATAAAATTCCATTGTATGGATATACCTCTTTTGCTTATCCATTCATCTGTCAGTGGACACTTAGGTTGTTGCCCTCTTTTGGCTATTATGAAGAATGCTGCTATGAACACTGGTGTACAAGTATCTGTTCAAGTCCCTGCTTTTAATTCTTTGGGGTATATACCTAGGAGTGGCATTGCCCAGCACCTACTTTTCAACACAATTTTGTGGTCTACTGCTCGTAGTCAACACATACGTAGGAACCTGTCATAAAATGAGCAAATGTCTCAGGGCATTCCTTGAGGAGAATGCTCCCTCTCTAAGCCAGCTGCTGGTGCTAGTGATTACAACGAAGAGAAAGCTACAAAGTTTGGCAAAGTGATGGTGCTGCCTGGGAATGGACTTTTTATGGGGGAAATGACATGCTTTGGAGATTGCATCCATGAGTTGGAGACTGGCAAAAGTTTTAGTGTGTATCTCTCATGAATGGCCAAGGTCTAGCATACCTTTTTAAAGAGTAACATGTGACACCATTACTTGCCATTAACTACTTTGTATGGATTTGTTTATCAGACCTCTGGTCATGGTGACAGCCCACTGGGAATAGGGTCCTATGGGACTGGAATGTGGCAAAGCCAACTTTGGAGGAGAGAGGTAGAGAGATGGGGCTGGAGTCCATGGAAGGCCTAGCTTGGGCTGTTACAGCACGGGGCCTGGACAGCATGAGAGTTCAAAAGATCTGTTTGGAAAGTTCATGCTCTTAAAGAAAGGTGGGAAGCACAGAGCTTGAATTTCATCTACTCCTCAGTTTTTGCCAGGAGTGGACTATTATTTACTGAGTCCACACCTCAGCAAATAATGCTTTCCAGGGTGACCTTAGTTTTCTTCCCTGCCTGAAGAGAAGGTTAACACTCCTGCTTATATTTGCACTTGCAGATAATCCAACAAGCTCTCCATTCCAGGTAGAGGGTTGGCTCCTTTCCAGATCAGGTACTGAAGGCCAGGGAGTCTGGGTAAAATGGAGATGGATGTATCTGGCCAAGACTGCCAAGACCTCTAGGCATCCCGGGTGATGGAACCCTGCAGAGTTCTTGCCCCCACCTGGTGGGTGGGTTGGTTGGGAGGAATGAGTTTGGCCATGTCTGCACCTGGTGGTGGCTGTTGCGCTGTTTGCTCATCGTGATTCTGCTCCTACCTGAACTTTCTCTTCTTCTTATGTAAGCCATCCCTAGAGATAACTGTAAAGCCATAATCTGCCATGGCTGGCTGGGCTTATATAACAAATTGGTTGGTATCGTGCAATAGCCTCTTGAACCCTGGAGAAACCAATGTGCTAAGTTGAGACTAAAACATGGGTTCATTTGATGGGGTATTTTGTGTGCTCAGTGAACTCAGGGGAGAGGAGTCCATGACCACAGGGGTCAGAAAGATGAAATTTCCTTTTAAATAAAGAGAACAATAATGGCCCAGAACATACTGTGCTGTCCCAAAGTCTGCAATAATGGGACAAGGGTTAGGGCATTGCTGTAGCACCACAGCTTTGGCAGAAAAGGCCCTCCACAGAACCCCATGGGCTAGGAGGAGCCCCATGAAGGCCAGAAGGCTAGATCCCAGTTTCAGGGCAACCTAGGTTTGATGAAGAGTCAGGTCAGGGAAAATGTCTTTTGGAGGCCACTGTCTACCATGCTGAAATCCAGCTTAACTAGAGTTGGAGTGGGGCTAAGATGCGATCTGTGAGAGCAGAAAGCAAGCTTTTCTCGATTCTATTCCAGGCAGGAGGGAATTTCATCAGTAGGCAAGGCAAGTTCACTTGTACCTTCTAGCTGAAAATTCCTGCCCCAAAGTAGCTGTGGCCCTTCTGGAAACTGTATAAGAGGCATTAAGATCCCAGCCAGCACAGAAGACTGAATGGGAAGCTTCCCATTGTGCAGACACTAGCCCGAGGGAAAACAAGAGCTGGAAGCAGGCTGGATCACTGATGATCCAGGCTCACCATTGGCCTTCCTCTCCTGGGAGCCACTTTCCTCAAATAGGTCCAGCCAGAAATCGGGCCCCTGCCTATGGACAGAGCACACAGGGACCTTCCCCATCCTTCCTCGAAGGAAGACTTTACTCACAGAATAGGCTTGAGTATTCAACCCACTTCTTCTAATCTTCTCTTCAGGGGAGATGGAGAGCAGCTGTTCACAGCTTAGGGGTCTGGCCAGGATTCCCGCTCCGTGCTATCTAGGCTGGTGATTGGCTAGAGCTATCCCTAAGGAAGAAGGGGGTGAGAAGTGAGAGGAAAGGAAGCGACTCCAGCAGCTCCTTCCTGGCTTACCCCACTCCCAAGACACCCCTCCTTCAGCGCTGCCGTTTAGCCTCACTCCCAGACTAGGCTGGGCCTAGGCCAGCCTGAGGGCCCTGACTCATAACTAGCACATCTTATGTAACAGCCAGGTTACTGAGGCATCACACTTCTGCTTGCTCAGTGGTAGGCTTCCCTGGGGACAGGCATTTGGAAGCCTGCTGGGGGTCCAAGTCAAGCTCATCATACTTCCCAAGGAAAAGCCTACTCTCCCCAGTGTCAGGCAAGCAGTCTGCTCAGAGGCAAATGCCAGGCAGCAAAGCCTGACCCGGTCCCACACTCAGCCTCCACACTCAGCAGTAAATGTAAGCAGACAGGCAAGCTGGAGTGGACTTAATTTGGCTTGAGGCATTTTGGAGGTGGCAGGGAGGAACCTACTATCACCTGATAATGCACTGCTAAAGAAACTGCGTGGTGCATGGAGAGGCCCCAGAACAGGTCGCAGAAGTCCCTCTTCCTTTTGTATCTGCTTGTTGGTTCAGAAACTACTGGGTGGGTTGGGGTGGGGGGAGTTGTTGGGGGGGGGGCGGAAACTCCAGGCTGACTGACACCAGGTGAAAGGGTTTACCGGAAGGTGGAGGAGCTGTTTAAAGGAAGGCCTTTCAAGAGCCAATTCCCAGTCCACGCTCCATGAAGTCTCAAAGTCCCCAGGTTGACCTGAATTCACAGTGATTCTTAGCTCTCTGCCTGGCCTATTCAGAAAATTACATTACCGGCTTAGTGGAACTGAGCCCCCAGTGAAGTCAGTATTGCCAGATTCTATGACAGATTTCTCTAATAACAAATGTGACTATCTACAGCACAGAATACCCCCATCAATCTAATATTCCACTAGCTCAAGGTTTGTAACTAAACCAATAGCTCCTCTTCTTCTCTTCCTTTGTCTTTTCCCCAGCCTGTCTCACGTGTGTTGCCATCAAGTAAATGGCTCACAGGCTGTGAGTAGGTGGGGACACTGCTCTCCACTCCAAGAAATAGAGGAGAAACAGGGAAACAAAGTCAAAAAGGTGGTGTGGGAATTACCAGCAGGCATGATTTGTATCCAAAGCTGACTCATAAGTTCTTGGACAAGCTCAAGACTACCATCTCAGGGCTCAGAAGAGCTTGGCACCCTTAGTCCCCCAGATCACAGAATCCAGTGAAAATTAGGGGACCTGAGATGGAGATGCAGAATTTTCCTTTGTGGGACTCCTCCCAGGCTTCCAGCCCCTTTCTTCTCCCTATCCCCTCTGCCTTTTTGGTTCATAGGCTGTAGCAGTAAAAAAGAAAAAGAAACAAAGAAAACAAAACAAAGAAATAATAAATAATAAGAAAAAGAACTGCTCAGTTTTAAGGCAACATAATCTGCCTGCCCAGGTGCACAGAGAAATGAATGATGGCAGCACCTCATTCGGCCTTGTACCAAAGCGACCAAGCACTTCAATTAATCAATCCATCATTTATTGACCAAGGGCCTGCTATGTATTGAGTACCGACTGAGGATTTATTGAATGCCTATCCTGCTAATCACTGTAGAGGACACAGGAGACGTCAGAGTCTAGGACCAGGGCTCTGAGGAGCTGAGGGTATAGCAGGAAGGAGTGGAGCAGCTGCACCCAAGGCCAGTGGGGAACAAAGCACTGGCGTGACCTCAGGCCTTTGCAAACCTGGTCCAGCCTCCTGCTCCTTAAGGGAAAGGCCTTAAGCTTACTGCTCCTGGGGTCTGCAGGTCTGGAGCTTGGATGGTGCCAAAGCAAACTAGGAAGGGAGAGTCTCTTTATGGCGGCCGCTTCCAGCAGGGCCTGAAAGAATGGGTTGGCTTTGGCACGATGGAAAGCAGCAGGGCTTTCAGATTGGGAGAGGGGAGGAGAACCTCGCTAGTCCAGCAGGGCTCTTGAGTAGGAAGGGGATGGCCTGGTGTGGGGACACTTTTGATTCCTTCTGGGCTGGAACCCGGAGTCACCATTGATTCAGGAACAAGAGAGAAAGGCCCACTCTGGCCCTCCCCTCATTGCCCCTCTCTGACACAGGGCAAACTGGACCCTAGCACCCTCTCCTTGGGAACCTAGGCTAGCCCTGGGGAGGCAGAGGCCTTCGGGGCCTGGGAGTAGGGAGGCACCTCCCTCTTATCCTGGAGAAAGCCCAGCAGAACAAGAAGAGTTGAGCAGGGTAGAACCAAGGGGTGCAGTCGAGGGTGGGCACCAGAGGAGCCTGGGGGCTGTGGCTTCCTATCTGTGCATCTCTGGCTTCAGTCTCCACGAGGTCCCTTCTGAGGTGGGTAACAGAAGCAGGGGTGTGTCAAGGTGCTACCACGAGAATATATAGATAATCCACCCAAGTCTCTCTGGAAAAAAAAGTTGCTGATGGCCCTGCAGGGTGGCATTTTAACCTTGTTTGCACCTTGGTCAAACCTGTTTCCCAGATACCCTATAAATGAAAGCCTCAGGGTAAGGTTGAGAAAGGTAAGAAGCCTCAAGCTGACAGGAAGGGAGACAGAACCAGGGTGGAAAAAGAAAGCAGTCTCAGGTAAACTGGGGAAGAAAGGTGTTGTTCATGGTCAACGTTCCATCCTCACTCTCTGGGACCCTCTCCCCAAGTTAGTGTCTTGGACACACCTGTGCCCACATCCTTTCCCACCAGTACTCTGGAGAATTCATGTTTAAGTTCATGAATACCTTCAGTCAATAACAAATATTCATTGCACACTTTCATGTGCCAGACTTGGTGGCAGGTACTGGGGATATAATGGGAAACACACGAAAGCTGTCATAGAACAGTCAACGGAGTGGGGGAGACAGGCATTAACCAGATAGTCATGCTAATGAAGCATAGTTACAAACTAGATGCCAAGAGAGAAAAGGAATAGACTTCTGTCAAAGAGTCTAACAAAAGGTCAGAAAAGCCTTCCTGGAGAAGTTATATTTGAGCTAAAGAAATGAGTCTCTAGCACTGAAATTCTAATAATCAGACCCAGGCCAAAGGTGATATTTTCAGATAGAAGACTTTCTGAGTAACCACTGAAGCCATACCATGTAGGTAATTCTCACACCCCTGGAAGTATCTCTAGGCCATGAGTAGCCAGCAGGTCCCAAAGGGGAGGACTGACAGTTTTCTGACAAGAGGAAGAGATGAGTTTGAAGCTCATGGGGTAACTAGTATTTAATGTCATCCTTTGCTAAAAATAGTCCATGACAGTAGGAAATGTGTAAAGGCTAGCCCTGGGGACCAGTGATAAAGTGGGTATAGCCTGTGGGAAGGAAAATTTGTTTTTGTAAATTATTTACTGTAAAGGAAAAAGAAATGGGGGGTTGTCTGGGTTTTCTTTTCCCTTTGCGGGCTTCCTTCTGAGTTATGAATGCTTCTCATTGTACAGAGGCAGTGGGGCACAGAGCTTCAGGCTGCACTCCTTTCTGGGGCCCAAGGTGTAAATTTTCTGGGCTGCAAATATCAGATATTTGTCCAGGCTGAAAAACAGCCTGAATGCAGAAGGGGAGGGAGGCTAGACTTTCTTCTGGGAAGGACAAATAAACTGATCAAGGGGCCCCAAAGAGTGTTCATTTGAGAGAGGTAGCCTGTCTCTCAAATGGTGGGTATCACCTGCCCTCCACAATGGCAAGGCAGGTGATAGCTAACAGCCCAGTGTGATCCAAGGGAATCTGATTGTGAAGTGTCAGGAAAAGGCCAACAGGACTTGTTTAGCCAACAGGAGGCAAACATGAGACTCTAGGGACCTGTGGTGCAAAGCTAAAGGAACTAAGATTATTGATCTACAAGAAGTTTAAGGGTGGGGTGGAAGGTGGTAGAGAGCAAGAAGAGAGGTCAGTCTTCAAATATAAGAAAAGTACAGGTCGGGCGCAGTGGCTCACGCCTGTAATCCCAGCACTTCGGGAGGCCAAGGCTGGTGGATCATGAGGTCAAGAGTTCGAGACCAGCCTGGCCAACATGGAGAAACCCTGTCTCTACTAAAAATACAAAAATTAGCTGGGTGTGGTGGTGGGCACTTGTAATCCCAGATACTCAGGAGGCTGAGGCAGAAGAATTGCTTGAACTGGGGAGGCGGAGGTTGCAGTGATCCGAGATCGTGCCATTGCACTCCAGCCTGGGCAACAAGAGCAAGACTCCATCTCAGAAAAAAAAAAAAAAAAAAAAAAAAAGTACATGTGCAGGTTTTTTTTTTTTTAAAGCAAATATAAGAAAAGTCACAACTCAGAGATGGTGACTAGCTGTTTCCCAACCACACTGGGAAGAGAACAAGAGGAAACAGGCCTACATTGTAGCATGAAGAATTGAGATTAGATAGCAGAAAGAACTTCCTGACTACAAGCATTCAGAGGAGGTGGACAAAATTACCAAGGGATGTTGTATGTAGTTTATACATATGGGGAAGCTGATGACAGTAGAGATAAAGAATTGGATAAAAGTGTGAGAGTCCTGGTTTTATAAGGACCATGGTCAGAAGTGGACAGACAGGTGGGGAAAGCAAAGGGGTCAGGACCAGGTGCTTATAAGAAAAAAGAAAGTGTATGTGTGAAAGGTGAAGGTGTTTTCATGAAAATACTTTTATAATAAAAATGTCAATGAAATTTCCATTGGAGATAAGTCAGTAAAACTAGCATACATTCTCCTGTAACTGGAATAGTGTGGGAGAATGGACTGAGGAGCTGGTAGGGCCCCTTCTATCATCCTTCAGCTCTCTTGTCTCCTGGATAAATTAGTCTCAAGGGGGCCCCCCATCTTCTACATTTTAACAATTTTAGAGCACACTCCTCTGCAGGGGGCATTGGAGTAAGGCCGCCCACCCCAAGTACTTGTTGCAGAGGAGAATGTTTTCCTCTTCATGCACACAAACAAGATTAGATATAGGGGATACAAACTGAATACAAGGGGTACAGTGGCGAACAACAAACCATGCAGGATCCCTGCCACAGGAAACTTACAATTTGGTGGTGGAGACAGGCATCAAATAGTAATTACACAAATAGCAACATCATTACAATTGATGGTAATGAAGGAAAAGTGCAGGAAGTCAGGAGAACACAGGCTAACGGGACTTCACCCAGAATTAGAAAATCCACAAAAGAAAATTCATTATGTAAAGACATGGGGCACTGCAAGTGCCCCGCTGTGAGTGATTCTTGCCCAAAAATCAGTAGCAGAAAGGCAAAATGAACCCAGTCACTGCTAATGCCCTAAGATGTGGATTTTGAAGCTCCTCCAGCTCACTGAAGCCCTGTCAGATTAGGAGCAGGGAAATTTTCTCACTGCCAAGATCAGGCAGGCTTGATTTAGGCGAGTGACTCTCCAAAGGTCATAATGGCTCATCAGCTGAAAATCAGGATCAGGAAGACTGTGAAGAGCTCATCACTTGCCAGGTGTATAGGATCAGCTGAAAATCAGGATCAGGAAGACTGTGAAGAGCTCATCACTTGCCAGGTGTATAGGATGGAGGTCAGTGAAGAGAAGAAAGAACTAATGCGTGAAAATTGCACTTGAAATTGACCCCCAGCAGTGGCCATGTCTCCAAAATTCTATGTCCTCCATCTCCTCTTTAAATGTGGGAGGCTTTCCTGGTATATTCTAGTATTAGCTGCAAGGTGTGCCCCAGGGCCTTTGAGCAGGAGCCCAGTCCTGGGGAGCCAGGATCCTAGAGAGATGGGGTCCCAGTCTGTTTTTCCCTGTCCCTCTTTCAGAGGGGCAGGAAGTTCTAGCCCTTGTGGGGAGCTAGGATGGGCTTCTCTGCCCTCACAAGGCCCTGGAGAGGCCACCAAGGAGCAGAGGACATTAGCCAGTATGTGATCATGAAGCACAGGCGCTTTGCGTCTAATAGACAACCACCTTGGCAAATGACAATCTCTCTAGACCTCAGTTTCCACCACTAGAAATTGGTGGTGGTGTGGTTGGGAAAGTGAAGTGAGAGGACACTCCTAGAAAGCACTGAGTGTCTCTTTATTAGCATTAGCCAAGTCAAATGTGGTACCAGAACAAAACCTTATCTG
The DNA here is from genome assembly GCF_000001405.40 of Homo sapiens. Lineage (NCBI taxonomy): Eukaryota > Metazoa > Chordata > Mammalia > Primates > Hominidae > Homo > Homo sapiens. The sequence continues at coordinate 107,761,004 of NC_000023.11, read as the reverse complement.
GCTGGCCTTGCCTCCCTCTCTCACAAAATCCTTCTCTCACCAGTCCTCTTCTTGCTCTGTCACTCACATACCCTTTTCTGCTCAGAGCCAGATGACACCTGAAACCCAGCCTGGCAAGCTTTCTCCCTGTCAAGGCTTGCTCTCTCAACTTTCTTCATTCACACACAGGTATAAATGACTGAGAACACTTCTGGTTTCCCTTCTTCAGGGAGGGGAGAGCAGGGAACTGTGAAGAACTTTGAAATTTTTACCAGAGATCAAAACCCACAGAAAGCATGAAGTTGCCCTACTGGCATTGATAGCAACTGGGGAAGATCTCAGAGGACAATGGGCCTGGGGACGTTCTCTTCAAGCTCCTGAGCCCCTCCCTTTTCAGGGTTGGTGACCACACCTTGTACCTCCACGTGCATCTTAGATGGAGACACAGAGGCTCAGAACTGGTAGGAGTTTTCTCAGCCATCTGCCTGACCCTTTCCCATTACAGATGAGGAAACTGAGGCCCAATGTGGGGTGGGTACCTGCCCCAAACCAAACAGCCAATTAGTGACCAGCTGCAAAGGGAAACCATGTCTCCTGATTTTCTGATCCAATGATCTTCCGACTTCTCGTCTCTAGACGGCTGTGCAGCATCCCATCCCAGTAGGTACACAACATCTCCATGCCAGGAGACCAGCTTTGGGTACACCTGATGCCAAAAATGGTGATTTTTTTAAATTTGATTTTGTTTAATAGAATTGACCAATGATTTGGGTGTTATGAAGCTCCAGCCCTGGAATCTTGCTTCTGCTCAGGCTGGGGCTGCATGCCACAGCCACAGTCATGCAAGGGGGACAGAAAGGCTTGCTGTTCGGGTTGGAAAAGAAATCAGTTGCTGAAACATTGGTCTTTTTGAAAGTTCCAACCACAGGGGCTGGCTGGCAGAGCCGCCGTCTGGGCTCTCCCGGAGGATCCGGCCCTCCCCTTCAGTCTGGGAGTTAGTTTAGGAAGCTGGCCCGGTCTCGGCAGAAGATCCCGAGGGCAGCACTTGCCCCAGGAGCTCCAGGCTTCCCTCAGGGCCTGGGAGCTCCTGAAGACACTCAGGACCGTGAATTTCCTCCCGCCCCCACAGCCGAGCCAGCCCAGGCTGGCCCTGAGGCTCCTTGAGCACTTTTTATTCTAAGCCTAGAGTTTCCAGTTGTCCCACCCTAGCCCGGCAGCTACAGAGAAAGGGAGAGAACGCAGGCAAGAGAGGAGAGAGCCAGAGCGTGAGAGTGCACTGTACTAAAAGAAAGGAGAGAAGCATCCCCAGCCAGGTAATCAAGGCTTGGGCAGCTGTGAGATGAAGGTGGAAAGGCTGGAGGAGCCCCAGCTCGTGGAGGAACCCCAACTCGGGGAGGACCCAGAGCTTGGGGAGGAGGCACAGTTCCTGGAGGAGCTACAGCTCGAGGTGGTAGAAAGTGGGTCAGATTTGGATCCAGAAGATTTGGGTTCGAGTCCAGACTTTGCCACCAATCTGATGCTTGAGCTTGAGTAAGTAACTCCTGCCCTTCTGTGGGCTGCTTTGCCTACTTACAAAATGGGGGAGGGGAGAGACAAGATGGTCTCTAGGGTCTCTTTCAACGCAGATATTCTGGAAGACTATGTTTCTAAAGTCTTGATATGTGAGAATGGGATGCATGGAAACTTGAATGAATAAGTCACTGAACCCCAGAATGTCAGAATGGTATTGGGCAGGGAGAGGGAGTTCACATAAGACAAAAAAAAGAGAATGAGAAGGTAGTACCTGGATAAGAGTCATGACCCCAAGAGGGGGTCCCAGCTGAACAGAACATTGAGGTCGATTTTCAAAACTCAAGGATGGGCCGGGCACAGTGGCTCACGTCTGTAATCCCAGCACTTTAGGAGGCCAAGGCGGGTGGACCACCTGAAGTCAGGAGTTTGATGAAACCTGTCTCTACTAAAAAAGAAAATGCAACAACTAGCCAGGCGTGGTGGCCTGTACCTGTAATCCCAGCTACTTGGGAGGCTGAGGCAAGAGAATCACTTGAACCCCGGAGGCGGAGGTTGCAGTGAGCCGAGACTGCGCCACTGCACTCCAGCCTGTGCGACAGAGCGAGACTCCATCTCAAAAAAAGAAAAAAAAAAATCAAGGATGATGGGCTTGGAACGGATTAGTAACAAGAATCTGGGTGTTTGGAGGTGTCATTAATGTGCAGTTGTTAATAAGCTCCTTAACCACATGTCTCCCAGTGATCCCATGTGCCCCAAAATGCCAGCACTGAACGCACAATGCATTTCTTGAGTTCTTTACGTGTGTGTTTGCAGAAATTCTCTATTGAATTGTGAGGGATTTTCAGATAGTGATGTCCAGATCTAAAAAGCGAATCTACAAAGAGAGACTGGTCTGGCCCTCTTTCTGAAAACCTCCTTTCTTGGTAAATCCCCACTCTCACCAGGCCCACTGTTGCATGACTCAGTGCAGGTCCCTTTGAGAATCTGACTGCTGCTATATACAGCTACTCTCCCCCAAATAATGCACAGATGAGCTACCAAAAGCCAATCTGCTTGGTGGGTGTTGATATCTGGTACATTTCACTGCATTAAAATTCCATCAAAATCAGTCATCCCTCTCTGGATTACATGGTGAGAGTCTCTTAAGCCATAACAGGTGACGTTCCATTAACCAGAGAGTGCCTTTCCAGGCCAGGCATGATATCTCAGGGCTCCCTATATCACAGATCATCTACAATGTGCTCCGCCAACCACATAACCACCAGTATCTACACTGCTGGGCAAAGTGTGATGGTGAGAGTGAGTAGACGAAGAACCTCCCTCCACCTGTCCAGACACCTGCCCACAGCCCTAGTGTGCTCACTACTGCACAGTCTCCTCCCTCCCTGCTAGCCCTCCTTCTTCTTGGCTCTGTTCATTCTTTCAACAATAATTTCTTGGGTGACTTCTGGCCACTCAGTTAATCTTTTGTTGTTGTTTTGTTTGTTTGAGACAGGGTCTTGCTTTGTCACCCAGGCTGGAGTGCAGTGGTGCAATCTCAGATCACTGCAGCCTCCACCTCCCGGGCTCAAGCAGCTTCCCCAGTAGCTGGGACTGTGCATCACAACACCTGGCTAATTTTTTTGTGTGTATTTTTTGTAGAGACAGAGTTTCACCATGTTGCCCAGGCTGGAAGTTAATCTTAATCAATTATAGATTCCTAAAGGAGGGGCTCTTAGAATTCCCTCAGGACAATGGTTTTCAAAGAACCCTTAGGGTCCTCCTTGGCGCCTTAGGGGCTGTGGGAACGGGAGGGGAAAGGGGGAAAGGGAAGAGAGTGTGGGGTAAGAGAGCAGAGGCAAGGGTGAATATGAGGGAGGGAAGGGGAGGGGGAGAGTGTGTGGAGGACAAAAAGAAAGAGGAGAGGTAGATTGTGCCACAGCCCTCACCAAATATGGGCTACATCTGGAAACAAGGTTGCAAATAAGAATCTATATGTTTCTTTTAAAGTTTGTAGTGTTTTGTTCATCACCTGGCTTGTATCTCCTCACCAGAGAATTTTCAAGCTAAGTTCCTCCTAACTAGAAGGCATCTCCAAGTGGGTGATGGATGTTCAGGGGAGACCTGTGGGCTGGGTGGGTGGAGCTCCTGGCCTCAGCCCTGCCTCCCTCAGAGCAGTTCCACTCCTTTAAGGACTCTGTATCCAGAGACCCTGTGACCTCCCACATTAGACCGGGGAGTGGGGTAGGGATTAGGGATGATTATCTGTTAAACAACAACAACAAAATATGTTGTAAGCCACAGAAGGATGTTAACTTCCCAGCTGCTACAAGAATCTCTTCTAAAGCACTCCCAGAGGGTGGACACGCTGCCTCAGCTCGAAGGCAATCTACATACAAGCCACTTCCCTTGTTGGTTGGCCCTGATTGTTAGACTGTCCGTCTGTTTAGTCAAAATCAGCACACATCTTGCCCACAGAATGCTTTGGTCCCTCCTCTCTTGTTCCCACTGAAGGCCTCTTTTGTCTCCTGAACACCGGGGAACAGATTCTAGAAGGAGAGGAGTGGCCCCTGGCTTCCCCGGGAAGACTGAGTTCCCAGCTGGGGGCACCACGTGCTCCAAGGGGCCTATGTGAGCTCTGCGTGGACAGGCAGGTTACTGATGTGGGCATGGGGCACTCCAGCTGATGCAGCCCCTGGGGCTAAAGCAGAGGAAGTCCACTCCACAGAGGGCACTGGTCGACTTGAGTGAAGTCCAGTGTGGAATTCTCGGCAAGGGAAATAGCTCGAGGGAAGGAACACTTGACCAGGAATAAGGGCCTTGTGTTCTGTTGCAAACCCCAGCCTTGGCTGGGGCTGTCACCTGAAAGGAGAAAAATAATAACGGCCGGTGCCCTGGCCCTGAGAGGAAGGAGGGAGGGAGGCAGGCTCAGGACTGTATCCTGGCCATTTGCAGCAGTCTAAAGCCCAGCCCGCTTTACATTGGAGAAGGAAATAAAGCCGTGCTTGTTGGCGGTGGGGACCATCTGTGTGCACTATACAGAGAGCACTGTTTCCCCAAATGTGGTAAACATACACTGGTGGTGTGCAAGATGATTTTAGGTGGTACGTGGACTAACTTTGTTTTTCTATTTTTATAGCTATTTATTTATTTAACATGTATTGGGGGAATATACAGCTAACACATCCACTCCATGGTCTCAAAAAATATTATTTCTAAGGATGAGGCATTTCTTAAAAAGGGAATCTGCTTAAAGTTAATTTACAGTAAATATTAAGTAAACAACAATACTCAGATATGGCAAAAAATCTTGATAGTGGTAGACAAGTAACGGTAGACAAGTAACTGGAGTCAAGAACATGCTACTACACTGTGTGTTAGCAGACGTGTGACATGTGACAAGAGGGGCCAGAAGATATGTAACAGGAGCCGTACAGTATGGTTTGAGATGGTCTTTTCCATGTATACCTAGCTTGAAGTCCCCCTCTGACAGCCTTCTTCCAAGTGTAAGAGCAACCTGCTATTTTTATATCCCCAGTGTCCTGCTCTGCCCCATGACACTCAACACTCCAGATTAGCAGCAGGCCTTTCCCTTGGTTGAAAGCACTGTCTCTACCACGTTCCTGGCAGACATGGGGAAATAGGCACTGGAGAATTGCTGGGTCTGTCCTCACCAGCCTCCATTGATTTCTTCTTGGCATTGTTCACGGGCTTTATTCAACCCAAATTAAGGGAGGTATTTCCAGGAAGCAAGTCAAGAGGTTATAATATTTCTCTGAATGCACAAAGTCACAGTAGAAGGACAGGAAATATGTCACTGTGGCAATTTCACATGGACTTGCTCTGATTTCCTGACAGATTCGGATAAGATTTGGTGGGAAATGTGTACGAAATCAGACTATACAAGAGAGTTCCCACTTCTACCAGGAGTTTATGATAGGCTGCGTGTAAATATGTTTGGTCCACTTCTTTCCATTCCCTGTGATACAAAACATGATTATTAGTCCTGCTTCCTCCTAGGGCTCACCTTGTGGATTTCACGAAGGCAAGCCCTGGAGAGAAGCAGAAAGACGATGAAGGTTCTGGGTCTGGTCTCCTGCCTTCTGTCTGGGTTACACCTCAGGAGCCTTGTGTGTCTTTCCTATGTTGGCCAGTCCCTTGAACAGTTTTTAGCAAAAGCCTCAAGCAGAGACAGTTGATCTTCAAACACCTCCAAGAAAGGAAATACCACAAAGTCCTTTGTTCATACATTCCAGTGTTTAACAACTTCTGCTCTCTGACATTATTCCTCCTAATTCTGTCCTCCAGCTTTCCTATGCTTAATAAATTTAATATGCTTAAATTGTAGTTATCCCATCCCTTGTCGGTCTTACTTTCCAAATTAGCTAAATCCATTTTTTTAAAGAAAAAAGTTTGAACTTTCATTTCTCCATCTTTTAGATAATGTCCAAGTTATCCACCAGAGATTTCATTCTGTCCTCTGTAACAGCTGAGATTGTGGCATGAAAACCTTTGCCCTTAGCCAGTCACCCAAATCCATCCTCTGATCAGTGACACACATTTGCAAGATAGCAGGTTAGGAAAGGAGCAAAATTAACCCATTTAGGCCTGGTGTTCCATTATTGGAACGCTAAGCTTGTGGGAGTTATTTATATCCTACTGCTCAAGGTTATCGCCAAGGTCTGATTTTTCACGAAAAAAAATTTGCAATCTCTGTCATAAATGGGTTAACTGAACTGCAGAGGACGCAATCACCTGCCCTAACCCCCAAGCTAGCTGTTTTACAGGAAACTGTAGCTGTGTAAGATTTCATTAGTGGCCAATGACCATGGAATAGAGAAGGAAGACGACTTCATAGTTCCTACAAGCTTCTTTCCTATTTAGAGCATCCAGGGTCATGCTTGTTCCTTAATGATACTAAATTGTGTGCTAGCAACTCATTGCAGCCTCTGCTCTTAGCTGCCTACCCACATAGCCCCATTCTTGTATCTGGGTAGAGTTTTGATTATTCCTATATTCATTATCCATTTTGTGGATTATCTATAGCAATCACAAAATTCCAGGCTGCCCCCCACCGACCTTCTAGCTAGTTTCTGGGAACTCTGGGGTGCAGGATCACTTTGATACCAGCCCAAGTAGTGCATAAAGAAAGTTTTTTCAAAAATAAATTACCCACTCACAAATGGATTCCAAATCCAAGTATGGCTGAGTTTCACATGGCTAGGGTAACATAGGACATGTGGCATGGATAATCCAAAATAAGAGATAATGTAGGAGAAACATCATGTCTAGCTAGCTTTGAAATTGCACCATGATAGGCCAGGCGCGGTGGCTCACGCTTGTAATCCCAGCATTTGAGAGGCCGAGGTGGGAAGATCATGAGGTCAAGAGTTCGAGACCAGCATGGCCAACATAGTGAAATCCCCGTCTCTACTAAAAATACAAAAAAAAATTAGCTAGGCGTGGTGGCACGCTTCTGTAATCCCAGCTACTCGGGAGGCTGAGACAGGAGAATCACTTGAACCTGGGAGGCGGAGGTTGCAGTGAGCCAAGATCTCACTACTGCACTCCAGCCTGGGCAACAGAGTAAGACTCCGTCTTAAAAAAAAAAAAAAAAGGAAGAAAGAAATTGCACCATGGGTCTAACTTTTTTCAGTAGATCTGCCTTCTTAATTATTTGGGCTGATATGAAAATAAGCTTGCACCCCTGGAGTATACAGAAACTAGAAGAAACTGGATGTAGGGAGAAGCTAAGCTGAGACCAAGCATTGCCACTGCTATTTCACAAAATGGAAAAGCCACCTAGAAATACTTGGGAGTTGATTTTCAAGCATACTGAAGTCATTTCTGTGTGTCTTTGAAATATGTCATATGGTTGTGGATGCTGTGGATTTGTCCATGAAGACCTAAGGGGTCTGCGTAATGGTACCTAGTTTGACTTGGGGAGACAGATCCAAGGAGTTACCAGGAAATCGATAGTTCCCTTCTTCTTCCTAACTATAACCTGATGGCTGTATCACAATGCCTGGTCTGATCGTCTGACCCATGTGAGTCTGAAAGTGGTGGCGCAATTCATCTGAGGAAAATCACATCTGAAACAGGAAGGGGCACGGCAGCCTCTTCAGCCAAGGATTTATGTATCTGTCACAGGAGGGAAGTGTGAGCTGAGAAATGACTCCCAGAAGTGCTAGAATTGGAAGAGGCAGCACTGCTACCTATCATAGTCAGCAGTGTATTCATGGGGAATCTATGCTACCTCAGGAGGCCAGCATCCTGGCCCTTCCTCCCTTCCCTGAGTCCATCCTCCCTCCTCTCTCCTCTCTGGCTCAGCAAGCACTTAAGAAAACAGAGCTGAGCTAGCCAGGTGCACCCTGTCAGTGGCCAAGCAGTAGGTAAAGGGAAGGATAGGAGAGGCTTGTACTGCTCCTGGCCTGGCATTTAGAGGCCCAGGGGACAAGTCCCAGGCCCTTGAGCCAGCCACAGTAGGCTTGCAGCTGATGCCATGTCACCATGGCTGAAGCTAGTGGCAACCTGAGTGGATGGGGCTTCTCTGGTTCCTGCAGCCCACAGAGACCAACAAATTCACTCAGTTGGGTTCTGTCTAGACTTAATTCTTGCTGTCTTTGTGAATTGATTTTTACATTCTGGCCTGCTGTGCGTATCTTGGCTATGGGATCTCTTGCTGAGCCTGGGACAGAGTCTTTTCTTCCTGCCCCTTCTCCTCTGCAAGGCTGCCGGACCAGCTCCCTTGGCAACCTCATTAGGCTCCAGTGGTGTCCGTGGGGAATCTAAACTGGGCAGCAGTGATCCATCTTTAGGGCTCTCATCCATCCAGGTGGCTCCTAACCTCTCCAACGCAAAGGGACTCCAGCTGAAAAATCAAAACCAGCCTTCTTTGGGAGCCCCACTCATTGTTTGAGACAGGCTACGAGAAAGTCCACACCTCCAGGCATAGCTCTTTGTGCTTCCCTTCCTTGTTCTTTGTCTCCAGGGCAGGAAGCTTGGCCAAGGAGGCAGATCACCCCCCAACTCACCACCCATAACAAAGAACTAATGACTGTTTTCACCATTCCCCTCCTCTGGAAGCAAGGGATGGGTCATGCCAGGCCTTGAAGTTGAGTAGGGAAAGTGAATCCCACCCAGGCTCCAGACCTGGTTCCTCCTCACCAGCACAAAGTCCCTGTATTACGAGGGAAGAGGTTAGTATGAATTCTGGATAAATGCCTCAGTCTGGAGAGGAGATTGTGTCTCCCTTGTTGTAAACCTAGCTGCCAAATCAGAACCACTTTCAGCTTGGATAGAGGAATCAAGCTCATCCCTCAGAAAACAGATGGTGAACAGTGTAGGCTTTGTTTTTCATACTCCCTTTTCTCACTCCTTCTCCCTTCTAGCACAAGCTCTTCATGCTACCCCCCGCCGCTGCTTAGGACTCTCAACTATAGGATGATAGCTCATGTTCCAAAACTTTCCTGATCTCCTGCCTCTTAACCATGGCCTTGAGGCCTTACTTTCTGCTAATGCGAATGTGATATGATGAATCCAGCTGAGGTGTAAACAGCTTGTAGTAACTGAATGTGCTCCCCTTCCCAAGTTGCAATTTTATTTAAACCTGGGCCTTCAAAAGGAGTAAGCAAAGTGAGGATTTCAGGCTCAGCCTAGGGCAAGTAGAGTTGAGTTTTGGGGCATGGTGCCTTTGACCTTTATCCCCTCAAATCATACCACGCAGGCAGCCACCCTGTCCATCTATGTGTAAGGCCATCCCTGAAAATCTGGTTGACTTAAGTAGAGGGAACTGAGAAAATCTTGTCTAGGTGAAGTCCCCAGTTTAGCCTGCAGAGCAGTAGCTGAATTCTACCTAGGCCTAGGCCTCTGGTCCCTCCCCTGACCAGCCAGGCAGGCACTTACGGAAGATGTAGGGAAGAAACTGGAAATCCTCCCTCGTGCATACCTGACTCAGTTGACTTTTTAAATATTTGAGAACACAAGCATGAGGCAATTACTTGTAATAGCAAAACCATTCTCGGTTAAAGGGAGGAACTCCAACCACTTACAGAGTAAGGGTTACAGTCCTTCCGAATGGTCTGTTGAAAAGCTATTTTTGGCTCATTTGCTCTTCTTTCTTCCTTGAGTTCTGTTCCCCTCTAGGCCCCTCAGGAGCCTCTCTCCCCACCTCCTTCCCGGTGTCTGTACTCACACAGCTTACGCAGGGGAAGTAACCCCTCGCCAAGTGATTCTCTCATCCAACACATTTTCCGAGATGGTCCCATTGCTCCTTTGCAGAAGAAAGGGGACAAAGACTGTCTGGGTCAACATAACGACCTCTTCCCCTCCACCCAAGCACACCGGAATTCCAAATGCTCTTGTTTCCTTCGAGCACAAATGGCTTTTGCTGCTGATCCTCTGCTCTGGGTTACCCATTTCCTGCTCAGCCTTGGCACAGCAAACATGTCTCTGGAGCAGCTACCTCAGGGTAATTTGAGAAGTAGCTCTAGGCCATCACATGTGGAAAAGGAATCAGGGGAAGACACATGTGGAATAAGAATCTCCTTGAGAAAGATGCTGGGCTTTTGTAAATGGCTTTAATAATATAGAAATACCAGCAGCAGATGTTTCCAGAATGCCAGCATAATTTACTCTAAGGTGACCTTAGAATTATGATTCTATCCTCCCAGTTTCCATGACTTTAACAAAATCCCTGACACTGTGCCGTCTGCCTCAGGGAGTCAGCTACTGCCCATCTCCTGGCTATGTGAAAGTCTTGGGCATACATACCCCTATCCAGCTTGGAGCCTCCAATAAGTACCTACCTGCGGTATCTGATCAGTTTCTGCCTAGTCAGATGTGCCCTGTTGCTGAGCCTGCTTGGGTGGGGAGCATGGGAAAATGGGGCAAGTGCTTCATGAGGGAGCTGTTCTCAGCCGCCCCCTCTCCCAACTCCCCAGCTCTCTCTCCTTGTTCTGTCTCCTGTTTCTGGGCTCTAATCCTGGTCAGGCCCAATGCCCCTTGCCTGTGATGCTGGGTCTGCAGTTTTGCTCGCCGTCCTCGCTTTGCCTTCTTGCCCGCCACTTCCAGCATTCCTCCTCTGCTCAGCTTCTGAGCTGGTGTCAGGTTTCTACCTGCCTGGCCACTGAGCCCACCTGAAGATGTCTGGCCAATTCCTTTTAGCCTCTGCCTTCTCACCATGCCAGGGATGCTTATTCATGGTGGGACCACAGGTGGAAGGTGCTGCTTCAGCAGACTCACCCTAGGGAGCAACTGCTCCCCACTCCGCCACACCACCAAAAAAAAAAAAAAAACTAAGCGAGAAAGCAGGAGTATTGCTCACATCCACTTGGCCCACAGCTTTGTTTAACCCGTTTCTGAATCCACATTTTTATTATTATGTTGCTATGTTGCCCAGGCTGGAGTACAGTGGCTATTCACAGGTGCAGTCATAGCATACAATAACATCGAACTCCTGGGCTCAAGCAATCCTCCTGCCTCAGCCTCCCAAATAGCTGGGACTACAGGCACATGCCACCATGCCCCCCTTGGATCCACATTTTTAATAGGCCTTCCAGTACCGATTGCTAAAGCTGCAACCCCATTCTAGGGTAACCGGAGGATGTAGGCCTGTTGTGGGGAGACTCGATGAAGCTGCTGAGTAGGTAACTCTGTCTGCCTTTGTATAGCATTCTCTCCCTCCTTTTCTGTGCCCTGCACCCCAACTCCTCCAGCGTCGAGGCTGTGGCTGCCCCCTGGAGATGCTTGGGAGCACCAGGTGTTAAGCAAGGGCTCCTGCTCAACACTCCCAATTACAGTGTGTGCCACTGGAGTGATCTCAAGGACAAGTGGAGGATTCAGCCAGTGGGACCCCATGCCCATCACCCCAACTTCACCCTGAGTAGCTCTGCTTTTGTCTGTTTTATAAATTGGATTTTCTATGTGATATTCTATTTTAAATCTGCCAAGCATGGTGGCTCATGCCTGTAATCCCAGTGCTTTGGGAGGCCAAAGTGGGAGGGTCACTTGAAGCCAGAAGTTCAAGATCAGTTTGAGCAACTTGGCAAGACCCTGTTTCTAAAAAAAAAAAATCACTACTCTAGGCCTTTCTCTCTCCATATCAGAATTAACCACCTCCTGTCCTCCTGTCTTTTACTTTTCTTTTCTTTTCTTTTTTTGAGACAGAGTCTCGCTCTGTCACCCAGGCTGGAGTGCAATGGTGTGATCTCAGCTTACTGCAACATCTGCCTCCCAGGTTCAATCAATCTCCTGCCTCAGCTCCTGAGTAGCTGGGATTACAGGTGCCTACCACTACGCCCGGCTAATTTGTGTGTGTGTGTGTGTGTGTGTGTGTGTGTGTGTGTGTGTGTGTGTATTTTTAGTAGAGACAGGGTTTCACCATGTTGGCCAGGCTGGTCTTGAACTCCTGACATCAGGTGATACAACCGCTTCGGCCTCCCAAAATGCTGGGATCACAGGCATGAGCCACCGCACCTGACCTGTCCTGTCCTTTTCTCCTCTTCCCTCTGGCTCTGCCCTCTGCTAGCAGACGGGGTCCAGTAGGGGAGGATGCTAAGCAAATAACTGTCCCTACTACAAGCTGGCTATAGGCTGGCAATGCCAATGCCTTTACCCAATTAAGATGGTAAGCAAAGCAGACAGGTTGGCACTCTGCTTCTCACATCATGTGGCTGCCTCCCCACCCATCATTAATAATAATCCCTCGCATTTGCATAGCACTTGACAATTTCTAAAGCACTTTCACAGACTCTATCTTATTTGATCCTCTGGAAAGCCTGTGAAGGCCGCCAGGGCAGGGGCTGTTATTTACATTTTACAGACTCGGGAGACTCTTGAGATCATTTAATCGCTGGCCTTTCTGAAGAGTTTGCTAAGAGAACTAGTCGGTGTGAGCTGATGGGCTGGTTAAAGGGAACAAGAGTTGGAACAAGGGTTATAAAAGGAATGAAAGGGGAGGGAGATGAGGCAGAAGGGAGGAAGATCCCACCGTGCCCCAGATCCACCAGCCTTATTTGTGAACCATTTCAGAAGCAGTATGGAACTTTGGGAAGGGCTGACCCAAGGAGGCAGCGATTTTTCCTTCTCCATGATGGTGACTTCTGGGGCTTCTGAGCTGACCACTGGCCCTACCTTATCTCATCCCCACGCCACAAATCTGATCTTGTCACACAGCTCACTTGAGTCTCATTTCATTCTGAGGAGCAGAATTTCAAGTGCTAGAATTGGAAAGGCTCATAGAGATTATCTAGTCCAGCCCCTCATTTTCCAGAAGTGGAAATAGAAGCCCAGAGATAGAAAAAGTCTTGCCCAAGGTCACACGGAGAAGAAGCAGAGTTGGATTGAAATTCCTGTCTCTTGACTTGCAGCCCATTGAGTTTTCCACTATTTACATACAGCTCCCTCCATGTATGTGCATGTGTGAAGGGGTGTGTCCAGGGGTGTGTGTGCAGGGGTGTGAAGAAGGCCGTGGGCAGTGCCTGGAATGCCTATCTGGTGAACTGCTGTGGCCTGGACCTTGGACACATATGCAGTGGCTGAGAGTTAAAGCCACTTATAGGGCCTGGGGTATGATAGGGTATGAGAAAGACAGGGTTCAGGGTTTCTCTCCCAAGGGGATTCACCCACATAAACTGCTCCAGGTAATTAAGATCCCAGAAGAATTGGCAGCTGCTTGCTGAACAAATTAGAATCTGCCTTTATGGGCATGTTCTGTGCTGGAGATCAGAGGGCCCTCCCTGATGTTTGGTTCATTAGTCATTGTTCCCTGTCAGAGCAAGCACTCAGAAAATTGGATGTCTGGCAACAGCCTGTATTTAGAAATTCAATAGCAGAGCAGCAACGGCAACAGCCGAGTGTCTGGGACAGTGCTCCATGCACAGTAGGTGCTTGAAAAATGCTTGTTAGCTAACTAATGAACTAAGTAAAGAAAGCCTTTAGTCCTCTGTGCTATTCAGAATGAAACAGTGTCAATAACAGATCTGATTGCTTTTCAGCCAAGCCACATTTGAACTTTTTAATGGGCAGGCTAGCGGGACTGGGTAAAAACTCACTGGTCGCTAGGTTTTCTGTGCACACTGCACTGCGTAGATCACAGTGCCCACCACTTAGATGTCACACTACATTCTGCTTAGATCTGACAGACCCACTTCTCTTTCTAAGCTTCCCCATGACTTCCTTCTAGTCAAATCCAAAAGTCCTTTTCCCAGTTTTAGGAGTCTTTGGCCAGAACAGAGTAAGCCTGGCAGGGGACAAGATGTGGTCCCAGGGCGTGTGTGATAAGGGGGACTAAGCAAGCTGCAAGAGGACACACAATGGAGTGGGCTTTCACGTCAACTTTTCTTTCTTCACCATCTTGCCGCAGGCCAGGCCTGCTAATTTGGACAGATACTTTCATATTGTTCTTAACCATCAGGGAAAGATTTTGTTTTTGTTTTGTTTCTTATACTAAATGTTCTTAGTTTGGAATACCCAAGATTCCTTGCAAAGGTCAGCTAGCATAGCAGGACTAAGAGAATCTTAGAAGCTTTTGGCAGTCACTAAAGGTTACCACTGGTGTCTTGTCTATAGGCCAAGGGAGTGAACTCTGTGAGGGATTTCAAATGTCCTTGATGGACTTTTCCATCATGCTAAGAAACATTGGAAAAAGTATTTATCCAGTTCACCTAGCTGTCCAGTCACTCCTTCAAATGTAATCCACCAAGTAAGAAAGAACAAAGAATGTATTGAGCGCAGACTCCTTTTGCCTTTGTTGGGAAGGAGGACACACATGAATGTGTGTATGTGTAACTCCGTACATATGTCAGGACTTGAGTGGGTGGAAGGGACTTGAGGAGTGATGAGGGTGTACGTAAAAAAACAGCTGTTATGCTGTATGCAAAAAAGGTATGGAAAAATGTATGGTAAATATACTTATGGGGGCCTACCTGTGTTTGTGAAGGGACAGCTGGAAGTATAGCATCTGGGAGGGTTGGTGTTCTTCTGTGTGTGACTCTATCTGAGTCAAATCCTGTATATGGAAGTAGTACTCCTGGAGAGTCAGGATGACCAAGGCATATGTGAAGGAGGTATGTGTGCCTGCCTGTGTGTGCATGCATGAGTGTGTGTGTATGTCTGTGTGTGTGTGTCTGTCTGTCTTGTCTGTCTAGTGAGAGTGTATATGTCTGGACTGTCCTCAATCTTGGGCCTGCCTGGGAGAACCGTCTTGGCCCCTCTTCCCTTTTCTGCACTCCCAGACCTCCTTAGTTCTTTGCCTCTGCTTCTTCCTTCTTAGGGAGATATTTTGTACCATGTGTCCCTCCTTTCTCTGTTTCATAAGATACAGAGAGAGGTGCCCCCTCTCCCAGGCCACCTGCAGTCTCTTCCAACAAAGCGGGGGTGACTCCACCAGTGAGAATTGCAGGGCTCAATGATTGGGAAACAATCTCCAAGCCAATGAAATGTCTGCCTAAAGATTGTTCTTGGATCAATGGGAATCCTGTGGGTCACACTTGGACAGTTTAACATCATCAAGAAATGTAATATAGATATTCAATCCTAGAATTTTGGTGAATTAATTAAAGCCTTGTTTTTAGTTCTATTGAGAAGGAAAATCATTTATTTTCTTTACTCTGACCCTGTGCCTTCAAGAGAACTCTTATTCTGTGAAAATAAGGGCTGAGGTAGGCAATTCACACATACTTGTGAAATCTAAGCAGATTATCTCACCAGTGGCTATAACTGTAATAAACTAAAGTGACCTTGGTTTAAACAAACGGATGTTTGGAGCTGACAATTGAAGTGCAAACATGACCCTAATTAATGACTTGGTTAATAGTAAGTGGTTCTCTCTTTCAAGATATTAGCTAAATTCTCAGTCTTCAGCTATAATATAGGTCGCAGGCTACTTTTGTATTCTTCATGTTAGAAATTTAAAATTTCAAGCTAGTCAGTCTGTAAAGCAACTTGCAAAGCAGGAGAGAAGTACAAACTAGAGACAGTTCTGATTTGAAGGGTATTTTAGGTAAAGTATTCCTAATTATTCACAGCTCCCATCCATAAATGTGTGTCCACCACCAAAACCAGTCCCCTTGTATCTTCTCATAGGTAAACCCATAAACAAGGTATATGCTAATACACATTAATGAACAAACATGATATCTAGTTTCAAGTGATTTCCTATCAGTAACTCTCTTTGGATCTGATGTAGTCAAGTGGCCAGATTCGGGGAGACTGCCACTTCTGGAAAGGAACCTAGAAATCAGCCTAAAATCCTCTTGCCAAAGAGATGGATGAAACAGAGGAGAGGATGCTGGGATGGAATGGAATGTCCAGCTCCTAGGCTTAATGGCTGCTTGATGTGAGGCACCCCACCCTTGTCCCAACTACTTATTTGTTATTTCATCAAGATGGGACAGGGAGGGGGTGGTTAAGTCAACTCACATGCTGGCTTTGGGTGGCCCTCCCTTCAAGAATAGCTCTTTCTTTGCTGCAACGGATACATCCAGCTGCAGATTTCCGTCATCACTGGATGCACTTTGCAGATGAATTCAGAAATTATACTGGCCTCCCCAATTGTTATTACTGAGTTGAAAAAGCACCATTGAGACCATCTTCTTGCCCACACAACTGTACTGGGTGCCACAGGAGAAGGGAGGAGGGGAGCATAAAAAGAACACCAAAAGCCTGCTTCCCACCCTTCAGAAGCTTTGGGTCAAGTTAGAGAGATGGGATATACATGGAAAAAATCACTCAAGAACAATTATAAAGGAATACATCCACAGGAGCAAAATAGCACAAACCAAAATATCCTATAAAATGATGGGCTCTGGCTTTAGGAGGAATTAGGTGGCAGTTGCAACTGTCTGGAATCTTGGTGCAGAATTTCATGTGTGGAAGGCCAAAGAAGACCTTGTTCTAAGTGTTTCATGTGTATCACAGTCATTAACAAGAACAAGAATAAAAGTGGTTAGAATAGGTTTCACAGCATGTGTGTAAGTATGGAAAGTAGTAGGCACAGTTTTCTTTGATGCTGAGCTTTTTTTTAATTTAAATTTAAATTTTTTTTATTTTTTTGAAACGGAGTCTCACTGTATCACCCAGGCTGGAGTGCAGTGGCATGGTCTCGGCTCACTGCAACCTCTGCCTCCTGGGCTCAAGCAATCCGCCCGCCTCAACCTCCCAAAATGCTGGGATTACAGGTGTGAGCCACCGCACCCAGCCTGAGCTCTTTATTTTAATGGATTTTCTCCCAGATATCCAGGTCACCCTATCTCAGAACATAGTGTGCTATTTCCACACTGGCTATAGTGAAGGGTTAGCGGCTGGCAGTATTGGAAGGTTGGCCATGTCAGAGAGGGCAGGGCAGCAGTACCAGTGGCTTCAGCTTCAGCCCTGGCCCATGGCTTGAGCATGTATTAAATCGATCGACCTGATTGATTTAATTTTGGCCTGGGCATACCTGGGTCAGCTTAGTGAACCTTACCATCTACCTACAGTCTGGCCACGGAGTAGGCTTAAATGTTAAGAAAGTTTCCCATGGCTTATCACCTTCTCAAAGCTGGTGGGCACTCCCACCCACCCACTTCTCTTGCACTTATTTCAGGCTACACACTTGGGCCTCAAGTGGAGTATTACTACATCTGGACTGGGAAGGAGCAAGGTGGGATCTGAATCCCAAAGGAGTGGTAAAGGCTACAGACCTGGGTTTGTTCCCCTGTTGATTCCCCCCTCACCCACAACCAGTGGAAAAACTAGGGCCATGCTTCCCCTCCCTTCCAGAGCTTGAGCCCTGGGTAGGAAGAGCACTCTAGAAAGAATGAGGGCAGGGAAGAGCAAAGGTCTTCAATCCAGCTCAGGCTTGACATCGAGCCCTACATGTGATGCCCACCTGGCCCAGCAGTGTCAACAGGCATGTCTATTGACAAGTAAAGGGGTCTAGAGTGCTCCCTGCACCACACAAGCATCCTGGCCATCCTCAGCTCACAAATCCAACTCTGGAGCCAGGACTACTGCTTCTGGGGCCCGAAATACCTGCTTGGGCCTCAGGTTGGTATATCTTCTTTCAACCATGGCTAGGACCTGGAAGTGTTTGGGGAAGTACCTTGACTTCTACTGCCAGTTCTTCTGCTAGCCAGCAAAAGTCTCTTCCTCACTGTGGGCCTCAGTTTCCCCATATGTAAGATGAAAGGGTCAGACTAGATGATCGCCCTTCTGGCTCTGCTGTCTGTTCTGTGAGTCTAGCGCCCTCCCTTTCTTCATGAGGTAAATACTTTTGTTGGGGGTATGGGGGGTTGTTTGGAACAAGGGACGTTTGAGGCCTTCCAGTGTGGAAGCTGGTGCAAAGTTCCCAGGCTGTGTTTGTCGTTGTGCCGCCTTTTCTTCTTCGGAACTGGCTTCTCCCGTAGCTCAGGGCCAAGGGCCGCTCTGGTTCCAGCCTTGGATGGGCGTGGTGGGGCAGCGGGTCAGACGGGGCAGTGTCCAGGGCTATCCTGGCAGCCTGGGCTGGCAGGGGGAAGTTCTGTCGCTTCTGCTCGTGTTTCCCACCCGGCCACAGGGCCCTCTCCCTGGGCGGCCTCACCACTGACTCTGGGAGGTCGCCTCCCAACCACAGGTGCTGTGGGGCTGGCAGCCTGTGGGAACGGGCGCTGCTCTCGGGGCTCCCGAGGAGCAGGGATCTCTCGCGGATGATGTGAAGAGCCCATACTGATCCCAGGGCGGGATCAGGTTCCCCTCAGGAATCTGGGAAACTCGCAGGGAGGACGTGCGTGGGCTGGTTAAACTGTCTGGGGTCTGGGGCCGTTGGGTCATTGGACTGTAAATGCAGGGAGGGGGCAGGCAGACTTGCCATATTACAGGCTCTGGTCCCTGCAAGGGACCTTGGATGCCTTCAAGTCCCCTTGCTCCTTTTATGAAGGAGGGTGAAGGGGGAGAGACGGACTTCCACAAAGCCAGAAGACCAGCGGGCAGAGAGGCTTGTTGTTCTGTGTGATCTTGTGACATGGGGACTCCCTCTATTTCCCAGGCCTTCCAGGGAAGCATTAGTGAGCTGAAAGGAGCCTCGGCGGGGAGAACAGTGGTGATGTGCCACACAGAAGGCAGCATCAACCACAACAAACAAGCAGAGCCTCTCAGACACACACAACTCAGTCTCTCTCCCTCTCTCTCTTTCTCTCTCTCTCCCTCCCTCCCCCGCTCCCTCCCCCCTTCCTAAACACCGCGCGCGCGCGCACACACACTCTCTCTCTCTCTCTCTCTCTCTCTCTCTCTCTCTCTTTCTCTCTCTCTCTCTCTCTCAAATACATGTGCCTGAAAGTATATGCTGAGACTTAACTGCACACCCGTCCCAAGCCCTTTAACATGGCTCTGTGGCACTGACTTTCTGTGAAGGCACCCGGAAGCCCAGCCCACATCACCTGCTGGTGCAACTTCACTTTGCCGAGGTGTTGGGGGAGGGACAAGGTTCCTTGGGAGGGGAGGGGCCTTTTCTAAAGCTTAAAAAAAGGAAAGAAAGAAAACAAAGCAAGGCTGAAGTCCTCCCACAGGCAGGCTCGTGCTCCGGGTGTGCTTTCGCAGGCCAGAAACTACAGAACTGGGAGTACTGCCAAGTGCTTTATCAAAGGAAACAGCCCGCCCAACAGCTGGAGATGGGCTCTTGCCAGCTGTGTGTGCCTCTCAGTCTCTCCTTCTCCTTTTCTCTCCCCTTTTCCTATCTCCATCCATCCATCTCCTGCAGCCTTGCACTTTGCACTGGGCTAGCCCTACAGACAGAATTCCTTGGACCACAGAGAGTACCCTTGATGCTGAGCAAGTGAGCAGATTGCTGCCCCAGCTGGATTGGAGGAGGCCGTTCTTGCAAAGGGATGTGTTACCCATGAGTTGGTCTCCAGGCACTGAGCAAGGGGCTGCTGCGTTGTGGGCGCTTCTGCTGCAGCTAGAGCCTTAGGAAGATACAGTCCAATAGTTTCTCCTTAGCCTCCTTTCGCCCATGGTGGGAGGCGGGTGCCTGGCTGCGCTGTGTGTGTTGGCGGCAACAGGGTGTTTTCCAGCAACCTCAGCAACTTTGCCATCCATATTCATTAATTAGTTAATGACTTGGATTCATTTCTCTAAGCCTTGGGCTTCCCAGAGTGGGAGGAGACAATGTGGGAGTGGGGGAGAGCTCTGAGGAAAGTTGTTCTCCCCTTGCTGGGGTGTGGTTGAGGGGGCTTCACTGCCACACACTAAGAAAGAAAGGGAAAGGGGGATCTACGGTGGCTTCGCCCCTTCTCCCAGTCCTCACTCATTTCAGGCTCCCAATTTGCCAGCTAAAGTGGCCAGCATAGCCCCAAAAGGCAGCTCTGAGCTGCGTTTGTAGAAGCAACCCCAGGGAGAAAGATGCCAGTGGGGCTGCCTAGTTCTGTGAGTGGCAGTGCTGAGTTCTGGGAGCTGAAGGCAACAACCTCATCCCTGAGGAGGTCTAGGGGCTTCATTCTCTTCCCTAACCATAGCCCACACCTCAGTAGACCCCTGGAGATGGCTTAGGCAAACCTAACATCTCCCCTGCCAGCCTGGCCACACCTCAAGGGCAGGATCCTTGTGATGTTCATCTCCCTACTCCCAATGCCTGTCATGTGCTTGGGGCTTAAGTAATGTCTGGTGACCCGGACTCTGGGGAAACTCACTTTAAAGCTTGGGTCTTACCAAGTGGGAGGCAGTAACTTGGTCTGTGTGTATTTCCCAAGGTTGCCATGTTGAGCTTATTCATTCTTTAGCAGAGTTTGGCTGAATGAGTACCAGTGAAATGGCAGACACCAGTTTTGGTTGCTATGGGGGTTACCAAGAGGGACAAGGCCACAAACTTAGATAATCTTAGCTTCTGGCATCTGCTGGGCACTCTGCTGCCCATCCTCCCTCTGTTGTACACCCACTCTTTCACCGTCATGGTTCTTCAACCTCAGCCAAGCTCTTGGATCTTCTCTCTCTCTTTTTTTTTTTTAGACTGAGTCTTGCTCTGTCGCCAGGCTGGAGTGCAGTGGCACGATCTTGGCTCACTGCAACCTCCGCCTCCCGGGTTCAAGCGATTCTCCTGCCTCAGCCTCCCGAGCAGATGGGACTACAGGCGTGTGCCACCAGGCCCAGCTAATTTTTGTATTGTTGGTAGAGACGGGGTTTCACCATGTTGGCCATCATGGTCTCGATCTCTTGACCTCGTGATCCGCCCGCCTCGGCCTCCCAAAGTGCTGGGATTACAGACGTGAGCCACCATGCCCAGCACGATCTCTCTTACTGTTCTTTCCTTCCCTGAGGCTTCTTCTACAAATGGGCATGCTCATATGCTTAGTCACAAGTGGCCCTGAAGCGTAATGAGCTCAGGCTTTGGAGCCAGCCAGACCTCAATTTGAATCCCTAGTCAGCCACTTTCTCTACCCGGTATGACTTTGGGTAAGTTACTTTGCCTCTCTGAGCCTCAGATTTCCCCTCTGCAAACTGGAAGTGATACATACAATATTGACCTCCTGAGTCTGGAGAAAGTTGATTGAGATAACATATATACTGTATATGAAGTGCTTTGAGCCACGTTTTGCACAAAGCAGGTGCTCAATGACTGTTAGCTGCTGGTATTCATTCCCATTGCCCAGTGTATGTGTGATGATCAATCGTGTCGATCACACACCACTGGGCTGATAGGACTGACTATGTGATCAACCATAGACAGATCAAAGACCCCAAGCGGGACACTAAGAAGACACTTCAGTAATTATGTGTGTCCAGCCCTGGCAGTTACAAACCTGGGTGGAATGAGGTGCAGAAGTCAAGAGCCTGAGGCAGAGCTGAACCCATTATCCCTGATTTTGTCCCTCCCAGATAGGGCTTCCCCTCAGGCCATGGGACAGACTAGACTGGCCCTTGGGCATGGGGCTAAATAAATGTCTTCTGGGAAGCTCCACCTACCACACAACTTCTCCAGACTCTGGCTTCCTGGCTTCCCTCATGTGGGGTCTTCTTTTTCTCACCTGTGAACCTCACCTATGCTCCAACACGCATGCCCTTGCCACAGTTTCCCCAGCGTGTGTGTGGTCAACCTTGAGTATATCTGGAAGGACCAGGCCAGGACTGGAAAGGACCATTTTTATCACAGCCCATTTATGACCATCTCCCTGAAAGGGTGCATGTGTGTGTGTGCACGCGCCTGTGTGTGCGTGTGTGCGTGTGGAGCCTGCAGCATTGAAGTGCCAGTTAACCTTGTGACATCAAGATTCCTCATTCCTAGTCCATATACCCATTGCTTCACCTTCCCTCAGCAGCAGCTTCTGAGCTCTGGGTAGTCAGGAGGATGCTGACGTGGGCATTTCCACGATTTGTGATGTAGGTCTTCACGAATGGAGGTTTGTGGGGCTTGCCCCCTCCAGTTCCCTTGGAAGGGCACTTCCGATGGTTGGCACCAGCAGCATGTCAGCTGCAGGGAGCAAATGGTGTAAGGGAAGAGAGTCCAGGTCTTCTTTGGCTACGACTGATTCCTTATTTCCTCTCCTTTCCCAGTTTGGGAGCATTTGTTGCTGTCTGAAGGGCCGGGCAGTGCCAAGACCACAATAAACAGCTTGTCCGGTACACACAAGCTCTTTGGACCCTGAAATGTCAGCTGGCCAACTGGCTCACAGCTAGCCCCTGCTGCGTGCCGTTTGCATCCGGCTCTGACAATGCCACTCAGCACTTGTAGAACCATGTGTCATGGCAACAAGGGTGGGGGTGGGGGGACCCCACAGTGACCGGGCCCTAGCTCTGGGAAGCCAAGCTCATGGGCCACACTTAGAGCCCCTGGTAAAAATTACTGCCTTAAGGACTCAGCTCTGCTGGTCCCAGACCAGCAGAGTAGCCTGTTCTCCCCCTCCCTTTACCTAGGTCTGGCCCCATGGGCAGCAGAAGGCCAGACTCCCTATGCCCCATATGGCTGAACTGCCAACTGGTGTTGAATAGAAACATCTCGCCCATGAAAACTAGTGGGGTGTGGGGCATGTGCCTCCAGGAGGTGCAGACTGGGCACAAAGGGCAAGAGAGGAGAGGGAGCGGCAGCGGGGTCTGGTGGCAAGAGTGCCAGGCCAGGATCCAGGAAACCTGGGCTGTGCTCCCAGCCTCTACCACCAACTCCCTTGGCGTCCTTGAGCAAGATCACCCAGAGGGCAGGGTTGGGGGAGCAGGCACAGGGCCAAGACCTTGCCTAGGAGAAGATGAGCTGCAAAATTTTGTTCATGCATTCAAGAGGTAGGGATGGGGTGTTTAACCAGGAAAACTCTCCGCTGAAAAGCTACCTAATTGCCTTTAAATGCTTTAGATGTGTCTTGACCAGCAAGGGAACCAAACTCAGGTGCCCAGGGGACATATCAGAAAAGACGGGGCTGCTTCTCCCAAAATGCCTGTCCCTTGACTTGCTTGGGAGGCCAACAGGCAGTGATCCCTGCTGCTAGGACCAAGACCAGAGGACACAGTTGTTTCTTAGCTATGGAAAGCCCTGGAATTGTCCTCACTTCTGCCCCTTGCAGCCAGCCAGGACAACTTATCTGGGATGTAGTGTTTGTTCCTGGTCGTAGGAGTTCATATGGAAAGGGCATCTCTCAGCTCACCACCCCAGGCACCCATGCATCAATATCCCAGTGTCCAGGGACCCACACGATGGCACACACTTATTCCCAGGACCTAAATTCACATCTCTTTGCTGAGCTTTCTCTGCCTGGTAGCAACAAATCTGCCATTGATCTGGCCCTGTTTTCTCAATGGGAACTCATGGGGTGCAATGGTCTTTGATAGCACAAAACACGTTGAGAAAAGCTACCAGTGTCTGACACAAAGTAGGGGCTCAATAAATTTTTGTCAAATGAATCCAGGTTGGAATCAACTCACAATACTTTCATATGAAGGACTTCATTTAATGGGAGAAAGTACAGGCTGTGCAGTAGGACCAGTTTGGGAGCAGGAAGAAGCCTGTTTGAAAAAAAAGAAAAAAAGCAGCATGGAGGCAGCCACCCTCTTTGTGCACGGAGGGAAGGTAGAATATACCCATGGTGTGTAGTGGGGAGGATGTCTGGGAAAAGGGCCAACATCCACTCCAGTCTGAGAGCCTCAGACACTTCCCAGTGCAGGAAGACCCCATGGTGGTGTCTAATTGGCTTTCTGGTTGTTCTCTTACTTAGCGAAACCCCTGTGTGACAAAGCTGGGACAGGGTTGAGCTTCCAGAATCTCTACTGGAGTTTTGAGTAGCTCCTGGTTATTTCCAACCAGGTGCCAGTTGCCAGGGAGGGCCTTGAATCTGAATAACATTGCCTGGGGGAATAAGGAGGGACTTGGCCAGGATCTTCACAAGTCATTTATACCTCAGCATGCCCCTTGTCCCCCATTGGTCCAGGGGCCCTGGGAGCCGTGGTCTGGCCTTTGCAACTTCCCTTGCTGGATTCCTGTGTTGTCTGTGCCTTCACAGCAGGGTGGGTGAGAGAGACCGGCCCAGGAGGAAAAAACAAACAAAGGAAAGGTCTCTGGGTCTGTTGACGTTATAAGTGCTATTGATTTTCCAAGATTTTTCCATTGAGAGGACAGTTAACTGACCTCGTTTTGCAGCCCATTTGGGCTTTGACGCCACTCTCTAGGCCATGAACTGAGAATTGGAGAGGCTATGACTTTATCTCAACACATACTTGATAGTCACCGCCCTCAGCAAGGCCAAATTGGGCTTCCCGGGGTGGGATGTGAGAGGATGTGGGTGGTTCCAGGCCTCTCAGCTCCTTCTACTTTTCCCCAGGGACATTGTGTGACCCTGGGCCCAAGCACTCTCAGATCTTGCTGGATCTGGTCATGCCTGGAAGGGGGCTTTTCAAGCAAGAACGGCCATAAAAATCGAGCACAGACCGAAAGACGATGGTTGGAAGAGCTCTGAACTAGGAGCTGGTGACTTGGCCTTGCATCCCAGGTGTGCCACTAATTAGCTGTGTGATTTCAGGCACTCTGTTTTCCCTCTCCTGGTCTCAGTTTTCTCGTCTGTTAAGTGATAGGTAGAGGTCCCTTCCAGTTCTAAAATCCAGCAGGCTTGTTAAGAAAAATGCAGACGTTAGGAATGAGGAGAAGAATATAAAGAAGAGAGAAAGGGACAAGATTGTAAAATTCCA
This sequence comes from Homo sapiens, assembly GCF_000001405.40. Classification (NCBI taxonomy): domain Eukaryota; kingdom Metazoa; phylum Chordata; class Mammalia; order Primates; family Hominidae; genus Homo; species Homo sapiens. The sequence continues at coordinate 107,736,422 of NC_000023.11, read as the reverse complement.
CGACAGCACAGAAGGGGAAAATGGGGAGAGAAAGAGAGGTGTGCTGCATTGTGGTGTAGTGGGAGTGGCCCCAAGTGGAGGCTTGGAGACCAAGATCCTGTTCCCAATTCTATCACTAATGAGCTGTGTGACCTTAGGCAGGTCACTTCCCTCCTCTGTACCTCATTCAAGTGAGAGGAATGAGTTAGCCCCTTACCACTCAGGCTGCTTTGTTGTTGGGAAAACTAGATACACACATAGCAAACAATTAGAGAACAGAATCAGTGCTCAGAGGTGTGTCATGGAAAAGAGGTACACTTGGAGAAGGGGATGGTGATGGTGGCTGGCGAGCCAAGGCCTAAAGGGCAAGGGAGCAGAGTAAAAGAGCAGAGGCTCTGGAATTACACAGGCCTGGTTAGAGTATTGGCTCTGTCCCTACCTGTCTGTGTGACCTTGGGCAAGTCATTGGCTCTACCCAAATTTCAGTTTCCTCACCCCAAAAAAGCAGGGAATTGAACTAGTTCATCTTCAGAGTTCCTTTCATCTCTTTGAATATGTAAAAAAACAAAACACAACAAAAAGAAGCCAGAGGATGCCAAGTAAGCTAAAGGGGAGAATTGTGCATTCAGGGAAGAAGCCAACTCGTTGGTATGGGTCAGCTACTTATGTCAGGAGTGAAGAAGAATGGCATTCTGAGAGCAATAGTCAGCTGGGGGGGCGGGTGCTGAGGGGAAGAAGGAGAAGGGGAAGGAAAAAGCAAGGCAAGGTCATCTCAGAGGGGTGATTGGAAAGGACATTAACGCATGTTCAGTGAGAGAGGGTTTGGTTGGAGGGCATGCCAGTGAGGAGCCGTCGCCTGGCATGGAGGTCTTACTTGGTCCTGGAATCAAATGCTGAGGGTGGTGGTGAATGCTACAGCAGACTCATGATCTCCAAGTAGAAGGTGGGGAGCTGAAATGCTTTCAAATTGCCAGGCCTTCTTCCACTGGGGAGAGTGAGATCAAGGGCCCATCACTAAGTCTTTGATACTCTTGCATTTTATACATCACTGATCCCTGCCCAGGACCAAGAATAGCGTCTGAACAGGTGTGGAAACCAAGGCCCTGAGAGGGGATTCAACCTGCCTTGGGTCACATGACAATTTTATGGCAGGACCAGGGGCAAAGTTGGTCTTTCTCCTGATTCAGAGCCCAGTACTCTTGTGTGGCTCCTGCCCCATCCGTTGGATGCTATTAAGCAAATCCCTCATTGGAATGTTGGCCTCTTAGGGAGAAAAAATGGAGTGAAAAAAAAAACCCCAACAATTTCAAGTAACTAAGGCTCCAAGGGCCTTGAGAGGCCAAACTGTGGCGGATGGTGCCTGGTGAGCCCTTCAGCAACAGGACCCATGTTTGTGGCAAGGACAGTGAGGGTCGGGTAAGGGGGAAGAGTGTGGGTCCTAGAGTCAACTGGATCCTCAAATCCCAGCTCTAGCTGTGTGACCTTGGGCTGGTTACAACCTCTATGAGGTTCTGCTTCCTCATCTGTCATCTGCAATTTTTTTTTTTTTTTTTTTTTTTTTTTTTACGTAGAGTTGTGAACAATAGATAAAATAATGCGTGAAAAGTGCTTGGCACAGTGCCTGGTATATAATAAACTCTCAATAAGTAGTAGCTATTATTATTGTTATTACTCTTACCATTACTGGTAAAAAAAAATGTGACAATTTATGATCTTTCTTGCCAACCTGCCACTTCCCTCTTCCCTCACTTGCTTCAGAGTCTTCACATTCACCTGCCTGAGGCTTGGTCCCCCAAGACCACATTTTTCACCTCCATTACAGGACCAGCTTCCCCAGATGGCCTCTCCAGAGAGTTCCATCTCCTCCCAACTTGCCTGCCAACATGGGACCCCAGCAGCAGACAGAGGGAGGGAGACAGACAGGTGGCAGGGGCCAAAAAATGAGACCATGCGTTGCCACCCTGTCACCAGTTCCCTGGCAAGATCTAGCAAGGTCACCTTTTGCTTATGATTTCCTTCTTTGTGAAGAGGAGGGTTGAAATGCAGCCTGGAGGGAATATTTGGATGAAAGCAAGGGCTTTGCCCCCACAATTTGGGAGACACACTCTCGCCAGTATTTTTCAGAGCAAGAGATGTTCCAGCCAAGGAGAATGTCATCACTGTGTATAGGAGCAGAGCTGTTAAGATACACACTGTACTATGGTGGGCCCGATTTTCCAGCCCCTAGGTCAAAGCCCAAAAACCCTCAGTTCTGGGAAGGGAAGCCCAGGTTTCTTCAGGTGAGAGGACTCTTGGGTGTGGCCCTGCAGAGGGAGCTGATTGTTTGTGCTGGGAAATTTAGAGGATGCCCCAGACTGCTCCTTAGCTTCTCATCCCTGGGGGAAAGGTGGTGAGACCAGAGAAACTCAGTGGCACTAGGCCAGGGAGGACTGAAATCACATTCTAATGTGCAGGTCCTAGAGATGAAATAGCCCAGCCCATTCTCCGGGTTGAGAGGTGAAGGGAAAAATGGGTGGGAAGAGCAGACGGGCAGTGCCTGCCGAACCTAGAGGTGGGGCAGGCAGTTGTCTATCTGGCAAGATTTCAGGGGCCCCAAAGCAGACTCCACCCCAAACATCTTCCCCAGCGCAAGTAACCAAACAATGGTGTGTTTTTGGAGCACATGCTGGGTGTTCCACATTGTGCTCAGTCTCTGTAGAAAATTGTCAAGTTCAGTCATTACTCCCCAGAGTCCCTTCCTCTTTAAAGCTTTGATGGAGAGGGCCCGAGGTCAGGGCTGGGAAAACGGGTTCATTCGGCACAGCAGCAAGAGAAGGAGAGAGCATGGCAAGAAGTCCTCAGCTGGTGGAGGAAGGCTTGAGGGGACAGGATGGATGGTGAGGGGGATGAGGGTTGGGTGGGAGATGTTCTTAAAGCAGGGTGGAGGTGTGCAGGAGGCCAAATGTAGCTAAGGGCCAAGCCTTGTGGGAGGGACAGAAATTGGGAGAGAAGAAAGGGACAGGCCTAAAGTACACTGGCATTTTTTTTTGTGAAGAGAGCTCTACCAAGTAACCTGAATGAGTACTTCAAGCACATTGCAGTGGAGGTGGGAATAGGGATAATAATCCCTAATATTTGTCCAGGGTCTTGCCATGTAGAAAGTGCGCATGCTCTCTCTCTATGTTATGCATGCCTGTGCACTTGTGCATGCACACATGCACACATTGTCTCTAATTTTCATAACAGTCCTGCCAAGGTGGGTAGGGCAGGGGTGATTACCCCCACTTGACAGATGAAATTCAGATGCAGAGAGATGCAGTGATTTGCTCAGGGTTACACAGATAATTTTTTTTTTTTTTTTTTTTGAGACAGGGTCTCACTCTATCAACCCAGGCTGGAGTGCAGTGGTGCAATCACAGCTCACTGCAGCCTCGACTTCCTGGGCTCGAGGAGTCCTCCCACCTCGGCCGGGAGTAGCTGAGACTACAGGTGTGCACCACCATGCCTGGCTAATTTTTAAAAATTCTTTTGTACAGACGGCGTTTCGTCATGTTGCCCAGGCTGGTCTCGAACTCCTGGCCTCAAGCGATCCTCCCCCCTTGGCTTCCCAAAGTTCTGAGATTACAGGTGTGAGCCACCCCACTCAGCCTACATGGACTATTTTAATGGCAGAGATGGGACCAGAAATTTAGCCTTCCGACTCCCAGGGCAGCAAAGTCCAGAATTGGCCTAATGAGTATCTAGAGTAGGTAACTATCTCCATAGTGTTATGTCAAGAATACTGGGAAGGAATTCTGCCCCATAAATCTCTCTCTCTCTCCCAACTCACTAATACTTAAAGTTTCACCCCTGAAGATTCACTCGTTCGGATTGGAACTGCAGCCCCTGTTATAATGTGAAAGGGTGCTGCTGAAGGAAAGAGTAGGGAAGGAAAGGGAGAACATCTTGGCACCTGAGAATAATGTCTGGGAGTGTCCCTAGAGGCCTGGGTGATGGAGGAGGCTGGAGTAGGGCGGGGGTGTGTTTGAAGGGGAGGAAGGTAGCGCTGGCAAAGCCTCCTTCCTTTTGCATAAGGAGGGGAGGAGTTCTGTCAGAGTGTGAATGTGGGCAACACTGGGAAGGGGGGCCAGTCTGCCCAGAAGCTGGCCTGGCCTTGGAGAGCTCTAATGGGTGACTGCACTGGGCCCCAGTGCTGAGTCCTTGGAGGGAGTTTGGGGGAGGGCTTCCATGTAGCCTTGGCAGAGGGAGGGGAGGGGAGGGCAGTGGAGGCAGTGGCTGAACAAGGAAGCAGATTGGCCTATGAAGCTGAAATCCTGGAGGGGAAGGGTGGGGGTTGGGGGAACTATTCAGGGAGCTGGCCTGGAGCCAAGGGCCAGTCCCAAGCGGGTGAGCAGAGGCTTGAGAGCTCTGGGCCCCATTCCAGCTCCTGACCTTGAGTCACCATGCGACTCGGCACTTTTCCCTACCTCAGCCCAGACACCCATCAGGTCTCTGTTATCTAGGTTTCCCGTTTTACAGAAAATGTAAAAGTTACTCCCATGGCTCCTCCTCCTGACCTACCCTGCCCTTCCTACAGCCCTCTCCCTCCCCCCACCCCCATCTAGCATCCTGCAAGCCTTCCGCACCTCTTGGAAGCTCTTGCTTGCTGCCTTTGTCTCAGATCTGCTTATCCCCAGCGCAGGCTGCCCCTGTACCCCATGGGGGCAGACATGATCTGGTCCTGAGGACGAGGGCCTGAAGACCTCACCCAGCTCTTGGCCAACGCCTCTTGACTGAAGAAGCATGGTTGCAAATAGCTGCATCTGAGGAGATCGAGACTGAGACTGTCAGAACTGAGCAACCACCTTAGAAGTCATTCTTGCCATCCATTCATTCATTTCACTCAACATAATCCATTTGTTGAGCACATACTATATGCCAGACACTGTTGTAGGAAACTTTGGATATAGCTCCCAGTCTAAATAGAGGTATCATTCATCAAAAAAGCACCTAAATAAATATAATTTTGCAGCCTCAACCCTCTCATTTTACAATTAGGGGAAATGGGCCCAGAATGGTTCTGGAACTTTTCCAGGTTGTTTGTTCTGGTAGTCAGGGGCAAACTCAGGCCAGAACCCAAGTTTCCTGACTACTATTCCAGTGCTCTTTCCACCGTGCTCTGGAAGAATACGGCACAAGCATAAGAGCGTAGTATTCATCCCTGTACATTCATGCAGCCAGCCTTACCTAGAGTCACAGTCAATTGTGGCCAACTTGGCAAGATTTGAACATCACTGATAAGCAATCTTTCTCTCAATGCTGCATCTCTCCAGCTTGTTCTTTCCCTACCATCCCCCACGTATGACTAAAGTTATAGCATTGACTGAAATCTTTGGATTAAAGCCCCTGTGATCTGACTGAGAAAAACCTGTTGAGCCATTACCTACAATTTACACAAACAAATTTCTTCGATTTGTCTTTTAGGGCTGGCCCGAAGGCCATTTACATTTGATTTTTGTGAAGGAGACTGGGAGTCTCTCTTAAAGCGGGCATTGCTAAGGAAGGCAGGTCCCCTACTGCACCCCTGAAGCTATGGGCCCCATGAAACTCCAGGCAGCAGGAGGGCACAGGTGGCATAAAGGAACAGGCAGGAGGAAGGTACCCGAAAAGGAAGCAGGAAGGTTCTGAAGACAGACTCCTACTTCACAGTTTACCCTGGGGGCCAGCCCTGCACAGACCGTGATTGGTGACATTTTGTTTCAAAATATGTGTTTACATTTGGTTTTTGCTTATACTGGATTATACTGGTCTTTTGTCCCCTCCCCAGCCTGGTGTCTGGTAGTTTGTACTTATTTGCAGTTACTGAGTGGCCTGTCCTGAGAATGGTCAAGCAGCTGCCCATAAACAATCTGCTAGTCCCTGAATTGAAATGGAGATGACCCATCCCATCCTGGCATTCCGGGGGGGCTTACTCTTCCAGGGAATTAATTGCCTTGGGAATCCTTTAGTCAATTGAAAGAAACAGGCCCCACCAAAGGCCTTCCCCACCATGACCCTGATAAGGACCCTTTTCAAATTCCTCTGCAGCTGTATGAAGGGAGTTCAGTGGGAAGGAACACTAGTGCAGGTTCCAGTTGCTGCCTGGAGTGCAGCTGGGCCTGGAGCCCTCCTCAAAACAAAGCACAACTCCAGCTAGAGGCAGCCCAGTGCTTTAAAATCACACACCAGGGAGTTTCATCTGATCTCTGCCATTTGCTTGCTGTGTAATCCCAGGCAAGTTATTTAACCTCTCTGAGCCTCAGTTTCCTCATCCACAAAATGGGTCTAATGATAAGGTAATACCCAACTCCTAACAGCGTTGACAAGATTCAAAAAATTAACGTTATCTAATGTCTTTAGCGCAGTGCCCACTAAGCAATCAGTACATGGGAGCTGCTGATATTATTTGGACCCAATGAGGCTTTGAGATCTCCCAGAGGTAGGTCAAGTCCTAACAGCTGTCCATCCCTGCCCTCTTGTTAAGTTAAAATTTTCATAATGTCAGGTTTGCTTAAAGCAAGGCCCACCTGCGGGGCATTCCCTGCACTGGTGATTCATGAGTGGGAGGCATTCCGCCCACTTATTTTAAGCTGTTCTACATTTTCTTCCCCCTGACATGGATGTGTTTACACAGGGGAGGACGGTCCCAGTCAAAACAAGATGAAAATACACTGCTGGCTGGGAGCCCCAGGCTAACTGGTTTCAGGTCCTCTCCCAGCTGTCAACACCTCACAACAGGGCCCCGGGGGTGGAGAGGGGGATGCCCAGCCCCACTCCCCTGCCTCCCTCTGTCGGCCCAGCTCTGCCTGGTGTCAGGGAGTTGGCTATCACCTGGTCAAACTAGAGGGAGCTCCAGGGCTGAGGTTTTTCCAGAATTTTACAAGGGCAAAAAGGAGTGGTGATGAGGGGCAAGGGCTTCCCTCGCCAGCTCTAGTGTCAGTATTGTTTCTGCTGCCAGGGCTGCCTAGTTCACAGGCAGAGAAGGCCACTGCCAGCAGAAAGTAGCAGAAAATGGTCAAAGAAAGCTCCTCCAGCGTCCTGCCCTTCTGCCTGGAATTTCTCCCACTAGACTCATTCCTTTGGGTTCGCAGCAGGCTCTTGGTAAAAAGAAATTACCCCAGGGAAGGAGAATCCATCAACCCCAGCAGCCACAGACTCTTCTGGGGGTTAATTTCTCAGCTATGCCACCGTATAAATGAGGCAGTAGAGCTGGGGGAGGATGCACCCAGGGAGGATGTTTTGATGAGCAAGCAAACGGGGTCTCCCAGGCAGGGAGCACTGAAGATTAACATCCCCAATATGCCCAAGGCAGCCTTGCTGCTCCTCACGACATCTTCATAACAGCTTGCTTTCATTTACCAAGAACAGAAGGAGAAAACAATCTCCTTTGCCCTAAACTCTACTCCTCTTAAAGCTGCCCACTCAGAGGCAGTTTGGTTTCTTGCCAGCGAGTCTTCAATATTTGGCCACATTTGCCTGTCCCCTGAAATCCCAAGGCCACCAGATAACCAGGACCCATTGTGAGGCCCCACCCTAGGCAGCACCCCACCAGTCTATACTTAGCCAGCCTGGGTTGCTTCTCCCAGAAGCCCCTCCCACTATTCTGACCAAGCTGAGGCAGGTCATCACATCCCTTCCCTGAGAAAAACTAAACAATTCCCCTTCTGAGAAAGATTTTCCATTTTAACAGGGCACCTCAAGACTTCAAACCCAAGGGTGACATTAATGGTGAGAATTTCCTTTATCTTAGTGAGTATTTTTAGTCCAGATGGTTTTTGTCCTCCCCCCACTCCCATCATTCCAGCTGTATGGCTGCCACTCACTCAGAGCGTCAGGCCTGCTAGCCCTAAATCCCTCTTTGATATTGGTGCCAGCTGAGACTTGGCCACCCTGCTCCTGGGCTTTATCACCCTCTACTGCTCACTGTGGGTGACCTATTCCCAACTGACCCAGCGCCTTTAGCTAAAGATGGAAACTGACCAAAGTCCTAGCATTAGTGGAGAACCAGGAGCACACACATGGGTGAATTATCCCTTTTGTTTAAGTGGTTGAGCCTTGCTTCCAGGTCATTAGCGGCCACTTACTCAATTAAACTATGTTTGGGTTTCCCAAGTATGTTTGATTTTCACAGGTCTTTTGTGTTTGTAACTGCACAGTTTCTCTCAGACAATGATTGTCCCCAAATTAAAGTGTTAACTAACAGAAGACTAATTCATGAATGTGCCTATAGTTCTCCACGAGGCCATTAGCAAAGTCCTAACACATACATAACCTTTTTTTTTTTTCTTACTAAGCATGTATTTACTGCATTTGTACTGTGTGCCAGGCACCGGTCCAAGCCTTAGGTGTACAGTAGTAAATAAGATAAGCCCCTGCCCTCACAAGGTTTATATTCTAGTCTAGAAAGCCAATCAGTGCTCACTTGAGACCTTGCACGGCCCATTTTCAGTCGTGGTCCTGTCTGACTGTGCCTTCAGTCGTGCTAGAAAGAATAGAGGTCTTACTGATTACTGATTGTTTGTACTATCAAAGTGGTTCTTCGGGTCAAAACGTTGTGCAAATTAGAAGTTCTACATACAGGGAAACATTGCTAGGACCTTCAGGAGAATAATTTAAATATAGACTCCATTTTAACAACAACTTCTCAAACTACCCCCTCCCCATAGCAGTATATGTGAAACCATGAGAACAAACATTGAAACTGGACAGAAGGTTAGAAAGACGAATTTGAAACAGTGTGAAAAGGGCTGTTCACTTGGGGAGCCATTTTGCCAGCGGTGTTTGGGAACCAGAATTTCTATTTATCATAGAGTTTATCACATTCACGTAGCCCTTTTTTTCGCTCTCCAAAGAGCTCAGCTATGCTACCTACAGGGTGTCCATAAAGTCCATAGGTAAATATTTATAAAGTCATCAAAGACATCTTTAATCTGTAAAAAAAAAAAATAAATAAAATGATTTGTTTATGTTTCCAGACATTAGGGTATCCATAAAACATACATACCTTGTGTGGCATTACTCCCATTTCAGGGATGCGGATCTAGCAGCATAGAGAGTTTAGAGGTCTTCCATGAAGTCGCCAGCTGGCTAGTGGCCAAGGTGGAAAAGAACTCTGGCCTTCTGACATATTTTCTTCCCACTTGAACACGTTCGTTTAAAATGGGAACTAAAGTGATGTTTCTTGGGGCATAACTCCCTTCACAAATGCATCAAGGGAGTCCCTCTCAATTTTTCATATCATTGCTGTCTGTCTGAGAGCTCAGTATCAGCTCTGTAGGCCAAACCCATCATTGCAGCAGCCTATTGTTGGAGATAAATCACCCTGTGACATGACAAATGCCTTCTGGGTTATCTCCCAATCGTGCTGAGTCCCCGGTGCCCCAAGATGTCCAAGGAGTATCTGTGAAACTCTCGTCCCCTCAACTGCTGAGCTAGTAACTGTCTATACTTGGCTGTTCCTCGGTTTCCATATTTACTTTAGCTCTTCTGCAACTCTGTCAACAAACTCCATGGTATTATTAGTTTTAGCAAATAACAGGATGTCAGAACTGTTGACCAGGATTCGTTAGTTTGCTGTTAGAGCTCTATCCCTAGGACATAGGGGCTAGTGTTCCTTTTATTTTTTAAGGTGTATGAGCTTTGGCAGGAAGCCTTCTTGGTCAGGCCCACCATGCTCTGGTGTCTATAGGTCTTTAAGGTTGCTCGTGCCACAGAGGCCCCACCCACAGAGACCTGGGCACTTCTGTCTTTGCTTGGTGGTACGAAGACATCTGTAGAGTAGATTAAAAAAAAGAAGATGAAAGAAAGAAAAGAAATCAATGCCAATACTTAGAATTTTCCATTTATGTGCTTTATTTTTGCAATCTTGCTGTGGGCTTTAAAAGAACCCTGTCCTTGGTAAGGTGGCTTCAGTGCTTAACATTCATAATGCCGGCAAGGGCCGGGGATGTTATTTTAGGCTGGCACTAAGAATTTCCAGGTTTTTGACCCTAAATATCTTTTTATTTCAACCCCACCCCCAACACTGAATGTCTCAAGGAGCAAGAGAAGAGGTTAAAAGGGTCACTCTGTTGCTGGCAGGCAACCAGGAAGTCTAGGCCTTGGGGAGAAGCATAGCTTTTGTTTATTTAAGCCCAAACCTAGCAAACAATGTAAATTAAACATAAAAATAAAATAAAATAAAATAAGGCCAAAAGACAGTCTGGATGCATACCACAGACAACAGTAAATTCCCCTCCTACTCCCCCTTGGAGAGGGGAGTCAGCGAGCAGGGGAGATGGCCTTGTTGCCAGGGAGGGGCTCACAAGCAATGGAATGGGGTGAGGATGGTAGGCAGGGGTGAGTTCCAGGCTTGGATCAGGGTGGGGACAGGCATGTTTGCAGAGATCCTGGCAAGTCTTTATAGTCAGCCCCAGCAGGTTTTTGAGGGGGGAATGAGTCACACCCCTTCAGCTCACCTGGGAATTGACCCAGGTTTGACCGGGCAGTGACAGCCACAAGGCTGGAGAAGAGCTGGTTCCTGTAGAAGGGAGGTTGGGCCGGTTCATTGACCAAACTGTGCTGTTAGAGAAAAACCAGTCCCTTCCCCTTCTCTATGCTGGGTTCTCTCTTTCCCACAACGATGCCCACCCCTCCCCCGCCGCATGTCCCTGACCTGCCAGGCTGAGAGTTTCCACTGACCGCTGTGAAGTATCTTAAAAGGCATCCGTTCCTCTTAACAGAGAGGCAAAAATTGCCAAAGATTTGAATATAAATCACAGCATGTTCAGGATCATCTCTCTCATAGTAGATCTCACTCACATTCTGGTCAAACCTTCAGGAGTGAGAGGGAAAGAAAGGGCAGAACAGACAGCAGGCCTAGAATATGCCAAGCCTCGTCCGAATGTGTCACACGAAATGGGTCTCAGTGCCCCTGGCACCATAGGGGCTCTTCAGATAGACCCTTTCTTGGCTCTTACCTTTAGGCCAGCAGTTCCTAAAAGCAATTCCATGGACTGGTGTCAAAAGAGCTGCGTCCAAAACACCTGAGAAATACCCTTCTCCCGCCCCACGCCTATTCCACTAGACATGCTAGGGCTGCAGCCCAGGACGCCTGCATTTTCCACAATCTCCCTTAGGCCCACTGCAGCCCACCATCAAGGTTTACCTGCTGTGTGTCCAATTGTCTGCTGACACTGATTGGCCACTGACTACTCTGTTGAAAGTAATACTATAATTTAGTTCATACTGAAGTATTTGAACTGATAGTGTTGAATATGGCACCTTCCCAGGGCTTTTTGCATTGGAAAAGAAGGCGTTCTCATTCCTCAAAGTATAAATGAAGAACTCCAGGAGAGATCATTGGAATCCAAAGGCATGATTCTCATGGTGGCATTTGTAAGGACCACAGTAGTGGTCTGGAAAACAGCTCTGACTGAGAGGGATTTTTTTTTTCTCACCACCCTTCAGATCACACTTCTCAAGTCACAGAGGGCCTCTATGCCAGGACTGGCTCTAGTTAGAACTGTCCTCAAGAGGAGCCTGTGGGAATCATTTCTTAGGCGTCCATATGATTGATTGTGCACAAATGGTACTTGTTTTTATTTCTCCTTCATTTAAAAGAGCCCATTATAATGCATGATTGATATCTTTGAAAACTGTGCTTCTGGCAGTGCCAGGACTTCCCGTTCCCAGTATGCAGTATGAGGCTTCAAATTGGTTCCCCCGTGTCCATCTGAATACCACCTCAAGCTTCCCCTAAGACCCTGTCACCTGTCACCCTTGCACAGCACACAGCTAGCTCTGGATGTCAGAGAGCGCAGAGGCCATGACTTTTGACATTCTGGCATGGGCTAGAGTGTCCTGCATTGCTATCTTGCTATGTCTTGTGGCCTTACTGTCCCTTTGGGGTCATGGGGAAGGTGACAACATAGGGGAAGGGGGGCGGATGCCCCACTCTGCCTGGCTATCTGTGAATTATTAGACTGTGTGAAAGGCTGGAGAGGGTGTTTGCACAAATGCACGTGCTTCCATGCTACTCTTTCTTCCGAGAAGTTGTGTGTATTCCTTGTCAGTGATTCTCAAACCAGGCCAGGAGACCTTCCTTAAGCCCTTCCAACACTCCTTTGAGATCCCTGGTGCTGTTCCCATGGTTGGGGGGCCCTCCCCAGGGAGAAGCTGGCCCTGTTTCTCCTTTTCTTTCTGTTCTGGCAATAGTGTGCCCCCTGCCTCCTCCTGCCACTGCCCCCACCCCAGCTAGGCTGCCTTCTATCCATCCTGGAAGGTGGGAGGCAGCGGTTGGTGATGACTGGAGAGCCAGAGGCCCTTTGCAATCTGCAGAGCCCCTCTTCACATGTGATAGAGTCCCACAACTGAGAATCAAGGAGCTACCTCAAATGAGCTCATGGTGAATAGCTCTGCTGTGAGGTAAGCGAGGGCCCTAGGAGGCTCACAGTGCTTACCCATCACAGCCAAGGAACTAAAGAGCCCAGCATTATTAACCATCCTTTTGTTCCCTAGAGAACCTCTGCCACTTCAAAGATCACCCATTCTATAGCGAGGCCCACAATGGAGGCAGGTGCTCCTGCCCTCTTCACAAGCCCCTCGTCTGCTGCACCCCCATCCCCAACAAGATCCTCCTGGTTGCTGTCTTCCAAGCATTGCCAATAGCCCCCAAGTCCTTCACATGCTACTCAAAGTAACCCTGGCAACTGCCAGAGAAAATGGCTTGGAATTTCGGCTCTTGGAACTGTTCCACAGAGCAGAGTGGATGGAGAGAGGCCTTGCCAGTGTCCCGCTGGCCTGGATAGACTGGTGGAGGGCTGGTGCAGACACATAAATGTGGAGAGTGGCATAGTCTTGCTGCTTTCTTTCTCAGCCCCTGGGAAGGCTGCAGGACACTGGGATTGCCAAAGGGTGGGCTGTGACGAGGGAGCCTGTTTGCCTACCTGAAGATGCTTGTTGGTCTGTAGGAGAGGGCAAGGAACCTTAGCACCTGCCTCTGAAAGAGGTGGGATAAGTATAAGGCTGAGAGGAGCTGGCTAAAGGACAAAGATCGAGAAGTTGGCACGGAGAGGTGAGCCCATGCTAAACAAAGACCACCTTCTTGGAAGAAAGGGACTAGCAACTCAGAAAGCAAATACCTGTGCCTTGTTCCCTTGCTTTACAAAGCCCTGCAGTTAAGGAAGGGAATCAGGGTGAGAGACCTTTCCTGGCACTATCAGCCACAATGTTAAAGGAGTGGTAGATCCCACAGAAACCCTAAGTTTCGTGCTGCTGCATTATCCTATCTAGGTGGGCACCAGTTGAGGGGCAGGGTGGGGAGAAGAAAAGCATGCCTCATTCTGCCCCATGAAATGATGCCCCAGATGGTAGTGGCATGGTCCTTCCCAACCCCAGGCCACCCCCCAACCCAAGCACCCCCAAGCCCGAGGCTTTTTCCTGAAGCAAACATTTCACTAAGGTCTAACCAGTAGGGAGACTTCTGAATTGGCCACAGACCTAGAATATTCTGGAAGGAAGCACAATTTTGGATTTGTACTGCCAATTTACTTTTTTTAATTTCCTTGAAATGTGCCTTGTGCTTTGAATAAGCATACAACTTTGAATTGAACTGATTTGAATTGAATTAAATGATAATGGCAACTAGCATGGGCAGGGGAAAGGAGGACAGTGACTCCATTTACCAAGGTTAGTTTTACCAACCGCCTTTTTCAGGTATATCTATTTCCTGCTTGTAGATGGACAATAGGGAGGGTGGAAAATAAGAGGAGGGCTTGGAAAAATTATGGAGGTAAATTTTCCCAGCTGGAAGGCATAAGGGGAAGGGAGACAAGCATAAATATTGACACAAGGTTCATGAAATTTAAGATCCACTGAGCTAAACTGCATTCCTGGATAAGTCGCCAATAAATACTTCCAGTCCTGCTGACATGGCAGAACAAACCACCCCCCAGCATGGTGAGCCACCAAAGTTAGGGTGATGAAGGTGATTTGACAAGAGCAGTTTTTTACTTCTCTGAGTGAGGGCAGGAGGGGTAGAATGCCTTGTTAAAACAAGGTTTGGTTGCGCCCGTCATCCCTTGTGTCACTCAGAGATTGTTTGTGATGCTCACATGGGACCTTGGACAGGAGGAAGCTGAAAGGCACAATTCATTGCTCCTGCCATCATTCTGTGCCAGAGTTTGCCCCAAATCAATTGCTAGAGCTGCTTTTCCAAGACAGTGTCCATCTCTCCACCAAGATTCTCCTTGGGCTCCCTCCCACTCATCATCGCCTTCTGCATCTGCATCTGCATTCTCCTCCCCATTTTCCTGCCCCTGAAATTCGGAGCTCTGGGCCCTGGCCATGCAGGGCAGTTCACATGATCCACAGAGAACAAGGCACTTTCTCTTTCTCTGTCTTTCCTTCTTGCTTCCCTCCTTCTGGACTTTGGGGATTTTCCATGAAACCAAAGTAACTATGTAAGTGGCAGTGGCCTTCCTGTCTATAGTCTCCCACACTGGAGTGGAACCAGAAGGGAAGAGAGAAGATAAGCGAGAAGCAAGGACAAATTAAACCATGGCATTTCAGCCTCCTTATTCCTCCAGCCTCTTCAGAAAAAGGGACAAGTAAGTAATTAGAACTAGACAGTGCTTCAGATGGAGGGGGCCCGTAGTGGAGGAGTAAGTGGGGAGGGATGTTTTTCAACCATCCCATTAACACTGTGTTAACGCTCTAGTGCTCAATATCCTTTTTGTATTTCCTTTTCCAGCTCCTAACCCAGTGTTTGCTTTGTGGCTTCTCCCGCACCTCTCGCATCATGTCTTTTTCCGCTTCTCCTGACACAGGACCCTGTGTTTTGCTGGCAACATTGCCGAACCTTTGGGTGGAACATTCCCTGTAGAAAATAAGGAAGACTTACCTATAAATAGTTTCCTTCTGGCTGTGTGGTACACAGTGCTTCAAGTGTAACAAAAAGGGAAGTGAGATGTTCCCCCTCATCACCACCCCCAACCTACCGCACCCGCCCTGAATCTGCTGTCCAACGCCATCAGGGCTCTGAGATCCTGCCCGGGGTTATGCTGCCCAGACTTTGCCCAGTCTCTGTTCTACTGTCCCATGGGAACCTGACGTAGGAAGGGCTCTTGTCCTAGAGAGTCCAGTCTGGCTTTTGAAGGGGAAAAGATGAATGGGAAATGCTGAGGCACTTCTTTCAGCTCAAAGGGAATATGCTGGTTTCCAAAGCCTCCTGAAATGAAGGGAATTGGCCCTGTCCTCATTACGCCACCCTCCATCTAGAAGGTCGCCCCTGAGAAAGGTAGGGTCAGCCATGTCTGTTTTGTTACTATGTCCCTTTAAGACTACAGCTGAGAGCCAGCAAAGGGCCTGGCTCCTCAGTGAGGTGCTGTTGCCGTGTTGGCTCTGGGTCCAGCCTACATTGTGAGTTGTGGGATGTCAGAAAGAGAATTTGGCAACATTTATGAATGTTGGGGTAGCTGGGCCATTGAATGCCTAGGCCACTGTTTCCTGTTTGGGGCCCACTTCCACGGGACACAAGGACCCTGAGAGTCTCAATATTGGATCAGATCATGGATAGGTACAGCACAAACTTCCACTCACTGCAAGGTTTGGCATAGCTATTCTGGGTGGAGAAATTTTCTGGTGTGCTGAGGGTTAAGCAGAAAACTCTTTGGGTTCCTCCTCCTTCCCCCACCCCCACCCTTCCTACCCACCCTTATCTCCCCTGCCCTTGTTGTTGGAAAATCTTTTTTCTTTTCTTTTCTTTTTTTTCTTTAGACAGAGTTTCGCTCTTGTTGCCCAAGCTGGAGTGCAATGCCACGATCTCGGCTCACTGCAACCTCCGCCTCGCGGGTTCAAGTGATTCTTCTGCCTCAGCCTCCCGAGTAGCTGGGATTACAGGCATGCGCCACCATGCCCGGCTAATTTTTTGTATTTTTAATAGAAACTGGGTTTCACCATGTTGGCCAGGCTGGTCTCGAACTCCTGACCTCAGGTGATCTGCCCACCGCAGCCTCCTGAAGTGCTGAGATTACAGGCGTGAGCCGCTGCGCCTGGCCAGAAAATCTTTCTACAGAGACATTTAAGTCCATATTCTTCCCTTAGGGAGCCAGTGGACCCTGGGATCCATTCATTCTTTCCTAATGGAGGATCATAAGGTCTCAGGGTGATCACATCTCACTCAGCAGAACCAGAGATGTAGAGAGGATGAGAGCTTGTCTGAGTCTGGGCTGAACCTGGGACCTCCTTTCCAAGTCTTTTTTTTTTTTTTTAACTAAATCTTTGATACGAACTTGTTTTCTTATTGACCTCATTTTCCTAAAAGCTGGAATAGGGGGAAAAAGGAGTTAATTAAGAGTTGCCGGTGAGTGGGGCTCCAGGAACTCAAAGTTTGACTGCATTGTGATTGTGCTGCCAAGACTCCATACTTGATTTGGAATATTGTACACTCTCCTACACGTTCCATTCTGGAAGCCACCCTGTTAGATTAATGTCTCCTATTTCCCAAACAGATAGCTTTCTTTGAGGATTGCTTGGCTGCCTTTTGGAATGATGTGGTTGAGCATGGCCGTCTCATAAAGCTCATTTGGACAGTTGGATATTGTTCCAGTCACCCATTGCAGCTCTCCTCTGCCTCACGTGTCAGAAAAGCCAAGGCTCGCAGAACTCAAAGGCAGTCTCTGGACCTCTCTAATAGTAGGGCTGCTGCTTCTCACCCTTTCTTCTTCCTTACCACTCTCTGGCACCTCCAAACCCCCTACCAACTTCCTCAACTCACTCATTCAAGCCTCTAACCATTCAACAAACCTATTCCCTGCCCCACTGATCAGTGCAGTAGGAACAGATTTGATCTCTGGGTCAGGAAGACCCTGGGCTGCAGTTCTAGCTCTGTAATTTATTACCTTTGCCGCCTTGGGCAAGGTAGCCTCTCAGACCCTTGGTTTCTTCATCTGTAAAATGATAGTGACAGTGCCTAAACCTTGGGGTTGGTGGTGCAGCCAGCACAGTGTCTGCCCATAGCTGATGCTCTATTAATAGTAACTATTATTGTCAGTGAGTCTCAGACTCAATTTGCTTTTATAATTGAAGTATAACTAATGAACAACTCAGACGAGATCAGGTGTGTTCAGGGTGGTATGGCCGTAGACAAATTAATGATCAATTCAAATGCAGCTTTGCTGGGAACCTTAACCCTTTTGCCTTCCCTTCCCATACCACCTGGATTTCTCTGCCTCTGTCTCCACATAAGGGAGTCCCTCTTGAAGGAGCTGTTTTTACTTCTGTCCTGTGCCCTGTTTTCCTGGTGGTGTTTTTCCCCTGCCAGCCCAGCTTATTTCTCTGTCCCCTTTTCTTCTCATCATCTTCCTTGGAATCTTCGGGGGAGGGGAAAGCAATAGTTGAGGAAAAATTAACAAGCCAATGAAAGGTCAGCTCGGAGACTTTCTGAACCAAGAAAACTCTATGTGGTGCAGAGGGCAAATTAATATTAATATATCAGGGAATTCTGATACCAGTTAAGCTCCTGATTTAAGAGGTTTTTTTTTTTAGTGAATGTTCTTGATGACCCATAAGTATAGCCTGCACTTTGTTCTGTCTACTACACATGTCTTAGTGCAAACACCGTGTTCAGAGAGGTTGTGTCTTAAAGTTAACAGAATGTCCTGAGATCATTATTGTCTCCCACCTAAAGTGAGATGAAGAAAAACACCATCCCGGGCTAGTGCAGCAGGTTTACTTAGTTCTATTGGTCAGTACTTTGCAATATAATGGCTCTTGTACACATATTATCACCACTGGAATCCACCAATAGAGCACCACACCATAGCCAAAAATGTTGGCTGTTCAGTGGCATAACTGCCCTGGAAGCCGGGAGGAAATCAAGGCCTTCAGACTGCATTTGGCTGGGGCCTTGGCCAGGGTGTTAGTGCCAGGCACCTGGTTAAGATAAATGTCCTGAAGCAAACAATAATTACCTTCTTTGCTGATAAGAGGCCCCAGTACTTTTCCAATAGCATGATTGCGTTAGGATCTTTCTTTGGACCACAGCCTGTGGAGCACTGATTCATGGGTACTGGCCTTAACTTCATCCAAACTGTTGTATATGTGGTGGAACCCAATGTTCTCCTTTGGTCCTGAGTTGGTGTAAATAATATTCCCGGTTGCATCACCTGTCCCTGCCCCTCTTGCTCCTTCTGGTGGAAATTCTGCTTTTGTCCACCAGGTGGCCTCACTTAGGAAGGAGCAGAAGAAAAGGACCTCAAGTCTCTGGTGCCTTTATTTTTTTTCCCTCAGCTTGAGGCTGAATATAAATAAGATATATTTTAATGGAAACGTGTAACTTTTATTATGGAACAATCACCTCATCTTGTTTATGGTTTGGAGTCTGTTTTTCCTGAAGTACCTCTAATGCTGTGCATGGCTGGGCCCATCACAGGGCAGGTGTTTTCCTGGGATCGTTTATATAAATGTATACCTTTGGTTTGGAGTGTTATTGTCATTCGCTGTTTTAAAGAAAAGTAACAAAGTTGTGTTTTTAAAAAATAGAGACACGGGATCCTGGATAATGTTGAATGTATTTTCTTCAAAGAGTAGAATGTGGAGACTAAAGAGAAAAGGGCTGGCATCTTGTGGTCACTCCAGTGCTCACTCCAATACCCTGTCTCCTCCTCACCTCCTCTGTCACCCACCTAGCTGCTCTCCCATACATGTTCACCCACTCACCTCAGCTCCCGGACACCCTCTCCTCCATACATATGCATCTGTAGATTAGCATGGACCTGTGCATGCATTACATGCATGTCACAGATCTGTACATGTGCCGGTCCACAGACAAGTACTCCCACACCTGAACATTCAGAGGAAGGGGCAAGTGGATGAGTGCTGGGGTTCAGGGCAGGTCGGCAGGCCAGCTGGCTGGTGAGGGGAAAGCTGAGTTGATTAGAGAGTGAATGTGCAGGTGACAAAGTATGTGTGCAGGGGAGAGACTGAGAGGGCAGTGACTGGGAAGAGGGTGAGGCCGTGATGGTGAGGGCGCGTGTCCAGGGAGTATGACATGGGAGAGCATGCAAAGCCATGGGGGCATGCTGGCTGCCACCTGAAGAAGAGCTTTTCAAACTAGCGCTGTTCTTTACTGAATGCCCTCTGCCTCTTGTTAGGGCATTTGTATTTCTTATTTCTCTAGAAATCAGCTCCAGTTTGGTTTTTATCGATCTCCAGAGCCTTCTTTGGAGATGCCAGTTGGTACAAGAAAGTGCTGAACTGTTTACAGTCCCAGCCTAAGGTTCAGGGAGGGGATGTGGTTTAACTGGGCCACAAAGCCCGGTACAGGACTCATTTGCATGGCCCCTGACGCCATGTGACGCAGCCGGCTCCTCCTATATAAAGAAGCAGGAGCCAAAATATCTCCGAGTCTGGGTTGGACTGGCGGCCGTGGAGTTTGTGACATACGAGGTGACACCCCTCGAGTCACTTCCCTTCAACTCCAGCTGGAGCGCCTGCTTGGCTTTGGGTTCGTTCTGCAGCCTTCGCCCCGCTCCTAGCCTCAGGGCCGGACTCCAGCGCAGAGCCCAGCCCAGCGCAGCCTGCCAGCAGCCACCCAGCCGCCCAGCCGCCCAGCCCCGCACGAAACCCGGCCAGAGCTTCCTAGCAGCCCGAGCCATGAACACCGAAATGTATCAGACCCCCATGGAGGTGGCGGTCTACCAGCTGCACAATTTCTCCATCTCCTTCTTCTCTTCTCTGCTTGGAGGGGATGTGGTTTCCGTTAAGCTGGACAACAGGTAACCGCTGGCCCCAGCTCCGGCGCCTCCCGAGCCGGGGCGCCGGCCGGAGCTGGGCTAGGAGCCCGGTCTCTGAGCGAGCTGTGTGCCGCCGGTCCCTGTTCCCCGCGGTGCAGCATCCTGGGAAGGGGCGGGGGGGAGGGGACGCAGGAAGGGGGGGGTCACCGCCGCTCTGGGATCCGTCATCGAAGCGTCCCTGCGGCCGCTGCGCCGTGAAAACCAGCTGCTGCAGCCGCAGAGGCAGCCGGAGGCAGAGGGGCGGCGGGCAGGACCAGACAGGGCTGGGCAGGGGGCTGGCCGAGCGCCGTGCGCCGCTTGGGAGAAGGCCGGAAGCTTACCAGCCGAGAAGGAATTCCTAGCTAGCTTCAGAGCCGGGTAGGTTTGCCTGGGACCTTGTAGGCCGGCTGTGGGGGACTCCCCGGGTCGCACAGCCCCATTGTTTGCATATTGCCCGAGCAGGCCACGGTGGCCTGCGCGCCCCAGGACTCGCAAGCAGCTCCGATCGGTTGGAACTCGGGGCGGCGGCAGCAGCGCTGAGCCGGCCTGGATGAGGAGATGCAGCTTCCTGCAGGGGCCAAGGAAGGATCTGGGGACAAACTGTCCGGAACTCTGGGCCAGGGAGGCGAGAAGGAGAGAGAGAGGAAGAGCCGAGGCAGATGGAGGACTTTGGCCACAACTGCCATGTACTCAAGAGTAGAACCGAGTGGGTAATGGGTCGCTTTGCTTTTTGTCTTGGCAGTGCCTCCGGAGCCAGCGTGGTGGCCATAGACAACAAGATCGAACAGGCCATGGTGAGTGGCATCACTGCGTCATTCTCATCCCCTGACTTAGCTGCTGCTTATGTAACTCTGGGCAGGATTGAGGGAATGGGTGAAAAAGCCCTTAGCCAAAACCCTGAGGAAGCCGACAGCCTGCCTCCTATCCGCACTGGAGGTGGAGTCTGATTAGAGTGGCACCTTTTAGGGCATTTCCAGTCTTCCCTTCCTGGGCTCCCTCCTTTCTTCCTCCCTCCTCCATCTCAGGTCTTTGCCGCAGGCTCTGACTCTCTCCTGGGCCTGTTGTTGGGCAGGGAGCTCAGACTCTTGCATTTGTGTGCATCGTGCAGCTGGCAAGGGGCTGAGCTCATTGGATGCAACAGCACTGCAGTGCCTCTGCAGAGCCTGGACTGGGGTCAGGAGTTGGGTGGAAACAGGAAGCGAAGCACCCCACCCCTGTCCCTCTCCTTACCAGGTAGAGGTCATACTCCAAGGAGCAGCCACAATGGCTGCAGAGGGTTAGGGCTTCAGCGGTTGGGAGCCACTTAATTGTGCCCTGGAGCTTAAGGACACCTTCCCTGCCCCCAGTGCAGTCATCAAATTCAGAGAGGATGCGGCAGTTCTGTACCTTTCCCCAAGGCCAATGTCCTGTGTGCTAACTGGCCGGCTGCAGGACAGCTGCAATTCAATGTGCTGGGTCATATGGAGGGGAGGAGACTCTAAAATAGCCAATTTTATTCTCTTGGTTAAGATTTGTACAGCAGACAAACAGTATGGGATGCATTGCAGGTCTACCCTTCCCCCAGATCTGGATCGGCAGCAGTAGGGGCTTATGTAAAAAGGGGGACATAGCAAACCACTGGCAAACAGCAGAAGTGTCACCCCAAAGGCCCCTCAGCAGCCAGCTTTGAAAGTCATTAGAAACTTGCAGGGGAGAACCTATCTAGTTCAAAGCTGGGCTCTCAACTCCAGCATAAGCCAAATCATGTAGCTCTCCTGAATGAGGGTTTAAGTGCTTCAGAGAAAGGTGAACGAGGAATTGGACTTGCCAGACCAGTTCACTGAGGGAAGGCTGGAGGGCCCTGGCATTAAGGACAGCACAGGCACACCAATGACAGAGCAAAGGTGCTGCAGAGGGGCCACGATGGCTAAGGAATGGCTTTGTTATGATTCCCTCATTGGCAGGATCTGGTGAAGAATCATCTGATGTATGCTGTGAGAGAGGAGGTGGAGATCCTGAAGGAGCAGATCCGAGAGCTGGTGGAGAAGAACTCCCAGCTAGAGCGTGAGAACACCCTGTTGAAGACCCTGGCAAGCCCAGAGCAGCTGGAGAAGTTCCAGTCCTGTCTGAGCCCTGAAGAGCCAGCTCCCGAATCCCCACAAGTGCCCGAGGCCCCTGGTGGTTCTGCGGTGTAAGTGGCTCTGTCCTCAGGGTGGGCAGAGCCACTAAACTTGTTTTACCTAGTTCTTTCCAGTTTGTTTTTGGCTCCCCAAGCATCATCTCACGAGGAGAACTTTACACCTAGCACAGCTGGTGCCAAGAGATGTCCTAAGGACATGGCCACCTGGGTCCACTCCAGCGACAGACCCCTGACAAGAGCAGGTCTCTGGAGGCTGAGTTGCATGGGGCCTAGTAACACCAAGCCAGTGAGCCTCTAATGCTACTGCGCCCTGGGGGCTCCCAGGGCCTGGGCAACTTAGCTGCAACTGGCAAAGGAGAAGGGTAGTTTGAGGTGTGACACCAGTTTGCTCCAGAAAGTTTAAGGGGTCTGTTTCTCATCTCCATGGACATCTTCAACAGCTTCACCTGACAACGACTGTTCCTATGAAGAAGCCACTTGTGTTTTAAGCAGAGGCAACCTCTCTCTTCTCCTCTGTTTCGTGAAGGCAGGGGACACAGATGGGAGAGATTGAGCCAAGTCAGCCTTCTGTTGGTTAATATGGTATAATGCATGGCTTTGTGCACAGCCCAGTGTGGGATTACAGCTTTGGGATGACCGCTTACAAAGTTCTGTTTGGTTAGTATTGGCATAGTTTTTCTATATAGCCATAAATGCGTATATATACCCATAGGGCTAGATCTGTATCTTAGTGTAGCGATGTATACATATACACATCCACCTACATGTTGAAGGGCCTAACCAGCCTTGGGAGTATTGACTGGTCCCTTACCTCTTATGGCTAAGTCTTTGACTGTGTTCATTTACCAAGTTGACCCAGTTTGTCTTTTAGGTTAAGTAAGACTCGAGAGTAAAGGCAAGGAGGGGGGCCAGCCTCTGAATGCGGCCACGGATGCCTTGCTGCTGCAACCCTTTCCCCAGCTGTCCACTGAAACGTGAAGTCCTGTTTTGAATGCCAAACCCACCATTCACTGGTGCTGACTACATAGAATGGGGTTGAGAGAAGATCAGTTTGGGCTTCACAGTGTCATTTGAAAACGTTTTTTGTTTTGTTTTGTAATTATTGTGGAAAACTTTCAAGTGAACAGAAGGATGGTGTCCTACTGTGGATGAGGGATGAACAAGGGGATGGCTTTGATCCAATGGAGCCTGGGAGGTGTGCCCAGAAAGCTTGTCTGTAGCGGGTTTTGTGAGAGTGAACACTTTCCACTTTTTGACACCTTATCCTGATGTATGGTTCCAGGATTTGGATTTTGATTTTCCAAATGTAGCTTGAAATTTCAATAAACTTTGCTCTGTTTTTCTAAAAATAAACTTGGTGTCTGACTGAGTATAAATGGACTGGGTGGGAGAGGCCCCTCACCCAGTAGGGGCTGTTTTGCTGACCCCCTGAATATCCCTTGAGCACCCTGTCAGTGCCAGGCCTATGCTGCAGCCGTGATCTCGTGTCATCTGCACAATACTCATATGAAGGACATGCTGTTTGCCCTCACTGTCTGGATAAAGAAACTGAGACTCAGCGAGTTTAAGTGACTTGCCCAAAGTCACATGGCTATTACGGGAATTAGGACTCAAGCCCAGATCCTTCCTCCCTCTCCTGCTCCGCTTTCATATGAGAGCTTCGGAGTGAGTGGCAAGGTGACTCATAACACACAACTGTAGCTTGAGGGGGTGATTTGGGAGGAAAGATACCCCGAGGAAGGCCCAAAAGAAACAGGCAGGGTATACATAGGAGGGAGCGAGAAGAGCGGAACCAAATCAACAGGCGTGGGCCTCTTCTGTCTTCTGAAAACATCACTGGGCTCACTTAATGCATTCTCCTTAATACCAATCCACATGTGACACTTGACTTGGCAAAGGAGCTAAGAAGGCTCTAGTAAGAGAAGGAGGGAGAATGTATGAGGTAGCAAAACCACCCCCCTTTCCTTTGCTCTTCCCCTTACTTCCAGCCAAGGAAAGATATCCTCAGTCCCTGCTGAAAGTTCTCAGGGACACTGCTGAAAGTTCTCTCACCAAACCCACCAACCACGTGGGTAGGGCCAAGTCTAAGGCTCCTGGCTCCAGATTCCTTCCTCCACCTCTCTTTGGGGTTCATTATCACCCATCACCCTTTCCCAGCTCCATGTCCCCAGCATCCAGAGACCTAGCATTTCTCTGATTGGTTGTTGATGAGTGCTTAGTGTCTCCTTTACCACGCCCTAACCTGAACTTCCTCTGGACCCTGAGCTGTGTTCTAAGCCCACTATGTTCCCAAGGGAAACGATCACCTCTCTTCAAGTGACTCCATTCCATCTCAGCTTCTGGTAGCATATATACCTATCCTTTTCCCACTTGAAATTGGGGAAACAGAACTCCTTGATTTTCCTGAGCCACAAACCTCAGGGTGACCAAGATATCTTGCCCCCCGCCCCTTACATCAACCACTGCCTAAATGTAATCAAAATGACATGCTTCTTCCTCTGTAAAGGTCATACATGTTGACATTTTGGGTTTTTTTTTTTGGTTTTTTTTTTTGAGACAGGGTCTCACTCTTGTTGCCCAGGCTGGAATGCAGTGGGGCCATCAAAGCTCACTGCAGTCTCAACTCCCTGGGCTCAGATGATCCTCACCTCAGCCTCCTGAGTAGCTGGGGCTACAGGTGTGCACCACCACTCCTGAATATATATATTTTTTTGTATTTTTAGTAGAGATGGAGGTTTCGCCATGTTGCCCAGGCTGGTCTCGAGCTCCTGGACTCAAGCAACCTGCCTCCTTGGCCCTCCAGAGTGCAGGGATTATAGGCATGCGCCACTGCACCCAGCTGACCTGTTCTTTTCTAATCACCAAAACCCTTCAGAACATTGCAAACTCCTGCTTGCTGGCCTCTCAAATCCCAATTTCCCCACCTGCTCCCAACCTTGCTATTCATAATGCCAGGTTCATTGTCTATACCTGCCAACTGGTTCATGGCATGCAGATTCCACAGCTGCTGGTACAGATACAAACTTCAAACGAGTGCATTCAAAGCCCCCTGGCAGCCATTCCTCACCCTGACCAGCTCTCCCAGTCCCCACTTACTCCCAAATCCCCACCTTTCAAAATTAGCTCAGAGACTTTGTGGCTATTTGGTTCATCTTCTGTAGACTTCCCATGCCAGACTTGCAGCTGAATGAGAAAAAGCAGATGAAAAAAGGAAACCTAGAAAATAGCCCAACAACGCCCCAAACCTCTCTGGTCATCAAGCCTTTCTCTACAAGAAAGGGGAAAAAACTGGCCCCACAGTCACATAGTGGTAAAGAGAGAACAACTTTGTTTCCTAGGCAACGCTGACTAAACAGAGACAAACACTGCAACTTCTGAGGCCACAGCAGTTACTAGGCTAGATAAGAGGAAGTTTGTAGATGTTTCTTAGTCACATACAGGAGCTGCTTTCTGTTGTTGTTTCTCCACAGAAAAGTGACTAAGGGTGGAGGAAGGCAAAAGAACACGTTGCTCCTGGAAAGACTTCCATGGGTTTTAGGCTTCTGGGCTCAGCTGGTCCAGCTGGACCCAGAACGAGGAAAATAATAATGAGGCTTGAAGGAGTATGCATCCCCTGCCTGCTTTTGCCACCTCTGCATGTGCCCTCCCATCTATTCTCTCATCTCATCCTCATGGAGGCTTCCCAGCATAGCAGCAAGGATCACAAGAGCACTGCTCCCTGGCCCCGCTTCCGAGTACAAAACATTCTGTTTCCTGCCCTTAGAAAAAGAGGCAGTTATGATTTACCTCCATTTGACAGACGAGAAAACTGAGAGCCAGAGAACTTAGTGCTACTCCCATGGCTCCCACATGTCCCATGGGGCAGTGGTTCCCAACCTTAGTGACAATAAGGGCCCTTTTTTTATGTCAAAAATATTCTCAAACCTCCCCCAACTCTATAGTACTTGAACTTTTGGTATTCATTGAGAGAGAAAGAGAGACTCGGGTGGGCGGGGCCGGGGGGGGGGCGGCAGGACACATAATTACAAACACTGGCTGTGAATTCAGTGGGCCTTAAAGGAATTAATTATATTCACTACAAAATCAAAGACATGGATTTGAAAGCTAAAACAACAATGCATATATTAATTAGCTAGATTGAGCCATTCCACAATGTGTATATATTTCAAAACATCACAAATGCATACAATTTTAGTTGTGTCTGTCAATTTAAAGAAAAAGTAGACTAGAACAGAAATGTGGGTGATGGGTTATTTCCAGACAAGGACTGCTTGGGACACAAAGTGTGAGGCTTTCAAGCTGGGGATGGCCACAGAGGAGGGTGTTCCAGGAGGGCTCCGACAAGGAAGCCAGGGGCAGGGCCTCTGGGACCTGGAGTATCAGCAGAAGGACTCCAGAAAGACCATAGGAAAAAAGGTGCATGATCCACTGTCCTTTAAGGTATTGTGAAGTTGGCTGGGTGCAGTGGCTCACGCCTGCAATCCCAGCACTTTGGGAGGCCAAGGCGGGCAGATCACCTGAGGTCAGGAGTTCGAGACCAGCCTGGCCAACATGGTGAAACCCTATCTCTACTAAAAATACAAAATTAGCTGAGTGTGGTGGCGCATGCCTGTAATCCCAGCTACTCGGGAGGCTGAGGCAGGAGAATTGCTTGAACCCAGGAGGCGGAGGTTGCAGTGAGTCAAGATCACACCATTGCACTCCAACCTGGGCAACAAGAGCGAAACTCCGTCTTAAAAAAAAAAATGATAAAATTATTGCAAAGTTGCCCTCACATCATCCACATCATCAATCCTATTTATGCTGGAAAATCTTGCTTTCAACTCTCAGCACCTCTCCTCCTAGTTGGTTAGAAATTAATGGACATAATTACAGCTTTGTAGACGGCCCAGTTCCTCAGGTTATCTCATGTACAGGAGCTTGTTGAAACCCAAACACTTAATACTTAACCGCCTCCACAAGATCAGGCAAGGTTTAACAGAGAACTCGATCAGTTAGGTATTCCAAGCAGACATGGTTTCCAGAGATGAGCTGGCTGAAAGAGGAGGTGATCATACTAATTACTAATAATAGCTAACACTTACATGGCACTTACTTTACGCTAGAAACCGTCATAAGACTTTTTACATCTGTTGACTCTTAATCCTGTCCACAGACATATGAGGTATGCCCTATTGAGATCACCATTCTACACATGAGAACATGAAAACACTACGGCACAGAGAGGTTAAGCAACTTGCCCAAAGTCATACAGCTGGTGAATGGCAAAGCCCACATTGGGGGGAGGCAAGATTAATGCACTGAGAAGCAGGATAGAGAATCTGAACAGTTTTCATAATTCCTCCAACGTAACCAGAAGTGTTCCAGGGCTCATGGTGGGAAGGGGGAAATAGAAGAAAGACCACCCCAAACTAGCAGAGGGACTAACACAAGGAAAATAAATGACTAATGAGCACGGGAGGGGTGGCAGTGAACAGAGAAGAAGGTAAGCGGGAGGGTGGGAGGCTCACTTGGCTGGCTCCCAGCCAAGTGACTTTAGATAGAATCTAAGAGGTCTCAGGGAGCCATGGTAGGCTTCTGAGCAGGGAAGTGATGTGATGCAAAAGATATTTGTAGAAGATGGGTCCTGGCAGCTGGAGAGGCTGGAATAGGGAAAGGCTAGTGATGGGCCAGCTGTTGCTGTAATCCAGGTGTGAGGTGATGAGGGCCAGCTGGGGCAGGGATAGGGGTAGTAGAAGGAAGAGGAAGGGACAAAGCCAAAAGACACTGAGAGGCAGTATTTATTTCTCCAAGTGCAGTCTGCAGTCCACCCACATCAGGTTTGTTGGGAAGTTTAAAATGTGGATTCCATGCTCCACCCCTACACCAAAGAGCCGAGTAGGACTGGGGAATTGATAACTCTTAACAAATCCCTCTTGGTGCTGGAGTATGGGAAAGTTTGAGGAATCTCCACTAGGTGAAAAATCAGAATTACTTGGTGGCAAAGTAAGCTGGGGAGAAGACAGCAAGGTAGCCACAAGTCAAGGATGACATGAGTTTTGGGTTTGGGTTTTTGTTTTTGTTTTTTTTAATTGTGGTGAAATAGACATAACATAGAATTTACCATTTTCACCCATTACAAATGTACAGTCCAATGCCATTAATTATGGTCACATTGTTGTGTAACCATCACCACCATCCTTCTCAAGAACTTTGTCATCATCCCAAACTGGCACTGTATACCCATTAAACACTAACCACCCCCCAACCCCATTTCCTTCTCCCCCAGCCTCTGGTGACATGGAAGTTTTGAGTCGGGAGGATTGGTGGACTATGGAAGCACTGAAAGAAACAGGGGGTAGGAAAAGGCTGTAGCTTTGCATAGGGAAGATGAATTCCAATTTTGATTTCTGGCTGAGCGAGGCATATTTACATATGGAAATATCCTATAGAAAGACAAATGTGAAGGTGAAGTCGAGGGCTAGAGCTCGAGATGCGGGCATGTCTGTGTGTCATGGGAGCTGAAGACGTGTGCGGACAGATGCCCCAGAGAAGTGGCTACAGAGGAGGACGAGCAGGAGCTCCAGAGCCAACCCTGGGAGGCTGTCCCCAGGGCAGCCTTACGTTCCAGGGAGTAGGAAGACAGGCAGGCTATGGAGGTGGCAAAAGGGCTAGGGAAAGTCGGAGAGAATGCTGAGGCTTGATAATCTCCTGTTTCCATCATTTGGTCTATTCTTTTGACATTTTCTCTTCAGAGTCCTTACCACAAGCCCCACCATCTTATAAAATTAAACTGACAGTCACTTTGAGGAAGGCTGAGGGAGCAGAAGTATTCCTGGAAAAGGCAGTCAGGAGTTCTGGGCTGTAGTCCTAGTCTTTGGCTAGCAAACTACATGACCTTGGACAAGTCATTGGCATCTCTAGACCTCGGTTTTCCAATCTGCAAAACAAGGTGGCTATACACGATCGTTTCTAAGTCAAGTGCTTAGTGGGTACTGGGGCCAGGAGGAGTCCTCTGGCTGTGAGACTCCTACATGTTACCTCTTTGTTCTAGGCCTCAGCTCTGCTTCTAGCCCCCAAATTCTACTCATCCTCATATCTAGCTCTTATCCAGTTACCCTGTTTGAAGAAGGCTGAGGAAATAGCCACTTTTAAAGATGGATACGTGGCCCAGCACCCACAAGACTCCATGCAATTTTGGAGAGGAAGAGAATCACCTACAGCCTTATTTCTTCCCTTTTTATTTCCCCTTCTTTTCCTTCCTTCCTTCCTTCCTTCTTTCCTTCCTTCCTTCCTTTCTTCTTTCTTCTTTCGACGGAGTCTTGCTCTGTAACCTAGGTTGGAGTGCATGGCGCGATCGGCTCACTGCAACCTCTGCCTCCCAGGTTCAAGTGATTCTCCTGCCCCAGCCTCCTGAGTAGCTAGGATTACAGGCGTGCACCACCACGCCTGGCTAATTTTTGGATTTTTAGTAGAGACAGGGTTTCACCATGTTGGTCAGGCTGGTCTCGAACTGACCTCCTGATCCGTCCGCCTTGGCCTCCCAAAGTGCTGGAATTACAGGCATGAACCACCACCCCCGGCTCCTTCCTTTCCTTCCTTCCTTCCTTCCTTCCTTCCTTCCTTCCTTCCTTTCTGTCCTTCCTTCCTTCCTTCCTTCTTCCTTTCTTTGTAACACAGTCTCATTCTGTCGCCCAGACTGGAGTGCAGTGGCACAATCTCAGCTCACTGCAACCTCTGCCTCCCAGGTTCAAGCCGTTCTCTTCCCTCAGCCTCCCCAACAGCTGGGATTACAGGCCTGCACCACCACGCCCAGCTAATTTTTATATTTTTAGTAGAGACAGGGCTTCACCATGTTGGCCAAGCTGGTCTTGAACTCCTGACCTCAGATGATCCACCTGCCTTGGTCTCCCAAAGTGCTGGGATTATAGGCATGAGCCACTGCACCTGGCTTCCCCCCTTTTTCATTTCAGGAGCCACTTCTGATTGCTCACATTGTGACAACACACTTAGAAGCTCTGGGGTGCCAAACTAGAATGGGAGGGAGGTGGGTGGATTCCATGGGTAGGAAGAAATAATAGGTTTGCCTTTGAAAGACTTGTGATTGATGCAGATACATGGAGAGGGCAGGAAAGGAAAGAGAAAGAGATGACTGGGAGGTGGGTGGGTAGGGGAAGACAAGAGCTAGAAGAGGAGGAGCAGGAGCAAAGAGGGCAGCCCTAGCTCACTGCAGCTTCCTCAGCTGGGCTCCTCTGTTGTTCCTTTGCTGTTCCACTGGTCAACTTGCTGCCACCACCTAAGGAAAAAACAGGACGAATTAACCACCAAAGACTGAGTCTGTAGGTCCTGAACTCTTCCAAACATCTCTACTTTGCTGTCCACTGCAATCCAGAACTCTGTCATCTCAAGCGCAAAACTAACCTAACCACCGTGCAAAGGCATCTTGAGGCACAATCGATGTCCTAGTGAGTTAAGTTCACATCTGGGATCAGAATAGAGAGTAATACACCATTAGAGCTGGACAGGGCTCTAGAGATCATCTGTCCCCACCCCCTCACTTCCCACCTGAGAGCAATGAGGGCCAGACAGAGAAATAGGCAAGTCCCAGCCCCACACACACAGTCAGCAGCAGGGCCAGGACAAGCCCTCTGACGTTACACCCTCTACAAATAACTTTGCTGTAAAATGAGGGGTTGGACCAGGGCCCTGCGATAATAGTTCGTCACCTTAGCCGCACATTGAAATCACCTGGGGAGAGCTTGGAGAAATCCTGAATGCTGAACCTCATCCTCAGAAATGTTGATAAAAATTGGTCTGGGATTGAGGCCTGGGCATAGGTGATTCCTGAATGATATGTGAGGATTATTCTAGTCTTGACATCCACATCTGTTCATTCATTCATTTAACAAACATTGGCACCTATTGTGTGTCAGGTACCCTGTGAGGCACAGGGGTGAAACAATGACCAGGTCATACTTCGCCTCTGTGCTCCTGGAGCTTATTTCATGTTTTCCAATGGTGAGAGCAGATGAAAGACAGAATGCGGAGTTGGCAAGGCAGAACAGAGCACACTGAGAGTAGCCCCTGCTCTCTCCAGACCTTATAGGTTCTCTCGGCCTGCAGAGCACACGTGTTCTGTGTTCTGGTCTGCTCTTACAGCCCTGCAGTAACTTTAGTGGGGCAGGCTCATCCCCTACTGGGGAGGCGTGTGCTTGTCCACCTATGGCAAGGACAGTATGGCTAAGTCTTTCTAACTGGACAGAAGTGCATATTAGCAAGTCTGTTCGGCTGCACCCCTACTCCTTTTTCTCCAAATAGCCTTATGATTGCTAAAGGTAATATTCTTTTTTCCTGTCTGGCTTGCGTGTGTGTGTGTGTGTATGTGTCTTGATTGATTCTGATTTCAGGTAGAAGAAAATAGGTGCTATTTATCAGCGACCTCAAACTCCAGAACATTCTATCGGAGATGGGCAATATCCTAAGGCCCCTTCTCAGTCACCTTAGCAGGCTTCTCTTCCCCTATTTGGAGTGTCTCTGAGCTCAGCTCTGTCCTCTCTGTACTCTCTCCCTGGTCAGTTCCATTTACTCCCAAGGTCTTAAGAAACATTTGCCATGCTAATGACTCCCAAATTTGTATCTCCAGTCCTAAGCATTCACCTGAGCTCCAGACTCCAATATTCAACTGTCTCCTTGACAGCTCCATTTGTTTGTGTCACAAGTATGTCAATATCTGCATGACCAAAACCAAAGTCCTGACTCCCACCTCCCCCATTGTATCCCACCTTGGTGTTTGGCACCACCACCTACATAGCTGCTGAAACCAGAAATCTTGATTCCTCCCCCAACCCTTAGCTCCTACATCCAATCCATTACCCAGTCTGGTCCACTCAACTTCCACAACACACCTCGAATCCCTCCACTTCTCTCTAGCCCCCTTCCCACTCCCTGATCTAAGTCACCCTCATCTTTCACACAAAGGCAAAAGCCTCGTTGGTCTCCCTACCTCCACACTGGACCCTGTCCAATTCCACATAGCAGCTAGAGTGACCTCCTTCTTAATGCAAAATCAGATCATGGCATTCCCTTGCTTTAGGCTTGTCAGTGGCTTATCATTGTACTTAGTAAAGTCCAAACTCCTTCCCATGGCCTACAAGTGCCTGCGTGATCTGGCCTCCACTGACCTCTCCAGCCTTTTCCCGTGTCACTCCCCTGCTCTTACCAAGTTCCAGCCCACTGAGCTGCTTTCATTCCTCAAATACTCCTCAGAGCCTTTGTGTGTCTGGTTCAGTCAGCCCAGAACCTTCCACCAGCACCCTCCCCTGACTTTGCTTCGCTGCTTGTTCCAATCCTTGGGCTCTCCTTTCCTCTGAGACATCTTTGCCCGTCACTCTGTCTAAATAAGTTTTCTCCATTACCTTTGTTTTGTTGCATTTATCCCAGATTGTAATGATTTGTTCACAAATTTTTGCTGTTTCTGCCTTGCCACTCTGGAATATCCCTGTGGGCAGGACCCATATCAATTTTGCTCAACACTATATCCTCAGAGCTGAACACAGTGCCTGATACTTGCTGATCAAAAAATAAATTTCTGGGGCCAGGCGTGGTGGCTCATGCTTATAACACTAGCATATTGGGAGGCCGAGGTGGGTGGATCACCTGAGGTCAGGAGTTCGAGACCAGCCTGGCCAACATTGTGAAACTGCATCTCTACTAAAAATACAAAAATTAGCCGGGCGTGGTGGTACACACCTGCATTCTCACCTACTCAGGAGGCTGAGACAGGAGAATGGCTTGAACCCGGGAGAGGTGGTTGCAGTGAGTTGAGATCCCACCACTGCACTCCAGCCTGGGTGACAGAGTGAGACTCTGTCTCCAAATAAATAAATAAATAAGGCCAGGCGCAGTGGCTCACACTTGTAATCCCAGCACTTTTGGAGGCCGGGGCAGGTGGATCACGAGATCAGGAGTTCAAGACCAGCCTGGCCAAGATGGTGAAACCCAATCTCTACTAAAAATACAAAAATTAGCCGGGCGTGGTGGCAGGCGCCTGTAATCTCAGCTACTCAGGAGGCTGGAGCAGAAGAATCGCTTAAACCCAGGAGGTGGAGCTTGCAGTGAGCTGAGATCGTGCCACTGTACTCCAGCTTGGGCGACAGAGTGAGACTTCGTCTCAAAAAAAAAAAAAAAAAAAGAAATAAAGAAATAGGCCGGGTGCGGTGGCTCATGCATGTGATCCCAGCACTTTAGGAGGCCAAGGCAGGCGAATCACGAGGTCAGGAGATCGAGACCGTCTTGACTAACATGGCGAAACCCTGTCTCTATTAAAAATACAAAAAATTAGCCTGGCGTGGTGGCACGCGCCTGTAATCCCAGCTAATTGGGAGGCTGAGGCAGGAGAATTGCTTGATCCTGGAAGGTGGAGGTTGCAGTGAGCCAAGATCGTGCCACTGCGCTCCAGCCTGGGTGATAGAGCAAGACTCCGTCTCAAAAAAAAAAAAAAAAAAAAAACACGAAAGAAGGAAGGAAGGAAGGAGGGAAAGAAGGAAGAAAAAGAAAAATTTCTGGGAGGTTCACATGCTATAGTAGTCATGGATTGGGGAAGACATTTTTGGGTAGGGACAGTGGGGTGGGAAAGCTTTCCCAAATTCTTTCATATCACCTAAGTAAACTGGTGGCCTGTTGATTATTTCCATTATGAAAACATTGAACTGTTTATTCTGTCAATTAGACAGAGTCTCGTTCTGTCACCCAGGCTGGAGTGCAGTGGTGCGGTCTTGGCTCACTGCAACCTCGGCCTCCTGGGTTCAAGTGATTCTCGTGTCTCAGCCTCCCGAGTAGCTGGGATTACAGGTGTGCACCACCATGCTGGGCTAATTTTTCTATTTTTAGTAGAGACAGGGTTTCACCATGTTGGCCAGACTGGTCTCAAACTCCTGACCTCAAGTGATCTGCCTGCCTCGGCCTCCCAAAGTGCTGGGATTACAGGTGTGAGCCACCACACTCAGCCTCTGTTAATAATTTTTAATTTAACCTATCCTATGTGCCAGGCACCAGGCTAAGCACTGGGGATACTGTGGTAAATCTGAGAGACATGTACTGGTCTTCATGGGGCTTACTATGAAGGGAAATTGTACTATGAAGGGAAATTGCCTACAGTCTACTAGTATTCCTGTGCCTCTTGACTAGGGATCCCCCACTCCATACGTAAGACATTCCAAATGCTTACTTTTCCCTATATCCATATTTTAACCCATAAAACCCTAGACCATTATCTGGATCTGTTTGTCAAGCCATAGTCTCATTCTCGGGGTGGGGGTGGTATAGTATGAGTTAGGATTAGCCCTGGCTGTAATAACAGCAAAAATAATAACAGTTGCTTTAAAAAGATAGTTTATTCATCTCTCCCATCAGAGAAGTCTGAAGGTACACAGTCCAGGGTTGATAGGGCAGCTCTATAAAGTCACCACAGACCCAAACTTCTTCCTAGTTGCTGCCTACTGTATTTAGCATATTGCCTCATTGTCTGAGATGGCTGCTCAAGCTCCAGTCATTGTATCCACAATCTAGGCCACAGAAAGGAGGAAGGGGAAGAAAGATGGCTCCTCCCTTTTAAGAAAGCTTCCCAGACATACTGCACAACACTTCTGCTTATAGCTCATTAGCCAGAATCTAGTCTGCCCACTCCTAACTAAAAGAAGGGCTTTCTTGAACTGAGTACATTGCTAGCCCCAAACAGATTCAAGTTTCTGTTATTAAGGAAGTGAAGAACAGACATTGGAGTAGGCAACCAGCAGTTTCTTCTTCAGGTGTTTGGATATATTGAGAGATGAAAAGGAGGGAGAAGAAGAAATGAGGAAGAGAGCACAGGAAAGAGCTTCTCAGGCTCTGTGACCACTGACTTCTACACAGAGGGTTATGCCTACTCAAGCAGGTCAGAGCTGGCTGACAGGTGTGGCCATATGCTTTGGGAACACAGTGAAAAGAGCACATCCCTGAGGGTTGGGGGAGTGTCCCTGCTGCTGCAGAGCTGTTTTGCCAGAATGGCCCAGGCAAGGGGGATCTCAGGAAATGACCCGAGAGGCCTCTTACTAAAGAAATTGCAGAAACTGGGAGCCCAGACTATGCTCTTAAATGTCTTTATGGAGGCAAAGGGGATAGTGATCCTTAAAATAGGCAGCCTCAGGTCAAAATCTGCGGCCCTGATATCCAAAGTCAAAATTCTAGAAAAGATCCTCTTAGTTTTTAATGGCTATAAAAGGAACATCAGCACAGAATCTTCAAATCTTGGAACTGGGAGAGGGCGGGTGGGACTGGAACTGGGTGGGAGGTAAACCACTTCCCACCAATCACACTTTCTTCCACCCTGCAGTCTCACATTCAGGACAGACAGGCTGTGTTGAGAAGATGTTAATTTGAGGGAATTATTTTTTATGGGAATGTAGCTTTTTGCAAAGCTAAAAGATTTTTTTTGTGGGTAAAAATTATTCAGTAACACCCATTTCCTCAAATGTAGGATTACAGGATCCATTTCAACAGTCTTCAACCTTGCTGAAGAGCAGTTGCTAACCTTATAGAGAATGACATAGACAGCTGAGTATCACTGAGGGCCAAATCATTCCCCATAAGTTCTTTCTCCTTCTCCCTCCAAAGGCATCAATATCATCTTGGCAGTGTCTGCTCTGAAGAAGGTCAAAGCATATGTTTTGTTGTTGTTGTTGTTGTTGCTGTTGTTGTTGTTTGCCTTTAGCAAAAGGCAAGGGGCCCTTTAGAACTCCTTTGGTCTTGGGGGCTACCAATTGAACTCTTCTACTTCGAGTTGTTTTTGAAGGTCCTATAGCTTGATTACCTTCAATCTCCCCCGTTGAGCCTGTGAAATGGGACACCAGGGCATTGTTACAAACCGCTGGGGAAACTAGGACTTAAAACATTTTTTTCCTGCCTCTGGGCAGGGCTCATGCTGGTGCCAGGCAGAGATATGGACGTTTGTCACCTGATCCTGCCCATCCAGTGAGCAAGAATTACTCAGGCAGAACACAACTCTTGCCCCTCCCACAAATGCTGAACATTCTGTTTTTTGCTCTTAGGAAGAAACTGGTAAATAACTGCATTCTCTTCTCCCAGTTGTACACCCCCCTTCTTTGCAAAACCAAGGAATTGGGTCACATTACATAAGTCTATGTGGTTTCAAAGGGCTGAACACTGAGATTCAAATTGTTGTCACACACACATGTTGGAGCACAGCCTGTGCTCTCCTGGATAACACGAAGAAAAGCTGCTGAGTTCCAAAGTTTGACAAGTTGATTTTCCATATACTTCCGATCATTCTAATCCATGTAATCTATTTGAGTTCCTCTCCCAGAAAGGCATTAATCTCTCTTAGGAGTACTTAAAACTAGCCCAGACAGGTAACCCATTTGAGTAGGGAAGGGGAAAGTTACCAGAAATCCCTGCCATCAAATTATCAAAGTCAATCCCTTCCTTTTGTAGATTAAGTCATTCAGTCATTCATTTGTTCATTCAACAAATATTTATAGAGAACCTATTATATGGCAGGGTCTTTGACAGATGAGGTTCCCAATCTCATGGAGGTTACATTCTAGTGGAGGGAGGCAGACAGACAATAGAGAAACAAACAAGAATAACATCAGATAGTAAGGAAACTGAGGCTGGGAGAGAGGAAGGAACTCGCGTGAGATCACAGTCCAGGTCTTCTGACTCTCAGTATCTTCCTCTTTTCTCTGAACATATATTAAGCACCTACCATGTGCCAGGCACAGCACTAGACACTGAGTTTATAGGATGAATAAGACAAACAAGGTTCCTCTTCCTGCAGAGTTTATAGTATAGTTAGGGAGACAAAGTGAATAAACAAAACAAAACAAAACCAAAAACAGAGAGACTTCTGGTTTCAGGCCCAGCATGTAAGGAGGTTAGCAGTTGCCACTCCATCCCAACAACAAGTAAAAAGCTGAACAAACTGAAAGATTAACAACTCTTCTTAGATCTGTCAGAGAAGTGGAATCACAGGGCGAACTGCTACCTCAAAAATTAGAGAGAAAAGCTGATATAGAGAATCACAACTTTCAAGAACAGAAATCTCTGTGGGAACCAGTGCCAGGGAGAAAATTTGAATTTTAATTGACAAATTCCTGGAGGCTCAGTGTGAACAAGCCTGAGAGTTAAAAACTCCAGGGGTAACCAGTTATGGTGGGGAGAAGGGAGGTGCCACACTTTTGTGAGTTTTACTTCCATAAGCTCTACATGTCCTTACAGTGAGTATCAGGTAGAAATATCATGCTACCTGCAGAGGGAGGGGAAAGGGTACTATTCTGAAATATGCCAGAGCATTCTGTTCTTAAAAAGGCCTGCCCAGGCTGGGCACAGTGGCTCACGCCTGTAGCCCCAGCACTTTGGGGGGCCAAGGCAGGTAGATAGTTTGAGCTCAGGAGTTCGAGACCAGCCCGGGCAACATGGCGAAACCTCATCTCTGCAAAAAATACAAATAAATAAATAAATACATAAATAAAAATTAGCCAGATGTGGTGATGTGCACCTGTAGTCCCAGCTACACAGGAGGCTGAGAAATGGGAGGATCACTTGAGCACAGGAGGTCAAGGCTGCAGTGAGCCATGATGGTGCCACTGCACTCCATGCTGGGCAACAGAGTAAGACTGTCTGAAAAAAAAAAAAAAAAAAAAAAGCCTGCTCTTAGGAAAAACTATGCCTAAGTTGGGGTTTTCTCAGAGCCTAACCAACCCAGGGGAAGGAAATCTCTAACTGCAGCTTCCTCTAGCCTTCCATGTTAGGAAAGGGAATACACAAATTCAGCCCTCTCTAGCCATCTTGTCCCACCTAAGGAGGATAGAGATTGAGAAGCATTGGTGAAGTTCACTGCCTAGGAGCACAGGCTAACTAAAAGACTAAGAACTAATCATAGGACTAGAGAGCACTTCCCCTCCCCACACACCTTACCACCACATCACTAGAGACCTATTAAACTGGTGCAAAAGTAATTGTGTTTTTTTTCCCATTAAAAGTAATGGTCAAAACCGCAATTACTTTTGCACCAACCTAAATATCTACAGCAGTTCCTTTTACCCAGTACATCATTTCCACTCATCAACAAAAAATTATGGCTGGGTGCAGTGGCTCACGCCTGTAATCCCAACACTTTGGGAGGCCGAGGTGGGCAGATCACTTGAGGTCAGGAGCTTGAGACCAGCCTGGCCAAGATGGCAAAACCCTGTCTCTACTAAAAATACAAAAATTTGCTGAGCATGCTGGTGAGTACCTGTAATCCCAGCTGCTCGGGAGGCTGAGGCAGGAGAATCGTTTGAACCTGGGAGGCAGAGGTTGCAATGAGCTGAGATTGTGGCCACTGCACTCCAACCTGGGCAACAGAGCGAGACTGTCTCAAAAAAAAAAAAAAAAAATTACAAGCTATACTTAAAGACAAAAAATATGTAGTTTGAAGAGATTGAACAAGCATAACAACTAGAGTCTGGGAGTCTGGGCTGGGTGCGGTGGCTCACGCCTGTAATCCCAGCACTTTCATAGGTCAAAGTGGGTGGATCATTTGAGGTCAGGAGTTCGAGACCAGCCTGGTCAACATGGTGAATCTCGTCTCTACTAAAAAGTACAAAAATTAGCCAGGTGTGGTGGCACGGGCCTATAATCCCAGCTACTCAGGAGGCTGAGGCAGAAGAATCACTTGAACCCGGGAGGCGAAGGTTGCAGTGAGCCGAGATCGCACCACTGCACTCCAGCCTGGGTGACAGAGTGAGACTTTGTATCAAAAACAAAAACAAACAAACAAACAAACAACAACAACAAAAAAGAGTCTGATATGGCAGGGATGTTGGAATTACCAGACTAGGGATGTTTAAAAACTATGACCAATATGCTAAAGGATTTAATGGAAAAAGGAGACAACATGCAAAGATAGATGGATATTGGTTTAGCTGCTGGTAAGGAAAAAAAGAAAAAAGAAAAATTTTTTAAAAAGATGGATAACATAAGCAGAGAGATGAAAATTCTAAGAAAGAATTAAAAAATGCTAAAAATCAAAAACACAGTAACAGAAATAAAGAATGCCTTTGATTGGCTCATTAGTAGACTAGACATGGCTGAGGAAAAATCTCTTTTTTTTTAGACAGGGTCTCACTCTGTCACCCAGGATGGAGTGCAGTGATTTGATTATGGTTCACTGCAGCCTGGACCTCCCGGGAGTACCTGGGACCACAGGCACACACCAGCATGCCCAGCTATTTTATATATATATATTTTTTGTAGAGATGGGGTCTTGCTATGTTGCCCAGGCTGGTCTCAAACTCCTGGCCTCAAGTGATCCACCCATCTCAGCCTCCCAAAGTGCTGAGATTATAGGCATGAACCAGTGCACTAGATCAACCGAGGAAGAATCCCTGAAGTTGAAGATTGTCATTAGAAATGTCCAAATCTGGGCCAGGCACCAGGTGGCTCAACGCTGTAATCCTAGCACTTTGGGAGGCCGAGGCAGGTGGATCACCTGAGGTCGGGAGTTAGAGACCAGCCTGACCAACATGGTGAAACCCCGTCTCTACTAAAAATACAAAGTTGGCCAGGCGTGGTGGTGCATGCCTGTAATCCCAGCTAACTCGGGAGGCTGAGGCAGGAGAATCGCTTGAACTTGGGAGGAGGAGGTTGTGGTGAGCTGAGATCGCACCATTGCACTCCAACCTGGGCAACAAGAGCGAAACTCCATCTCATAAAAAAAAGAGAAGAAAGAAAGAAAGAAGGAAAGAAAGGAAAGAAAAGAAAGAAAGAAAAGAAGGAAGGAAGGAAGGAAGGAAGGAAGGAAGGAAGGAAGGAAGGAAGGAAGGAAGAAAGAAACTAACTTCCAAATCTGAAAAGCAGAGAAAAAGACTGAAAACAAAAAAAGAGAACAGAATATGCAAGAACTGTGGAATAACTACAAAAAATATAACATACATGTAATGCGACTACCTGAATAAGAAGAAAGAAAGGAATGACTGAGAATTTCCCCAAATTAATGTCAGTCACCAAACCACAGATCCAGGAACCTCAGAGAATAACAAGCAGGATAAATACCCCCAATCCCCACAAAAAACTACACCTGAGCATATCTTATTCAAATTTCAGAAAATCAAAGTTAGAGAAAAAAAATCTGAAAGAAGCCAGATGCGGAAAAAACACCTTACCTATAAAGAAGCAAAGATAAAAATTACATCTGGGCCGGGCGCGGTGACTCATGCCTGTAATCCCAGCACTTTGGGAGGCCGAGGCAGGCGGATCATGAGGTCAGGAGAGTGAGACCTTCCTGGCTAACACAGTGAAATCCCATCTCTACTAAAAATACAAAAAATTAGCAGGGTGTGGTGGCGGGCGCCTGTAGTCCCAGCTACTCGGGAGGCTGAGGCAGGAGAATGACGTGAACCTGGGAGGCGGAGCTTGCAGTGAGCCGAGATCGTGTGCCACTGCAGTCCAGCCT
Source organism: Homo sapiens (assembly GCF_000001405.40). Classification (NCBI taxonomy): domain Eukaryota; kingdom Metazoa; phylum Chordata; class Mammalia; order Primates; family Hominidae; genus Homo; species Homo sapiens. The sequence continues at coordinate 107,696,104 of NC_000023.11, read as the reverse complement.
GGGCGACGGAATGAGACTCTGTCTCAAAAAATAAATAAATAAATAAATAAAAATAAAATAAAATAAAGAATTACACCTGACTTCCCAAAAACCAAGCTAGCAAAAAGAGAGTAGAATGAAATATTTAAAGTGTTGAGAGGACCAAAAAAAAAAAAAAAAAAAAAAAAAAAAACTAACCTAGAATTGTCTACCCTGTGAAATATTTTTTTCAAAAGTAAAGGAAAAATAAAGATTTAAACAAACATTGAGGGAATTTGTAGCCAGTAGACCTGCCTTGCAAGAAATGTTAAAATAAGTTCCTCAGAGACAAGAAAATAATATAGATCAGAAATGTAATAAGTGAAGGTAAAATTTTAAAAAATTGTTTTTCTTATTATTTTTAATAAATTGTATTTTAGATTCAGGGAGTACAGCTTCTGTTGAACCTATCACCCCAGTAATGAAGAAATTACCCAATAGTTTGTTTTTCAATCCTCGTCCCTCTTCTTCCCAACCTGCTTTTGGAGTTTCTAGTGTCTATTATTTCCATCTTTATGTCTGTGGGTACCCAATGTTTAGCTCCCACTAATAAGTGAGAACATGTGGTATTTGATTTTTTGCTTCTGCATTAATTAACTTAGGATAATGGCCTCCAGCTGCATCCATGTTGCTGCAAAGGACATCATTTCATACTCTTTTATGACTGTGTAGTATTCCATAGTGCCTGGCTAGCTCAGTCCGTAGAGCAAGATACTCTTATTTTTCTTATTCTTAAGTGATCTAATAGTTTGTTAAAAATAATAATACTAACAATGTATTTTATTTTATATATAATAGAAGTTCTATTGTATATATAAAGAAGTTCGTGAAGTTCTATTATATATATGAAGACATTAATAGAATATACATATTCTATTATTAACTTCTGTTATACATATAAGAAGTTAAATGGATAACAGCAATAATACAAGGAATAGGAGGGAAGATTTGGGACTATGCAGTTATTATAAGATATTTGCAGTACTTTGAAGTGGTATCGTGCTATTTGAAAATGGACTTGATTAGTCGTTAACCCAATATTGCATACTCTAAGGCAACCACTAAAAACTGTTTTAAAAAAGTATAACTGATGTGCCAAGAAAGGAGAGAAAATGGAATCATAAAAATGCTTAATTAAAACCATAAAAGTCAGAAAAAGCATGGGAGACAAAAATAGGAAAAAAGATAAAGGGCAACAAATAGAAAATAGTAACAAATGTGGTAAATATTAATCCAACTATATCAATAATCACTTTAAACATCATTGGTCTAAAAACACCAATTAAAAGAGAGAGATTGTTAGAGTATATCACAAACCAAGACCCAAATATGTATTATCTACAAGAAACCCGCTTTACCTTATAAAGACACATATATATTAAAAGTAAAGGGATGGAGAAAGATGTACCGTGCTAACACTAGTCAAAAGAAAGTGGGAGTACCTATATTATTTTCAGACAGAACAAACTTCATAGCAAGGAAAGTTATTAGGGATAAAGAAAGGAATTACATAATGATAAAGGGGTCAATTTTCCAAGAAGACATAACAATCCTTAATGTGTACATGTCTAACAAAAGAGGGTCAAAATATGTGAGGTAAAAATTGAGAGAACTGCAAGGAGAAATAGATAAATTCACTATTATAGTTGGAGATTTCAATACCCCTCTATCAGAAATGGACAGATCCAGTAGGCAAATAATCAGTAAAGACATAGTTGAACTCAACAACACCATCAACTGATATAATAGAAATCTTTATACTACCTCATCCAACAACAGCAGAATGCATACTCCTGTCAAGATTACGTGGAGCATTCACCAAGATAGACCACATTCTGGAATATAAAACATACCTTTAACAAATGTAAAAGAACATAAATAATTCAATGTCTGTTCTCAGACCACAATGGAATTAAACAAGAAATCAATAACAGGAAGATAGTTGAAAATCCTGAAAATACTTGGAGATTAAACAACACACTTCCAAGTAACACATGGATCAAAGAAGTCTCAACAGAAATTTTAAAATATTTTGAACTAAATGAAAATGAAAATATAGGCCAGGTGTGTTGGCTCATGTCTGTAATCCCAGCACTTTAGGAGGCTGAGGTGGGAAGATTGCTTGAGGCCAGGAGTTTAAGACCACCCTGGGCAACATAGCAAGACCCCATCTCTACAAGAAAATAAAAATAAAAAATTAACTGGGTATGACACCTATAGTCCTAGCCAACAGGACTAGCTATGTGCCTATTGTGCCTATAGTCCTAGCTTCTTGGGAGGCTGAGGAGGGAGGATCACTTGAGCCCAGACATTCAAGGTTGCAGTGAGCTATGATTGCACCACTGCACTCCAGCCTGGGCAACAGAGAGAGAGATCCTATCCCCCCAAAAAAGAGAAATAAAAGAAAATGAAAATACAACTTATTAAAATTTATGTAATGCAGCAAAAGCAGTGCACTTAGAAGGAAGTTTTATAGTATTGAGTGTGTATTTAGAAAAGAAGAAAGGTCGAAAAATCAATAATCTAAGCTTCCACCTGAGGAAACTGGAAGAAGAGCCAGTTAAACCCAAAGTAAGCAGATGAAAATAAATAATAAAAAATAGAGCAGAAATCAATGAAATTGAAATCAGAAAATGAATAGAGAAAAGTCAACAAAACTAAAACTTGGTTCTTTGAAAAGATCAATAAAATTGATAAACTTCTAGCCAGGCAAACTAAGAAGAAAAGAGAAAAGACACAAATTACTAACATCAGAAATGAAAGAGGGATATTACTACAATTCCCAAGGACATTAAAAGGATAATAAAAGAATCTTATGAACAACTGTATGCTCACAAATTTGATAAACTAGTTGAAATTGACCAATTCTTTAAAAGATAAATCCGCCAAAGTCACACAAAAAGAAATGGCATAGGCCTATTCATTCAACTAATGAATTCAAATTATTCAGGAGAGTTTTTATCATAAGACTCTCATAAAAATGAATCAAGGCACAGAGTTTACACCCTTCCCAAAAATTAACTCAAAATGGATTACAAACCTAAATGTAGAACTCAAAACTATAAAACTCCCAGAAGATAACATAGGAGAAATCCTAGATGACATTGAGTATGGTGATGACTTTTTAGATTCAACACCAAATGCACAATCCATGAAATAAATAACTTATAAACTAGACTTCATTAAAACTAAAAACTTCTGCTTTATGAAAGACACTGTCAAGAGAGAGACAAGCCATAGACTGGGAGAAAAGATGTGCAAAATACACATATGAGCTGGGCGTGGTTGCTCACACCTGTAATCCCAGCACTTTGGGAGGCCGAGGCAGGTGGATCACTTTAGCTCTGGAGTTCCAAACCAGCCTGGGCAACAGGGTGAAACCCCATATCTACAAAAAACACAAGAAAAACTAGCCAGGCATGGTGGTGCACACTTGTACTCCCAGCTACTTGGGAGGCTGTGGTGGGAGGATTGCTTGGGCTTGGGAGGTTGAGGCTGCAGTAAGCTGTGATCATGCCACTGCACTCCAGCCTGGGTGACAGAATGAGACCCTATCTCAAAAAAAAAAAAAGATACATCTGATAAAGAATTGTTAACCAAAATTATATAAAGAATTCTTTTTTTTTGAGACAGGGTCTCTGTCGCCCAGACTGGAGTGTAGTGGCACGATTACGGCTCACTGCAGCTTTGACAGCCTGGGCTCAAGCAATCCTCCCGCCTCAGCTTCCCAAGCAGCTGGGACTACAGGCGTGTGCCACCATGCCCAGCTAATTTTGTTTTTTGTAGAGGCTCAGTCTTCCTATGTTGCCCAGGTTGGTCTTGAGCTCCTGGGCTCAAGTGATCCCCCTCCCTCGGCCTCCCAAAGTGCTGGGATTATAGGCGTAAGCCACAAGAACTCTTAAAACTCAATAATAAGAAAACAAACAACTTGATTTTATAATAGGCAAAATATCTGAATAGAAAGCTCAACAAAGAAAATATACAGATGGAAAATAAGCATAAGAAAAAATGCTCAACATCATGTCATTAGAGAATTGCAAATTTAAGTCACAATGAGATGCCTATTAAAATGGCCAACATTTGGAACACTGACACCACCAAATATGAAGCAATAGGAACTCTCATTCACTTCTGTTGAGAATGCAAAATGGTACAGTCACTTTGGAAGACAGTTTGACAATTTTCTTCCAAGAGTAAACATCCTCTTACCATATGATCCATTGATCACACTCCTGGGTGTTTACCCAAATGATTTGAAAACCTATGTCCACACAAAAATCTGCATATGGGTGTTTATAGTACCTTTTTTCATAATTGCCCAAACCTGGAAGCAACCAAGTTGTCCTTCAGTAGATGAATGGATAAATAAACTGTGGTACATCTAGGCAATGAAATATTGTTTAGTGCTAAAAAGAAATGAATGTTCAAGCTATGAAAATACGTGGAAGAACTTTAAATGCACATTACTAAGTGAAAGGAGCCAATGTGAAAACACTACATACGATATGATTCTAACTAGATGAAACTTGGAAAAAGCAAAATCTTAGAGAGAGTAAAAAGATCAGGGCTTGCCAGGGGTTAATGGAGAGAGAAGGATGAATAGGTGGAAAATGGGATTTTTAGAGCAGTGAAACTATTCTGTGTGATACTGTACTGGTAGATGCATGTCACCATACACTTGTCAAAACCCATAGAAGGTATGACTGCAAGAATGAATCCTAATGTAAACTATGGTCTTTGGGTGATAACGATGTGTCAGTGTAGGGACATCAGTTATAACCAATGTACCACTGCAGTAGGGAATATTGATAGTGGAGCAGCATGTGCGTGGGTGGGGAAAGCAGTTACATGGGAACTCTCTGTACTTTCTGTTAAGCCTTGCTGTGAACCTGAAACTTCCCTAAAACATAAAGCTTAAGCCGGGCATGGTGACTCATGCCAGTAATCCCAGCACTTTGAGAGGCTGAAGCAGGTGGATCACTTTGAGCTCAGGAGTTCGAGACCAGCCTGAGCAAGATGGTGAAATCTGTCTCTACGAAAAAAATATTAAAAAACAGCCAGGTGATGGTGGCTCGTACCTGTAGTCCCAGCTACTCAGGAGGCTGAGGCTGGAGAATCACTTGAGCCCGGGAAGCGGAGGCTCCAGTGAGCCAAAATCACGCCACTGCACTCCAGCCTGGGTGAACGAGTGAAACCCTGTCTCAAAACTAAATAAATAAATAGTGTACTTAAAAAAAAATAGAGGCCAGGCGTGGTGGCTCATGCCTATAATCCCAGCATTTTGGGAGGCCGAGGCTGGTGGATCACAAGGTCAGGAGATTGAGACGATCCTGGCTAACATGGTGAAACCCTGTCTCTACCAAAAATACAAAAAAATTAGCCAGGCTTGGTGGCGAGCGCCTGTAGTCCCAGCTACTTGGGAGGCTAAGGCAGGAGAATGGCACGAACCTGGGAGGCAGAGCTTGCAGTGAGCCGAGATCCCGCCACTGCACTCCAGCCTGGGCAACAGAGAGAGATTCCATCTCAAAAAAATAAAAAAATAGGAAGTTGGGGTCTCAGGTCCCTGAGGGATCAATCTGTCCACTCCATTTACTTGGTTGATGGAGCAGCTGAGGCCCGGCAAGTGGAAGGTACCTACGCAAAGTCACAGAGCAGGCTGGTAGCACAGACTGGGTCAAACCAGATGTCTTGCTTCTCTGTCCAATATATGTCACCCTGCCATGTAGCAAGAGTCAGAACATTGTTTTTCAGTTAGACAATGACTAGCATGAGCTCTTCTGAAGTAGCTTACAGGTTCTATTGTCTGCAAAGGGACAGAACATCTTAGCCCTAAGCTCGTCTCCCTAGAAGGCAAACACTGCGATTGGTGGGCTTCTGCTTCATAAGAGATCAGTGCTGTTGCCAAGCCCAGGCCTCACTTCTGCCATGAGTTCTGCTGAATCTTCAGGGCTAGGGGAGGCCTCAGAGGGGAGAAACTTGAAAAGAGCCCAAGGCCTTTCTCCCTGTTCTGTTTTTAGTGCTCCTGCTCCTGGCCCAAGTCCAGAGCAGGATAGAACCATTAGCACACCTATTCATTAGGTCCTATTTATTCACTCTAAAGGCTCATAATTTGTTTTAAGGGAGACTTTTAAACCCTGATTAATACTGTAGGCTCCCATGCATACATTAAAATGTGTTTGAATGTGTATAAGCACATTTGAAGCAGCATTGTTTGTACTTTCCAGCAGGGAAGCAGTGTCTCTGTCAGCATTGTCCTCTCCAGATGCCTATGACCAAGGCTCAGGGTTCTATCTGAACCAACACATGATTAGGCCACACTATCCAAGTTTGAAAAAAAAAAAGCCCCAATTCATGCATTGATAATTTAATCTTTGCTGCTTCCTTCACGTGGAAAATGATTTCATGAGAAATAACCCTTCAAAGAGAGGTACCCCTTCTCCTACTCAACTCTAGCCCCTCTTCTTGGGCTCTAAGCTCCCACCTTCCACTCCCTATCTGGCTCCACTAGTTAATTCCTTTGTCTTCTAGGTTTTCAGCCTAGCCTGTCTACTGACTCTTTCTCTGTGGCTAAAACAGGCTTACTTGTCTCTTATCCTTATAATAAGGACTCTCCTCCAACCTGTCACCCTCCAATCCTCCCCCGGCTACCATCCCACCTCACTCCTTCCCTTCATTCCTCAGTCTTGCAGTTTGGCTTCTGCCCCTGACACTCCCCTGGACCTGCTCAAAGATCCAATGTAAACACCAGACCCAGTGGACATTTTTCTGCTCCTATATTAGAGGGCCTCTTAGCCCTGGGCCCTGAGCATACTGAACATGCTTCCCTGGAAACGCTCTTCTCCTCAGCCTTCTCTGACTCTCTTCTCTCCTAGACCTCCTACTGTGCTATTACCACTCTTTTGTAGCCCCCTTTACTAAGTCATCCTCCTCTGCCCCTTTTACATGTCAGTGGTTCCCAGGACTCTGTCCTCAGACCTCTTCTCACTCCAGTACATACACTCTCTCATTCTGGCCCCATCCAATCTCATCTTTCCCCCCTCCATCTATATGCTACCACATCTGTGGCCTGATCCAGGCCTTCTCCCCTGAGCCCCAGATCCATTTGGGAATATTTGCATTATACTTTCCGGTTGAGCATCCCAAATCCAAAAATCTTAAATCTGAAATGCTCTAATGAGAACTTCCTTTGAGCGCCATGTCAACAAGTTTTAGATTTGGGAGCATTTCAGATTTCAGATTTTTGGATTTAGGATGCTCAACCTGTACTACCTTCCTGGTCCAAGCCACCATCCTCTCTTACCTGGATGGCTACAATAGCTTCCTAACTGGCCTCCCTGCTTCCACTCTCATACCCTTCAGTCCACACCCCGCTCTACAGCAGAGGGATTGATGGAGCATAAACTGGCCCATATCACTCTCCTGCTGAAAATATTCCAATGGGTTCTCATCTTACTGAGATGAAAATGCAAACTCCTTACCATTGCATAGAAGGAAGTCCACCTTCTGGTTCCTGCCTGCTCTGTCCAGCCTTCTCTCACAATAGTCCCCATCCCACCCAATGCTCCAGCCACTTTATATAGCAGGCTACTTCTCCCCGTGTGGATCTTTGCTCATAACTGTTCCCTCTGCCTGAAACAATCTCCCCATTATGGTCAGCAAACCTGATGACCACACACTCATCTTTCAAGATAGCAATAGAAAGCTTTCCTGATGCTCCCAGGCTAAGTCAATCATTCCCTTTGTTGTGTCCTGTAATTCACCATCAGGAAATGCTTATTAAGCACCTATTATGAGCCATTCCTATCCACTCCTGTAGGTAACCAATTCCATCAGTTTCTGGTTTATTCTTCTTGTGTCTCTTTTTGTACAAATGAACAGATGCCACTCTGTATTTTTTTTACTTCCCCTTCCTTCTTACACAAAAGGAAGCGTACTACAGACATGTTTGTTTTGTTGTTGTTGTTTATTTGTTTCTTTGTTTTTGCACGTGGCTTTTCTTTTACTTAACAATATATCCTGGAAATCACTCCATATCAGTGCATAGACAGCATCTGCATTATTTTTCACAGCTGCATAATACTTCACTCTGTGGCTATGCCATAATCTATTCAACCACTTTTCTATGTATGGACATTTAGGTAGTTTCTAATATTTTGTAATCATAAACGACACTGCAATGAAAATTCTTGCACATATGCATTTCCATATTGTTGGAGGTGTATCTTCAGGGTAAATTCCTAAAAATGGGATTGGTGAGTCAAAAGGTAAATGCATATATAATTTTGTGAGATATTGTATCAATTTTATTTCCCTCCAGCCATATATGAGAGTCACTTCAGGCGTTTCTGAAAGAGGGTGTTTTCAGAACATTAACTAGCTCTCTTTCCTAGCTGACCTGTCTTTGTCTGTGACTGATTCATCCCAGTGCACACGAAGGGCCCTCAGGCACTCAGAACACAAGCCTGCCCCTTGAGCACTCACATCCCAGGGTTGGGGTATGGGGAGCAATGGACAAAACCAAGCCTTATGTTGCTGGAAATGCTCCTGCATCGTCTGCCTTTCACATTCTTTGTTGAGGAGAAACAATAAGCAAATTACACTGACTCCAAGTACACAAGGCTACAGGACCATCAGAAGCTACTTAAACAGGTGTCAAGTAGCTTGAAGAACACAGGAGGAAATACAAGGAAAATTTAGTAATTCCAGGCTCAACAAGTACCAGTTTGATTTGTTTGAAGGCCTCCAATGAGAACAGGTATCTATCTTGTAGATAAGCAAGCCATCCTATTGAGAAAAATAATAATAAAAGTAATTCACTGTGCTTCAGAGATCACACAGTGCTTTCACGCTCATACATTATCTCATTTGATCCTTACAATAGAAATTTCCATGCTGGAACAATTGCTTCATTGGTCAATCTTTGATGCACATTAAGTGGTTCGTGGACTTGAGCTGTGATTTATCCACCCAGACTTCAAAGGGTTAACTAGAGCTGAACTCTAGACAACCTGAACTTATTAAAGACACAGGGTTGGAGGAAGCCTGGGAGCAGGAAGTGGTCAGGAAGCTGAGTGGGCCCCAGGCTCAAATTTCCCTGACCGAGAGCCTCAGATGAATTATGGTGGAAAACCCCCAACTGCACTGTGTCCTCTCCCTTCAATTTAGGCATTTAATAAAGAGATTGCATCGTCCTCCAGAAATGAGGAAGGTTAATAATTTCCTTGGATGGAGAGTTCCAAGCAGCTCTGTGGCTTTGTGTGGACCTTCAAAAGAACTTCTGCAGACAGAGTCTGTGAAACTTTTTATACTGGTCTATTAAATTTTCACTAGGCTCCCCTGCCTTCATTAATATCATTAGAGTATAGCACTGAGAACCTGTACAGGATTTGTCAGACATTTCAGATCATAAGTTAGGGGATTGTGAGGCATTCTTCCTGCCAACGTTCCCAGCTGGCAGTGCCCTCCTGCTTCTCCCCGGATGCCCAGGGCACCCCAGCATGGCAGTAGATTATCGCCAGGCGATCGCTCTTGGTAATTCAGCTCATAGGATCCAAGTGCCCACCTGCTTCTACCAACATGTCAGTCCCACCTTCAAACTGTGAAACAGGGAGGAAGGGTCATTTTCGCTCCTTGGCAGTCCCAGCTTATCAGGGCTTTAAGGGCAATTTGGATGGCATAGAACCTGTAAAGTTGCTGCTTAGGGAAGCAGTTAATGAGTGTGGAGTGTGGAATCAGGATCAGACAGACCTGAATCCGCATCCTGGCTGTGCCCTTTGCTAGCTGTGTGTTTTGGGGTAAGTCACTTAACCTCCCTGAGCCATGATTTCCTCATCTGCGACGTCTATGTGAGAGGTGAGGGGCATAATAGTATCTGACTCACAGGAGCTGTTGTGGGAATGAAATCAAATAAGAAATGTAAAATGCTTAGCCTGGTATCTAATGCATAGCAGCTATTTGACCCTTTGCATGTCACAACTGGAAGTGACCTTGGAGAGCATTTACTCCAACTCCCTCAGTTTCTAGATGGAGAAATGGGTCTAGAGGGGAGGTTATCCAACTCACCAACAAAAGAACCAGGATTAGAAACGGTTTCCTGACCCTTTTCACTCCACTATGGTATTTCTCTTGTCCAAAGCAGATGGGTAGGTAGTGAACTGAGGCCCAGCCTGCTATAGGTCAGGTTTGGGAGATGGCAAATGCCCCTTTGACTGGTGCAGTGTAACGGCACCAGTGCCGCCTAGAAGGTAAGGCCTCGGCCGGGCGCAGTGGCTCATGCCTGTAATCCCAGCACTTTTGGAGGCCAAGGCAGGTGGATCACCTGAGGTCAGGAGTTCGAGACCAGCCTAGCCAACATAGTGAAACCCTGTCTCTACTAAAAATACAAAAACTATCCAGGCGTGGTGGCGCATGCCTGTAATCCCATCTACCTGGAGGCTGAGGCAGAAGAATCACTTGAACCCAGGAGAAGGAGGTTGCAGTGAACTGAGATTGCGCCACTGCACTCCAGCCCGGGCAACAGAGAAAAAAAAAACAAAGAAGAAGAAGAAGATAAGGCCTTGGGAGAAGAGGAATTTTCCTGACTAGGATTATTTTCACAATTATCTACAGTCTAGGCTATTTTGGCAAAGCCTTGGTTGAAAATCCATTTGGTGTCATTTCTCCCTAATTGGTGCTCAACCTGGTCCCCCACAAAGAGCAAATGCTTCTCTCCAAGCTTTGGGAAGCAGGGCATTCATCCTTTGGCTGTAAGCAAGGTGCCTCTCCCCAAGGCCTTTTGGACCGGTTATGGAGTGGAGGAGGGAAGGAACTTCTCTCCCCTGCTCACTTTGTGGCGGGAAGTTCTGTGGCTTTTGCAAGGACAAGTGAAGGAGGGGAAGAAGTGAGCAAGGATACTGTGGCTCTTGTGATTGGCCGTCCACAGAAGTGGTGTGTCAAAGAGCAGCCAATCTCAACCAAGCTCAGGTATTCGGACCCCTCCCTCCTGACCTCACATGGCCCCGCATGAGGTTTCTGCTTGCTTGCTCTGAGACCAAGAGAGCACTGGGAGTCCTGCCCAGCTCACACTTCCTTATACTATGGAGGCAGGAAGGAACTGGCCTGCAAGCACTTAGCTCCTGTCTGAGCAATGGCCAGACTAAACAGGGTGGGGATATGTAACTTGGGGCTGATGCCAGCCTCACTGCAGCCCCAGGCACTGGAACAACAGAGAACCCCAAATACCAGAATTCTTAATTTACTTTCCACTCTAAGCATCTGCAACAGCTTCCAGAACCCCAAATTTGCCACAGTGCACCAACGAATTCATCCTACCAGAATTCACTTAGAATTATCTGCTTGGTTCTCTGTTAAATTCCCTCTTATGGGAGAATAGGACCAGGAAGCAGGGTGACCTTGGTAAAGTCACTCCCCTTCTCTGGGCCTCAGTTTCTTCATTTGTAAAATGTGTGGGCTCAACTTTCACAGGAGGCCTCCACAGCCACCACCCACTGCCAGGTCACCATCATAACCTCCAAACTTGTCCTTCTGCTTCCACTCTTGTCCCCACCTCAATCCATGACCAACAACACAGCAGCCAAGGGACTCTCTTTAAAACACAAATGAGGTCAGGTGTGGTGGGGTCACGCTGCCTGTAATCCCAACACTTTGGGAGGCCAAGGTGGGAGGATCGGTTGAGCCCAGGGGTTCAAGACCAACCTGGGCAAGATGTTGACACTCCCCTCTCTATTCACACACACCTACACACACACACACAGCGTTAAATTGTACCACTCCCCAGCTTAAAACCTTCCCATTCCACTTTTAGTAAAATGCAAGCTCCTTACCATGGCCCACAAAAGCCCTAGTGACCTGGCCCCCAGCTAGTTGTGTAGTCTCACCTCCTGCCTCTCACTCCCTCAGTCCCTCTGTTCTAGCCGCATCAGCCTCTTGCATGTTCCTGACACATGCCAAATTTGCAGCTGACTTGGGTCTTTCCATGGCTGCACCCTCTGCCTGGATGCTCTCCTCCAAGGTTTTTGTGTTTAACTCCTAGGCATGCTTATGATCTCAGTTTATGGCCACTTCCTTGGGTAAACCCTCCTTGAACAGCTCCACTGCCCTCGTGTCAGGCTAAATCGAGTCCTCCTATTATATGCACATTCAGTGCACATTGTTCTTTTCCTTTACAGCACTTATCATAACTATAATTCTTTCTGAAATTAATAACATCTATCTCCCCTTCTAAACTGTAAACACTGTAAGGGCAGGAACCTTGTCTGTTTTATTCACGGCTTTATCTTTGGTACCTTGTGCAGTGCCTAGCACATAGGAGGAACTCACTAAAAGTTGGTTGAAAGAATGAATGCATGAAGCTCCCTGCCAGCTTGGCCTGTCCACAGTGCCAGCCCCACAGCTCTTGACCTTGCTATGGCCTTGGCAGGTCACTCTGTTCCCACCTCTCTGGGGCTTATAAAGCAGTGGTGATGACCTATTAACCTCACTGTCAGGCAAATCTGTTCTTGGAAAAGACCCGGAATGCAGTCACTCCTAAAGCCAAATGCACAAGACTTTGATTTATGTTATTCAGGCCTCTTGCTCCTCTCATGAGTGATTCAATTCCCTAAGTATCTATCAGGCACCTACTGTATGCCTGGCCCTGTCCTAGATGCTGCTAGTCTAAAAGCATTAGTCTTCCCAGACTTGGCCCAGGCTCTTCACGAGCTCACATGTAAACAACCAATTCTCACACGAGTCAGACTGTGATAAGTGCCTGGAAGGACAGAGGAAAAAGCAATTGAGTACTGATTGTCCTGTGGAAATTTAGTGGGGGAAGGAGGAGGGGCAGAAGATTGTGCAAGATCTGATTAGTGGCAGAGCAGGAGTGTGTTTCCTGGTGGAAAGATGAGCATTGAGGGAGCATGCCCATGTTGGGAGAGCATTCTAAGGAAGGGTCCATTGAGTGGCCCCCAGGGGCTGTGTGCAGTGTGGCAGGAGCACATGCACCCTTAATCCACACTTACACTCTCCACCACAGCAGCTCCCATATTACTGGGTATCAGGACCACCCAGGGAACCTCTGAAACATGCGGGACTGATGCATTCCTTCTACCCAGCCCTGTAGAATCTGATTTAGTGGAGCAGACATGGAGTGTGGCCATCTGCGTGTTTAATAAATCTCCCTATCCATGTGGTTCTGAGGCAGGTGGTCCAAAGAGAATGCTGAGAGGCCCACTGCTGGCCTGGTGGATTGGCAGGTGGCTGATTCCAGCGGGAACTGCAAAGGAAATGTAGGCCCACAGTGGGAAACCTAGGAATGAGGATTCCAGTCGCATCACTAATTGATGGGAGGCATAGCTGGGTAGGATGAGGTGGGTTTGTGGATGAGTGGCAGTCTGGGTGAGGATGCAGGCTAATGATATAAGAGAGGGTCCTGAGCTCATGACAAGGGTCCTCAGAACCTTGGTGGCTATCCACTCCCAAGTTCCCTCCCATCCCTCCGCCCAGGCCAAGAATCTCTTGAGTGACCAGGCGGTTTCTGGACCAGAAGGAAAGAAATAAGATAATGGTATCCTGGGGCTGAACCCAGGAACAGCAGAATCTCCAGGCTGCTCCATGCCTCTAAATGGGCAGTGGTGGAATCAAGTATGCTGAGGTTCAAAGGTCTACCCTATGGGTGATAAGGAGCCACAGAGAGGGAGGAGAGGACATGAATACACTTCATTCAATCATTCAATCGTGTGTTCATTCCACAGACTTGTGCTGAGGGCTAGACACTGTACTGAGCCCTGTGGGGTTTGGTAGTACCACCATCTGCCCACCTGTCAAAGCCAGAAACCAGAGTGGCATCCTAGACTCTTTCATCTGTCTAACTTATTCTCTCCCCTCAATCCATTTATCTACTCTCATTGATTCAACCTCCTAAATGTCCTCTGACTCTCAACCCTCCTCTCCAGCCCCTCTGCCACTACCTTAGTTCCAGAGCTCACTAACTCTTGCCTGGGCCATTGCAGAAGTCATTTCACTGCTCTCCCCACACTGAGGTTAGCCTCACTCCAATCCATTCCCCATACTGCAGCCAGACTGATTTGATGGTCTCTTATTTTTTTTTTAAGATGGGGTCTTGCTATGTTGTTCAGGCTGGTCTCCAAATCCTGGCCTCAAGCAATCCTCCCACCTCGGCCTCCCAAAGTGCTAGGATTACAGGCGTGAGCCACAACACCTGGCAGACTCTTAATTTTAAATAGATTTACTGAGGTATAGTTTACATACCATCCAATTCAAATTCATACCTCTTGGCCTGGCATGGTGTAGGGCTTGTAATCCCTACACTTTGGGAGGCTGAGGCAGGTGGATCACCTGAGGTCGGTAGCTCGAGACCAGCCTGGCCAACATGGTGAAACCCCATCTCTACTAAAAATACAAAAATTAGCTGGGCATGGTGGTGCACGCCTGTAGTCCCAGCTACTCGGGAGGCTGAGGCAGAAGAATCGCTTGAACCCGGGAGGCAGAGGTTGCAGTTAGCTGAGATCGCGCCACTGAACTCCAGCCTGAGTGACAGAGCAAGACTCTGTCTCAAAACAAAACAAAACAAAATTCATACCTCTTAAGTGTACAATTCAATTACTTTGAGTGTATTCACAGAGCTGTGTAACCATCACCACACTCCAACGCTAAAACATTTCCATCACCCCAGAAAGGTCCCTCGTGCCCATTGGAAGTCACTCCCTTGTTCTCAACCCTAGCCTCAGAAAACTACTAATTTACTTTCTGTATCCATGGAGTTGCATTTTCTGGGTATTTCATATAAATGGAATCATATGATATGGGGTCTTTTGTGTTTGACTTTGAGTGCCTCTCAATATAGAAGTCTGCTCAGTTACCCTTGAACAGTTTCCCATCATTCTCCATCTGAACACTTCCCGCTGCTGTTCAAGGTCCTTCATACCTGACCCTGCTCTTGAACTTCCATTGTTCCCTAACACACACCATGTACTCTTTCCTGCTTCCAAGCCTTTATGCCTACAGCTCCCCTGACTGGAATGTCCTTACCTTCCCCCTAAGCAGGCACTGCCTCTGCTATGTCTTCAACATCCCATTCCCCAAATTCTGCTTACCACTTTCACCTCTTTAGGCATTTTTCACCTTGTCTATGCTTTATTCATTGTACATCTCACACTGCATTGTAAATATTCACACACATTGGTTTCCCAGCTACATGGTAATTTCCTTGAGGGCAGGCACTATGCCTTTCATCTCCATAATCCCACATCTGGAACAGATCCTGGTCAAAAAATTGTTCGTTAAAACAAACAGAACAGCATAAGACTCTGTCCAGAAACTGCCCTTGAGGAGTTCACAGTCTTGTGAGGGAGAAAATAGCCCATTCATCAGCCAATCTACATTTACTGAGGTCGCCACTGTGTGACAGTGGGAGGAGAGAGTAAAAAGGATGAGTAAGGCATGGTGCCTTCCCTCTTGGAGCTTGCAATTGAGTCAAGAAGATACACTCCATAGATAGACGGATTGCAATGCAAAACATTACGCAGTCAAATGCTAGGTGCAACAGTGGGGTGTGTCAAGAGTCCAGGGAAAAGAGGGTAGCGACTGTTGTCGGAACACGTTGAGAAAGTCTCATGGAGGAGGAAACTGAGTGTGGGGAAGGACAGGAGGATTTGGGCAGGAGTGGGCAATGTACAGAGCATCCTTGGATGGCAGTGAGAGAGTGACTTGAGCTACATGTTGGGGCACAGGGCAGGATGGTTTGGAAGACAGAGAGCCAGGAAATCAGCTTGGAAGTGAGTGACTTCATCTAAAAGAGCGATGATAAGACCTGAACTAAAGCTCTACCAGTGGAAATGGATATGCAGCTAGAGTAGGATTTCCAGATGTAATGAATAAAAATACAGGACACAATGCAAGGGACATACTCGAACTAAAACGTTGTGTTTCTAAAATGCAAATTTAAGTGGGCATCCCTGCGTTTTCTGGCATCTATCCTGCGTTTTCTGACAGCAAGTTTGGGCCAAACTGTGAAAATCTTGAATGCCATGCTATGGTGTTTACTTTGTGCCCTGGGGGAAAGGAAGGCCCTGAAGGGTTTTAACTTGAGGACTGACCGATCAGATATGCCTCTTAGAAAGATGGCTTGGATAGAGCAAGGAGAATGGGTTGCTGGGTGGAGCAAGTTCGGAGGCTGTCACAGCAATTCAAGGGACAAAGGATTAAGCCCTGAGCCATGGCAGAGGAGTGGGCATAAAGAGGAAGGTGGGATACAGGAGCAACTCAGCCCAAATCAGAGGGTGCTACCTTAATGACAAGTGCTCACTGGGGGAGTGAGGCATGGGGATGTTGCTTGCAGAAGGAGCAGCCTCCAAGTAGGGGCTAGGCGAGCATCGAGGATCCTGTGATTTTCCTCACTACCTCCCGCTGCCCAAGGGAAGGAGGCAAGGCTTAGGTAGAAGAGCCCGAGCAGCTGCCATAGCTGAAACCTCTCCCAGGCTTTCCCCCAGTCAGTCCTGCACACTTCCCTTTCCCTCTTGGGCCCCGGCGCCCATCCAGAGCAGTGTTCTCCCATGCAGATGTGAGCATTCTGGGCTGGGTGAATCACTGTCCCTGGACAGAAGGTCCTGCCTGCCAGGGGAAGGGCCAGGCAACCCCAAAGAACACTCCAAACAGCCTCCTGTGCAAACTCTTTCAGAAAGCTTCACACAGGGGGACACAACAGGTGCCAAAACAATGCTGGCCTTTTTTTGGGGGTGACTTTCAGCACAACTGATGAAAAAGATGCCCCATCTCAGCCCTGCTGCTGGCCAGGAGTATCTAGAACACTCTCCTAAGCTCAAGCCTAGTACCCCTTGGGGATGCAAGAGTCAGGAAGGCAGAGCCTGCTTCTGTGTGTTGATTTGCTCCACCCTGGCCCAGATGCTTGAGCTAACCTCAAGTCCCGCCCCCATCCTGTGACCTCATAGCTGCACATGGATCTGCACATGGCTTCATCAGGGACAGGAGGAGGGTGATAGCAGGGAAGGGCTCTTCCCCATGGGATGCAAAGGTAGGGTTAGAATTTGCCCAAGATCCTTGCTGTCTTTCTCTAGGATCTGGGAAGCAGTGGTCCCTCGGGGCTTGGGATGGAGTTGCCAGCACCTTCCTTGGTAACCTCTGAGGCCATTATGTAGTTAGTGGGGAGGCTGCCTAGTATGGTGGTTAAGGGGAGTGGCTCTAAACTCAGATGCATCTGAGTTCTAGGCTTCATTCTCCCCTCACTAGCTGCAGAACTTGGACAAATTACTCAACCTCTCTGAGCCAGAATGTCCGCTACCAAAGTGCAAAATTGTGATAATAAAGGTACATGCTAGGATTAAATGAGATTATTCAGGTAAGCATTTAGCCTTGCATCTGGCACATAGTAAGGATTTAATAAGCGTTAGTTATTATGATTATCCCCCTTCGATTTTATGCCCATCGTCCCCTCTTGGTTCCCTCATCCCTCATCAGACCTTTTTCCCCAAGGCCACAGCTCAGGACCATCCCCTTCGGGCCACCATTGCCTGGCCACAGAGCTTCCTCATGGATCCTTCTCAGACAATCTCAGTCCTTGCTCCACAGATGGCAGTTCTCCCTGGGACTTTCACCCTAATTCGGAGCCACTTGCCC
This sequence comes from Homo sapiens, assembly GCF_000001405.40. Classification (NCBI taxonomy): domain Eukaryota; kingdom Metazoa; phylum Chordata; class Mammalia; order Primates; family Hominidae; genus Homo; species Homo sapiens. The sequence goes on along the minus strand of NC_000023.11, from coordinate 107,678,455 downwards.
TCTATACCTCAGCACTTTGCCTTTTCTGTCTTGTGCCATTGTAGGAGAAGGAGCCAGAGACAGGGAACAAAGGACAGGGACAGAGAGCAAGCTGGCTAAGCCAGGCTGGGCAGAAGAGACGCTGAGAGTCTGTCCCGTCAACACTTTTTCCATGTGGGGAAGCAGCCACCAAGGGACTGAGCTTTCTGAGAATGTCCAGCTCCCATCCTGTCCAAAGCTGGGCTTCCCCGGGGCCACAGCCTCCACCCCAGCTGAGTTTCTGATCTCTTGGGTGGAAGGAAGGAACAAGAAGCTTAAAAAGCTCAAAAGATCACCTCCTACATAGCCCTCCTGGCAGCCCCCTCAGTCCAGCCCAGCACTGCCACCTTCGATTGCTCTCTTGCAGGCATCCACGTGCCACAGTTCACACCAACCACTGAAAACCCAAGGGGGAAGCTAATCTTTTCTTTTTTGTTTTGTTTTGTTTTTTGAGACGGAGTCTGGCTCTGTTGCTCAGGCTGGAGTACAGTGGCAGGGTCTTGGCTCACTGCAATCTCTGCCTCCTGGGCTCAAGTGATTCTCCTGCCTCAGCCTTCTGAGTAGCTGGGATTACAGGCATGCACCACTATGCCCCACTAATTTTTTGTATTTTTAGTAGAGACGGAGTTTCAAGCACGTTGGCCAGGCTGGTCTCGAACTCCTGACCTCAAGTGATCTACCCGCCTCGGCCTCCCAAAGTGTAGGGATTACAGGCGTGAGCCAGCATGCCCAGCCGGGAAAGCTATTCTTGAAAAGAGAGGGAATTCCTGAGGTTGACCCACCACCGGAGGCAGCGTTTTTTGCTCTCCAAAGTGCCCACAGGTCTCTCCAAAGGCACTTACTTCCCCTCCACCTCAGATGAGTTATGGAGAGCAAGTGTGAAAATGTCCCTGGTGCTAAATCAATTAGGATCGCCTTGGCAATCAAGTCCTTGATTTGTCAGCTTTATTTCCCAGCTTCTTCCGTACCTTCTAGGTAGAATCTCATTAACTCCTTTCCAATCTCTAGGAAAAAAGCAAGCACCTGAGAAAAAGAGGACACACACAGCTGCATTCAAGCCGCCTTCACAGAGAAAACAGGTAGTCAGTGGGGGAAAAAAATTGGCGATGTTATGCTTAAAATAGCTGGGAAATGGTAGCAGTACTTTAAAAGCAAGCCTGGCTGGGGGGCCTTTCCATTGGCCTTGCCCAGCTGTCTCCCTCCCACTCAGAACGAAATGTTCTGTCTTTTTGTGGTTGTAACCTCTTTTCACTTGGAATGACTTGCTATGTCTGGACGTTGATCAGGGCTGCTGCTCTAAGACGCTCTCACGCAATAATAAATTACCCAGTAAGCCTTGGTGTAAGATCTCCTCCCCCGCCCCCGCCCACTTTTTTCTCCTCCCCGTCCTCCTCATCCCACTGGAAAAGTCGCTGTGGTTGGTTCTTAGGCGGCTTCCAAGCCCATGCTGATCAGCATCACTTGCCTCTGGCCACCCTCCCCTGTGACCGGCAGCACATGTCGCCCCACGCGGCCCCGGCTTGGGGAGCGTAAGGCATGTGGGCCTCCATGCGGCCGCCAGACGAGGGCGGGACCGGGACGCTTCGCCCTGCCTGGGGCTCCTGGTGAGTTCCGGGTGACTGGAGTGGGGACAAGAGGCACCAGGGAAGGACGTGAGTTCTTTAGATTTTCCAAACGCCTCTGACACATGTCCTCACTCAAAGCTGCCCAAGAAAACAAAACAAGCTCCGCTAACTAGGGAGGCGGGAAAAAGTGGGGGAGGCAATGAAGGTTTGGCCTCAGAATCCCAGAACTACAGTGGGATGAGGGGTGGGCAGGGAGGAGGTGGAGAGGCAGGCAGGGCTGGCCGCCCTGGCACAGCCTTGGAAGCCAAGCTTTGGGGTTTAGAGGAGAGCAGGGGTCAAATGCCTGAGAGCCTGCCTAGGCAGGTAAGGGGAAAGGGGAAAGTGGCCAGGGTACAAGAGGGTGGTTCTCAAAATTGGCTGCAAATTATAATCACCTGGGGAGCTTTTACAAATCCGGACACCCGGGTCTCACCTTACACCAATGTTATCAGAATCCCAGGGGGTGAGACCTAGGCAGGAGTGTTTTTCTAAACTCCCCAGGTGGTTCCAATGTGCAGCTGACTCTGAAAACCAGCAGTGCAAGAGCTCGCTGCTCAGAGCTGGTCCCAAGCCCGGCAGCATGAACCACAACTGGGAGCTTGTCAGAAATGCAGAATCTTGAGCCCCAGCTGGGATCTACTGAATCAGCATTTGCATTTTAAAAATAACAGCCCTATTAAAGTATCATTCACATGCCATAAAATTCACCCTTTTAATGTGTACAATTAAGAAGTTGTTAGTATATTCAGAATGTTGTGTAACCACCACCTCTATCTGGTTCCATTTTCATCACTCCAAAAAGAAACCCCAGACCCTTTAGCAGTCAGTCCCCATTTCCCTCCCCACAGCCATGGGCAACCGCTGCTGTACTTTCTGTCTCTAAGGATTTGCTCCGTCTGGATGTCGCAATTACACACATTACGGTTTGCAAAGCACTGGCATGAAAAACCCTCTAAAACAAACGGCCCTTACTCCCTTCCCACAATCATTGCCATGCAGCCATGAGGGTCCAGAGTTGCTAGATTCTCTGCTTTTTTGCAAAAGAAGCCAATATGTGGATTTTTATGTGAAATCTTCCACTTTTTAAAAGGTTGGCAACTAATTCAAATTTATGGAAAACACTGTTCAGGCCAAACAAAACCTGCCCAAGGGCTGGATTCAGTCTGTTAGCCACCAGTTTGCAACTTCTGACAGTCACCAGGTTCTTCCCAAACCCACCCAAATCCTTTCTACTCCAGCCATAGTCTTTCTTTTTGTTCCAGTTTCCATGAGTGTGGGAAAATTACTGCTTAGTAGCCTCCTTATAAAATCTTCTCATCTTATTTCTCCCTTCTCCAAATGGACAGCCAAGCATTTCTTGAGGACCTACTATGTGCTTAGTGCTTTATATATTTTGTGAATCACTTAAATCTTCACAACAACCTTTAGGGCAAAGATTATTACCCAAGTTTTAAAGACGCAGAAACTGGAGCTCAGAGAGGTTAAGTAACTTTCCTGATGTTGCACAGCCACTAAGTGACAAAGCCTGAACTCTTTCCGCCTCACTACACTGCCTCTACTTCACCAATCTCTGCCCCGAGGCCCCATCTTTCATCTTTCTTCCTATTCTGAGCCTTTTCCCTTTTCCCCAGATGATGGACATGGCTGTCTGATGAAGACTCTAGACTGTCACAGAGCATGGTCTCAACAAGCTTAGGACCCATGTTTGCTGGGGAGAGTCTCAGCTTCAAACACTCGGGCTTGTTTCCCCATAAGTACATTCATCCTTGTCAAATATGTGTCCTGATCTTTGCTTTGGAAAATGTGGTCCACAGAAGTGAGCTGTGCTCTATTTTGACGCTGAATCTTACTCAGCTTGTGGTCAACTCCCTCCTTCACTTGGTGTTTTCCTTGTTTATTTGTGTCGAGCCAAATTATGTTGTTAGGTTTTGTCACTAACGAACCCCTTGCACTCATCCCTGCTGAATTTCACCCGGGTTTCACAGGACCTTCTTCCTCTAACCCGTCCAACTGGAAGTCCCTCCCCTCTCTGCTGTGGGTTTGGCCCCCCTCCCAACCTTCTGTCATTTTCAAGTCACTTCAGGCTTCGGAAAACTGTCTCCACCCTCCCAAAAGGTCCCATCTGGTTTCCTCCCTTCACTGCTCTGGAAACCCTACATAGGCCTCCCTGACTGGGGGAGGGAGGGCAACCTCCCTGGGAGGAGGGGCCTCCCTGAGAGGGAGTGGGGTGGGGAGGACAGGTAAAGGGAAGCAGAATCTGCTCCCCTAAATTGGTTGGGGGTGGAGGAGGATCTGGATGTGACTGGGAGTGTCTGCAGGCTGTAGCCTTTGGCTGGAACCTCTCCTAGGCCAGCTTCAGACTTAATCTGGTCCCAGGAGGGTGTCAGGGGTCCATGGACCTCTTTTTCCGATCAGAGGGATCCTTAGTCCTGGGGGACCATTTGGCAGAAGGTCCTTTAACTCAGTCCTGGCCCCTGAGTACACCCCGTTGTCTGAGCACTGCAGGCTCCCAGGCTGGTTGCTAGGTGCAGGGCTCAAACAATGTAGTGTGACAGTTCCGCAGCCCACCTCAGGGGCCTCCCCAAGCCACAAGGGTGTGGTTTGCAGTCTGGGTACATTCTGTACCCTCACTCTGGGGGCGGGTTTGTGGTTCCAAGTGCTGTGCAGCCGAGCCCCGCCCATGCCTTTCCTCTCCAGCTACAAAAACAAGCTTGACACCAAGAGGGGAGGAATTGAGAAAATAAAAAATAATAATAAAAAAAAGGCTGTTACTGTACAGCTGGTCCCTGGAGACTCCAAGGTGGCCCCGCCCCTTCCCCTTCCTCTGAAGGTTTCCCATGGGTGGAAGGCCAACAGTGTCACTGGATGTCTACTGCTGGTTCTTTCCTTCCCTTCCCATGCATTTGAATGGCTGCCTGAGCCACAGAGCAACAACCTAGAGGAGATGCCAAGCAGTGCTCTCTAGGGACTTGCTGCCACTGTCTTCCCTAGAGCCCCTGAAACAGGGCTTTCCTTTCTCTGCCAGCACTAGGCATCTCCACATTCCTCTGGCCATTGCTCTGACTGCTAGGTTCTCGGGCCTCTGCACCTTCATCGTTATTATTAGCATCGTTATATCAGCTACCACTGATTGAGGGCCTGTACGGTACTGGGTGCTTCCACCCTTTCACCATTTAATAATCACTTCATGAGGTAATCCTAGCTGATGCTTATCTCACACTTACTATTGTAAGTGCTTTGCACATCTCATTTAATCCTCAACAGTTTTGAGATGGGTCCCTGTACTGTTTTACAGCCAAGGAAACTGAAGCACAGAGAGGTTAAACACTGTGGCCAAGGTCATACTCTACTAAGTGGGAGAATCAGGATTTGAACCCAAGTCCGCTACACTTGAATCGATGATCTTTCTGCTGGACTGCCTCCATTTCCCCCCAGACAATCCTGAAAACTGGATACCTTCTATCAGTTTTTTCACTGGAGAATAGGCTAGCTAACTTGGACCTCAGAGGAGAGGACAGCTCCCTGGAGAATCTGGAAGAGGCAGGAGCGAAATTTGCTCAGTTGCAGGGATTCCCCAGGACTCCCTGGGAGTCAGGCCACACCCAGTTGCTTCTGCTGGGCTGGCGGTCTGTCTGCTCTGGAGTGGGGTGGGGTGGTGAGGTGCACACCACACACACACACACACACGCACGCACGCACGCACGCACACACGGAGGGAGGGGGGAAAGGGAGATGGGGTAGGTGAGGAAACTCACCGTCCCAGAGCTCTCTTGCCCCCTCTTCAGGCAATAAGCTCTCACTGCTGTTCCTGTCCAGGTGACCAATTTTTGCCATAGGAGGCCCTATTTTTAGACCTCAAAACCCACCACCAATGTCTGGGCTGCAAGCTCAGTGGACCAGGCTGCTGCACGGGCTGTTTTGTTTTTGTTTTCGTGGTGTTTTAAAATTTTTTACCATTTGAATCTCTTTTTTTTTTTTTTGAGATGGAGTCTCTTTCTGTCACCAGGCTGCAGTGCAGTGGCACGATCTTGGCTCACTGCAACCTCCACCTCCTGGGTTCAAGTGATTCTCCTGCCTGCCTCAGCCTCCCAAGCAGCTGGGACTACAGGCGCATGCCACCATGCCTAGCTTTTTTTTTTTTTTTTTTTTTTTTTGAGACAGAGTCTCACTCTGTTGCCCAGGCTGGAGTGCAGTGGCACGACTTCAGCTCACTGCAAGCTCCCCCTCCCAGGTTCATGCCATTCTCCTGCCTCAGCCTCCCAACTAGCTGGGACTACAGGCACCCGCCACCACGCCCAGCTAATTTTTTTTTTTTTTTTGTATTTTTAGTAGAGACGGGGTTTCACCGTGTTAGCCAGGATGGTCTTGATCTCCTGACCTCATGATCCGCCCCCCTCAGCCTCCCAAAGTGCTGGGATAACAGGCGTGAGCCACCGCGCCCAGCCTAAAAATTTTTGCCATTTGAATCATTTTTAAGTGCATAATTCAGTGACAATAAGTACATTTACATTATTCTGCAACAATTACCACTCTCCACCTCCAGAACTCTTTTCATGTTGCAAAACTCCATACCCATTAAACAATAATCCCCCCCACAAACCCGCCCCCAGAGTGAGGGTAGAGAATATACCCATTCTCCCCTCCCCCTAGCCCCTAGTAATCACCATTCTATGTTCTGTCTCTTATGAATTTGACTATTCTAGGTCCCTAATATAAGCAGAATCATGCAATATTTGTCCTTTTGTGTCTGGCTTATTCAGTTAGCATAATCTTCATGTTGTAGCATGTGCCAGAGTTTCTTTCCTTTTAAGGCTGAGTAATTGTCTACTGTATGGATATACCACATTTTGTTTATCCATTCATCCATTGATAGACACTTAAGGGTTGTTTCTACCTTTGGACTATTGTGAAGAATGCTGCTGTAAACACATTGGTGTACAAGTATCTGTCCGAGCCTCTGCTTTCAATTCTTTGGGGTATATACCTAGGAGTGGCTGTTGGGGCCGTTTGCCCATTCCCGAGGCAGCCTAGTGGTCTGGCCCCCCTCAGAAGAAAGTTGCCTTCCCAGCTTTCTGCCCCAGCTCTGCTTTGTCTCTGTGCACACAACAGCACCTCTTGGAAAAGCACCTTCTTTCACCCCACCCTACCCCCCGACCCCGTCACCAATGAGTCCCAGCACCAACTGAGTGGTGACTGGTGACTGGTGAGCCTCTCTGGGCTTCCTGTTCTATTTTTCTACCCAGTGTACTTATGGTCACATTCCCTCCCCTTGAAGACCATGTCAGTCTCTGGTTGCCCTCTTGTCAGCTCCCCAAGAGCCAGGACCACAGCCGCAATGGACTTTTAAAAGTGGGAGACAGGGCCGGGCGCTGTGGCTCACGCCTGTAATCCTAGCACTTTGGGAGGCCGAGGCGAGCTGATCACCTGAAGTCAGGAGTTTGAGACCAGCCTGGCCAACATGGTGAAACTCCATCTCTACTAAATATACAAAAATTAGCTGGGCGTGGTGGCGTGTGCCTATAATCACAGCTACCTGGGAGGCTGAGGCAGGAGAATCACTGGAACGTGGGAGGCAGAGGCTGCAGTGAGCCAAGATCATGCCACTGCACTCCAGCCTGGATGACAGAGCAAGACTCCATCTCAAAAAACAAACAAACAAAAAACTGGGAGACAGTGTGGTACAGCAGTTAAGGGCAGGGGCTCTGGAGCCAGACTGCAAGGGTTTGAATGCTGCCTTGTCTAACACCAGGCAAGCTACTTGACCTTGCCATGCCTGTGTCTCCATCTGTAAAATGGGGATAATAATAATATTTATCTCAAGTGGTTATTAGGAATTAACTGATATACACAAAGCCATCAATGCAGTACCTGGTACATAGTAACGGCTAAATAGCCAGACACAGGCACAGTGGCTCATTCCTGTAATCCCAGCACTTTGGGAGGCCGAGGCAGGTGGATCACTTGAGGTCAGGAGTTCAAGACCAGCCTGGCCAACATGGTGAAACCCTGTCTCTACTAAAAATACAAAAATTAGCCGGGCGTGGTGCTGCGCACCTGTAATCCCAGCTACTCGGGTGGCTGAGGCAGGAGAATCACTTGAACCCAGGAGGCGGAGGCTGCAGTGAGCCCAGATCGCGCCACTGCACTCTAGCCTGGGTGACAGAGCAAGACCTTGTCTCAAAAAATTAATAGCCTAAATAAATGGCAGCTGTTATTTGTTAAGTCCTCTTTCCCTTGCTGCTTCTTTGACAAAAAACATGAGGTAGATAGTGGGAGCCACCTCAGCATGTTTTTCAGGGAGGATTGCTGATGAATTTGCAGACTTCCCTCCCCACTACCCCCCTTCTCCCTGTTGATAGTCTTCTTGGGTCATTGCCCCTCCACCTGTGTGAAATGCTTTTATGAAGTTAGTGTAAACAATATAAAGAATACAATGTTTGTTTTCTTCACTCTGCAGCTCCACACATTGTAGTGATCGTGTGCTCATTACCTGGAGGTCCTGTTGTGCTCCCACTCAGGCCAAATATGGTTCAAGAAGGCTGCCAACACCAGCTGGCTTTGAGAAGCCTGTCTTTCCCTTCAGGAACTTGCTAAGTTCAGAAGGGATACATTGTTTATATCTTTCAGGGTGGGAAAGAAGAAGCCAGGCTCAGTGTATTTCTTTCTTATCAGTAAAGATAGCCATATCTAGTTTGTCCTGTTGGTTAAAGTACCATATTAATAGGGTCTATTAATAGGGTCAAGTTCATCACTTCAGTCTACTGGGCCATTCTCCAAACGTTGATTGGGCACCTGTTACAAACCAAGCACTGTGGCATACAGAGATAAACAAAATAAGATAGCTGTCCTCGAGGCACCCAGGCCAAAATAATGCAATTCTCTGAGCACTCTGAGTTTGAAAAAGCCTCCCACTGGCCAGGCGCAGTGGCTCACGCCTGTAATCCCAGCACTTTAGGAGGCCAAGGTGGGTGGATCACCTGAGGTCAGGAGTTCATGACCAGCCTGGGCAACATGGTGAAATCCCATCTGTACTAAAATACAAAAATTAGCTGGGTGTGGTGGCTGGCACCTTTAATCCCAGCTACTCAGGAGGCTGAGGCAGGAGAATCACTTGAACCCGGGAGGTGGAGGTTGCAGTGAGCAGAGATCGCGCCATTGCACTCCAGCCTGGGTGACAAGAGCGAAACGCCATCTCAAAAAAAAAGGAGGAGGAGGAGGGGGAAGGGGGATGGGGGAGGAGGAAGGAGGAAGGAGGAGGAGCAGCCACCTCCCACCACCACGCCACCAATTCTTCCAAGAGGAGTCAGGGAATACTACTTCCCAGAGACAGTTCTGAGCTGACTTTTGTCTTGACTCTTGAAAGAGTAGTTTGTCAGACCAACACCTGGCAGAGAGGATAGGGCACGCCCCCAGGGAACAGGAAGCTTGTGTGCTGAGGGTCAAAACTTCTAGGGTGCTGAGGGAGATGCCAAGGATTGGCTGTAGCTAAAGCATAAGGAGCAAGGCAGGGGTAACATGATGCAAGAAGGCCAGGGAGGCAGGACCCAGAGCATGGGGAAGTCTTTTTCTTTTTATTTCTTTTTTCTTTTTTCTTTTTCTTTCTTTCTTTCTTTCTTTCTTTTTTTTTTTTTTTTTGGAGGCAGAGTCTCTGTAGCCCAGGCTGGAGTGCAGTGGCGCAATCTCAGTTCACTGCAACCTCCACTTCCCAGGTTCAAGCAAGTCTCCTGCTTCAGCCTCCTGAGTAGCTGGGATTACAGGCACGTGCCACCACGCCCGTCTAATTTTTGTATTTTTAGTAGAGATGGGGTTTCGCCATGTTGGCCAGGCTTGTCTCGAACTCCTGACCTGAAGTGATCTGCCTGCTTTGGCCTCCCTAAGTGCTGGGGTTACAGGCATGAGCCACCATGCCTGGCTGGGGAAGTCTTTTTCTATTGTTCTTATTGTTTTCTTTGTTGTGTGACAGTTTGGACTTTATCCTGCAGATTTTCCAGCTGAGCTTCCCAGAGCACTAAAGTTCCACAGAGCTGCCTCTGTGGAACTACCCCAGTAGCTGCTGGTGGTGAGAGTGGAGGCAGGAGGGAGGAGGACAGTGGGCAGATGGGGCTGTAGGATCAACACTCCACTCCAAAAAAACCACAATTACTTTTGCACCAGCCTAATAGAATAGCTCCACTTTTACCTATGTCAAAAGGGTTTTTTTTTAAAAAAAAAACAAAAACAAAAACTTTTTTTGAGACAAGATCTCGCTCTGTCACCCAAGCTGGAGTGCAGTGGCACCATCACGGCTCACTGCAGCCTTGACCTCCTGAACCCAAGCAATCCTCCCACCTCAGCCTCATGAGTAGCTGGGACTATAGGCATGTACCACCATGCCCGGCTACTTTTTAAAAAAAATTTTTTACAGGTGGAATCTCCCTATGTTTCCCACGCTGCTCTCAAAGCAACCCTCCTGCCTCAGCCTCCAAAAGTGCTGGGATTACAGGCATGAGCCACTGAACCCATCCTTTTTATTTATTTATTTATTTATTTATTTATTTATTTATTTTTATTTTTTTTCAAGACGGAGTCTCGCTCTGTCGCCCAGGCTGGAGTGCAGTGGCGCGATCTCTGCTTACTGCAAACACCACCTCCTGGGTTCACGCCATTCTCTTGCCTCAGCCTCCCAAGTAGCTGGGAACACAGGTGCCTGCCACGACGCCCGGCCAATTTTTTTGTGTTTTTAGTAGAGACGGGGTTTCACTGTGTTAGCCAGGATGGTCTTGATCTCCTGACCTCGTGATCTGCCCGCCTCAGCCTCCCAAAGTGCTGGGATTACAGGCATGAGCCACCATGCCTGGCCTGAACCCAGCCTTTTTAAACTTTTTAAAACGTCCTATTGTTTCAAAAAATCACCACCCACACACGTTTTAAAAATTTATATTGTGGACAATGGGCATATGTTAAAGAATTTGGAGTAGGGGAGTTGATATATTTGACTTAAATATGTATCTGACTGTTATATGGAGAATGAATTATAAGAGGGCATGATTGAAGGCAGAAACCAATGAGAAGTCCAGGAAAGAAAATGAGGTGGCTTAGACTGGGGTGAAAGCTATGGAAGTGGTGAGAAGTGATGGGAATAAGCCTATGTTGAAGTAGAATTGGCAGGATGCAGTGATGGATTGGGGTGCAGGAGGTAAGGAGAAGATGTCAAGGATGACTTCTAGGTTTACTGCTTAAGGCCACTTGTTGAGTGTCATTTCCTAAGGTGGGGAAGTCTGATTTGGGCAAAACTTGAGTTCAGTTTTGGCTAGATTTTTTTGGGATATCAGTGAGACATCCAAGTGGAAATGTCATGTAAGTGGTTGGCTGTATGAGTCTGGAGTTGAGAGAAGAGGTGTGGAGTGGTGCTGGGAATCGGGATTCATCATCAATGAAACTGAATGAGGTTGCCTGAGGACTGAGTGCAGGTAGAGAAGAAGAGGGAATCTGGGGACTAAGTCCTGGGACATTGCAATGTTTAGAGAGCTGAATGATTAGAAGGGCTTGGCAAAGGAGAGTGAGGAACAGCAGCCAGTGAGGTAGGAAATCCAGGAAAGTGTGAAGGAGTTCCAAAAGCCCAGTGAGAAAAGAGTTTCAAGAAGGACTGAGTGATCAGTGGAACAAATGGTGCTAAGAAGCATAGTGATAGACAATTGACCATTGGGATTGGTAAACTGGAGGAAATCAGGGACCTTGACAAGAACAGCTTTTGTGAAGTGATAGGGATGGAAGCTAGATTGGAATGGGTTGAAAATGAACAGATTAAAAAAGAAGAGTGGCCAGGTGTGGTGGCTCATGTCTATAATCCTGGTGCTTTGGGAGGCCAAGGTGAGAGGATCACTTGAGGCCAGGAGTTCAAAACCAACCTGGGCAATATAGCGAGACCCCTAGTCTCTACAAAAAAAAATAAAATAAAAATTAGCCAGGTGTGGTGGCTCATGCCTGGGTCCAGCTACACAAGAGGCGGAGGCAAAAAAAAAAAAAAAAGTAAATGGGAAGTAAAACATTGAAGCCATGCGTGTAGACAATTATTTTAAGAGTTGTGTCTTGTTTTAGGAGGGTGGAAATAAGTTCAGTTTGAGGCAGGTTGAATCTGAGATACCTATAAGACGTCCAGACAGAGTGTCCAGTTAGGCAGATAGATATACAGCCCTGAAGCACAGGAGAAAAATAGGGCCTTTGTAGATACAGATTGGCAAGTCAGTCATTCAATAGGTAATCACTGAAGCTCTGGGATCTGATGAGTTGGAAGGAAGACAGTTATGGTGGTGAATAAAGATACACAGCCAAGTGCAGTGGCTCATTCCTGTAATCCCAGCACTTTTGAGGCCAAGGCTGGAGGACTGCTTGAGGCAAAGACTTCCAGACCAGCCTGGGAAACATAGGGAAACTCCACCTCTATAAAAAATAAAAAATCTAGCCTGGTGTGGTGGTGCATGCCTGTAGTCCCAGCTACTTGGGAGGCTGAGGTGAGAGGATTGCTTGGGCCTGGGAGGTCAATGAACAGTGAGCCGTGATCATACTACTGCACTTCAGCTTGGGTGACAGAGCGAGACCTCATCTCAAAAAAAAAAAAAAAAAATACAGAGAATTGGGTGGAGCAAGTTAAAAGTTGAGGAAATTCCTGGCTGATGACCTGATAGGAGCTAGTTAGATTTATTCTATCCTAAAGACTTAAAGCCGGTCCATGAAAGGCAGGTGGGAAGACTTTTTGAGACCCAAGGCTGTGAGGGAATTAAGAGCTTTATGGTGAAGATGAGTCTGAATGTGGCCTAATTATTGACACTTTATGATCTGGAATCCAATTGTGTGAATGAGGTCATCACTGTATCAAGATACAAAATTAATCACTCAAGTTTTAAAAGAAAATGTAGGGCCAGGTGTAGTGGTTGCACACCTGTAATCCCAGCACTTTGGGAGGCCAAGGTGGGCAGATTGCTTGAGCTCAGGAGCTGGACACCAGCTTAGGCAACATGGCAAAACCCTGTCTCTACAAAAAATACAAAAATTAGCTGGGCATGGTGGCATGCACCTGTAGTCTCAGCTACTTGGGAGGCTGAGGGGGGCGGATCACTTGGGCCCAGGAGATCGAAGCTGCCAACATCACCATTGTACTCCAGCTTGGGTGACAGACCCTGTATTTAAAAAAAAATGTGCATTATAACACCATTTGTATAAAATTTTTAAAACCTCAGAAATTGGGCCAGGAGTGGTGGCTCACGCCTGTAACCCCAGCACTTTGGGAGGCCAAAGCGGGTGGATCATTTGAAGCCAGGGGTTTGAGACTAGCCTGGTCAACATAGCCAAACTATCTTTAGTAAAAATACAACAATTAGCTGGGTGTGGTGGTGCACTCCTGTAGTCCCAGCTACCCTGGAGGCTGAGGCACAAGAATCGCTTGAACCCAGGAGGTGGAGGTTGCAGTGAGCTGAGATCACATCACTGCACTCCAGCCTGAGTGACAGAGTGAGACCTTGTCTCAAAAAACAAAAACAAAACAGAAATAATGGATGCCAAAAAAATCTCAGAAATCAATATTATATTTATGGATATATACTATGTAGTAAAGGTATGAAACCATACCATAGGAAGGACCCTCACCAACTACCAACTTGAGGATAATGGTTGCCAATGGGGAGGGTAAAAGGGGAATGGATGGGGAGAATGCTAATCGTGTTTGCAATGTTTTCTTTCTTCTTTTTTTAAAAAAGGATCTAGGTCAAGACCAGCCTGGCCAACATGATGAAAGCTCGTCTCTACTAAAAATACACACACACACAAAAAACAAAAACAAAAAACTAGCCACGCGTGGTGGTGGGCGCCTGTAATCCCAGCTACCCGGGAGGCTGAGGCAGAGAATTGCTTGAACCTGGGAGGCGGAGATTGCAGTGAGCTGAGATCGCGCCATTGCACTCCAGCCTGGGCGACACAGCGAGACTCTGTCTCCAAAAAAAAAAAAAAAAAAAAAAGATCTAGGGTAAATATGACAAAAAGTGAACATCTGTTAAATCTGGGTTGTGACTTCATAAAGTGCTTATTATGATGGTGCCAACCTCACTGGGATGTTGTGAAGAATGAGATAATCAATCTAAAGTGCTTTGAACAGGCCGGGCATGGTGGCTCACGCCTGTAATCCCAGCACTGTAATGGTCTCAAAATAAGTAAATAAGTGCTTTGAACAGGACTGGTACATATAGACCCAGTAAGTATGAATCATTAGAATCAGCTGTTATTGTTTCTATACTTTGTTTCAAGGGTTTCTGAATCAAACATATTTAAAACCAAAAATAGCAACTCCATGTAAAAAGGCCACTATTAACTGCTGAGCACGTTCAGCTCAGATAGGACTATCAGGAAAACAGTAAAATGACATTTATTACGAGTCACTTGATCTAACTGCAGTGAGAAATGGACAATGCTGCAGAGGCATCAAAAGGAAATGCAGGCGGGGCACCATGGCTCACACCTGTAGTCCCAGATATTCTGGAGGCTGAGGTGGGAGAATTGCTAGAGCCCAGGAGGTTAAGGCTATAGTGTGCTATGACCACAACTGTGAACAGCCACTGCACTGCAGCTTGGACAACATAGAGACAACCCTCTTAGTTTTAGTTTTTTTTGTTTTGTTTTGTTTTGTTTTTTAAAAAAAAAGGCCAGGCATGATGGGTCACGCCTGTAATTTCAGCACTTTGGGAGGCCGGGGCCAGTGGATCACTTGAGGCCAGGAGTACGAGACCAGCCTGGGCAACATGGTGAAACCCGGTCTCTACTAAAAATACAAAAATTAGCCCGGCATGGTGGCGCATGCCTGTAATCCCAGCTACTTGGGAGACTGAGGGAGGAGAACTGGTTGAATCTGGGAGGTGGAGGTTGCAATGAGCTGAGATTGTGCCATCGCACTCCAGCCTGGGCGACAGAGCTATACTCCATCTCAAAAAAGAAAAAAAAAGCATGGTCCAGGGAACAGACAGGACTTGCTTGATGTTGCCTAGCCACTCAGTGGCAGGTGGGGGAACAGACAGAACTTGCGTGCCCTAATTTTTCTGTAGGGCCTTCATGCTTTTTTCACGACCACTCTGCCTTCCTGGCCCTTCAGACTCTAAGCTCTTCACCTTGGAAACAAGGTTAGCTGCCCTGGGATGCTGCTCCCTTCAAAAGAATTCATCTCCTCTATGCAATACATCATCTCATCAGCCTCCACAGGAGTTTTTTTTTTTTGAGACGGAGTCTCACTCTCACCCAGGCTGGAGTGCAGTGGCGTGATCTCAGCTCACTGCAAACTCTGCCTCCCAGGTTCAAGCAATTCTCCTGCCTCAGCCTCCTGAGTAGTTGGGATTACAGGTGTGCACCACCATGCCTGGCTAATTTTTGTATTTTCAGTAGAGATGGGGTTTCACCATGTTGGCCAGGCTGGTCTCCAACTCTTGGCCTCAAGTTGATCCACCCGCCTTGGCCTCCCAAAGTGTAGGGATTACAGGCGTGAGCCATCACGCCTGGCCCCTGGAGTTTTGCCCAGGTTGGTCCAGAGAGGTAGCCTTCTTTTATGATGGCTCTGCTCTAGCAGCATGCATTACTGAACCTTGGAAAGACAGAGAACAGTCCTAATATGTAGCCAAGGGCCTGAGTTTTCAGTCCTAGAATGATCAAAGCAAGCATCTGATGGCTACACATGATGCATATGGAGGTGAGGATGTGGGCCGGGGGGTGGGGGGTGGGGGCATTGCAAGCAGTAGCGGACCTGCAAGGCCCAAGAGCAATGAGGGGCCAGATAGGACAAAAGGTTGAAGGGGAGAGTAGTTGCCAGACAGGCCAGCGGGGAGCACCAGGAAGCCGCTGAGAGGATACGATGGGGGTTAAGAGAGGGTGGGTGGAGACTGAAGGTAGTGAGCTGCTGAGCCAGGCAGTTATTTAATTACTCCAACTTTGCCTTTTTTCAGAAGTGATTTCAGGTAGCTTGCCAGGGCACACAAGGTATGTCAAGGCAGCATAAATTAAAGATAGAAAAGCAGGGGAGGGTGGACACAAAATACGGCCAAGCATCAGGCTACAGATACATACCATAAAAACCTCTGCTCCCACAAAGGGTGGGCCAAAAAGTTGGCTCTAACTAAAGCTTTCTAGCAGCCAACAGGGAAGGGGAAACCTTGTTGTTATACAATTCACAATGTCCAGGAGATAAAAACAAACGAATCGCTCAGAAGGGCAAGTGTTTTCAGTACTAAGATCAGACAGGAATTCCTCCCGGGGGTCCTCAGAGACGATACTGTGGGATACAATGAACAACATCCTTGACAACATCCTTTCAATAGCGGTAGCAACAAGTTTCAAAGGGCTGTTTTTCATAAGGACCCTCAGGATCAACTGCCTGTATCCCACCGCAGCCAGGCAATTAGGAGCTAAAAATAGCATGTGAAGATACAGAGCAGTGTGTCTAGTATGTTCACATTGGAGGGAAATGAGAGGGTTATATATAGGTATGCATATGCATGGAACTCCTCTGGAAGAATACATTGGTAACAGTGGTTGCCTCTAGGGAGAGGAAGTGGAGGACTGTGCCCTGGGATAGGAGAGAGACTTCCTTTTCATCGTATACAATTTTATACTGCCTGGATTTTTGTTAACCATGGCTTATTTTTTCAATAAAAGCATTGGTTACTAAAATAATAATGGCATTCAGGGATCAGAAGGTCAGCTGGATTTTCTCTCTGAGCCACAGCCAGGCTGAGGATGTCTAAAGTTATCCTTGATGTTTCAGGAAAGAAGGAAAGTAACATTTATTGAGCAACTCCTGGATGCTAAGGGGCTTTCATTGACATGATCTTATTTAATCCACACAATAAGGTGCCTCGTAGACAATCAGCTCAGTTTGCCTGGAGCACACACATGAATTACACTGTTTAGTTTTCTTCCTGCAATTGGCATTTAAAAGAAATGAGCAATTAGGAAGAAAACAAGCAGCTATGGGGAATTAAAGAAAGCAGTTGTCAATGGGAGGGACTACCCATGAACTACCCACTCAGCTCAGCCTCTTCAACTTACTTTTCCCCCATCTCCTTGTCTGGGCTAATGGTGTTCAGACTGACAATCTTATGGTGGCCAGACCTCAGTCAGAAAATCAAGATTCACCCACAGTCAGGGCAGCCCGATCAAAACCAGGATGCACAGGTGAATTTGAATCTCAGAAAAAGAACGTTTTGGTATATGTCCCCAGTGTTGCATAGCTTTGTGACCATCTGGTGGCAGTGAAAATCCCAGCTCTGTACTGGCCTTTTCTGAAACCTGGTGGGAGATTGGAAATACCTTCTTGTAACCTGGCTTCCCACTTGGCCCTTGCTGACATGGGTGGGGTGGGGCCAGTTGGCTTTGTGGTGTTTGGTTATTGTCTAAAGGTTTTATGTCTTGATAGGCTGCCTCTTGCCTGGTCCTTTCCCTAGAGAGAGCCAGATTTTGTTAGGGCTTTTTTTGTGTGTACCCACTGGAGTTTCTGGGTAGCCAGTCTCTCTAGAACCCAGTCTGGGATATGTGAGGCAAAAAGAAAACCCGGGGAACTCACTGCCTCAGGTCCTGAGGTCTCTACTGGATCTGCCTTCTCTCCATCTTTCGGAGTCTTATGGTTCAATATATAATGTCCAGACCTGTTATCTGACATCCTATATTTTTATTTTCTTTAAAAAAAAAATTTTTTTTTGAGACTGAGTCTCACTCTGTTGCCCAGGCTGGTGTGCAGTGGCGTGATCTCAGCTCACTGCAACCTCTGCCTCCCAGGTTCAAGTGATTCTCCTGCCTCAGCCTCCTGAGTAGCTGGGATTATAGGTGTCTGCCACTATGCCCAGCTAATTTTTTTTTTTTGAGACAGAGTTTCGCTCGTTGCCCAGGCTGGAGTGCAATGGCGTGATCTCGGCTCACTGCAACCTCTGCCTCCCAGGTTCAAGCGATTCTCCTGCCTCAGCCTCCCAAGTAGCTGGGATTACAGGGATGCACCACCATGCCCGGCTAATTTCTTTTTTGTATTTTTAGTAGAGACAGGGTTTCTCCACGTTGGTCAGGCTGGTCTCAAACTCCCGATGTTAGGTGATCTGCCCGCCTTGGCCTCCCAAAGTGCTGGGATTACAGGCGTGAGCCACCGCGCCAGGCCCATGCCCAGCTAATTTTTGTATTCTTAGTAGAGACGGGGCTTCACTATGTTGGTTGGCCAGGCTGGTCTCGAACTCCTGACCTCAAGTGATCTGCCTGCCTCAGCCTCCCAAAGTGCTGGGATTACAGGCGTCAGCCACTGCACTCGGCCTTTTTTTTAATTTTTGTTTTTTTGAGATGGAGTCATGCTCTGTCACCCAGGCTGGAGTGCAGTCGTGCGATCTCAGCTCACTGCAACTTCTGCTGCCCAAGTTCAAGTGATTCTCCCGGCTCAGCCTCCTGAGTAGCTGGGATTACAGGCATGTGCCACCATGCCTGGCTAATTTTTGTATTTTTAATAGAGATGGGGTTTCGTCATGTTGGCCAGGCTGGTCTCAAACTCCTGACCTCAATTGATCCGCCCACCTCAGCCTCCCAAAGTGTTGGGATTACAGGCGTGAGCCACCGCGTCTGGCCTGTATTTTTATTTTCTAAATCTGGCAACTCTATCCAGGATCCCTATTACCAGCTGAGGGAGCAAAGAGGATTTGGGAATTTTGGATGAATTTTCGACCACAAAGGGTGGAACAGCAAGAAGCTTCTGCTCAACCCCTATTAACTCAGGAAATCCAGGGTTTTTTTTAGGGAATTAAGCTGACTGGCCAATTTTCTTGCCTATTTATGTTAATCAAAGTTTTGCTGTGCTTCTAGAACCTTGGCAAACTTTCCTTCCCATATATTTGCCAGTGACATTGAGTTTGTGCTAATGAGGCCCTCTGCTGTCTGCAGAGAGAAGGGCAATTTCATAAATCTAGAGGCTGTAGCAAATTTCTCTGCAGAGGAACAAGGTGGATCAGGAGTTCATAAATTACATTCAATTATGAGAGTAGCTGATCCCAAAACTTTGTGGAACTGTAATGCCCTAGATCTGTTTAATTTCAAGATACTGTATCCTCACAGAAATGTGACATAGTTTGAAAATGAAGGTTATGTCAAACTGTATTTGGACATTTGGTGACAAGCTCTCCCAGGAACCCCCAAATTGGGGTACTGGGAGCCATCTCGGGACTTCACTGAGGCAGCCTGGGCATAGCAGTCAGTGGCATTTGCCAAAGGGAAGAAAGGGCTCACAGAGGCCGAGCTAGGATGTGCACCTGTGCTAGCCCAGAGCCCTCCAGGGCCCTTACTCCACCATACTGAGAGGGAAGTAGAATAGTGTTCAAACTATGGGGCCAAGTGAACCTCAACCCGTAGAGAGGGGCTGGCTTTCCCATCATCATTGCTTTCTGCTCCATCCAGGCCTTTGCTGATGGAGTCCTGAGTAGGGGCACAAAGGGAGGCAGAGAGAGGTGGTGGGAGCTGTCACACCGCATACTCCCAGGAAGTACTGAGAAGGACACCACCCACAGTACAGCCACTCTCCTCCTTGGAGCTTTTCCTTCCCTCCCTTCAACCCAGGAGAACAAACTTACAAAAAGTACTTACTCCCTAGTCCTCCCCTGAAGGGAGGAAGGAAGGGAACTAACACTTACTGAGTGCCAGGAACCTTATCAGGTAATTTACATAATTTATATCATTTAGTGTTCACAGTAGCCTTAATAATAATAATAAGGATAGTAACACTTACCCTTGTTTGAGGGCTGGCTTATATGCCAAGCACCGCTGTTCACTTCATCCTTCACCACGTAATTCCTCCCTCTCTTCATCTCTCTCTCTCTGCTTTTCTTTGTTCCTACTTCCTTCTTTTCTTTCTCCTTCCTTCCTTTCTCCTTTTTTCCCTCCCTCCCTCCTTCCTTTCTCCTTCCTTCCTTCCGTTCTTTCCTTCTTTCCTTCTCTCCTTCCTTCTTTCCTTCCTTCTCTCCTTTCTCTTTCCTTCTCTCTTTCCTTTCTCTTCCTTCTCTTTCCTTCTTTCTCTTTCCTTTCCCTCCCTCCCTCTCTCCCTTCCTTCCTTCCCTTCCTTCCTTCCTTCCTTCCTTCCTCAGGGTCTCACTCCGTTGCCCAGGCTGAAGTGCAGTGGCATGATCATGGCTCACTGCGGCCTTGAGCTCCTAGGCTCAAGCAATCCTCCCACCTTAGCCTCCTGAGTAGCTGGGACTAACTAACATGTGCACCACCTTGCCTGGATAATTAAAAATATATATTTTGTAGAGACAGGCTCTTACTATGTTGCCCAAGCTGGTCTCAAACTCCTGGCCTCAAGCAATTCTCCTGCCTCGGTCTCCCAAAGAGCTAGGATTACAAGCCTGAGCCACCATGCCCAGCCTGAGTTGTTTCTCCTAAACCTCACAACATCATGCCGAGGTCAGTGCTGTTATTACCTTGTTATAGATCATACAGCCAAGAAGTTATAGAGCTGGGATTTGAAATCAGGTTCAACTCCAAATCCCATACTCTTAACCACTACATTGCACTTCTGGGAATTAATGTAATTCAAATTTGAATCAAGGTCTGTGAAGAACTTTCTAACCTAAGGTGCCTAGGTGAGGAAGTCAGACAGATGTGCAAGAACCCATATGCACACACACAGTCTGGAAAGAACTTTGAGCCAGAGTGGGTCTCAAGCTGTCAGTGCCCACTGCTAAGCAGGCCAGGTAAACGCCTCCAGGCAATGATTACTCTTGTGTGTAGTAAAGTAGTGGCTGGAAGAGGACAAGAGGGGACTTCTGGTTTTTTATCTGGATGACAGGTATGTTCAGTGTCTGAAAATTCATTGAGCTATAATTTTTTTTTCTTTTGAGATAGGGTCTTGCTCTGTCACCAAGGCTGTAGTGCAGTATCATGATCTCAGCTCACTGCAGCCTCAACCTCCTGGGCTCAAGCAATCCTCCCAGCTCAGCCTCCTAAGTAGCTGGGACCATAGGCACATGTCACCACACCTGGCTAATTTTTTAAGATTTTTTGTAGAGATGGGGTTTCACTATGTTGTCCAAGCTGGTCTTGAACTCCTGGGCTCAAGCGATCCTCCCGCCTCAGCCTCCCAAAATGCTGGGATTATAGGCATGAGCCACCGCACCCAGCTTAGCTATAAATGTAAGCATTGTGCACTTTCTGCTTTTTTAAAGGCATGTAACATTCTAGGAAGATAAAGTAGTTCCTTGTGGTGAGTTCCTTGGGTTTTCACTTTTTTTTCTTTTTTGGGTGTGCTTTTTGCCTCCTATATCCCTGACTTGGAGCTGAAGAAGCTGACAACATGGAAATGCCAATGGGTTTAGACCAAAACAAAGTCTTCTCTCTCAGCAAAGGACCAGAAAAAGGGCAGCCTAGAAAGAACGTTTTAAATGCTGATCACTCCATTGTAGCTACACGCCACAAGGAAAATTGTGTCCCGCCCCGCACCAGCAAAGCCTGAGTGGAGAGCAGGGACTTCATGTAACGAGACACCCACCTGCAGCCCCTGCTGGGGTAGGTGTCAGAGAAGTCCAAGTAGGAAGCTGGGACTTTCTTCCCCGCTGAATGGTAACAATATCCTGCCTCCAGTGGTGTCTGTGGAGACCACGTGGAGAGGCTGGACTTCCACCCCTACTAGGCTGTAATAAGGCAAGCCTCCCCTTCCTTGCTGGGGTGGTGTCAGAAGATATAGAGGAATGTTGATTTGACCACCACCTAGCAGTAAGAAGATCACCAGATTATGGGTGAGGCTTCTTACACATATCTCCCAAATTTTCTGTGATGCTGTTGTAAAATATCTATAATTGTTAAAAGACCCATTTTTTTTTCCTTTAGACTCTAAAGTTTAGAGTCTTTTTTTAAAGAAGGAGACATGGTCTCATTGTGTTGCCCAGGCTAGATTTGAACTCCTGGGCTCAAGCAATCCTTCCATCTTAGCCTCCCAAGTAGCTGGGATTACAGGCACTAGAGCCTTCTTTGTTGGCTTCTATTTTTCTCCTTTAGATATCTCATAACCCAAATTTATATCTTCTGCATTTAATACACTTAATTTCTTCACTGTTCCCTAGCTTTCCTTCCATTCCATAACCTCTCCCACTGTGTCCTTGTCCTCTTAAGACAAACACCCAGGATATTTAAGGCTGGCCTAGTTTACAGCCCCGTTGCTTCAGCTTCTTGACTATCTGAAGATGGCATTTGGGCAAAAATGTATTGATGATCAAAACCTCTACTAGCTACAATGGCTGCCTGTTCAGTCCTCCTGGTGAGGTCCCTCAGGCACCTTAAACTTAGCAGTTCCTAAACTTCAGCCTCATCTCCTGTGCTGCTCAGTACCAGCATCCATCAGTCACTCAGGCCAGAAAAATGTAAGTTGTCCTTGACTCCTCCCTCTCTTCCAATCCCTACATTGAAATATCACCAACTTCTGTTGAATTTTCCTCCAAAATATATTGTAAATTGTTCTTCTGTCCCACCAGCACTTTTCTCACCTCAGCCACCTTCCTCTCCCACTTGGGCAACGCACAGCTTCCTAACCAAACTCCTTCCTCTACATTTGCCCCTTCCCAACCCATTCTTCACATTACTGCCAGTCTATTTTAAAATCAAAATCTCATCCTGTTGATGCCCTGTTTAAAATGCTCAATGGCTCCTCTTCACTCCTAGGATAAAATTCAAACTCCCTAGTGTGTCTTACAATTAGGGTTCCTGTATAATTTACTACCAAAATCAGGACCCTTTTGAGAGTGAAGGGGGTTGCTGGTAATAAGTATGCAGGGACAATAGACATATGTACACTCTCCTTATACAGTCCCTTATGATCTAGTCTCACCAGCCCACCCCTCATCACAGCTCTTCATCCTACCCGAAAATACACACACACACACCCCCCCCCCACACACACACACACCCACACACACACACACGCCACTTCCTTTGGGGTGTCCAGGTAAACGTGCTATTCTGCCTGCCTGAAACACCCTTCTCTTCACTCGCTCTTTGGCCAACTTCCAGTCAACTACTTCAAAAGTCAAAGTATTTTTCTCCAGGAAGTCTTTCCTGACTCCCAAGGCTGGCTTGGGTGCCCCCCCGCAACCCCCACACTCCCATAGCATTTTGTTCTTCCCTCATCATAGTACTTATCACACCACATTGTAATTACCCATTTCCCTATCTGTTTCTTCCTCTACATCAAGTGCATCTCAGCGTCAAGGACCACGTTAGGCCGCTTCTGCATTCCTAGCGTCTAGCACAGTGCTTGGTGTGTGAAAATGCACTGAGCTATGCCCTTAGGGCGTGCACACATTCCTGTCTGCTGAATGAGTGTGGACTGGGCACGGTGTTGTCCCGTGGTTGCGGAGGACATACAGGGGAAGAGGGGGCCAGGAGGACCGACAGGTGCCACTCCTTCCACTGCTGCCACTCCTTCCACTGCTGGAGCCCCCAGTCCTGTTGCCCTGGGTGCCCCTTCCCTCCATCCTCTCTGCTAGGCGCCCCCTAGTGGCAGATGGACAGCAGTGACAGGCCCTGTGAACCAGGTGGCGGCGGCAGGAAAGGAAGCGAGTGTGTGCGCGTGGAGGGGGAGGGGGTGTCCTCAGCCAGGAGGCAGCTGTGCAGCCAGTCCTAGGGAAAGCTGGGATGAGGCTTTAGCCAGGGAAGCCCGCCCGTCACCGTGCTCCTTCTCTGCCTCACTGCAGCCCCTCCCACACCACAAAGTCCCCGCCCATTGTTATCATTAGAGGCTCTACCCCAAGAACTTTGAGGGCGATGACTAAAATTGGGCTGTGTGGCTCCAGGCTGCTTACAAGCGGGAAAATCTCTGCTCAGCATATTACCCAGGAGGAATGGATTGGTCAGACCTGGCTGGCCTGTTTTGTTTTATATTCAAACCCTGAATCAGAGCCACACCATGAGTGAGCTCATGGCAACTCTATGGGTGAAGCAACAAGAACCCAGCCGCAGCAGTTAGTGGACACGCCAGAGGGGGGAGGGGTGGGGACTTGGCTAAGAAGATAAAATCTTGAGCCAGTCAGAAAACAACAACAAAAAACACAATGGGGCTGAGGGAATAAGGCCTATTGTCACCCTGTACAGTTTCAGCTATTTTTGCTTCAAAATGAGCTTCCCCTTATTTTTTATAGTTGGCAGCTGAGCTATTGGAGGAATGAATATATTGGGGAAGAAAAGCTCAGGAAAGGGGAAGGATGGGGAGAGAAGTCTGACTGTCAGTGGAGAGTCTCTGGTTTTCCTTAGGGCACGGGGTGGGGGGACAGTAGACCAAGGAGTGGGCATACAGTAGCCCATGAGCAGTGAGGACTAGGGAAGGAGGAGCCACACCCACATGGGCAGGTTTCTGAGTCTCAGGCTCATTCCTGCCTCAGCCTCCCAAAGTGCTGGGATTACAGGTGTGAGCCACCGCACCCACACACTATTTTATTTATTTATTTCCTGGCTCCTAGAACTGAACACTTATTTTAAAAAATAACTTTATAGGACGGGCACGGTGGCTCACGCCTGTAATCCCAGCACTTTGGGAGGCTGAGGCAGGTGGATCACTTGAGGTCAGGAGTTCAAGACGAGCCTGACCAACATGGTGAATCCCCATCTCTACTAAAAATACAAAAATTAGCCAGGTGTGGCGGCGGGCACCTGTAATCCCAGCTTCTTAGAAGGCTGAGGCACGAGAATCACTTGAACCTGGGAGGCGGAGGTTGCAGCGAGCCGAGGTTGCACCACTGCACTCCAGCCTGGGCTAAAGTGAGACTCTGTCTTAAACCCAAACTTTAAAACTTTATAGCAACAAATAGCAGTTGAAGAGTTGTAAAGAGTCAAGTAAATGTTATAAACACAAAAAGAAATGCTCGAGCCAAGATTTTACAGAGTATCAAGCTTTATCTGCCATAATTTGGAGCACAATTTGCTTTATTCTTAAACAAGGAGTCTCAGAGTGGTAAAAAAAAAAAAAAAAAAAAAAAAATCTGCAAGAGAAAAACAAGTCTCCAAACACAGTGGAGGCAAAGCAGAGGGGGAATCTCTGGCTGTAGCACTCTTGCTTTTTAAACCACCACTGCCAAGACAGAAGCCACTTGTTTCAAACAGCAGCATCCATTCTATGTCATACCCCCTCACCTCCCTGCATTCTCAGGACCAGAGAAGAAGCTCAGCAACTCTGTAAGTTGGTGCCTCTATAAAAGATTTTTTTCATCTAAGTTGGGGCTGCTAGTCCTGGTCTTCTTTCCAGATTTGGATACCAAGTGTTTTCTGCTGAAAGTGTTAACTTGTATACTAATCGCATGTAGCCCTTAACAACCTGAAGGCATTAAAATCATAAAAAGCCTGAAATCCCAGAAAAGCATCATTTTCCTATTGCCATGCCCTCCTGCCATCTCATCCTTACTAGTTCTCAGTTGTGGGGGAGAACAAAGAGGCCTCTTAAAGGGAATCTGGTTATTGGAGGCACCTACCTTACAAAAAACTTGAAGTGAGGCTGAGGGGAGGAAGCTTTGCATTACTGCCCTGGGGACCACCACTCATAGAGATGTTGAGTAAACACATTCTGTGTGTGAAAAGCAGCCATTACATTAGGTCAGGAAACAGAGCCAGCCTCCTACCCCTGCTTTAGTCTGTACCTCCATTCTTCAGACAGGTGTTCAAGGGCAATCATGTAGCTATCACAACTAGAGTTTCTTGTCAACTGTGCTCGCTGCAACTCCACTTAGCTTTGGTGCTGCCTCCTCCTCATGCCCTGGCAGGTCTGCTCCTGCTACTATTCCCCACAGTCAAGAACTGCTTTGAGGCTAGGCACCGTGGCTCATGCCTGTAATCCCAGCACTTTGGGAGGCTGAGGCGGGTGGATCACCTGAGGTCGAGAGTCCGAGACCAGCCTGGACAACATGGTAAAACACCATCTCTACTAAAAATACAAAAATTAGCCAGCTACTTGGGAGGCTGAGGCAGGAAAATCACATGAATCCGGGAGGCGGAGGTTGCAGTAAGCCGAGATCGTGCCACTGCACTCCAGCCTGAGCAACAGAGCGATGCTCTGTCTCAAAAAACAAAAACAACAAAAACAAAAAACAACTGCTTTGAAAGGGATCAAAGTTGGGGACTGGGCCTTTTTTGAATAATCTCAAAACCTCATCCTAGGAAATGAATTACCCAAAGGGGCCCACAAGAGAGATCTTAATGTCAAAATATTCTGTAACAATGAGACCTGACCCACTGATCCAATACTTTAGGAAATAGCATGATGAGCAAGTGAAGGCATTGGTGCTTCACATCAGCTTCTCCCAGAGCAAAAATCTGAGATTAAAGAGGTCTAGAGGGTTAGAGGCGCACATTTCATAGTATACTTTAGTCCCTCCTGAATCACTTTTATCAAAGAGCTAGCTGTAAAATAGATATCCCGATATCCAACAAAAGCAAAAACAAAATAAACAAAAGTAGACCTGGGCTTCACAAATAAGGAAGCACTCTTCATGAAGCTCTGTAGCCATGTAGCTTCCCAAAGTAAAAGAGCACCCTTATTTGATGATGGGCCAAGAAACTCACTCACTTAAGGCCGCCATGGTGGCTCATGCCTGTAATCCGAGCACTCTGTGAGGCCAAGGTGGGCGGATCACTTGAGGCCAGGAGTTTGAGACCAGACTGAGCAACATGGCAAAACCCTGTCTCTACTAAAAATACAAAAATTAGCTAGGTGTGATGGTGCACACCTGTAATCCCAGATAACCTGTAATCCCTCTCGAGGCTGAGGCAGGAGAATCACTTGAATCCAGGAGGTGGAGGTTGCAGTGAGCCAAGATCGAGCCACTGCACTCCAGCCTGGGTGACAGAGCAAGAGAAAGATGAAAGACAGAAAGAAAGACAGACAGACAGACAGAGAGAGAAAGAGAAGGAAGGAAAGAAAAGAAAGAAATGAAGAAAGAGAGAGCTAAAGGGAAAGAAAGAAAGAGAAAAAAAAGGAAAGAAAGAAGGAAACTTAAAATTTTGGAATGCATAATAATTCATCCTTAAATTTTGCACATTTACCTTCTCAAAATAGTTCTTATTTAGCAGGGATGAAAGTAAATGCCCAGCCGGGCACCAGTGGCTCACACCTGTAATCCCAGCACTTTGGGAGGCTGAGGCGGGCAGATCACCTGAGGTCAGGAGTTCAAGACCAGCCTGACCAACATGGTGAAACCCTGTCTCTACTAAAAATATAAAATTAGCTGGGCATGGTGGCACATGCCTATAAATTCTAGCTACTCAGGAGGCTGAGCAGGAGAATTGCTTGAACCCGGGAGGCGGAGGTTGCAGTGAGCCAAGATTGCACCATTGCACTCCAGCCTGGGCAACAAGAGCGAAACTCCATCTCAAAAAAAAACCAAAAAATCAAAAAAAACAAAGAAAGTAAATGCCAAACGTATGTCAATTACTGATGAATGGAAGGAAATTATCACATTTGGCAAAATTAGTTCAAAATGAATAAATCACAGAAATTCTCCTCCCATAAGAAAATACCTAATTTGGATCTTCAGGAGTAAGAACCAGAGATCCACCAGACATTATACATGCTATAATTTAGGTATACTGCACAGAATTACACTCTTATCACATTCTCAGTAAACTCCAGACATCTTAGTCTTACAGTTGAATAAAACTGCTGCCAATGTCTTCTCTTGGTTTAACAATGAAGCTAACGTAGTTTGGAAACAAATAAGAGCTATCAATGGACAGCAAGACATCTATCTAAACCAAACCTTTAGCAGAGAGATCAGTACAGATTATGTATGATACAGACCCCAAATCACACAGGTACACACACTTTATTAGTTTCCTCTACAAGAGACAATAACATCAATCTTTTTTAACAGGAATCTCAGTTCATTTGAGAGGCCAAATAGATCCAAAGAAGGAAGATGAAAATTAAATACTTAAATTAATCAAAAGGCACTACGATACCACCTAAAACCTACTGCCTCAGTGGCAGTAGGCTAAGGAAGATCAAGCTACAGCACATCATCTAATATGAATGTTAGCAATTACATAGCAGGAAGCATGTTTGCTTTCCAGAAGACTATGGTACAATGTTCATTTGGGCCCAAGAGGATATTTGGCCAGGAAAGGATCAAGATAGATGAAGGTAAAGCCAAATCGAAAGGGATAGGTACAAAGGAGAATCCAAGCTACATAGTCAAGCAGATGGTGATGGATCAGGCTTCTTCCTCCCAAGAAACATTTGCTGCACTGTGCTGCCTCCCCCCTCAACCACCCCCCACCCCCCACCCAATGTCTGCTCAAGCTGAGCTGCCTGCTCCTGCCTTACAGGGTGCTCAGCTACCAGGACTAGGTTTGGGGTTGCCCAGGGCTCTTGCTATAATTTAGCATAGACCTTGGGGAGAACTGGTCACACATGGGTTGCCTTTGTTGCTAGTTGTTCTCAACAAAGAAAACCCTGAAGCATTCACATACAAAGTAGTCTGAGCTTCCCCAGTCACAGTCAAACACCCTCACACAACATCCTCAAAAGTCTGAAATCTTGCAGCAGCTGAGCTATAGTTAAAGCTGCAAGGCCCACAGAATTATCAAGGAAGCCAGAATGAGATAATGCAGGTAGGAGGTCCCAGCAGTTAATCTCAATCCGTCTTTCCCCAGTTCGGATAAGCTCTAATATACCTGATGTGGGATGTAGAAAGCTACACTGGAGCAAGCCGGGTCTTCTGCTGAATTTGTCATCAAATACCAAGGGGAAACAAGGGTGGGGTGGATTTTATTCTCAAAAAGCCTCAGAAGTTACTCTATTATAAAGGGACATGGCTGAATAGGTAAGAAACGGATTCTCCATTGTGAGTTCTCCTGATGGCTTCTGCAAGGATCATAGAGATGTCAATCACCTAGAAAGGCAAGAAAGGAAATCAGGTTACTATCATATGGTCAGAGATGACTGGCCAATTTGCAGACACTGATGAGCAGCCAGGCAAGTGCCCTTCCTCTTAAAACTGCAACACTGTGCTGTTTCCCTGTCATGAGGCTGCACTCAGCTATTCTTCATAACATTTTTAAGATAGCCACTTACGGCTGGGCACGGTGGCTCACACCTGTTAATCCCTGCACTTTGGGAGGCCAAGGTGGGCAGATCACTTGAGGCCAGGAGTTGGAGACCAGGCTGGCCAACATGATGAAACCCCGTCTCTACTAAAAATACAAAAATTAACCAAGCATGGTGTGGCACACGCCTGTAATCCCAGCTACTCGGGAGGCTGAGGCATGAGAATTGCTTGAACCTGGGAGGTGGAGGTTGCGGTGAGCCAAGATCGTGCCACTGCACTCCAGCCTGGGTGACAGAGCGAGACTCTGTCTCAAAACAACAAAACAAAACAAAACAGCCACTTAGGAAAGAGTCAAAATGCTAACTGAGAAAAAACGCTGACTTTGGTTCATCAAAATGGCTGGGCACTGTGGCTCACACCTGTAATCCCAGCACTTTGGGAGGCCAAGGTGGGAGGATCACTTGAGCCCAGGAGTTTGAGTCCAGCCTGGGCAATATGGTGAAACTCTGTCTCTACAATAAAACAAAAATTAGCCAGGCGTGGTTGTGGTGTATGCCTGTAGTCCCAGCTACTTGTGAGGCTAAGGCAGGAGGATCGCTTGAGCCTGGGAGTTTGAGGCTGCAGTGAGTCAAGATCAGGCCACTGCACTCCAGCTTAGGCAACAGAGTGAGACCCTGTCTAAAAAAAAATGGTGGTAGGTTCGCATTTAAAAATCCTTCTGAATAGGCTGGGCGTGGTGGCTCATGCCTGTAATCCCAGCAGTTTGGGAGGCCGAGGTGGACGGATCACCTGAGGTCAGGAGTTCAAGACCAGCCTGAGCAACATGGAGAAACCCCATCTCTACTAAAAATAAAAAATTAGTCAGGCGTGGTGGCACATGCCTGTAATCCCAGCTACTTGGGAGGCTGAGGCAGGAGACTCACTTGAACCTGGGAGGCTGAGGTTGCGGTGAGCTGAGATCGTGCCATTGCACTCCAGCCTAGGCAACAAGAGCAAAACTCCATCTCAAAAACAAAAAACAAACAAACAAAAAAACCTTATGAAGGAAAAAAAAAAGACTAAGTTGAAAAAAAATCCTTAAGAATGACATCACCTGTAATCTCAGCACTTTGGGAGGCTGACACAGGAGGATAGCTTGAGGCTAGGAGTTTGAGACCAGCCTGGGCAACATAGGGAGACCCCGTCTCTACACATAATATCAAAAAAATTAGCTGGGCATGGTGGTGCACGCCAGCCACTTGGGAGGCTGAGACAGGATGATTGCCTGAGCCTTCAAAGTTGAGGCTGCAGTGAGCTTTGATTGCGCACTCCGGCTGGGGCAACAGAGCAAGATCCTATCTCAAAAAAAAAAAAAAAAAAGATGATAATCCTCCAATTACACATATTAATTTCAAAAAGCTCATAGATTAATGTGAACATTTTTAATTAAGCAAGGCCTTGTTCTTTTAGTGCAAGAGCACTCAAACTTTAGTTTCTAACAATTACTTGGGGAATTACTTTAAAATACTGGTTCCAGGACCTCTGGTTTTATAGGTCTTAGATGGAGCAAAGGAATCTACATTTTAATAAGAACCTTAGGTCCAGAGCACACTGAGAAACACTAAAGTTGGTAGAAGTGTACAATCAGTTTAAAGGTTTCACATTATATCTACAGGGGCCGATAGTTAACAGACAAACACATACTGTAAAGTATGGACTTGAAAACTTTAATTTGCATCAGAATCACTGGGAGAACCTGTTAAAATGTAGAATCTTAGGCTCCATCTTCCAGAGATTCTGAGGTGTAGCAATTTAAACTTTTAAACAGGTGATTTTCCCAAGGCTTGGCAGTTTGAAAAGAAAAAAAAAAAGGAAAAGAAACAGGTGATTGTTAACTTTTGGATCACAAATTCTGATGACAAGACTAAATCCTTCAGACCAAAGAAAGATATCTTCAGAATCCAGAGACCTAATTCAACGTAAGTAACCACCTCCTAAACACTTAGAAAAGTCTTGTTTTGCACAAATCTCATCCTCACCTGTATTTTGGAGCAATGCTTCATCTTGTCCTCCTGAGGTATGGTATTGGTGACTACTACTGCCTCAAAGCATGCGTTGTTGATGCGAGAAATAGCAGGACCGGAGAAGATTCCATGAGTCAAGATGGCATAAACTCTGGTGGCGCCAGCTGAGAGAAGTCTAGAGGGAAAAAATGTTGATTTGGATTCATCTTACTTGTCATTGCAGAATTTTAGTCAGGGAGGAGTATATTAGCCTGCTTAGGCTTCCACAACAAAATATCATATGAAAAAAAATAAAAAAATAAAAAATATTATAAGGCACAGTGGGTTAGGGGAAAAATTTTTTTAAGGAAAAGAAAATACCATAGAATGGGTGGCTTAAATAACAGAAACAAATTTTTCACAGTTCTGGAGGCTTAAAGTCCAAGATCAAGGTGCAGACAAAGTAGGTGTCATGCTGAGGCCTCTTCTCTTGTAGGTGGCCACCACTTTGCTGTGTGCTCAGATGACCTCTTTGTGTGTGAGTGTGAGTGTGTGTGCACGCATGCGTGCGCATGGGGAAATGCTGGCCAGTTCTCCAGCATTCTCTTCTTATAAGGGCATTCATCCCATTGTAAGGGCTCTGCCCTAGTGACCTCATCTAATCCTAAATACGTGCCCCTCAAGGTAACTCCAAATACCATCACATTGGGGTTAGGCCTCAACATATATGAATTTGGGGAGGACACAATTCAGTCCATATCGAGAAAGAACTGCACTAAGAACTTATCTGAATAGGTCTGAATTAGTGTCAAAGGACTCTGGCATAGACTGTTGCACTTAACAAAATCCACTTCCTCTTCTTTCTGGGCACATAGCTGAACTACATTTCCCAGCCTCCCTCACATAGTTCAGTGTGGCCATGTGGCTTAATTCTGGCTATTAAAATGTGGGCAGACACAATGTACATCAGTTTTTGGTTGGACTTAACAAAAATCTTCCAGGGGTGATCCTCTGTGTTCTTTTCCTTTTCTGGCTGGCCAAAATTGAAATGTCTTCCAAGGTAATCTTGGAAACCCCATGTTAAAGATATAGCACCAAAGATTGAAAGAATCTGAGCT
The DNA here is from genome assembly GCF_000001405.40 of Homo sapiens. Taxonomy (NCBI): domain Eukaryota; kingdom Metazoa; phylum Chordata; class Mammalia; order Primates; family Hominidae; genus Homo; species Homo sapiens. The sequence continues at coordinate 107,646,683 of NC_000023.11, read as the reverse complement.
CCTAACTATTGCTTAGAAAAAATGAGTCCAACAAGAACACTTGCATTGGAGTGTGCCATGGACAAGAAGGAAACTATCATGTTAGGGAGTTGATCTGTTATAGCGACTAGTATTCCCGTACTTGTACAAGGATGAAATGGGTTTTATGAATGTTTACTCCAGGATCCCAAACCAAGAATCATTCACCCCAATTTTTTTTTAGCACCTATTATGTGCCAGGCACTGTGCAAGGCACAGACACAAGAAAGTTTAAAAAAACCATTCTCAGGGCTGGGTGCTGTGGCTCACAGCTGAAATCCCAGCACTTTGGGAGGCTGAGGTGGGAGAATTGCTTGAGCCCAGGAGTTCAAGGACAGCCTGGGCAACATAGTGGGACTCCTTCTCTACAAAAATAATAATAATAATAATAAATAATTACCCAAGTGTGGTGGCACTTGCCTGTAGTCCCAGCTACTCGGGAGTCTGAGACAGGAGGATTTCTTGAGCCCAAGATTTCAAGACTGCAGTGAGCCGTAATTGTACTACTACACTCCAGCCTGGGTAACAGAGTGAGACCATGTCTCAAAATAAAAATAAAAGTAAAAATACCATTCTAAGAAACAATGCTGCTCATAGTGGCTTGGATTGTTAGTAATGAGGGGCCACTTAAAATCTTAAAGAGTGATGGGATCGAGCCTCAGTTGCAGGAAGATTAGCAAGCATGGAGAGATGGAGTGGGGAGGTGAGAGAACGGTGACTGGCAATGGAGAACAGAGTGGGGAGGCAATTTAGAACACTGCAGGCAAGAGATGACAAGTAATATAAACATTAACCTATCACAGGATTAGAGTGAAAAAAAGAAGTAATAATGAACAAAAGTAGCAGCCGGTAAAACAGTCGAGAAGTAAGACCAAGGGTTCCGGCTTAGGTAAAATAAAAATATGAGCACACACACCTGTCTGCTCAGGATTTTTATTTTAACTCATTAAAACAAAAAACAATCGCATGTAGCATACTCAGGGTGATCAAAAAACTTTGATGATCAGGCGATGGTTGTCTAACATTGTGAATATAGTTAATGTCATGGAATTATACACTTAAAATAGTTAAAATGGCAAATTGTGTTATATGTAGCTTAGTACAATATAAATTTAAAAAATAAGAAAATCTGAAAAAAAAATAAGAGTACTCAACAATTTCTATGTATTATAATTTAAGCCTTGGGTGATAAAAATCTCACAAAGTTACTTATCCCCTCAATTTGGTTCCAAAAGGAATCAGCAGGCTGAAGACATTCAGACAGCAATTGCTAGCTTTTTCCTTCTAACTACCAGCCCCATCAATCCACACTTACTTGTCAGCTGCATGGCAGATTGTGCCACAAGTGTCAGCCATGTCATCCACAAGGATGGCCACCCGATCCTTCACATCTCCCACAAGCACCATGCGGTCCACTTCATTGGCCTTCTTCCGTTCTTTGTGAATCAAGGCAAAGTCCACATTCAGCCTGTCTGCAATGGAGGTCACTCTGCAAAACAGAGCGTGTTCATATGTATGTGTGGCTTCTAAGACAAAAGAAATGGACTAAAGAGGCCGGGGGCGGTGGCTCACGCCTGTAATCCCAGCACTTTGGGAGGCTGAGGTGGGCGGATCACAAGGTCAGGAGATAGAGACCATCCTGGCTAACACAGTGAAACCCCATCTTTACTAAAAATACAAAAAATTAGCTGGGCATGGTGGCGGGCGCCTGTAGTCCCAGCTACTCGGGAGGCTGAGGCAGGAAAATGGCGTGAACCCAGGAGCTGGAGCTTGCAGTGAGCTGAGATCGCGCCACTGCACTCCAGCCTGGGTGACAGAGCGAGACTCTGTCTCAAAACAAAAAAAAAAGAAAAAAAGAAATGGACTAAAGAATGGGCTTGTTTTGGGGAGGAGAATACTCCTTGAAACCAATAGTTCCCAGGGCTGGAAGAATGAAAGCAACTATCATTGACTTCTCAAAGGCAAATATCACAAACTGGGTTTTATAAACCAGTGCCTCCATAGCTCAACAGAAGCTTATGAACGTACTGATCAAACTTAGATGAGTATTCATTCTGGGTAGAGGACAGACACCCTCACCAGTACTGGGAAGCAGTATAACGCTAAGACACGCAAGTTTATTTAATGGATTGGCAGCAGAAGGAATGAGGAAAGAATTAACTAATGCCAGGAGTACACAGACTGTCCCAATTCCCATCATGGAAGACCCGTGAATGGGGATGTGGTGAGAAGAGAACCTGACTGGCAGGAGAGGAGCAGCATCCAGCCTGTTCCAATGCCTGTGTCCTCATCACTTCCCTCAGTGCTGTTGGCAAAACATCCATCAACTGTCACTGTCAACTGTACCTGGACACCAAGCTTGGGAGTTTTTTTCACAATTGCTAGACAGAAAGTTATATCAATTACCCAGACAAGCTAGGCATCTCACCATTCGGTCCAAAGTATCTTCCAATCAAAGAGAATTCTTATTTTTCTTATTACAAGAGAAAATAAACCAGACTAGAAGGTAGGATAGAAGACAAATTTGTCTTTTGACAAAGTACCACATAATTCAAACAAAAATCTATTCAGTGTAAATGACAGTGAGCTGCCCCAGTGGCACGTCTGTCCATGCTCCGCTGTGCCATCTCCGTCATGTGTGAAGCAGCCCGTGCTTGGGGATTTGTCCTGTTTTTTAATGTAGAACTGAACAAACTATAGCATTTTGTCCTGTTTCTCTTGTGACTATGGTCACATGAGTTTTTGCTGGATAAGTGAGAACCTGTGACCACATAATAAGGTTTGAACCATAATCTAGGTAACATTTGTACCTTGATCTAAACCAACCATACCCTGTACTCTCCATTACTACTACTGCATAAGCACATAACATCAGTGGTAACCAATTCGCTTGGAATGATTACTTACCCAAGGCAAATGCATGATCAATTAGTTCAAGTATCCCAAACCAACCATACTCAAAGGCCAACAAATTCAGTGACCAACAAAGCATAAAAAGGGCTAGAAAAAGTAACTCTCTACACCTTTTGAGGAGAGAACTACTGTACAAATGAATATCACACAGGGATCTCTACCTACTCCCCAAACCCTGCCAACACAGAAGTGATAGACACTCAATTGTAAAATACTCCATCACTATAAGACAATGATAATGAAAAAAAAATCAGGTAGCAATAAGTTGTCTACTAAAGGCAGTTTTCCTATACCCACCTTTGGAAAGAAAATCCTGCCTATTTCAAATGTGACTATTTTCTAAGTCCCACAGAAAGATATTAAAATAATGACCGACAAATTAAATATGACAACTACTAGTTGGGGGGATGTTTCTTAGGCTGTCTCTAGCATTACAGATGGTAACTAGCAATTACATGGGACTCACCAACCCATATATCTGGCTGGATAACATAACTCAAGTTCTCAGCTTATCAGTTCTGTTGAAGTTACTGAAATAAAAGAGGTTGTTGAGAAACAGTCATTGAAGATTTGAATGGCTTTTAGAAAGTTCTGAATTAGCTCTTCCTAATCATCTGTGTTTTGTAGCTCTTCATTCTATTTCCACAACAAGAAGAACATGTGTCACACTTTTGAATGCATTACTAACGAGTAATCCACTAAGGAAATCAAGAGCTCTTAGTCTGCACCATGTGAGCTGCAAAGCACTGTTAACTGGCAATCCCTGGCAATCAGTTTGTTTAAAATGTTAAGATCTTGGCTTTAAATAAAAATGTCACACTTTACTTTCCTTCCTGCTTAATATTTTAATCCCAAGGATCAAAATGATCTAACCAACAGCATTGTAAGAGGAGTGTAAAAGCGAATTTGTCCACCAATATGTGGTTCAATAGCAGCTGCTATTCATTAGAAAACCACATTTTCTACCCTTCCCAAAAGGTTTATAGCTGTATTGCTAGCTCTGTAGCACCAAGTTACTCATAAGTTATAGTCAAATCCATAATATGATGATTTAGGACCCCTTTTCTGTCTTGTCTTCCGAGTAGTAACTGAGGACAGTAAAAGAGGAAAGGGTAAAACTATATTCAACCCATGTGCTAGCTACTTACATCCATTCAAAAATACTTAAAAACTGCCACTTGGATAGAAAAACTTCACTTTGTGACACAACCATCTGAAAGATTTTCCCAGTACATTGGGAACAATACTAATTTCAACCATACCTCTTAGCTCCACCAGCATCAGGTGAGACAATAGTGCAGTTCCTCCACTCAGAGATATTCTCCCTTATCCACTTTAGGACAGCCGGCTCTGCATACAAATTGTCTACTGGGATATCAAAAAAGCCCTGTAGAAAGAAGCTGGATCAGTTTTGCTTCACTTTCCTTCTCTTCCATTTATAAATGGCAAACACAAAGTAGTAACTTGCTCAGAGAATGTCTTACTGCAACATTCAAACTGATGGGAAGGCAGGCCCAGTGTGGTAGATTATAAAAGCCTCCTTGAATCTGGGCTATGTGAGAGAGCCCAGCCAAGATCAGCAAAGCCAGCCCTCAGTCAACCCACAACTGAACATAGGAACATAAGTGAGCCCTTGTAAAGAATGGCTAAGTTCAGACAAAACCATTAAGAACTGCCCAGTCAACATGCAGACTCAGTGAGTTTGTAAATACTGCTTTATGCCACTAAGTGTTGGACTGATTTGTTAAGGAGTAAAAGCTAATGGATAAACCAGTTAGAGATGCTATGGCATATAAACTTAATGGAAGCTACTTATGATAAATAGTCACAGTGAATAATTAGAAATCAGGAGATCTGTGTTCTAATTCTAGTTGATACAAATTAGTTGTATTTCTCAATTAAGTCATTCCTTTCCATAAAAGGAGTACAGTCCCTGTCCAATGTACTTCATTGAATTCCCACAAGCTTGAAATGTAATGATTTGAAAAATCTCTTTGAAAAAATATAAAATAAAGGTGGTATTCCACCCCCCTTACTTTGGGTTTATGTTGGAAAGTAGGCTCCAATATCTGTGGCTCTAAATTTAAGACCATGAGGCCAGGCACGGTGGCTCATGCTTGTAATCGCAGCACTTTGGGAGGCTGCAGCAGGCAGATCACTTGAGGTCAGGAGTTCGAGACCAGCCTGGCCAACATGGTGAAACCCCATCTCAACTAAAAGTACAAAAAAGTTAGCTGGGCCTGGTGTCAGGTGCCTGTAATCCCAGCTACTTGGGAGGCCGAGGCAGGAGAACTGCTTGAACTGAGGAGGCAGAGGTTGCAGTGAGCCAAGATCGTGCCACTGCACTCCATGAATATTCAAGGAGAATAAGAATGATAATAACAGCTCCTATCTATGAGTACCTGTCATGGGCCAGGCATTATAATATGAATTTAATGTTTTATACTCACAATAATGAAAAAGTATATGTTCAGAGAAATTAAGTAACCTTCCCAAGCTTACAAAGCTAGTAAATACCAGAGCCTTTATTCAAAGTAGTGCTCTTCCCATAAAACTAGACTGCCTCCCTATCTAACCACCTGAAATGACTAAGATCATGAAGTATGCTTAAGGTGAACACATTTAAAATGTTGTTGATATCTAGTTTATTTCAGATGTACTTGGGCATAATTTTTGGCTTCTCTGCAGTCTTCAGCATCATCAGTCCTTTCCTCCCACCTTTCAAACACCAATATTTAGCTTCCACTGATACCTGAATTTGAGAAGCATGTAGGTCCATGGTGATAATATGATCTGCACCTGCTACAGATAGCATATTTGCAACAAGCTTGGCTGAGATTGGCGCCCGGCTCTAAATGGAGGGGAGGAAAGAAAAGAAAAACCAAAAAGCCAATTTGAAAAACAATTCATTTACTCAAGAAACTATTTATTGTGTACCTACTATGTTAAAGGCACTATGGTACCCAGAAATTCATAGAAGGAGACATGTCCATTGACTTTAAGTGGATCATAATTCAGAACAAATATTAAGTGGAACATCACTTTTCCAAATCAGGATACACTTATCAATAAAGAAAATGCTTTCCTAACTTTTGTTTTCTTAATGTACACATTTTCAATCCTATTCAAGTGTTTCCAATGCTCAATTATTCAAACTAGGCAGACTTTAAAAAATAATTTTATTAAAATCTCTTTCAACACATACATATGTAAACCTTTAACACCTAACATGTCAAGGTTTGAAGATACATCACAGAATAGATATTATAGTTTCCTTTGTAAATCACATCACTACTTACTCATCTGGAGGTCAACTTTCCAACAACTATGAACTCCTCAAATAAAACATACTTGCTGCACTGTAAAATAGCAAAGTCCATGCATGCCTTTTTTTTTTTTTTTTTTTTTGTAGAGACAGAGTCTTGCTCTATCGCCCAGGCTGGAGTGCAGTGGCATGATCTCAGCTCACTGCAACCTCTGCCTCCTGGGTTCAAGCAATTCTCCTGCCTCTGCCTCCCGAGTAGCTGGGACTACAGGCGCGCAGCGCCACGCCTGGATAATTTCTTTTGTATTTTAGTAGAGACGGAGTTTCACAGCGTTGCCCAGGCTGGTCTCAAAACTCCTGAGCTCAGGCAATCCTCCCGCCTCGGCCTCCCAAAGTGCTAGGATTGCAGGCGTGAGCCACCGCACCCGGCCCATGCCCTTTACTTTATACTCTGTTGGAATAAAAATATCTGACCTTCTTCGAGGCATTGTGTGTAAAATTGGGCATTAATTACAATAGACTTGCAAAGTTTTATGTATATGCCTTATCCTCTAATATACCAGGATAAGGTGAGAGATATATATAGTTTATCTATCTATCTATCTATCTATGTATCTATCAGATCAAGTATTCATATAACAGACTTCAAGTTTTATGAAGAGGTCACAACTAGGATCCCAATCTTACAGTTTGAGAGGATCTACCGTAATTTTAAAAATATACTCCAGTACTCCAGAGGAGTTGGTGCTTAGTCTTACTGATACAATTAAAAATACCAGTGAGCTAACTGAAAGTTATATATGTATCACTGTAATAAAATACAGACTACAAATGTGTTGCTTTATACAAACCAATTATATTTCTATTGTTTTGAAGATAGGGTAATACCTAAGAAAAGGTGATTTTTAAAATTCCCCCTAAATATATATTTGATAATTTTGGAATTTATTTGTGATTTGGGGCAAGTGCTCCTGCTTCCTCTGCTCAAAAAATAAAATTCTGCTCCTACCTTATCTTTCTTATCCTGCCGGGCATAAGGGAAGCATGGGATGACTGCAGTAACCCGGCTGGCTGAAGCAATCTTGCAGGCATTAATCATGATCAAAAGCTCCATTAAATTGTCATTGATTTCGCCACAACCACTCTGAACAATGTAGACATCCTCTCCACGTACACTTTCACCAATTTCCACACTACAATGAGGAAAGAAAGAACATGAAATAGATTTTAAACCACTGTACTGTCAGCCCTCCATATCCATAGGTTCCACATCTATGGATTCAACCAAGTGTGGATTGAAAATATTTGGAGAAAAAATTGCACCTGTATTGAACATGTACAGATTTTTTTCTTTGTCATTATTTTCTAAATACAGTATAACAACTATTTACGTAGTATTTATATTGTATTAAGTATTATAAGTAATCTAGAGATGATTTAAAGTATATGGCAGGGCTGGGCGCAGTGGCTCATGCCTATAATCCCAGCACTTTGGCAGGCCAAGGTGGGTGGATCACTTGAAGTCAGGAGTTCGAGACCAGCCTGGCCAACATGGCGAAACCATGTATCTCTACTAAAAATACAAAAATTAGAAGGGCATGGTGGCAGGCGCCTGTAGTCCCACCTACTCAGGAGGCTGAGGCACGAGAATCGCTGGAACTCAGGAGGCGGAGGTTGCAGTGAGCTAAGATCACACCACTGCACTCCAGCCTGGGCAACAGAGTGAGACTCTGTGTCAAAAATAAAATAAAATAAAATAAAATATATGGGAGGGCCTGGCATGGTGGCTCAGCACTTTGGGGAGCAGGGGGCAGGGTAGAAGGAGGATCATTTGAGCCCAGGAGTTCAAAACCAGCCTGGGTAATACAGTGAGACCCCATCTCTACAAAAAATAAATAAATAACAATAAAGTATAAGGGAACATGTGCATAGATTATTTCATATGGCCGGGCGTGATGGCTCACGCCTATAATCCCAGCACTTTGGGAGGCTGAGGTGGGCGGATCACCTGAGGTCAGGAGTTCAAGACCAGCCTAGTCAACATGGTGAAACCCGTTTCTACTAAAAATAAAAAAATTAGTCAGGGTGTGGTGGCTCACACCTGTAATCCCAGCACTTTAGGAGGCCAAGATGGGTGGATCACCTGAGGTCAGGAGTTTAAGACCAGCCTGGCCAACACAGTGAAAACCCATCTCTACTAAAGTATAAAAATCAGCCGTGCATGGTGGCACACGCCTGTAGTCCCAGCTACTCGGGAGGTTGAGGCAGGAGAATCACTTGAACCCGGGAGGCACAGGTTGCGGTGAGCCAAGATCACGCTACTGCGCTCCAGCCTGGGCAACAGAGTGAGACTCCGTCTCAAATAAAAATAAAAAAAAAAAATTAGCTGAGTGTGGTGGCAGGTACCTGTAGTCCCAGCTACTCAGGAGGCTGAGGCAGAAAAATTGCTTGAACCGGGAGGCAGAGATTACAGTGAGCAGAGATCGTGCCTCTGCACTCTAGCCTGGGTGACAGAGCAAGACTCCATATCAAAAAAATATATATATATATATATATATTTATATTACACTATTTCATATCTGCAGATTTGGTCTTGGGACCAATCCCCTGTGGATACTGAGGGATGACTTTACTATACTTCTATAGACAATAAGGTCTAAGAACAGCTTCCCTACTAGTATGCTGTGAATGGTTACAGCTACATGTGGATATTGATCACCTAGGCTTCAGGAGATCCTCTGAAGGAGCCTTATACCAGAAGCAGTTCACTGCCTCAGTTTACTCCAGTGCACTATACAAATATTACCATTTTCTATGGTAATATTTTCTAATATTACCATGTGACAGACACGAAAAAGATGCATGAAATGGTTGGCACATGTTAGTCTAAAGTACTTACAAATAACCGGACCATAATTTTAGCAGGTGGCCTGTATCTCATTTCATATAGGTACATGTGATGTACATAAAATTTGATGCATCACCTATTACTGTTACAGAGTCCATAAATAGCAAAAGAAGTAGAAATATCATAAGGAGTGAATCACTACTGTTCTATAATGACACTTTAACAAAAGACAGTACCACCTCTACCATACTGGCAATTTACCCAGTAAATATTAAATGTTCATATGCTCATCACTGTACTAGATGCTAGGGAAACAATGGTGAATAAAATGTGGTCCTTGCCCTCATTCTGTGTTAACTGTACTCTGGTCCAATTACTAAGTAACTCCATAGGAATTTACTCTAAGTATGAAGTAGGGCTATATTTTACCACGAAAGTTTCAGTGCCCATACTCGGGTCTCTACCAAGAAAAAAAAATCACCTCTCCTGTTCACCAGGTTTAAGAAAAAAAAAAGAAAATAATTTAAAAATTTTTAAAAATCACCTTAGTGATACCTCAAACAACATTATATTCCAACTAATCCTCTAGGTGAAGGAGAGGTGTATGTGTGTATATAGACAAGTAGATCAGAATGGCTGACAATACCTATTGAACAAGAGAAAACTTCAGTTCAAATCAAAAGGCAATAGAGTTATTAAATAAAAGATCCATACTTCTATCTCACTCTAAGCACTATCTTCTGTGTGGCTTCAGGAACTACCTACTGTCCTATTTCTGTCAAGATCACTTTTACCCACCCTTCTCTCCCCAAACAAAACTTCAAGGAGAACTCCAAAAGGGACTTATATGAAAACTGGCAGAGGCAATTCTATTGCCAGAAGAAGCTGACATAGGAGATAATTACTTATTTATTCCTTTCTAACCCAAGATGAAAGGGAGCTGGGAGTGGTGGCACACACCTGTAATCCCAGCTACTCAGGAGGCTGAAGCAGGAGGACTGCTTGAGCCCAGGAGTTCAAGTCTAGCCTGGACAACACAGGAAGACCCTCATCTCAAAAGCAAGAAAAGACAAATGGGGTTAGTTTATGTTGTAAAGCAAGAAAAATAAAAGCAAGTGAAAAAAAATCAAACTAGAAACCAATTAAAATCAAGGAAGCTGAGATTCCTGGCAGCCAGAACAAAAAAGAAAATGCACTAGTTTAGGATAAACCTTTTTTAAGACTGGACGCAGTGGCTCATGCCTGTAATCCCAGCACTTTGGGAGGCCAAGGCAGGCAGACTGCCTGAGCTCCCCATTTCAAGACCAACCTTGGCAACATGGCGAAACCCCGTCTCTACCAAAAAACACAAAAATTAGGCGTGGGGACATGCATCTGTAGTCCCAGCTACTCAGGGGGCTGAGGCAGGAGAATCGCTTGAACCTGGGAGGCGGAGGTTGCAGTATGGGGAGATGAAGCCGCTGCACTCCAGCCTGGGTGACAGAGCGGGACTCCGTCTCAAACCAAACAAAACAAAACAAACAGGCAGTGGTCATTTCAAGGGACTTTTGGGACGTTTTCAGTTTTTTTTTTTTTTTTTTTTTGAGACAGTCTCGCTCTGTCGCCAGGCTGGAGTGCAGTGGCACGATCTTGGCTCACTGCGACCTCCACCTCCCGGGTTCAAGTGATTCTCCTGCCTCAGCCTCCCGAGTAGCTGGAACTACAGCCGCACGCCACCACGCCCAGCTAATTTTTTGTATTTTTAGTAGAGATGGGGTTTCACCATGTTGGCCAGGATGGTCTCGATCTCTTGACCTCGTGATCTGCCCGCCTTGACCTCCCAAAGTGCTGGGATTACAGGTGTGAGCCACCATGTCTGGCCCAGATCTTTCTTTACTACTAGCTCTGCCCTTCGAGAGATTTCAAGCTAAAAGAGTCACTTTTAGGTTTTATGTTAAACAAGTCTGTGGTTGGGAGGCAGAGGCAGGAGGACCGCTTGAGCCCAAGAGTTTGAGACCAGCCTGGGTAACATAAAGAGACCTCCTCTCTACAAAACAATTTAAAAATTAGGCATGGTGGCAAGTGCCTGTGATTGCAGCTACTGGGGAGACTGAGGTGGGAGGATTGCTTCAGCCCAGGAGTTAGGAGCCATGATCATGCCACTGCACTCCAGCCTGGGTGACAGAGTGAGACACTGTCTCAAAAAAAAAAAAAATCAGAAAATTTTAATGCTGCTCACATTCATCCTCCATATATCAGCTCCTTGACCAAAATATGCATTTCCCTGGAGGAGAATGAAAGTCAGGCAGGCATATTGATTTCCAATCATGTATCAGAAGCCTATGGCTCTTGTTTCAGTCAAGAACACAGAGTATCATCTGTGCTCCAGACATTCACTTGCCAGAGTCAGGATGTTTGATTAAAAGTTGGAGAACAAATGAACAAATGTAGTTTGACAATTGATATCAGACAGTATAAGGGACAAGCTATTCTGCTATGTTTTTAAAACTTTATCATTATCGCTGGGCACGGTGGCTCACGCCTGTAATCCCAGCACTTTGGGAGGCCGAGGCGGGCGGATCACGAGGTCAGGTGATCGAGACCATCCTGGCTAACACGGTGAAACCCCGTCTCTACTAAAAAATACAAAAAAATTAGCCAGGTGTGGTGGCGGGCGCCTGTAGTCCCAGCTACTCGGGAGGCTGAGGCAGGGGAATGGCGTGAACCTGGGAGGCAGAGCTTGCAGTGAACCGAGATCAAGTCATTGCACTCCAGCCTGGGAGACAGAGCGAGAGAGCGAGACTCTGTCTCAAAAAAAAAAAAAACAAAAAACTTTATCATTATCAAGTAAGACCAGAAAACAACATTCTTAGACCACAGTGGCTTATCTCCCTTTACAAATGCCTCAACTATCAGTCAATATAAAAAATACCCACAAAATTGTTATATTGTCCATGATGTTACTCGATATCACTATTTAGAGGTCTCACCCATAAAATTCTTAGGATTTTTTGCCTGGAAGTTTCTAAATAACTTTATGAAAATAAAAACCACATAATCGATTGCATATGCCTTTATCCCTCTGGCTGTCAGGAAGCCAAGGGATACAGTTAAAAAAATGTAACACTAGGCTGGGGCGGTGGCTCACGCCTGTAATCCCAGCACTTTAGGAGGCCGAGGTGGGCAGATCACCTGAGGTCAGGAGATCGAGACCATCCTGGCTAACATGGTGAAACCCCGTCTCTACTAAAAATACAAAAAAAAAAAAAAAATTAGCCATTAGCTGGGCGTGGTGGTGGGCGCTTATAGTCCCAGCTACTCGGGAGGCTGAGGCAGGAGAATGGCGTGAACCCGAGAGACAGAGCTTGCAGTGAACCGAGATCGCGCCACTGCACTCCAGCCTGGGAGACAGAGCTAGACTCCATCTCAAAAAAATAAATAAATAAATACATAAATAAAATAAAAAGTAACACTAAACTTTAGAAATTGTTTTATGCCAAATAGTTGCCACAATTACTGTAGTCCATGGTTCTATAAGGCTTCTGATACCTACCTTAACAAACGGTTTGTACTAGTGACTATCAAACATACTTCAAATCCTTTCTTGAAAGCAGGTGAGATACTATTTAAAAATTAAATTATCACTGCTAATTAAAACATCAAAGGGCATCTGATAAATATATAGCTTTAATAGAGTTGATTATTTTATTTTTTAAATTGTATTTATTTTTTTTGAGACGGAATCTCACTCTGTCACCCAGGCTGGAGTGCAATGGTGTGATCTCTGCTCACTGCAACCTCTGCCTCCCAGGTTCAAGTGATTCTCCTGCCTCAGCCACCCAAGTAGCTGGGACTACAGGTGTGTGCCACCACGCCTGGCTAATTTTTGTATTTTTAGTAGAGATGGGGTTTTGCCACATTGGCCAGGCTGGTCTCAAACTCCTGACCTCAGGTGATCCGCCTGCCTTGGCCTCCCAAAGTGCTGGAATTACAGGTGTGAGCCACCGCACCCAGCCAAGGTGATTATTTTTAAAATATACATATTCTAACATCACATAAGGCTTGAATAATAATTTTTTATAAATCACTTATCAAACAAAAAATAAAAATAAATAAAAATCACTTATCAGCTTACCACCCAATACAGTCGCTAGTACCATTTTTGTTATTATATCACTTAATAATCAATCAACAGCTCAGCTATTTCTCAAAGCCAAACTTTTTTTTTTTTTTTTTTTTGAGATGGAGTCTCGCTCTGTTGCCCAGGCTGGAGTGCAGTGGCAGGATCTCAGCTCACTGCAAGCTCCGCCTCCTGGGTTCACACCATTCTCCTGTCTCAGCCTCCCGAGTAGCTGGGACTACAGGCGTCTGCCACCATGCCCAGCTAATTTTTTGTATTTTTAGTAGAGACAGGGTTTCACCGTGTTAGCCAGGATGGTCTCGATCTCCTGACCTCGTGATCCACCCGCCTCGGCCTCCCAAAGTGCTGGGATTACAGACGTGAGCCACCGCACCCGGCTCAAACTTTTTAAAATTAAAAGCTACCTTCAGCATAGAAGGTGTTTGTTATAAGGCATGTATCTAATAACTTGAAAAGGTTATTTAACTGTTTAAAAAATGTGGGGCTTTTGAAAAGATCTTACAAAAATGAAATAAAAGTAGAGAAACTTAGAAAGCAAATACATAAATAAAATAAGGTGGTGCAAGTAAACTAGGTGATACTGCCTTGTTTTAATGTGTATAATTCTAATTTCACTTATTAAAACCAATCTTTCCCTATAGTAGTACTATAACATACAGACTTTGTTTGACAAAGTCTTAAAAAGTCCGTGAATTGCACTCTGATTATACAGCTTGGTTCAACAAGTCCTCTAAAAATCTTAACCTTATTCTTATGGCTTCTTCTAAGTTATGGCAGTGATCGAGAAGAATATTTGTGCCTAAAACCTGTTTGCTCCTAACATAATCTATTAAGTGGAAAAACCTAATTCAGCAATTTAGAGAGTAATACTCCTTGTTCTCTCCCTCTAGTTAATGGAGTGTTCTCCAAATGGCTTTGGGCCAATCATTCTCTCAGCTGTTTTGGTGAGGCCAGAAGACTGGCTATGTCTATCCAATGAGTGAAAAAACTAGCTTCTCTTTTCCCTTTCCTTTAAGGTCAGGCATAAGTGTATCCAATTGAAATGGAATGTCAGGAAACACCAAAAGTGAATCTAAAAGGTGGATAGTAGTCTTAAGAAAATCTGAAGAATTTAGATTATGGAGATATTGGCATGTGCAAAATACATGGGATTAACTAACCACAACCAGAAGATACAGTTCTCAGGAAAACCCTAGGCAACCAAAGTTCAAGTCTTCCTCCTCTCAGCTAGTACAGAATAACCAAATAAACCAAAGTTATTTACAAATATTGAAGAGAATAGAGTCAAAATTTTAGAATATCTAAGTTTTTAAAGCCAGGTGAGAGATCTTGTCAGCAAAAATTTAAAGGAACAATAATACCCAGAGCTGGGCAAGTTACTCTGCATCTTACTGTAGTTCTCTTCTCTGTAAAATAGGGATAGTAAGAGTTATTCCTCATAGCAGTTTTGAGGGGATTAAACACAATGTATACTAAATGCTTAGCATGGAAACTAGCACATCTTAGGCATTCACTATACATTAAATATTATAGCCGGGCACGGTAGCTCACACCTATAATCCCAGCACTTTGGGAGGCCAAGGTGTGGGGGATCACCTGAGGTCAGGAGTTTGAAACCAGCCTGGCCAACATGGTGAAACCCTGTCTCTACTAAAAATACAAAATATTAGCTGGGCGTGGTGGCACGTGCCTGTAATCCCAGCTACTCGGGAGGCTGAGGCAGGAGAACTGCTTGAACCTGGGTGGCGGAGGTTGCAGTGAGCTGAGATCGCACCACTGCACTCCTGGGCAGTAAGAGTGAAACTCCGTCTCAAAAAATAAATACATAAATAAATATTATTAATATTGTATTACTGCTGATGAGACAGATTTGTTCAACTTTTCTGGGGAATAATTTGGCAACAGGTATCAAAAGCCTGAAAAATGGTATCTACCCTTTAACTTAATAATTACCTTCCTAGGGATTTATTCTAAGGAAATAATCAGAAATGGTCAAAGATTTATGTTCATGGATTTTCATATAAAAGCATTAGATCAAAAACTGGAAATGTCCAATAAGAATTTGGTTATATAAAATTATGGCATAACCATAAGGTAAGACTATATAGCTATTTAAAATTACATGAACTAGCCCACCTCAGTGGTGCATGCCTGTATTCTCAACTACTTGAGAGGCAGAGGCAGGCAGATCACTTGAGCCCGCGAGTTTGAGGATGCAGTGTGCTATGATTGTGCCTGTGAGTAGCTATTGGACTCCAGCCTGGGCAACATAGTGAGACCTCATCTCTAAAAAATAAATTAAAATCTTTAATAATAAAAAAAGAAAATCATATATACTAAATATTAAAGGGAGAAACTGTTCAAAATATATTGCTAAGTGAAGAGAGCTATAAATGTATTAAACATTCTTGAAAAAGTGTATCTTACACAAATATCTGGGAGGTCAGAAATGATAATGTGACATTTATGTCAGGTGGCAGAATTAAGAGGCATATCTTCTCCCTTCCGTGTTCTAAATTTTCCACATTTTCTGCAATATTATCACCACCCCTTCTTGTCAACATTTACTGTTGTACTTATTATGTTTTGGACAAGATCCTAAGAACTTTACTTCTATCTCATTTAATCCTCATAACAACAGTATGGGTAGGTACTACTTTACAGATTAGATTATTGGGGCAAAGAAAGGTTAAGGATTCAGATCCAAGTTCTCTGATTTCAGCACTTTTAACACCCACCCCCTCCGTGTGTGTGTGTGTGTGTGTGTGTGTGTGTGTGTGTTTCCTAAATAACCAGACAGCCAAGGATGATCCTTATGTTAGAAGAAAAGCTACTCTGCTCAAGAGAGCATCAACCAAGAGTCACCTGGGGGAGCAGTTATAGGGAGCAGTTACCATTTCTTCAGTATAGGAAAAACAAAGATAGGGGGAACTCCATAAAAAAAAATGTGATTATGTTCAATGAAGATTTCAGAATATCTAGGAAACAAGAAGCTAATGATTAAGCCAGAAACAAGAAAATCTAACCAGTCAGCAATTATCCATGTTGGACTTAATAGAAATCAATCAGTAGAAAACTAAGTTGTCCTCCCCCTCTCCTCTCCCAATATAGCCTCAGGTTCTGGGGTGCTGCATTATGCAGAGGGCAGAAGGATTAACACAAGGAGAAAATAAAGCTTTCATGCCTTCACATTTTTCCTAGACGCATAGGAAAAGGATTAAATATCCACAGGGGCCAAAGAAAACCTCTAAATGAAAAACATTCTTGTCCCCTAACTATATTGCCAATCACAAAGTCTAGTCCTGTTTTGTATTCTTTATTAAGGCCCATGAGCCATAATGGTTTGGAAAAATCTAAAGACAGCAGTTTGTAAGCCTCTTTTAACTAAGGTATTGCCTGGTTACAGATGGCAATGTTTACACTATCATTTGCATCACAATCAGTAGCACAATAATTCGGGAAGAAGCTGTCCATTATCGGTGACATTACTTTATCAGCTGGGTCTAAAAGAGATAAGGCGAGTTAAACTTGGAAATCAGTCCAAAGAAAGCAAAAAAGTAAGCAAAAACATTTAGGAAAAAATATTCGAAATATTCTTATCTGATTATTAGGTGAAAACTTTCCCCTTAACAAATCTGTAAGATTGTGGGCAGGGCTCTGATTTAATCGATAGGGTAACAATAAAATACAAATTACACCTATCAGAAACTAAAGATCCCACACTTAGGTGGAAGGGGCACTGAAATAATCAGGTAACCAAGTCATCTCTAAAACAGTCCCATGGTGCCGGTAGAGGGTGTAAGTCGGAGTCGAGGAAGCAAGTTTTACTGGCAAGGCAATGGAAAAAACGCAAGTTGCAATGCACTGTCCAATCCTAGTCTTCCACTACATTGCCTGTCCTCAATTATCTTTAACATTCAGGTATAAAATTGTTTCCTAAATTCCCTACACAGAGCTTAAAGAAGGAGCCAAGTCCAGGATGGACTCGGTTACTGAAAAATACGCTTTTGCATTATCTGTACCACTAGCTGCACTGGGGAAGGTCAAACATTCCAGAATTGAGATTTCCAAGATTTTTTGGATGGCTCAAGCTGAGATGCTGGCTATCAAGGATGCAGAGTCAACGCATCACTTTAACAAATCAACTAGATTTATGGCTCCAATTACTCAGGTAGATGATTCATAAGATGAGAAAAGCCAACGCTTGCTGATCTAAGGGAAGTCGTAATAATTTTGGCGCCTGCAGTATATAATGTCAGTTTCCCTCAACACCAAGCCGAACGGACCAACACCATTTCGAATCAAAAAGCTGCTTATTGGACTCTAGGAAAAGAAAGACCAGGAGAGCTCAGTACGCAGGTAGGCTCTCTAAATGCAAGCTAGTCTAAGAGCTGAAGCAACCCAGTCCAGCCTGGGTGGCTCAACAGCAAAGCCAAGCCACGTGTCCCTACCGCCCTGGCTAAGCGTCGGTCCCCTCTCGTCGCTCTATGCAGCCACTATCTATTGGGTCCCCCAGCCCTTGCCCTCAAACGCAGAAGCTTCGCCTCACACTCCATCTTTTGACTCCACCCCACCGCACGGTAAGAATGAACGTGACCCTCCCGCGAGAGGTAAAATAACGGAAACAGCCCGTGGGGTAGGCTAGTCACAGAGCTGCACCCTCTCCCCCCAACCCCCAGTCTGTTTGAGCTCAAGCGGCGACCCCATCCCTCCTATACTCTGCCGCCTGGGCAGGTGAGGTCTAGTCAGGGTCCCAACTTGGTCCTTAC
The DNA here is from genome assembly GCF_000001405.40 of Homo sapiens. Taxonomy (NCBI): domain Eukaryota; kingdom Metazoa; phylum Chordata; class Mammalia; order Primates; family Hominidae; genus Homo; species Homo sapiens. The sequence goes on along the minus strand of NC_000023.11, from coordinate 107,628,750 downwards.
CAGGTCTCCTGGTTGCTGAATTTCTTAGTCACCACCTTGCCTAGCTCCAGGCCCAGGCGGTCAGCAATTTTCTGAGATAAGTCCTGGTGGGAGCTGCCGCTGAAGATTTTGATATTCGGCATCCTGGCCAACTACCCTAAGCACTCCACTAAGCGATCACGGCTGCTGCAGAGACCGGAACCGAAGTCGGCCACAGACTCAATACCAAGCGCTTTGCGTTGCTACTCCGCCATCTTACATTCCCGCCCGGCGCGCGGCTCTAAATTACCCAAAGCGGCGGAGGTGGGGTCAGCGGCGAAGTCCACACCCCGCTGGCAACGATTAGCTAAGAGGGAGCGAAGGGCGGGGTTTGGTCCTCGGTGTAGCTCTGCCTCCTTCCGATTCTCTCAGGTATTGGGTGAAGAGCATGAACGGGGGCGAGACTAACCCATAGCCCGGCCCCCTGTAGCTAGGCTGTTGGGGACAGGAGACGTTGGACTGGGGGTGGAGGGATGCTGGTGACGTCTGAGGCCAGATCGTTCCCGCTAGCGGGAAATCAACCATGCCTGCTTTTTTATTTCCCCTCCCTCAGCGCAGGAAAGTAAGTCTGGCTCTGGTTTACAGTTTCCTTTAAGAAAATCTGTTTATCAGGATGACAGCCACGAGTTTGCATGTTTCTGAACACATTTTTTATCTCTTTATAAGGATGGGGCTGAATTAAAACACTTTTACATCACAGACGTGCATGCAAGGAGTTTGCTTGCCCATTGTAATTGCAGTGTCGCCTTTGCCTGCAAGACAGTTTACATGGGGGAAGTGACTGAAGGCATGCCACCTGAATCATCCAAGAGACACTGCAAGAGAAAGTTGTTTTGTTTCTAGTGCTGGAACCAAGTATGTTGAAACAAGTGAAGGAAGATGGATTTTCCAAACTATCTGGACAATAAAGATCTAACTTTTATAGCCCTCGGAAAGGAAAGAAAGTATAGTGTTCTATGGGACTTCAGATAAAGAGCCCTGAAGGGATTTGAAAAAACCTGGGTTTTAGTCCTGTCTGCCTCATGTAAGCCTCAATGTCATCAGCTACATGTTGCTAATGTGGCCTTTTACACCATGTTTTATTATTTTTATAGCGATACTTGTTAATTGGACCTAAGTGAGCCTTTATTCTTGCACCATGTTTCCATTAAGCATATTTTAAGCATGGGTTAGGAGAAGATAAAAATCATACAATTCTGGAATCAAAAGTGACCATAGTGCTCATAACTACCAAATGTAAAAATAGAAGGGACCTCAGAGATCATATAGTCGTTTTACATATGATAAAACTGAGATGGAGGTGGGAGAGGGATTTATCTAAGTGGCAAAGGCAGAAAATACTCAAAGCAGCATCCTGTCTTTGTCTTACTGCTATTTTCAGCAGTGTCCATGGAGGACTTCTCCTTCTGACCTTTTTTGCACTTTTACAAGCTCAGAAATTTAATGTAGGCCCATGTATATAGGAATACTTGGAGAAGGAAGTAAACTGCAAGGCAGAATATTAGTAGTCTTCCATCATAGGCCATTCATCAAATATTTACTGAGTGTTCTATTGCATGCAAGGCAGTGTGCAAGGCGTTGAGGGGACTACAAAGTATTTGCCCCAAGGGATTCGTTCATTCAATAAATATTTAGTGAACATTCTTTATGTGCTAGGCCCTGTGTATTGGCACAAGAATACATTAGTAAACAATTAAAAATACCCTGCTGTCATGGAGTTTACATTCTCAAACAATAAACATGTAAATAAGCAAAATGCATAGTATGTCAAATGGCAATAAGTGTTGTGGAAAAAAAAATCAGGCAAGGAAAGTGGGATAATGTGCCAGAGTGTAGAGGAGAGGAGTACAATTTTAAGTAGGGTGGTCAGAGAAGACCTGTCTTGGAAGGTAACATTTGGGCAAAGACCTGAAGGAGGAAAAAAAAAACAAAAAAATGAGCCATGTTGATATCTCGATAAGCAAAGAGAACAGAAAGGGCAAATACCCTAAGGCAGATGTATCTCGCTTGTTTGAGGAATACCAATGCGGGACGAGTGTTGTGTGGTGGAGGTGGAATGTATCTATAAGAGAAAAGGAGGAAAGTGAGGTCAATGAGATAAGAGTGATTGGAGGCCGGCCAGGCACGGTAGCTCACGCCTGTAATCCCAGCACTCAGGGTGGCCGAGGTGGGCGGATCACTTGAGCTCAGGAGTTCAAGACCAGCCTGGGCAACGTGGCGAAACCTCGTCTCTACAAAAAATACAAAAATTAGCCAGGCGTGGTGGTGGGCACCTGTAGTCCCACTGAGGCAAGAGAATCACTTGAACTTGGGAGGCAGAGGTTGCAGCAGTGAGCGGAGATCGCACCACTGCACTCCAGCCTGGGCGACAGAGTGAGATTCTGTCTAAACAAAACAAAACAAAACAGTGATTGGGGGACTCAGGTGGGCACGATGGCTCATGTCTGTAATCCCAGTACTTTGGGAGGCCGAGGCGGGCGGATCACTCGAGCTCAGGATTTGCAGACCAGCCTGGGCAACATGGCAAAACCTTATCTCTACAAAAAATACAAAAATTAGCTGGGCATGGTGGCAAGCACCTGTAGTCCCAGCTTCTGGGGAGGCTGAAATGAGAGGATCACTTGAGCCTGGGAGGCAGAGATTGCAGTAAGCCGAGATCGCGCCACTGCCCTCCAGCCTGGGTGACAGAGAGAGACCCTGTCTCCAAAAAAAAAAAAAAAAAGGGATTGTGGGGAGAGTGCTGATCATGCAGAACCTTATAGGTTATTTTAGGGGTTTTTGCTTTAACTGAGTAAGAATTTTTAGCAAAGAGTGACATAATCTAACTTCCCTTTTAAAAAGATCACCCCAGCTACTGAGAACAGAGTGTAGGAGGCAAGATAGGAAGCAGGAAGACCGATTAGGAGTTAACTTCCAAAGAAAGTTGATAAGACATTTATACAAATAATTACAAAGCACAGACAATGTAATACGCTACCATAGAGAAGCCTGTGCTTGGATAATGTGGAGGCTGCTGTAACAAGGAGACTCTAAAATATAGCGGCTTTAGTAAGACAAATTATTTCTCTCTTGCATAACAGGCTGGCTGGTCTAAGCCAGTGGGATGATTCTGCTCCATGCTAGGTCATGGACACATCCACATTCTAGCTCAGAGAAGAGGTCTAGGCAAGGGATTTCCTTTTAAGCAAGTGAGATGAAATTTATCCATCCCACTTTCTCTCACATCCCTTTGGCAAGAGCTCAGTCACAATTCGCACCTAACTGCAAGAAAGACTAGGAAATGTTTTGTTAGGTGGCCCTGTTCCCAGAAAGAAGAGAGAATGAATTTTGGGTATGCAACTAGAAGTCTCCCATAAGGCCCAAACAAAATGCTCTGCAGGTCCAGAGGTAGAAGATATCACCTCTGCATGGAGTATCCTGGGAAATATTTTTGGAGGTAGAAGCACATGAACTAGGCCTTGATTGATGAGTAGGGTTTTGACAGGCAATGATTGAGAGGAGGTGGATCTCCCAGGCAGGAAGAAAAGATGAGGAAGCAGAGAGAGGTTTTGAAGAAGAGAAAATAGTTTAGTTTTGCTGGAATATCAAGTACCATATTGGGACTTCATTCCGCAGGCAATAGGAAGCCATTGACTGTTCTGGAGTAAGAGCATGACACGATCATAACTGTGCTTTAGGTAAACTTTTCTGTGTGGGGTGAAGAATAGAGAAGAGATTGGAGGCAGGCAAACCAGATTGGGAGAGCAAGTTAGTAATGTCATTAACTATGCCAGTAGCTGTAGGGTTTAAGAAGAGGAATGATAAAGACATTGTGAATCTGAGATTCACTAATCTCAGATTAAATTAAAATTAAATTAATTAAATTAAAATCTCAGATTAAATTAAAAGGGGTCCTTTTAGAGATTATGGACCCCTTTGAGAATTTTATGACCACTATAGATCCTCTCTCCAGCCACAAGTATTCCTCATTTTATCACACTTTGCTTTATTGTGCTTTGCAGATACTGCATTTTTTACAACTTGAAGGTTTATGGCAACCCTCTATTGAGCAAGTCTATTGATGCTATTTTTCCAAGAGCATGTGTTCATTTTGTGATTCTTTGTCACATTTTGGTAATTCTTGCAATATTTCAAGCTTTATTATTATTATTTTATATCTGTTATGGTGATCTATGATCAGTGGTCTTTGATGCTACTATTGTGATCATTTTGGGGTGCCATGAACCATGCCTATATAAGACAGGGAACTTAAATGATAAATGTTGTGTGTCTTCTGTGTTCTGACTGTTCCACTGACCAGCCATTCCTCCATTTCCCTGTCTCTGCTCATGCCTCCTTATTCTCTGAGGGACAACACTATTGAAATTAGGCCAATTAATAGCCCTGCTATGTCCTCTAAGAGTTCAAGTGAAAGGAAGTGTTGCACATCTCTTACTTTAAATCAAAAGCTAAAAATGATTAAGCTGAGTGAGGAAGACGTGTCAAAAGCTGAGATAGGCTGAAAGCTAGGTCTCTTGTGCCAGTTAACCAAGTTGTGAATGCAAAGGAAAAGTTCTTGAAGGAAATGAATAGTGCTACTCCAGTGAACACATGAATGATAAGAAAGCAAAACAGCTCTATTGACAATATGGAGAAAGTTTGAGTGGTCTGAATAGATCAACCCAGCTACAAAATTCTCTTAAGCCAAAGCCTAATCCAGAGCAAGGCCCTAACTCCCTTCATTTATATGAAGGCTGAGAGATGTGAAGAAGCTGCAGAAGAAAAGTATGAAGTTAGCAGAGGTTGGTTTATGAGGTTTAAGAAAAGAAGCCATCTCGCCTGTAATCCCAGCACTTTGGGAGGCCAAGGTGGGCGGATCACGAGGTCAGGAGATTGAGACCATCCTGGCTAACACGGTGAAACCCCGTCTCTACTAAAAATACAAAAAATTAGCCGGGCGTGGTGGCGGGTGCCTGTAGTCCCAGCTACTCGGGAGGCTGAGGCAGGAGAATGGCGTGAACCCGGGAGGCGGAGCTTGCAGTGAGCGGAGATCACGCCACTGCACTCCAGCCTGGGCGATAGAGCGAGACTCTGTCTCAAAAAAAAAGAAAGAAAGAAAGAAGGAAGGAAGGAAGGAAGGAAGGAAGGAAGGAAGGAAGAAAGAAAGAAAGAAAGAAAGAAAAAGAAAGAAAAGAAGCCATCTCCGTAACATAAACGTGCAAGGTGAAGCAGCAAGTGCTGATGTAGAAGCTGCAGCAAGTTACCCAGAAGATCTAGCTAAGATTATTGATAAAGATGGTTATACTAAACAACAGATTTTCAATGTAGATGGTAAAAGCGTTCTATTGGAAGAAAATGTCAGCTAAGACTTTTACAACTAGAGAGGTCAATACCTGGCTTCAAAGCTCCAAAGGACAGATTGACTCTCTTGTTAGAGGCTAATGCAGCCATTGACTGCATCAGCCAATGCTCATGTATCATTCTGAAAATTCTAAGGCCCTAAATAATTAGGCTAAATTCTACTCTGCCTGTGCTCTATAAATGGAACAACAAAGCCTGGATGATAGTACATCTGTTTATAGCATGGTTTACTGAATATTTTAAGCCCATTGTTGAGACCTACAGCTAAAAACAAGAGAGATTCCTTTCAAAATATTACTGCTCATTGTCAATGCACCTGGTCACCCGAGAGCTCTGATGGAGATGTACAAGGAGATTAAAATTGTTTTCATGCCTGCCAACACAACAACCATTCTGAAGCTCATGGATCAAGGAGTCATTTTGACTTTCAAATCTTATTTTTTAAGAAATATATTTTGTAAGGCTGCCATAGATAGTGATTCCTCTGATGGATCTGAGCTAAGTAAATTGCAAATCTTCTGGAAAGGATTCACCATTTTATTTCAGTTATTTTTGTGATTGAAAACAACAACTATTTTATTTATTCACAATTCTGCAGTCAGGAATTTGGGCAGGGCTCAGCTGAAATGTTTTTATGCTTCATGTGGTGTCAGTTGGGATATCCTATAAGGTTGCAGTCAGGGTCAGCTTCACAGGCATGCAAGCTGTGTAGCTGCAGAGAGTCCCACACTCAGAGGGACCTTGCAGTTAGTTTAATGCTCTGCTATTGCCATCTTAAAATTCTAAATAACTTTTGAACAATGGATTTTTCATTTCTATTTTGCACTGGGCTCCACAAATTGTGTAGCTGGTGTTGGTCATAATCAGATGGTGGCTGGGGCTGGAATATCCAGGATAGCTTCATTCACAAATCTAGGGTCTTAGTAGGGTTGGCTGGGAGGCTGGGACCTCTCTGTCTCTCTCTCTACATGACTAGCTTGGGCTTCCCCACATGGCAACTGGATAAAAATATTCATAAGCCTTCCATGTTATGAGTTTTTTCCTGTTGTCACCTCCTCCTTTTTCCAGGGTACATGCTGCTGCTGGATTAACCCCATAGAAAGTTTCAGTTCATATAGGCACACCAGATTCACAATTTTAGATACCATTAACATTCATGATTCATGGGAGGAGGCCAAAATATTAACAGGAGCTTGGAGGAAGTTGATTCCAGCTCTCCCAGATGACTTTAAGGAGTTCAAGACTTTAGTGGAGGAAGTAACTGCAGATGTGGTGGAAATAGCAAGAGAACTAGAATTAGAAGTGGAAACTGAAGATGTGACTAAATTGCTGCAATCCCATGATAAAATTTGAATGGATGAGCAGTCATCTCTCTCTCTCTCTTTTTTTTTCCTTTGCTTATGGATGAGCAAACAAAGTGGTTTCTTGAAGTGGAATCTACTTCTGGTGAAGATGCTGTAGGCATTGTTGAAATGACAACAAAAGATTTAGAACATTATATAAACAGTGGCAGGGTTTAAGAGGATTGCGTCCAACTTTGAAAGAAGTTCGGCCGGGCGCCGTGGCTCACGCCTGTAATCCCAGCACTTTGGGAGGCCGAGGCGGGCAGATCATGAGGTCAGGAGATCGAGACCATCCTGGCTAACACGGTGAAACCCCGTCTCTACTAAAAATACAAAAAATTAGCCGGGCATGGTGGTGGATGCCTGTAGTCCCAGCTACTCAGGAGGCTGAGGCAGGAGAATGGCATGAACCCAGGAGGTGGAAGTCGCAGTGAGCTAAGATTGGGCCACTGCACTCCAGCCTGGGCGACACAGCGATATTCCGTCTCAAAAAAAAAAAAAAAAAAAAAGAAAGAAGTTCTGCTGTGGCTAAAATGTTATCAAACAGCATTTTATGCTACAGATAAATCTTTTGTGAAAGGAAGTCAATCAATGTGGCAAATTTAATTGTTGTATTTTTTAGAAAATTTTTATAGCCAACCCACCCTTTAGCAGCTGCCACCTAATCAGTCAGCAGCCCTCAGTGTTGAGGCAAGATCCTCCACCAGCAAAAAGATTACTACTTGCTAAAGGCTTAGATGATCATTAGCATTTTTTAGCAATAAAATTTTTTTGTTTGTTTGTTTTTGGTTTTGGCTTTTTTTTTTTTTTTTTTTTTGAGACAGAGTCTCACTCTGTCACCCAGGCTGGAGTGCAGTGGCATGATCTTGGCTCACTGCAACTTCCGCCTCCCGGGTTCAAGCGATTGTCATGCCTTAGCCACTTGGGTGGCTGGGATTACAGGTGCGCACCACCACTATCGGCTCATTTTTGTATTTTTAGTAGAGACAGGGTTTTGCCATGTTGACCAGGCTGGTCTCAAATTCCTGGCCTTAAGTGATCTGCCCACCTTGGCTTCCCAAAATGCTAGGATTACAGGCATGAGCCACCATGCCCAGCCTACCATAAAGTATTTTTTAATTCAGGTATTGATATGGTTTGGATATGTGTTTCCTCAAAATCACATGTTAAAATGTAATCCCCAGTTGGAAATTGTTCTGGTGAGAGATGTTTGGGTCACTGGGGTAGATCCCTCGTGAATGGCTTAGTGCTGTACTTGCAATAGTGATTGAGTTCTTTATTCTGAGTTCATGGGAGATCTGGTTGTTTTAGAGTGTGGCACTTTTCCCCTTTGTTCCCTTGCTTCTGCTCTTGCCATGTGACATGCTGGCTCCCTGTCACCTTCTGCCATGATTGGAAGCTTCCTGAGGTCCTCACCAGGAGCAGATGCCAGCACCACACTTCCTATAAAGCCTGCAGAGCTGTGAGCCAATTAAATCTCTTTTTCTTTATAAATTACCGAGACTCGGGTATTTCTTTATAGTAATGCAAAAAAACAGCCTAATATAGGCACGTACTTGTTATTTTAGACATAACGCTATTGCAGACTTAACAGACTACAGTATAGTGTAAACGTAATTTCTATATGCACTGGGAAATCAAAAAAATTCATGTGATTTGCTTTATTGCAATGTTTGATTTACTGTGGTGGTTTGGAACTGAGCCCACAATATCTCCAAGGTATGCCTGTAAATTATCATAGAAGCTTGGACTCATTAGTTTAAAACTAAACACAGGCTGGATGCAGTGGCTCACTCCTGTACTGCCAGCACTTTGGGAGGCCAAGGTGGGCGGATCACAAGGTCATAAGTTCAAGAGCAGCCTGGCCAACAGCCGGGCATGGTGGCATGCACCTGTAATCCTAGCTACTTGGGAGGCCGAGGAGAAAAATTGCTTGAATCCAGGAGGCAGAGGTTCCAGTGAGCTGAGATTGCATCACTGCACTCCAGCCTGCGTGACAGAGCAAGACTCTGTCTGGGCAGTGGGGCGGGTTGGGAACTAAACATTCCATTACGGCAAAAACTAAGTGCTGTAATCTGATTTGCTAACTGTAGAATGTAAACGTGTGTGGAAAGAATGTTATCTTTGCTCCTTATTTCTCTCTAGAAAGATAAGCACAATCAGGGTATGTGGGCAAGGAATTACTCTTTGAGAGATTTAATTTTTTATTTTTATTTATTTATTTAGTTAGTTAGTTAGTTGAGACAGAGTCTGGCTCTTGTCACCCAGGCTGGAGTGTAGTGGTGCAATCTCGGCTCACTGCAACCTCAGTCCACCTCCCAGGTTCAAGCGATTCTCCTGTCTCAGTCTCCTGAGTAGCTGAAATTACAGGCACCCATCACCATGCCCGGCTAATTTTTTGTAGTTTTAGTAGAGACAGGGTTTCGCCATGTTGGTCAGGCTGGTCTCAAACTCCTGACCTCAAGTGATCCACCCGCCTCAGCCTCCCAAAGTGCTGGGATTACAGACATGAGCCACCTCGCCGGGCAAGAGATTTAATTTAAATCTCTTTGAGGAGATTTGAATTAAAATACTTTAGGAAAAAAAAATGTCCTCAGCCAGGCATGGTGGCTCATGCCTGTAATCCTGGCACTTTGGGAGGCCGAGGCAGGTGGATCACCTAAGGTTAGGAGTTCGAGACCAGCCTTGCCAACATGGTGAAACCCCGTCTCTACTAAAAAAAAAAAAAAAAAAAAAAAAAAAACCAGAATTAGCCGGGTGTGGTGGTGCATGCCTGTAATCTCAGCTACTTGGGAGGCTGAGGCAGTAGAATTCCTTGAACCCAGGAGGTGGAGGTTGTAGTGAGCTGAGATTGTGCCACTGCACTCCAGCCTAGGCAACAAGAGCTAAACTCCGTCTCAAAAAAAAAGAAAGAAAAAAAGAAAGAAAGAAAAAGAAAAGACGGCCGGGCACGGTGGCTCACGCCTGTAATCCCAGCACTTTGGGAGGCCAAGGCAGGCGGATCACGAGGTCAGGAGATCGAGACCATCCTGGCTAACACGGTGAAACCCCATCTCTACTAAAAATACAAAAGATTAGCCGGGCGTGGTGGCGGGCACCTGTAGTCCTGGCTACTTGGGAGGCTGAGGCAGGAGAATGGCGTGAACCTGGGAGGTGGAGCTTGCAGTGAGCTGAGATTGCGCCACTGCACTCCAGCCTGGGCCACAGAGCGAGATTCTGTCTCAAAAAAAAAAAAAGAAAGAACGAAAAAGAAAAAAAACTCCTCAAACCTTTAGGGATGGATGAACATGGACAAATTAGACCATCAGAATAAGAACAATGTATGTGTCAGGTAGACATTAAGTTCGTAAGAGGTTTTTAAAAACTGGCTGAGTTACATGTAAATCATGGTGAGTTCTGTAAATTTGATATACTGTCATTCAAAAGAAATATGCTGAGTACCTATATACCAGGGCCTCTGGAGGGTGCGCCTACAGAGAATTAACACTACACTATCTTTTCCCTTGAGTGAAGCAGGCAAGACAGATACTTACAGAAATAAGGTTAATAATGGGGGCATGAGAAACATGATCATATTGAAAGAATCTGGGAAGAGTCTTGCAGAAAATGGGTGAGGTAAGACCAAAGATATTAACCTGAGGATACAGAGCAGGGAGAAGAGCTTTAACAAAGGCCATGGGCAGGTGAATGTATGTGTGGGGTGAAGCAAGGAAGGGTGTGTTGAGAGCTCAGGCAAGAAAGACAGCTAGAAGCCTGTGATGGTCAGTTTTTTTTTTTTAAGACAGGGGCTTACTATGTTGCCCAGGCTGGTCTCGAACTCCTGGGCTCAAGTGATCCTCCTGCTTCGACCTCCCAAGTAACTGGGACTACAGTCATGTGCTGTTGCACCCAGCTGATGGTGAATTTTATGTGTCAACTTGAGTAGGCTGTGGTCCCAGTTATTGAATCAAACACTGGTCTAGGTGTTGCTGTAAAGGTATTTTGTAAATGTGATTAGCATTCATAATGGGTCGACTTTAAGTACAGGAGATTTTCCTAGTTAGTCTGGGTGAGCCTGATCCAATCAGTTGAAAAGCCTTAAGAGTGGAACTGAGGTTTCTGTAAGGAAAAATAAATTTCACGTGTGGAGTGCAGCTTCAGCTACTGCCCAGAATTCCAGCCTGCCCTTCCTGATGGCCTGCCCCACGGATTTCAGACCAGCCTAGCCAGCCCCCACAATGATGTAAGCCAAATCCTTACAATAAATTTCTTAATATATGTCTCATACTGGTTCTCCTTCTCTCTCTCTCTTTTTTTTTTTTTTTTGAGATGGATTTTCGCTCGCTCTTGTTGCCCAGGCTGGAGTGCAATGGCACGTTCTCGGCTGACTGCAACCTCTGCCTCCCGGTTTCAAGCGATTCTCCTGCTTCAGCCTCCCAAGTAGCTGGGATTACAGGCGTGTGCCACCACGCCCGGCTAATTTTGTATTTTTGGTAGAGACAGGGCTTCATCTTGTAGGTCAGGCTGGTCTCGAACTCCTGACCTCAGGTGATCCACCCACCTCGGCCTCCCAAAGTGCTGGGATTACAGGTGTGAGCCACTGTGCCCAGCCTGGTTCTCTTTCTCTAGTTGACCCTGACTGATATAAAACCAGATTGTGGAGGGCTTTGAATGCCAGTTTGAGAGTGCTGAGTGCAGTCCAGATGAGGGGAGCTCTGATCTAAGACCTAGAAGGAAAGGGAAGGGAAGAGCATTGATAATTCTAGAAAATGCTGAGGGATGCCCTCTTGCCCATATTTCATATTTCCAACTAACTCCAAAGCTCAAGGCCTCTGGGAAAATTATGTAAACACCCTTCTCAGTGGAAGGGCTCCCACCCTCTCCCCACCCCATGGGGTGTTTCGGTCTGGCTGGCTGTACCTCCCTTTGAGATCCCAGGCATTATAGGAGAGTCTAAATTCATCCACTTGTTCCAGTCAGTCATTTCTTCTGCAGGCATTTCTTTTTGTTGCTGTTTATTTACATTTTTTTTTTTTTTTTTTTTTTTTTTTTTTTTTTGCTGGGGCATGATAATTTTTATTTATTTATTTATTTGACAAGGTCTCACTCTGTTGCCCAGGCTGGAGTGCAGGGGCGCCATCTCAGCTCACTGCAACCTCCGTCTCCTGGGCGCAAGCAATCCTCCCACCTCAGCCTCCCAAGTGGCTGGGACTACACACGTGCACCACCACACCCAGGTAAAATTTTTTGTATTTTTTTGTAGAGACGGGGGTCTCACCATGTTGCCCAGGCTGGTCTCGAACTCCTGGCCTCAAGTGATCCACCCACCTCAGCCCCCCAAAGTGTTAGGATTACAGTTATGAGCCACCGCACCCAGCATTCTGCAGGTATTTCTTTCTTTTCTTTTTTTTTTTTTGAGAGGGAGTCTCGCTCTGTCACCCAGGCCGGAGTGCAGTGGCGCGATCTCGGCTCACTACAAGCTCTGCCTCCCGGGTTCACGCCACTCTCCTGCCTCAGCCTCCCAAGCAGCTGGGACTACAGGCGCCCGCCACCACGCCTGGCTAATTTTTTTGTATTTTTAGTAGAGACGGGGTTTCACCATGTTAGCCAGGATAGTCTTGATCTCCTGACCTCATGATCTGCCCGCCTCGGCCTCCCAAAGTGCTGGGATTATAGGAGTGAGCCACCGCGCCCGGCCTTCTGCAGGCATTTCTTGGGCAGCAACTGTGGACAAAGTACTGTACAGTGCTCAGCTTCCAGATTACAGAAATGAATAAAATGTGGCCCTTACCTCCAAGAAGCTTTACAAACAGACTTGTCGAGCACTAACTTTAACAGCAGACAGAGAGAAAGAAGCCCCCTCCTCTCCTCCCTGCAGGACCAAATCATCCTTTTCTGAGCCTGCCACTTTGATCCCTAGCACAGTGGGCTTCTTGCAGCCCAGTGGAAGATTTGACTAGCTGGGCTTCCTTTTCATCTTCAAGCAACCTGGCCCACTCCTGGGTATTAGCATTTCTTTCAGGGTATTTTCTCTTTTCTATCTCCTATGTCTGCTCCAGTTTTTCCCTCTCGAAGCTAGTGTGACCTGCTCTCATTGTTCATATTCCCTCCTTGGCCTTGTCAGCCAACCCCCAATTCAATGCCAAGTGGTGAGCTTTCAAAGGCCACCACAAAGTCTATCACAGATACAGAGACTGCCCACGCTGCAGCCCATGCCGACCTCACCGCCTCTCAGGAGTTGGCCCTTCTATTGGGGCACAGACTCCCAATCTTTTTTTTTTTTTTTTGAGACGAAGTCATGCTCTGTCACCCAGGCTGGAGTGCAATGGCGGGATCTCGGCTCACTGCAACCTCCGCCTCCTGGGTTCAAGCGATTCTCCTGCCTCAGCCTCCCGAGTAGGTGAGACTACAGGCACGTGCCACCACACCCAGCTAATTTTTTGTATTTTTAGTAGAGACGGGGTTTCACTGTGTTAGCCAGGATGGTCTCGATCTCCTGACAGACTCCCAATCTTACATTCTGAGTCTTCAGCAAGAGTGCAGGCTGTCTGAGGGAAGAGGCTATATAGCTCTTACAGTCTCTAGCATAGATCGGCCTCAGAGAAGATGCATTTTAAACACTTAAGGATTTGAATTGAAAATCTGGATTGACACTGACAGATATCTCAGGAGGTGACTTTATATATATATATTTATTTATTTATTTGAGACAGAGTCTGGCTCTGTCGCCCAGGCTGGAGTGCAGTGGCACAATCTCAGCTCACTGAAACCTCTGCCTCCCAGGTTCAAGCAATTCTCATGCATCAGCCTCCTGAGTAGCTGGGACTACAGGCACGTGCCACCACACCTGGGTACTTTTTGTATTTTTGTTTTAGTAGAGACAGGGTTTCACCAGGGGTAACGGGGTTGGCCAGGCTGATCTCGAACTCCTGACCTCAAGTGATCAGCCTGCTTCAGCCTCCCAAAGTGCTGGGATTACAGGCGTGAGCCACCATGCCCTGCCAGGAGGTGACTATTAATGGTTTCTCCAAAGACTTCAACGTAGGAGTCCTCTGAAAGAGCAGAGGACTTATACATGTAAATCATAGTTTTATTAATATAAGTCTATCTTAAAATGAGTCCTGTTCTGGAAGATTTATTTATCTCATAAAGTGAAGCTGGCTTGTTTTACCTTAGATAGGATTTGGCTGAAACCTTTAGATGTGTCTCACTCTTCAAGGGTTCCCTCGAGTTGGTTTCTTGTGAATGTAGGTGTTATTGTACAAGGACAGTATGACAGGGAGCTAGAATCATGTAGGGATTTAAAATATGGGAGGTTTCAGTCCTTCTTGACAGGTGATTAGATAAAAACAGCAGGGCCAAGTGAGCTTTGTAGTTTGTTCTGGTGCTTAAGTTTTATGAACTGGGGAGTTCTCCCAGTTTAATTACTGACTTGGGGGAATGTTGGTGATGCTGGAAGTACTTGCCTTTGTTTAAAAATGCTTAAGTGAAAGTATGATGAGAAAAGGTGCTTTTTAAAAGCTAATAGACCCTTTAGTTCAACCCATTCATTTTATATAGTAAGAAATTGATAGCCAGAGAGGGGAAGTGAATGCCCAAGGTCACACAGCTAGTTTTTGGAAGAGCTGCAAGTCGAATCAAAGTCTTCTGGCTCATGGTGTAGGGCTTTCGCTTGCAGCTTTGTTACAGAGCCAAGCTAATATGGGCTCAGGGCCGCAGGAACTGCAAATCAAATAAAAGTCTCTTTCATTGTTCAGCAGGAGAAAATCTGTCCAGTTTCTTCTTAGTTCCTTGAGTCTTTTCAGGTCCCTGGAGGCATTGTACATTCCTGCTGCGCCAGGTTAGGAAGGGGCAGGGATGCTTGTCTTTGCTGCCTTGCTTTACTACCAATTCTGTCCTTGGTGACCAAGGCCATATCGGCTTTTTTGTCTATAAGTCAAACTAAGAAGCAGGAATTGCATTTACTTCCAAGAAACTGCAAACGGCTTGCCCATAATGCAGATTTATTCTCAAATTTATATGAGTGAATCAGGGAGGGGCAGTTGGGATCCTTAGTTTATAAGGGAGCAGGCCGAGGGATTGAGTGAGTAGGGCTCTAGAGAAGGCAGAGAGAACAGATGTTACCTCAGTGGCTTGGGCACTCCCCACTGTCATAATCACATAATTGAGAGAAGGGATTTCTGAAGCCACATTACCAAGGTAACACAGGATGCATATCAATTTAAGAACATTCCATGCTCATGGGTAGGAAGAATCAATATCGTGAAAATGGCCATACTGCCCAAGGTAATTTACAGATTCAATGCCATCCCCATCAAGCTACCAATGACTTTCTTCACAGAATTGGAAAAAACTACTTTAAAGTTCATATGGAACCAAAAAAGAGCCCGCATCGCCAAGTCAATCCTAAGCCAAAAGAACAAAGCTGGAGGCATCACACTACCTGACTTCAAACTATACTACAAGGCTACAGTAACCAAAACAGCATGGTACTGGTACCAAAACAGAGATATAGATCAATGGAACAGAACAGAGCCCTCAGAAATAATGCCGCATATCTACAACTATCTGATCTTTGACAAACCTGAGAAAAACAAGCAATGGGGAAAGGATTCCCTATTTAATAAATGGTGCTGGGAAAACTGGCTAGCCATATGTAGAAAGCTGAAACTGGATCCCTTCCTTACACCTTATACAAAAATCAATTCAAGATGGATTAAAGATTTAAACGTTAGACCTAAAACCATAAAAACCCTAGAAGAAAACCTAGGCATTACCATTCAGGACATAGGCGTGGGCAAGGACTTCATGTCCAAAACACCAAAAGCAATGGCAACAAAAGCCAAAATTGACAAATGGGATCTAATTAAACTAAAGAGCTTCTGCACAGTAAAAGAAACTACCATCAGAGTGAACAGGCAACCTACAACATGGGAGAAAATTTTCGCAACCTACTCATCTGACAAAGGGCTAATATCCAGAATCTACAATGAACTCAAACAAATTTACAAGAAAAAAACAAACAACCCCATCAAAAAGTGGGCGAAGGACATGAACAGACACTTCTCAAAAGAAGACATTTATGCAGCCAAAAAACACATGAAGAAATGCTCATCATCACTGGCCATCAGAGAAATGCAAATCAAAACCACTATGAGATATCATCTCACACCAGTTAGAATGGCAATCATTAAAAAGTCAGGAAACAACAGGTGCTGGAGAGGATGTGGAGAAATAGGAACACTTTTACACTGTTGGTGGGACTGTAAACTAGTTCAACCATTGTGGAAGTCAGTGTGGCGATTCCTCAGGGATCTAGAACTAGAAATACCATTTGACCCAGCCATCCCATTACTGGGTATATACCCAAAGGGCTATAAATCATGCTGCTATAAAGACACATGCACACGTATGTTTATTGCGGCACTATTCACAATAGCAAAGACTTGGAACCAACCCAAATGTCCAACAATGATAGACTGGATTAAGAAAATGTGGCACATATACACCATGGAATACTATGCAGCCATAAAAAATGATGAGTTCATGTCCTTTGTAGGGACATGGATGAAATTGGAAACCATCATTCTCAGTAAACTATCGCAAGAACAAAAAACCAAACACCGCATATTCTCACTCATAGGTGGGAATTGAACAATGAGATCACATGGACACAGGAAGGGGAATATCACACTCTGGGGACTGTGGTGGGGTCGGGGGAGGGGGGAAGGATAGCATTGGGAGATATACCTAATGCTAGATGACACGTTAGTAGGTGCAGCGCACCAGCATGGCACATGTATACATATGTAACTAACCTGCACAATGTGCACATGTACCCTAAAACTTAAGAGTATAATAAAAAAAAAATTAAAAAAAAAATAAAAATAAAAATAAATTTAGCTTCCAAAAAAAAAAAAAAAATCATGACCGGGCATGGTGGTTCACGCCTGTAATCCCAGCACTTTGGGAGGCTGAGGCAGGCAGATCACCTGAAGTTAGGGGTTCGAGACCAGCCTGGCCAACATGGTGAAATCCCGTCTCTACTAAAAATACAAAAGTTAGCTGTGTGTGGTGGTGGGCTCCTATAATCCCAGCTACTTGGGAGGCTAAGGCAGGAGAATTGCTTGAACCCAGGAGGTGGAGTTTGCAGCGAGCAGAGATCGTGCCATTAAGAGAAAGAACTGCACTCCAGCCTGGGTGAAAAGAGCGAAACTCCGTCTCAAAAATTTTTTTCATTTTTTAATACAAAAATTAGCTGGGTGTGGTGGTGCATACCTGTAGTCCCCGCTACTTGGAAGACTGAGGCAGGAGAATCACTTGCACCCGGGAGGGGGAGGTTGCAGTGAGCTGAGATCGTGCCACTGCACTCCAGCCTGGGCAACAGAGCCAGACTCCATCTCAAAAAAAAAAAATCAGATTCATTGCATTCTGCATTGGATATGAGTATATCTGACATTGTAGGAAGCCCTTATGCCCAGCACAAAGTGCTTTGTTCAGTTAATCAGATGGCTGAAGTTCATTACGTTGCCCTGGCAGAGAAAATGGGGAGATGTAGTTCAAAAGATACAAAGTAGCAAATATGTAGGATGTAGGATGTAGGATGAAGTCTGGAGATCTAATGTACAACATGTAACATGTCCATGCTACCAGTTTTTGCTTGGGGAGAGGAAGAGAAAAAGGTGGGTTTTTGTTGTTGTTGTTTTTTTGTTTTTGTTTTTTGAGACAGAATCTCACTTTGTCACCCAGGCTGGAGTGCAGTGGCACGATCTCGGCTCACTGCAACCTCTGCTGCCCAGGTTCTGGCGATTCTCCTGCCTCAGCCTCCTGAGTAGCTGGAATTACAGGCATGCACCACCATGCCCAGCTAATTTTTGTCTTTTTAGTAGAGACAGGGTTTTGCCATGTTGTCCAGGCTGCTCTCGAACTCCTGACCTCAGATGATCCATCGGCCTTGGCCTGCCAAAGTGCTGGGATTACAGGTGTGAGCCACCGTGCCTGGAATGAATATTCTCTTTAAAAAAAAAAAAAAAAAACCAAAACCAAAACCAAAACCCTTTCCTATTAAGCCTAAATGTTGAGGAAAAATTAGAAATTCAAGCTCCCTTTATTACAGCTGCTTTTAGCAAGGAGGATGAGGATGGAGGAAGAGCAGGAAGATGTCAGAGAAACATGTGAGGGGTATTGGCCAAAGGCCAAGATGAGCTTCGTGTTCACCAGACTGTGTCCACTGAGGACAGGGATTCTCCATTGAGGAAGTGAGCTGGCTTAGCAATTTCGAAAAAAAGGCCCAGGGAAAAAGAGGTCTTGCAGGTCCTTTTTGAGGGAAACTAACTGAAAATGGCTTTGCCTGGGAGCAATGGATATTTGGAGAAAACAGTCCCCCAAAGCTCTGCTGGCCAAGTTTCTAGTTCCAGGCCTTTGGTGCAAGCTTAATTAGTTTCTGTGGACCAGCTGCAAATGGGGCAGTTCTATTTGTACTTGTTAAGTTGTACAGCTAAGACTCAGGATTTTTACAGCTGCGTTTTCAGCACCACCTCATTAATCCTCACAGCCATAGAGGGAGGCTGAAGACTCAGTCATCTTCGTTTTAGAGGAGAGGCCCAAAGAGGTAAAATGACGTATACCCCATCATATGGCAAGTCAGTGGCTGGGCTGAAAAATAGAAGTGAGCCCTGATTCTAGGGTGAGCTGCTCAGCCTAGCCCACACAGCTTCCCTGCTTTGCTTGCTCATTGCAGATGCAGAAATCTCCGGCTGGTTCCCCTCAGTCTGGGCTTGGGGCTGACCTGCTGCTAAAGTGTGTAATAGGCAACAGTTGGGGGGCAGGGGCAGGGAAGGGGAGGGAGCCTTTGATAATGCTGCCCCATCTCCTCTTGGGGTCCCTTTCTGACACCCTGTCACTTCAGGTCTTTCTCTTTTTTTTAGATACAGGATCTTGCTCTATCGCCTAGGCTGGAGTGCAGTGGCAGTGTGACTTCCTGGGCTCAAAGGATCCTCCCACCTGAGTCTCTTGAGTAGCTAGGACAACAGGCGTGTGCTACCATGTCTGGCTAATTTTCTTTAAAGAGATGGGGTCTTGCTATGTTGCTCAGGTCTCCAACTCCTAGGCTCAAGCGATCCTCCTGCCTTACCTCCCAAAGTGTTGGGAAAACAGGCATGAGCCACCCTACCTGGCCATTCCAGGTCTCATATCCCTGAACAAGCACTTGACCCCCACCCTGTGCCCAGATCCACGGAAATAGACGGGTCCCAGCTATCCTCCCCTTAAGGCTTATGCAACCAGCTGGCTCATCTGATGGGCCCCAAGTGTGTCAATACTTCCATCCAAGCATGTCTATTAGTCGAAGAGAGTGAACTTGGATGCTGGGTAGATGGCTATGGGAATGTCACCAAAAGTATCAGACATAAGACTCAAGTGTCTTTGAAATGATATGTATCTTTAAAAGGCATTCATGTTTGCATTCCTCACATGATGCTTTTAGATAAAAATATTTAATGTGGGCCGGGCATGGTGGCTCACGTCGGTAATCCCAGGACTTTGGGAGGCCGAGGTGGGCAGATCACCTGAGGTCGGGAGACCAGCCTGACCAACATGGAGAAGCCCCGTCTCTACTGAAAATACAAAATTAGCTGGGCGTGGTGGTGCATGCCTGCAATCCCAGCTACTCAGGAGGCTGAGACAGGAGAATTGCTTGAACCCAGGAGGCGGAGGTTGCAGTGAGCCGAGATCACGCCATTGCACTCCAGCCTGGGCAGTGAGAGTGAAACTCTGTCTCAAAATAAATAAATAATAATGAGTCATCAGAATGATATTTTCCTCCAAAATCTTGGAGAAAAATTCAAATGTGTCAGGAGTATGGGCCACATTGTAACTGTGGCTTTTTGTGTCTGCCAGCACATTGCCACATACTCTGGGGGGCTCAGACCCCAGGTGGAGGAGCACAGGGAGTCCCATATCAGTGGGCAGATGGTAGAGGATGAGGGGACCACCTGAGAGCCACGTGCATATTTTGAAGGCTGCTTTTTGGACATAACGCTCAGCCCACAAATTTCCATGCACATATACTGTTTCATCCCTGGCTCCCTCAAAGAGGCATGAGGCACAAGGGCAGACCAGAGAAGATAGGTTAGGGGACAGGTGGGCTTGCACTCACATTTCAATGTCACAGGCCACCTGTTACACACAGGCCGCCTGGACCCTGAGCAGCAATTACAGGTCATCTTCTGATGAGTGTGGCTGCATCCATGCCTCTGTTTCCGGGAGAAGTGATTAGCAGGTAAGGTTGAAGTCAGGAGTGGTGGCTCATGCCTGTAATCCCAGCATTTTGGGAGGCTGAGGCAGGGAGATCACTTGAGCCCAGGAGTTTGAGACCAGCCTGGGCAATATGGCAAAACCCTGTCTCTACAAAAAAATAAATAAATAAAAATAAAAATCAGTTGGATGTGGTGGTGGGTGCCTGTAGTCCCAGCTACTTGGGAGGCTGAGGTGGGGGATCACCTGAGCTCAGGAGGTCTAGGCTGCAGTGAGCTGTGATTATGCCACTGCACTGCAGCCTGGGTGACGGAGTGAGAACCTGTTTAACAACAACAACAAAAACCCCACAAAGGTAGGTTCCTCCCTGCACTTCCAGATGCTGCGGAGAATGACCCTGGGTCCACAGAAAGGTGGGGTCAGGCTAAGTACTGTAGGGTAGTAGTTGAAAGCATGATGGGCTGGGTTTGAAAACTGATAGGCTTACCATTTACCAGCTGTGTGACCTTGGGCTAGTGACTTGTCTAGGCTTCAATTTCCTCCTCTGATAAATGGAAATGATAATAGTACCTCTCTCAAAGGATTATTGTGAAGGTTAAATGAGATCATGTGTGTAAAGTACTTAGCAAGGTATCTGGCATATGGCAAGTGTTCATACACAGTTGTTTTTGCCTATTTAAGGGCAAGGTTCAATTTTTCTGTGTTGTGGAAGACTCCCAACATAGTACAGATGCATATTCCTTTTAGCCAAAGCCTTGAAAATGAGAATGAGGTATCAATACCCAGAGGGAAGGACATCACAGACAGGAGAACAGGAAAAGCTAAACCCGAGCTTATTCCTAAGTGGTAGGTAAAAATCCTGCAGCTGAAAACATCACACAGACACCAGAACATGTCCCTGTTATGCTGGGGTGTGGCATCAACCAATGACTTGGTGCGTGGATGCGTAGGCCTTTGTGGGTGTCACTAGAAACGCTCATGTGAAACAAGAAGTTCTGTACCTGCAAGAAGGCAGCCTTCATCATTTCCACTTTACAGTGGCTTCCAGCCGGTCAGGACATTGAACCCAAGAAACCCGCCTGGAGTCCAGGACATTTCTCCAGGGACCAGGACTGAATCCTCAGAGGTCATTTCCTCCGACTCCATGGAGGACTTCCTTCTCGCTCCAGATGTACACCCACAGTCTGGCTTCCAGGCTGCAGGATGAGGAATGGGATGTGGCTATTACCTTGGAATCAGATGTGGTTATTACCCTTACCCTACTGGCTGTTCGGAGGAATTCGATCCTAAGACATAAATGTATGCCCCCTCCCAATGCTGGCAGTTGACCCTCCCCTACCTCTTTGGCAGCAAAAATTCTGGCGGAGGCAGGTTCTTTCAATTCATTGCTGATGAAATTACCTATTATCCACAGTGCCTTCACAACAGCTTGAAAAAAATGTGATTGTGCCAGCACCCACTGGCATTTTGGGTCCACGCCAACAGTATGAACCCATTTTCCTTTAAGTGGCTGAAGTCAGAAAGGCAGGAATCAGGCTCTGGGACACTTGGATGGGGTGACTGGAGAGCATCAGCTTCAGGTTCAGGTTGAGGCCAAAGATGGCAAGGAAGACACTGGTGGGAATATGGCCTTTCCCTGCACTCCCAGATACTGCAGATAATGACCCTGGGTCTGAGGTGACTGTCAGTCACCTCAGGAGAGTTTCAGGAGCTTTTGGAAAGTAGTTGGTGAAACTCAGCTGAGTTGGTGGGGCATGGAATGATGGCCCCAACTCCTCATCTTTTGATAGGAGGATGCCAGGCTGTCTAGCCATGTCCAGCTACACTGCCCCAAATCAACCACTCCCAGAGGAGACAGAGCCCTTTTCACTCACACACAAGTCTGGGATGGCTCTCTCATGACAGTCATCTCCTTCAACACTCATTTATTCTACAAATATGTGAATACTACTATGTGCCAGATACTGTGTGGGTGGGTACCCAGGGTGTAAAACTAAATAAGAATGTTTTCTGACCTTAAGGAGCTACCAGTGTAGTTAGTGCAGGGCCTTAGGGCTCCTGAGTTTTCAGACTGTCCAGTTGGGTCATTTTGAGTGGCAGTGGGCTTCAGTTTATCATGGCATTGACTCGCACTGAATCCCAACCTTAGTGCTGTGGGACAGTATGCCTGGCAGGCAGCACCCAGAAGAGCTCTGCCTGTAGTCCAAGGGCTGCTGCCTGTGGTTCCCTCCCATGTTTAAAGAGGAGCTTTGGCTTGGTGTTGAGGAACATGCAGAGAATCCCAGCCTGACTGTGCTGCCCCTGACTGTGCTGCCCCTGGCTCCTCTTCAATGCTTTGCTTCCAAACCTCTTTAGCCATAACCTTTGCAGACATGGAAAAAAAGGAGTCTGTAGGCCGAGTGTGGTGGCTCACGCCTGTAATCCCAACAGTTTGGGAGAATGAGGTGGGTGGATCACCTGAGGTCAGGAGTTCGAGACCAGCCTGACCAACATGGTGAAACCCCGTCTCTGCAAAAAAAAAAAAAAAAAAAAAAAAAAATTAGCTGGGCGTGGTGGTGGGCACCTGTAATCCCAGCTACTTGGGAGGCTGAGGCAGGAGAATCACTTGAACCCTGGAGGCGGAGGTTACAGTGAGCTGAGATGACGCCATTGCACTCCAGCCTGGGTGACAGAGCGAGACTTTGTCTCAAAAAAAAAAAAAAAAGAGTCTGTTATCAATCTTTGGAAGTGACTAAGTAGGATCACTGTACACAGTTGGGTAGCTTGTATACATAGCCAATGAGGCAAGTCGGGCTGGACAGGGCTGAAATTACCAAGCCATGTGCCCATCACACAGAGGGTGTCATGGTGGGGGCATGGGCAGCAGGAAGAACCTTTTTCTAATTTGGACAAAGATGCCTCAGGCTAGTGAAGAACTGTAAGTACCAGAAGAAAGTTAGGAAACAGGAGAAACAAAATAATTTCTCACCCTTGGGTAACTCTGAAGAGCCAGAAGGGTTAGCTCTGATTAGGGTCCTAATGCTTCCATACTATGGAAACAATCCCTCCTTCCCACCCCACTACATGGCCAGAGGCTGTTGCAAGGGATTCCATAGCCTAAACTGCGAGGCAGTCAGGCTGCACTCTGAGAGCAAGAAGGCACAGTTCAGAGGGAGAGGCCCCATTTCCCAACCCCAGTCTGAGGAGTGGCCTAAAATCCTAATTCCCAGGCCATCTGATACACTAGGCACAGAGCACACTGTGTTTCTCCACACAACCCCCCACACCACCTCCAGCCCTTCAGCTCTGAGGTCACAGCCATGGGGGCCAGGTGAGCCAGAAGCCTCGTGGTCAAGAGAAAGAGGTAGACAATTTCCAACTCCCATGAGAAACAGTAGGCTTCAAAGAGGAGCAAAGGGGATCCCCTGTGTGTTGGGGAGGTGGGAGGAACAGGGTCCTTAGCTCTCATCACCCACCAGTGCCCAGTACATAAGAGCAGGGGCCCAGGATGAGCACACAAAGGGCCACCACCAACCAACAATTCAAGGACACAAGGACACCCACAAAGAGGCACCGCAAAGACTTATTGGGATAGTAAGATGAATAGATTTAATCATTCTTGTTTGAAAAACAAGACATAAATTAGTATATATATAATTTATATATTTTATGTAGTATATATACTATATACAGACATTAGAAAATGTTTCCTCTCCATGAGGCTGAGGGAGAGGTGAAGGATGGCGGTGGAATGACACAGGCAGGGGCTGAGTGGCGAAGTTGGGAGAAAAAGAAGACCATATCAGCACTCCAGCTTGCAGTGGCTGAGGGGAAAAGGATTCCCCACTGGCTGCATCTCTGGCCCATTCAACAACTTGGTCCTGGGGGAGGAGAAGCAAGGAAGTGAGGGGCTGGATTCTGCAGAAGAAACTCCCCTCCTCCTTGCCGGGAGAACTCACCACTCAGGGAGACTTTATTGCACTAGGGGCTACCAAGGATGGGCAGGGATTAAGCACAGTGTACATCTTTATAAAACTCACATCAGAATGAAAGATTTCACATGGGCCTCTGACACAGTGATGAAACAGAGGCAGACACAGGGCACAAGGGTGTGGGAAATGGGGAGATATGGAGAGGCGGACGAGAAGCAATCTATACAGAAGAAACATTGGCTTTCTTTGTTCCCTACAGTGGGACAGTTGGTAGGGACTCCGTGTCTTCACTCCCAGGAAGGTTGCGGGGGTGGGGGGCGTGGGGGGAGGGTTGGCAGCGGTGGTGGCGGTGGTGGTGGCAGCGGTGGTGGCAATAGGAGGTGTGTGTCAAGGTGGATGTTAAACAGTGTGAATTCCCTTCCAGATGGCTCCAGAGAGGGAGAAAGGTGCAGGACTGCACCGGGTAAGGCGCTCAGCTTCTTTTCTTAGAGAGACAAATCCACAGGGTCAATACACAGCCAAAAGCATATACTCAGGATTAACATATCACGCTAGCTTCCAGAAGTTTAAGATATAGTCATCAACACCCCCCACCCCTACCCCTTTCCCCCCTCCCCCCACCCCCCTCCCCGATCCACAGCTAAGTCAAACTCCCAAGGACAGTCTGTCTGGTAGAGAGATGTTGAGAGAGAAGCCTCATGCCTGCAGCAACAGCCCCTGAGCTGGGCTGGGCCGGGCTAGGCGGGCTCCTAGGCCTGCACTGGGTCTCCCCAGGCAGACGTTTTCATCAGGTACCTTACCCAAAATGAGTGGGGTGATCCCAGATGCTTGCTCCCTAGTGGACTGAGCTGCCCTGCCCATCAGTGAGGGGCAGGGCACTTTGGGGATGGCTGGTGTGGAGCTACTGGACCTGGAGGTGAGGGCTCACCAGGCTGCCGGCCAGTTGGGCCGCTGCAAACAGCCTAGTGTGGCTGTTTTCTGCAGACATCTCACCCAGGCACAGGCCCTCAGGGTGGCATCTACCAGGTGAGTGTGAGCCCAAGGTGGATGGGGACATCTGGACTGAGCGCCCTCTCCCCTCGGCACGGCAATGTGGCCTGCTGCTACTGCCACTGCTCCCAGCAGGGGAGCCGATGCCACGAGGAGCTCAAAGCCTGAGGGTCCGCTTGCTTCAGGCCCTGGCTCCCCCAGCGCCCAACACGGATTGAGCAGGAAGTGAGCCTGATGTCACCTCTCAGCCCCAGAGAAGAGATAAAATACAGCTCTGCTGTGAGCAGAGTGAAGAGGGGCCTTTGCCCTCACAGTGAGGCCCAGAGGCCAGGGAAGGGGTGAGGACACCCAGGGCGGCAGCTAAGCCTGCAGCCCTTAAGAGAGAGCCTCAATCAAGAGAGTTTCCACTCCCCGGAGACTGATGGGCTCTTGGACCCTGACTGGCCCAGCAGACACACACACACTCACCACAAGATGCAAGGACCACAAAGCTCAAACCTGGGGCCATGGTTGGGGAAGGGGGACAGGTGTGGGCAGATGCCCTACTTAATAAGGGTTTTTAAGGAGTGGGTGAATGTGCTCATAACAGTCGCCGAAGTTGGGGAGCCTGGTGGATGCTCTGTGGCTGCCCCTGCAGCTGCTGCCACCTGCTGCTGCTGCTGCTGCTGTTGTTGTTGCTGCTGCTGTTGTTGTTGCTGCTGCTGCTGTTGTTGTTGCTGCTGCTGCTGGTTAAGGTTACGGGCTGTGGACTCCTCAGCTGCACGCAGCAGGAAGGTGTAGTTCCTCACCACCTCTTCTACCTTGGCCAGCAGCTCTTGGCGCTGGGCCTCGGAGCGCACAATGAACACCAGCCGCACGAAGGTCTCAATGAGGCTGCTCAGCACCTGGAAGCTGCCCGTGATGGCTGCCAGCATGTGAGTTGGGCTCTTGTCCACATTGGCCACACGGCGGCAGGAGGCCCGGAGCTCCTTGAACTTGAGAGCTAGCTCAAGCTTATACTCGGAGATCTGAGACACATAGGGCTTGGGGGCACGGGCCTCGGGGCTGGCCACACACTGCCGCAGGACTGTCAGCAGCTCGTTGGTGTCCAGCCGGGCAGCCAGGAAGCCATCAGGGAGGCCATAGGCATGGGCCCGCAGGGCATTGATCTTGGCCAGGCTCCCCTCGAAGGTGGACACACGGAGGTCAATCTCCTGAGTGCGGGAGGCCTCAGGGCTGCTGCTGCTGCAGGTAGCAGCATCCAGCACCTGCAGGGTCCTGCTCACCACAGGCACCACCTGCTCGTCCAGCTTCATGCCAGGCAGGATCTTCATGGGGATAGAGTAGGAGAGCTCATCCTTGCCATCACTGGCATCATCTGCCATGTCACACTTGCGGTAGTAGAAGCAGTAGCGGATGGAGCAGCACTTGCTGCTCTCACTGTCCTCGTCTAGCTCGGCAGGCTTCCGGTACACCTCCTCGGGCAGTGAGAACACGGCCATCTGTCTGGGGCCTTTGGTCTCTGGGGCAACCTGGACGTAGGAGGGGTCTCCCAGCGTCGGTGACTCCAGAGACCTGCTTTTGGGACCCAAGGCTATGGGGAGGCTTGCCTCTACCTCCTTGGCCTCCCTGGGCAGCATGCCCAGGGGAGGATGTGGGTAGACATCCGAGGTCAGCGAGGCCCTGTCACCCTGGTCCAGCTCACTGATACTGTAGCGGCGCATCAGTTTCCTGTAATTGGGAGCTCCCAGACACTCGCCCCCCGAGGCACACGTGGTCAGGCACGAAACACCACTCTCAGGGTCCGATCGGCACTCTCGGGACTCCAGGCTGGTAGAACGAATGCGCTGGACATTGATGGGGCTGCTGAGGCTCACGCCTGGGCCAGCCTCTGGCTGCCTCTGGCTAGGGAGGACTCTGTCCCTTTCCCTCCCCCGGAGGCTGGGCACTGGTGTCTGGGTGGCTTGTGGCCGGCCCCCCCGGCAGATGCGCTTGCAGTCACAGCTGCGCCTCTGCTCACGGGACATGCCAGGCCCCTGCTGCACAGGGCTGCTGCGGAGCTGGCAGCTGCAGCGGCCAGGTGCTGGAGGTTGCAGGTACTCGGTGCCTGGCAGCTCCCCCTGGCTTGGTGGCTTTAGAAGTTCCTCAAGGAACTCCAGTTCATACTGCTTTACCTTCTGCAGTTGGGCCTGCCGCTCATCTGTCTCCTTCTTCTGGCGGGTTGGGAAGGTGGCAGAGAATAAATTGCGTAGCCGGAAAGGACCTCGGGATGACTTGGGTTTGGCAGGGCCTTCAGAGGTCGAGTGGGCTCCATTGAGAGTTGTTTCAAGCTTCCTAGAGGGCATGGTGCTCACCTGCCGGCTGGCAGCCTGAGACCTCAGTGGGCTCTGGCCTCGAGGTTGGCAGCTGGGGCTCTGACCTCGAGACTGGCTGCTGGGGCTGTGGCCATGAGGCTGGCAGCTGGGGCTGTGGCTTCTTGACTGGCAGCTGGGGCTCTGCAGAGCCATGGGGTAGGTAGCTCGGGGAACCAGGCTGGTCTCTTCGAGCTTGCTTCTTTTGGGTGTGCTCTCCAGCTGCGCCTTCTCCCCTTGGCTGGAGATGGTGCCCTGCTTCTGCAGGGTGGGCTTACCACCCACTGGCCCGCCTTTGCCTGCCACCTCCCCTGTAGCTTGCTTGCCCACTGACTCTCGGCTTGTTCGCAAAAGATAGCTTTTGGGAGGGAAATTTTGAACAGGCAGACTGTCCTCTTGTTGGGAGAGGTGCAGGCTGTCAGCCCGGCTGCCTGTGGGTGCTCTGGGGCTGGAAGAGACCTCTGCACCCAGCTGATGTTGAGAATTCCATGAGGTCTCTGGAGCACTGGGGCTAATTTTGAACTTCAGATTCTTACTGGCACTGCTGCTCATCATGCTAACCTCTGGCCTCCCCATGCTGGCCTCCAGCCTTCTCTCACCCCTGCTGGGGGGGTTCCCCAAAGCCCCACCAGCAGTGACTAGACTCTTATTGTGAACCACTTGCTGTAGGGCGGCCGAGATGATGGCAGGGGTCACACTGCTCTTTGGGTCGAGGATAAGCTTGGGGCTCAACCTGACCTCCTTGGGCAGGTTGTCCCTCAGCTCAGAGACCTGCTCTTCACTGAGGGATGATGTGGCTGCCCTCAGTGACATTTCTAGGCCTGCCCTAGTGTGGCCAGGCCCTTTGTCCTCAGGAACTGGGGACAGCAGACTCAGATTCTTCTGTTCACTAAGCTGTGGGGACAGTGCTGGGTGCACTGCCAAGGAGTATGTTCGTTCTCCCTGTACCTGGCCCTCTGACTGGGGCAGCTTCCTCCGAGCGCCAGGGGGGCCAGGACTCTGGCCTGTGGCAATGGGTTGGAGAGATGGGTTGGGATCCGGGCGCCCAAGAGAGTAAGGGGCCGTAAGAACGGCCTGGGCTGCACAGCTCTGGATCCGGAAGGGCAGGTCCTTGCGGGCAAGGAGGCTGTCCTTGTTGAGGTGCTGGGCCAGGAAGTAGGTGGTGTTCTGGTGCTGCTTCATGGCCGACATCATCTCTGACATGTCTGTGAGCTCTGAAGAGTTGGTTTCATGACCTGAGTCCAGCGATGATTCAGGAGTGATTGTGGCCAGCACAATCAGACCTGGAGGAACAGGGATAGGGCTTGTTATGCTTACTGAAATCAAGTTCTTTTCCAGCTCTACACGGTTGTCCCTCGGTATTCATGGGCGATTGGCTCTAGGACTCCTGAAGATTCCAAAACTTGCAGATGCTCAAGTCCCTGATACGAAATGGCATAGTATTTGCATGTAACCTATGTACATCTTTCCATGTACTTTAAAGCCTCTCTAGATTACTTATAATACCTCACACAATGTAAATGCTATGTAAATAGTTGTTATACTGTGTTGTTTAGGGAATAATGACAAGAAAAATCTGTACATGTTCAGTATAGACATATTTCTTTTTTTCAAATATTTTTGATCTGCGGTTGGTTGAATCAGTGGATGCAGAACCCTCAGATACAGAGGGCTGACTATATAGGAAGTGCATAGAAGCCAAGGTTAGCCAGCAGTATTTCCAGCTGGAGAAAAACAGACAGGCCTGGCGAGAATGCAGGGCTGAGGGTGGGAAGAGTGGAGGGGAGGGGACAAAGAGGGGCAAGCTATAAGAAGGGGATGAAAGGCCGGAATCCAAAACAGAAACAAAAGAGGTGGCGAGAGGATCTGGGCAGTTTTATGGCAAATTACCATGTGAATCACATGCAAAACAGCATGCTAATCACAACTATTTTTAGATTCAACAGCTAGGAAATTTTTGTTAATTGTCCTAAAGAGGGGCTGGCAAAGAGAGGTCTCTCTCTATCCCTCCTCATCTGGCCAGGCCCGCCTACAGTCATTGCAGCTGAGGCCATTTAGCTGAGCTTGTCCTCTCTCCAGCAGCCACGTGGGACTCAAGCCTGGGAGCAACTAGCACTCTCTCCAGACTCTAAGCAAAGAGAAATGCCAGCCCTGGGGGCCAAATACATGGGGGTTGTCCAATGTCAAGGGTGTCCTCACACATGGAAAAGGCAGGCTCTCTCTGACCCCAATCCCTCGTGGTCCCTATTCCTCCCTATTCCTTTTCTGTTGCTGTGTCATTTACCTCTTCTCTTTCTTTTTTCTTCTTTTTTTTTTTTAGAGTCTCACTCTGTCACCCAGGCTGGAGTGCAGTGGTGCAGTATCGGCTCACTGCGACCTCTGCCTCTCAGGTTCAAGCGATTCTCCTGCCTCAGCCTCCTGAGTAGCTGAGACTACAGGTGTGCACCAGCCCACCCAGTTAATTTTTGTATTTTTAGTAGAGACAGGTTTTCACCATGTTGGCCAGGCTGATCTCGAACTCCTGACCTCAAGTAATCTGCCCACCTCGGCCTCCAAAAGTGCTGGGATTACAGGTGTGAGCCACCACGCCCAGCTCTCTTCTCTTTTTTTAAGGTGTATGTATATGGAGGGACATATGTGTGACTATGGGTATGTGTCTGACATGTGTTTGTCTACAAGATGGACATACATGTGTTTATAACAGGGAACAGCATGCATGTTGTACGGTTTTCCTGTGAACTAATACTTAGTTACAATAGCTACCACTTACTGAGGCCTTACTGTGTGCTAGGCAGTGCTTACATGCTTTGCATGAATGATCTCATTCAATCCTTGTGACAACCCCATGTGATAGAACTACTTTTATAAAACCCATTTAAGATGATGGAATGAGGTTCAGAGAGAGTAAGTGCCTTGCCAAAGGTTACACTGACAATGATTGAAGAAACCAGGACTTCGGTGCATCTGATTCAGAGCCCATGTTCTTAGGCAGGATAAAGACCTCAGCCATGAGCAGTGATGGCCCTTGGCTCCCCTGGTCCCAGGTCACTAGGTAGTGAGTTGGTCGTTTTCCTTTTCTTTCAATCATGTGCATGCTGGATGTTCTGTTCTTCACCTGTCTTCTACATCTCTCACAGTTTTTCTCTGATCCTCTATCCTGGCCTGCATCCATAGCTGTCATGACCCCAATCCCTGGGATCTATCTGTAAGGCATTTCCAAAGAGATGCAATGACGAGAGCCAGAACTCTAGCTAGAGCTGAGCAGCTGCTCCCTGCTGTAACATCATTGCTCCTCTGACCCTATCTAAAGAACCTTTGGTACATCCACTGCCCTGACATACCTCAGTGACTCTGACACCTATTTGGGAAGACACAATGTTACCTACTGGCCCTTGTTGGACAAGAGAAGGGGGTGGAAAGAGGGAGAAGGAATCGGTCATTACCTGCAGTCTGTGGGGGTGGTGGGTGTGGTC
The DNA here is from genome assembly GCF_000001405.40 of Homo sapiens. NCBI lineage: Eukaryota > Metazoa > Chordata > Mammalia > Primates > Hominidae > Homo > Homo sapiens. Next base: position 107,598,112 of record NC_000023.11, on the reverse strand, counting down.
CATCCTCGGATGCAGCCAGGGCTTCTAGAGCCTGCAGAGTGGACACCAGGGCATCATCTAGCTCCTGGGCATGATCTCGAACTGTCCGGGTCTGCACACTGTCAATCAATGTCACTGGAATCTCATCGTACAGAAGCCCACGCAGGTGGCGTCCTTGTTCCTGGCTCTGGACAGCCCGGCGCTTGGGGTCATCCTCATCAGAGCTGTTGTCTCGGAAACCAGGGGGTGGGGCAGCAATGGCTGGCAACAGAGAAGTTGTCTCATCTTCCTCCTCCTCCTCCTCCTCACTCCCAGGTGGTGGGAGGGACATCAAATCTACTATATTGTCACGAGAGGAGCCAGGCTTCCCACCTTTGCGAGGGCCCAGCTGCTCCTGAAGTTTGGCTTTGCAAGAGTCACAGTAGAAATTCAGGGCTTCAGCCCCAAGGGAATTGTCCAAGGTGTAGGACCGGGCCCTGCTGGCACAAGGCTCGTGGTCTAGGCTAGCTGCATCAAAGTCATCAGGGACTACCTCATAACCTTGGCCAGAGCTTTTGGATGTGGGGTCAGACTTGGTTCGGGGCCTGGTCTCCTCAAAGAAGATTAGGTTCTCGTTGACATCTGTCCGGCTTTCCTGCTCCTTCCTTTGTTCCCGCATATGGAGGTAGCAGAAGCTGACAAGCTCAGAGTCGGCAGGTGGGGGCGTGCAGCGGCTCGATTTCCTGGGGCTGGTGCCCACGCTGCCCACATAACTACTCTCCTTTTTCCCCAGGTGGCCCCCAGTGACAGGGCGGTGGGCGCTGTGCATGTAATCTAAACCCAGAAAGAGAATCAACAGATGAGCCCTGGTGCCAAGGATTGTGAATGAGCTCCCTTGTTGTCTCTGGCCCATGTCTCTGTAGCACAATCAAGTGGCAGGTCCCAAGACAAAGCATTACCTGGCTGCCAAAGATTAGAGGTAGGGAAGTTGATGAGCTATGTTACTGCTGACCCTGAAAGTAGAGTGAATAGAGTCTAATAACCTGAGCTGCTAATAGCCCCATCACCTCTGAAATGGGAAAAGGCATGGGGTATGGTAGGGGTCGGGGTGAACACCCTGGTTTAGGGCCTGGTATCTGGGCACAGCTGGACTCTTACATGGATACCCTCTATCTGAAAGTCAGCTGTAAACGTATGTCCCACTTGGAACTGTTCCTACCCCTGTCCCCACCCCTTTTCAGAGCTTTTCCACCAGTGCTCTGTTGTTCTTGTTATCTTGAATCTCTTCTAGCAGAAGGAAATAAATCTGACAAGTTACTAATGCTTTAGTCAGAACCTGTTAAACAGGCTACATATAATGCCGAAGAGTTTGCATTTCAAAGAGGCCTGTTGATGGAGGGATCCTAAAAGAATAAGGCTCTATATTAGAATTCCGGGGTCTGAATGTGTAAAGTATATGGGAGATATGCTGGGATGTGCATATGTGGGAGGAGGGCAGGGGAAGCATTCTTATAATTCTTCAAATTTTATTCTTTTCTGCATTCATGCAGGGCCAGCCCTACCTGCTACACATACATATGGCAAATGCTCTCGTCAACCGCTCTTAATGATGGTAGGTGTGTGCATCTGAGAATTATCTATAGCAAATGCTTTATCTGTGAATACCTTCTCTCACTGTTTTTGGAGCTCTTCCCCATTTTATCTGTGAGAATATACTCGGACAGCAGACAGACAGATAACAAACAAGCACTAACTTAGGCTAAGGTCCTAATATACATGATCCTACTTATTCTTCATAACAACCCAATGAGGTAGTTATTATCATTATTCACATTTTAAGGATAAAGAAACTGACTCACCTAAGGTTACATAGACCAAGTGGTAGACTGGATTTCCGCCTAGGTCTGAAAGACTTCAAAACCCATGTTTTTAGCCATTACCCTTATAACTCATCATGGTGGTCAAGATGCTGGAAAACAAGCCTTCAAAATGCCACTCAAACTCCAGTTTGACAGAGTCAATATGCCAGTGTTGCCTTTCACTAGAGATTACATCTATGACAAAAGTACAGCACTGGCACCTAACAACAAAACTCCCAAATACAGGAAGAAAAAACTGACAGAATTGAAGGGAAAAATACACAATTCAACAACAGTAGTAGGAGACTTCAATACTCTACTTTCTTTCTTTTCTTTTCTTTTCTTTTTTTTTTTTTTTGAGACGGAGTCTCACTCCGTTGCCTGGGCTAGAGTCCAGTGGTGCGACCTCGGCTCACTGCAGCCTCTGCCTCCTGGGTTCAAGTGATTCTCCTGCCTCAGCCTCCCGAGTAGCCAGGATTACAGGCGCCTGCCACCACGCCCGACTAATTTTTTGTGTTTTTGGTAGAGGCGGGGTTTCACCATGTTGGCCAGGCTGGTCTCAAACTCCTGACCTCAAGTGATCCACCTGCCCTGGCCTCCCAAATGCAGGGATTACAGGCGTGACCCACCGCACCCGGCCAATACTCCACTTTCAATAATGGATAAAACAACTAAGCAGAATATCAACAAGGAAACAGAGGACCTGAACAATACTATAAATCAAACTAGACCTAACCGAAATCTATAGAACCATCTACTTAACAGCAGCAGAATATACATTATTCTTAAGTGCATATGGAACACTGTTGTGAATAAACCGTATGTTAGGATATAAAATAAGCCTTACTAGATTTAAAAGGAATAAAATCATACAAAATATATTTTCTGAGCACAACATAATTAAATTAGAAATCAGTAACAGAAGGGAGTCTGGGAAATTCACAAGTAGAAATCAAACAAAACACTTTTTTTTTTTTTTGATACAGGGTCTTGCTCTGTCACCTAGGTTGGAGTGTAGTGGTGCAATCTTGGCTCACTGCAACCTTCACCTCCTGGGCTGAAGTGATCCTCCCGCCTCAGCCTCCCAAGTAGCTGGGATTACAGACACCTGCCACCACGCCCAGCTAATTTTTGTATTTTTGGTAGACATGAGGTTTCACCATGTTGGCCAGGCTGGTCTCAAAATCCTGGCCTCAAGTGATCTGCCTGCCTCAGCCTCCCAAAATGCTGGGATTACAGGCATGAGCAACCGTGCCCAGCCAAAACACTCTTAAATAACCAGGCTGTCAAGGAAAAAAATCACAAGAGAAATTAGAAAATACTTTGAGATGAATAAAAATGAAAATACCACATACCAAAATTTATGGGATCTAGCTAAAGTCGTTTTTTTAAATTTTTTATTAATTTATTTTTTGAGATGGAGTTTTGCTCTTATTGCCCAGGGTGGAGTGCAATGGCACGAACTCAGCTCACTGCAACCTCCACCTCCCGGGTTCAAGCGATTCTCCTGCCTCAGCCTCCCAAGTAGCTGGGATTATAAGCATGTGCCACCATGTCTGGTTAATTTTGTATGTTTAGTAGAGATGGGGTTTCACCATGTTGGTCAGGCTGGTCTCGAACTCCTGACCTCAAGTAATCTGCCTACCTCAGCCTCCCAGAGTGCTGGGATTATAGGCGTGAGCCACCGCGCCCGGCCTAAAATAGTTCTTAAAGGGGAAATCTGTAGCTGAAAGTGCCTACGTTAAAAAAGAGGAAAGATTTCATATGAATTACCATAAACTTCCACTTCTACCTTAAGAAACCAGAAAAACAAGAGCAAACTAAGTAGAAAGAATGAATAAGACCTACTATTTGATAACGCAATAGGGTGACTACCGTCAATAATAACTTAATTGTACTTTTAAAAATAACTAAAAGAGCCAGAGTAATCAGACAAGAGAAATAAATAAAGGGCATCCAAACTGGTAAAGAGGAAGTCGAATTGTCACTGTTCACAGATGATATGATCATATACTTAGAAAATGCTGAAGACTCATCCAAAAAGCTCCTAGATCTGATAGATGAATTCATTAAAGTTTCAGGATACAAAATCAATGTACACAAATCAGTAGCACTGCTATACACCAACAGTGACCATGCTGAGAATCAAATCAAGAACTTCACCCTTCTTACAATAGCTGCAAAAAAAATAAAACACCAAGGAGGTGAAAGACCTCTACAAGGAAAACTACAAAACACTGCTGAAAGAAATCACAGATGACACAAACAAATGAAAACACAGCCTATGCTCATGGGTGTGTGCAATCAATATTGTGAAAATGACCATACTGCTAAAAGCGATCTGCAAATTCAACGCTATTCCCATCAAAATGCCATCATCATTTTTCACAGAACTAGAAAAAAAAATCCTAAAATTTATATGGAACCAAAAAAGAGCCCGCATAGCAAAAGCAATCCTAAGCAAAAGAACAAATCTGGAGGCATCACATTATCAGATTTCAAACTATACTACGAGGCATGGTACTGGTATAAAAATAGGTACATAGGCCAATGGAACAGAATAGAGAACCCAAAAATAAACCCAAATACTTACAACCAACTGATCTTCGACAGAGCAAACAAAAACATAAAGTGGGGAAAGGACACCCTTTTCAACAAATGGTGTTGGGACAACTGGCTAGCCCCATGTAGGAGAATGAAACTGGATCCTCATCTCTCACATTGCACAAAAATTAACTCAAGAGGGATTAAGGACTTAAATCTAAGACCTGAAACCATAAAAGTTCTAAAAGATAACATTGGAAAACCCCTACTAGACATTGGCTTACACAAGGATTTCATGACCAGGAACCCAAAAGCAAAAGCAATAAAAATAAAGATAAATAGTTGGGACTTAATTAAACTAAAGAGCTTTTGCACAGCAAAAGGTACAGTCAACAGAGTAAACAGACAACCCACAGAGTGGGAGAAAATCTTTGCAAACTATGCATCCAACAAAGGACTAATATCCAGAATCTACAAGGAGCTCAAACAAATCAGCAAGAAAAAAACAAACAATCCCACCAAGAAGTTGGCTAAGGACATGAATAGACAATTCTCAAAAGAAGGTATACAAATGGCCGAGCATAGGGAAAAATGTGCAACATCACTAATTATCAGGGAAATGCAAATCAAAATTACAATGCAATATCACCTTACTCCTACAAGAATTCACCATAATGGCTGGGCGCGATAGCACATGCCTGTAATCCCAGCACTTTGGGAAGCTGAGGTGGGCAGATCACAAGGTCAGGAGTTCGAGACCAGCCTGACCAACATGGTGAAACTCCGTCTCTACTAAAATACAAAAATTAGCCAGGCATGGTGGTGCATGCCCGTAATCCCAGCTACTCAAGAGGCTGAGCCAGGAGAATGGCTTGAACACGGAAGGTGGAGGTTGTGCCACTGCACTCCATCCTGGGTGACAGAACAAGACTCTGTCAAAAAAAAAAAAAAAAAAAAAGAATGGTCATAATTTAAAAATAAAAAAAAAATATGTGTTGGTGTGGATATGGTGAAAAGGAACACTTTTACACTGCTGGTGGGAATGTAAACTAGTACAACCACTATGGAAAACAGTATGGAGATTCCTTAAAAAACTAAAAGTAGATTTACCATTTGATCCAAGAGTCATTATATGAAAAAGACACTTGCACATGCATATTTATAGCAGCACAATTCAATTCACAACTGCAAAAATATGGAACCAGCCCAAATGCCCATCAATCAACGAGCAGATGAAGAAAAATGTGGTACAGTTGGGCACAGTGGCTCATGTCTGTAATCCCAGCACTTTTGGAGCCAAGATTGCACCACTTCACTCCAGCCTGGGTGACAGAGCGAGATTCCATCTAAAAACATTAATAAATGAATATTAAAAAATTTTTTTAATGTGGTTGATGAGATTGGACACATTCAGGGAGGTATGGCTGTAGACTAAAATGTGGTAAATATATACAATGAAATACTACTCAGCCATAAAAAGGAATGAAATAATGGCATTTGCAGCAACCTGGGTGGAGTTGGAGACCATTATTCTAAGTGAAGTAACTCAGGAATGGAAAACCAAACATCATATGTTCTCACTTACAAGTGGGAGCTAAGCTATGAGGATGCAAAGGCATAAAAATGATAGGCTGGACCTTGGGGACTTGCGGGGAAGGGCGGGAGGGGGTGAGGAATAAAAGATGATTACACACTGGGTACAGGGTACACTGTTCGGGTGATGGGTACACCAAAATCTAAGAAATCACCTCTGAAGAACTTATCCATGTAACCAAACACCACCTGTTCCCTAAAAACTATTGAAATAAAAATAAAATAAAATAACTAAAAGAGTATAATTGGATTGTTTGTAACACAAAGAAAGGATAAATGCTTGAGAGGATGAATACCCCATTCCCCATGATGTGCTTATTTCACATTGCATGCCTGTAACAAAACATCTCGTGTACCCCACAAATATATACAACTACTATGTACACACAAAAATTAAAAACAAAACAAAAATAAAGGCAAAAAAAGAAGAGCAAACAACCCAAAGCAAGTGGAAGGAAATACATAGAGGATAGAAAAAAGATAGAGAAAATCAATAAAACTAAAAGTTGGTGTTTTGAACAGATTAGCTGGAAAGATCAAACAAAAAAGAGAGAAGACTCAAATTACTAAAATCAGGAATGAAAGAAAGAATATCACTACTGACCATACAGATATGGAATTGATTATAAGGGAATATGAATAAGGATATATCAACTGGATAACCTAAACGGTATGGACAAATTCTTAGAAATATACAACTTAGGCTGGGTGCAGTGGCTCACGCCTGTAATCCCAGCACTTTGGGAGGCCGAGGTAGGTGGATCACTTGAGATCAGAAGTTCAAGACCAGCCCAACCAACAGGGTGAAACCTCGTCTCTACTAAATACAAAAAATTAGCTGGGCATGGTGGCACATACTTGTAATCCCAGCTACTTGGGAGGCTGAGGCAGGAGAATAGTTTGAACCCGGGAGGTGGAGGTTGCAGTGAGCCAAGATTGCACCATTGCACTCCAGCCTGGGCAACAAGAGCAAAACGCCATCTCAAAAAAAAAAAAAGAAAGAAAGAAAGAAAGAAAGAAATATACAATTTGCCAAAACTGATTCAAGAAGATAGAAAATCTGAATAGACAGTATCAGGAAAAGAAATTGAATTAGGATAGGAATTAAAACTCCTCCCTCACCCCCGAAAAAAGTCCAGGCCCAGGTGACTTCACTAGTGGATTCCACCAAATGCTGAAAGAAGCACTTATACCAGCCTTTCACAAACCCTTCCAAAAATCAAAAGAGGAGAGAACACTTCTTAACTCATTGTATGAGGCCAGTACTACCTTGATACCAAAACCAGACAAAGATGTCACAAGAAAACTACAGACAAATGTCTTTCATGAATACAGACACAAAATCCCTCAACAAAATACCAGCAAGCTGAATTCAGCAACATCTAAAAAGAATTATACACCATGACCCAGCAGTGTATAAATACTAACAAACTGAATCCAGCAACATATAAAAAGAATTATACACCATGACCAAGTGGGATTTATTGCAGTAATGCAAGGTTGCTTTAACATCCAAAAATCAATGTAATACACCATGTAAATAGACTAGAGGACAAAAACTACATGATCATCTCAATAGATGCACAAAAACATAAATAAAAACATAAATCTAACACCCTTTCATAATAAAACACTCAATAAACTAGGAATAAAAGGGAACTTCCTCAATATGATAAAGGTTACCTATAAAAAACTCACAGCTAACATCATACTTGATTTGAATGAAAGGATAAAAGCTTAGATCAGGAAGAAGACCAGAATGTCTGTTCTCACCATTTCTTTTCTTTCTTTCTTTCTTTCTTTCTTTTCTTTTTAGTCTGGGGTCTGTCCAGATGTTCTCACCACTTCTATCCAAAACTGTACTGACTGAAAGTTCCAACTGGGGCAATTAGGAATTAAGATGAAATATAAGACATCCAGATTGGAAAGGAAAAAGTAAAACTATCTCTTGCAGGATACAAGCTCAATGTACAAAAAATCAGTTTTTTTTGTATTTTTATTTTTTGAGATGGAGTCTTGCTCTGTCGCCAGGCTGGAGTGCAGTGGCATGATCTCGGCTCACTGCAACCTCCCCATCCTTGGTTCAAGCGATTCCCCTGCCTCAGCCTCCTGAGTAGCTGGGACTACAGGCGCACGCCACCACCCCACCCAGCTAATTTTTTGTATTTTTAGTAGAGACAGGGTTTCACCATATTGGCCAGGCTAGTCTTGAACTCCTGACCTCAAGTGATCCACCTGCCTTGGCCTCCCAAAGTGCTGGGATTACAGGCGTGAGCCACCATGCCCGACCTCAATTCTATTTTTATACACTAGCAATGAACAACCTGAAAATAAAATCAGAAAGCCCTTCTATTTACAATAACATAAAAAAGAACAAATAGTTATAAATACACTTATTTTTTATTATTTAAATCTTATTTTACTTAATAATTTGTCTTTTTAAAATTTGACTTTGTCTTTTAACTAGTTATGAATTTAAAAAGGAGGACAGCGCAGGGTCAAGATGGCTGACTAGAAACAGCGGCAATCAAGTTTCCCATGGAAAAGAACCATAAGCATGTGAATCCTTTAACGGCAACCAACATATCCAGGTTCTCTCATCAGAACTGACTAGTAGGTTGGCATGATCCATGGAGAGGAAGGAAGAATAGTGTGGTCAGGTGGCCCACCTGAGAGCCACACAAGGCAAAGGAGCCCCCATCCCCCAGCCAAGGGAGGCGCCTCCTTGAGTGACATCTCCAGGTGCAGGAGTGAACCAGATGAATAGGGCCTGACGTGAACCCCCAGCAAATAGCAGCAGCCGTACGGAAGAGGGACCTGACCATTGAAAGAAAAACAAACAGAAAGCAACAACAGCATCAATAACAACAGCATCAACAACAACAAAAGCTCCCACCAAAACCCCATCCAAGGGTCTTTGAGGCTTCAAAGATCGAAACTACACAAACTCATGAAAATAAGAGAAAAACAGTGAAAAAAAGCTCAAAACTCAAAAGGCCAGAGTGCCTCTTCTCCTCCAAATGATCACAACATCTTTCCAGCAAGGGCACAGAACTGGATGGAGGATGATAAGAACGAATTGACAGAAGTAGGCTTCGGAAGATAGGTAATAAAAAACTATGCTGAGCTAAAGGAGGATGTTTTAACCCAATGCAAAGAAGCTAAGAACCTTGATAAAAGGTTAGAGGAGCTGCTAACTAGAATCAGTTTAGACAGGAACATAAATGACCTGAGGGAGCTGAAAAACACAGCACAAGAACTTCATGAAGCATACACAAGTATCGATAGCTGAATCAACCAAGTGGAAGAAAGGATATTAGAGTTTGAAGACCACCTTGCTGAAATAAGGCATGCAGACAAGACTAGAGAAAAAAGAATGAAAAGGAATGAACAAAGCCTCCAAGAAATATGGGACTCTGTAAAAAGACCAAACCTACAATTGATTGGAGTACTGCAAGGAGACAGGGAGAATGGAAATAAGTTGAAAAACACACTTTCGGATATTATCCAGGAGAACTTCCCCAACATAGCAAGACAGACCAACACGCAAATTCAGGAAATACAGAGAACACCACTAAGATACTCCATGAGAAGATCAACCGCAAGGCTGGGTGCAGTGGCTCACGCCTGTAATCCCAGAACTTTAGGAGGCTGAGGCAGGCAGATCACCTAAGGTCGGGAGTTTGAGACCAGCTGGACCAACATGGAGAAACCCCATCTCTACTAAAAATACAAAATTAGCCAGGTGTGGTGGTGCATGACTGTAATCCCAGCTACTCGGGAGGCTGAGGCAGGAAAATCACTTGAACCTGAGAGGCGGAGGTTGTGGTGAGCTGAGATTGTGCCATTGCACTCCAGCCTGGGCAACAAGAGTGAAACTCTGTCTCAAAAAAAAAAAAAGAAGAAGAAGATCAACCACAAGACACATAATCATCAGATTCTCCGATTCTCCAAGGTCAAAATGAAGGAAAAAATGTTAAGGGCAGCCAGAAAGAAAGGCCAGGTCACCTACAAAGGGAAGCCAATCAGACTAACAGCAGACCTCTTAGCAGAAACTCTAAAAGGCAGAAGAGACTGGGGGCCAGGCTGGGCGTTGCGGCTCACACCTGTAATCTCAGCACTTTGGGAGGCCGAGGTGGGTGGATCACTTGAGGCCAGGGGTTCAAGACCAGCCTAGCCAACATGGTGAAACTCTCTCTCTACTAAAAATACAAAAACTAGCTGGGTGTGGTGGCATGTGCCTGTACTCCCAGCTACTCAGGAGGCTGAGGCAGGAGAATCACTTGAACCCTGGGGACAGAGGTAGCAGTGAGCCAAGACTGTGCCACTGCACTCCAGCCTGGGCAATGGAGTGAGACCCTGTCTAAAAAAAAATATTGAGGACCAATATTCAACATTCTTAAAGAAAAGAATTTTCAACGCAGAATTTCATATCCAGACAAACTAAGCTTCACAAGTGAAGGAGAAATAAAATACTTTCCAGACAAGCAAATGCTGAGGGATTTTGTCACCACCAGGCCTGCCTTATAAGAGCTCCTGAAAGAAGCACTAAATTTGGAAAGGAAAAACCGGTACCAGCCACTGTAAAAACACACCAAAATATAAAGACCAATGACATTATGAAGAAACTACATCACCTAGTGTCCAACATAACCAGATAGCATCATGATGACAGGATCAAATTCACACATAACAATACTAACCTTAAATGCAAATGAGCTAAATGCCCCAGTTAAAAGACACAGACTGGCAAATTGGATAAAGAGTCAAGACCCATGGGTGTGCTGTATTCAGTAGACCTATCTCATGTGCAAAGACACACATAGGCTCAGAATAAGGGGATGGAGGAAAATTTATCAAGCAAATGGAAAGAAAAAAAAAGCAGGAGTAGTAATCCTAGTCTCTGACAAAATAGACTTTAACACAACAAAGATCAAAAAAGACAAAGAAGGGCATTACATAATGGTAAAGGGAATAATTCAGCAAGCAGAGCTAACTATTCTAAATATATATGTACCCAAAACAGGAGCACTCAGATTCATAAAACAAGTTCTTAGAGACCTACGAAGAGACTTAGACTCCCACACAATAATAGTGGGAGACTTTAACACCCCATTGTCAATATTAGACAGATCAAAGAGACAGAAAATTAACAAGGATATTCAGGACTTGAACTCAGCTCTGGATCAAGTGGACCTAATAGACATCTACAGAACTCTCCACCCCAAATCAACAGAATATATATTCTTCTCAGTGCCACATGGCACTTATTCTAAAATCAACCACATAATTCGAAGTAAAACACTCCTCAGCAAATGCAAAAGAACTGAAATCATAACAAACAGTCTCACAGACCACAGTGCAATCAAATTAGAACTAAGGATTAAGAAACTCACTCAAAACTGCACAATTACATGGAAATTGAATAACCTGCTCCTGAGTGACTCCTGGGTAAATAATGAAATTAAGGCAGAAATCAAGAAGTTCTTTGAAACCAAGGAGAACAAAGAGACAATGTACCAGAATCTCTGGGACACAGCTAAAGCAATGTTAAGAGGGAAATTTATAGCATTAAATGCCTACATCATCAGAAAGCTAGAAAGATCTAAAATCGACATCCTAACATCACAATTAAAATAGCTAGAGAGGCAAGAGCAAACTAATCCAAAGGCTAGCAGAAGACAAGAAATAACTAAGATCAGAGCAGAATTGAAGGATATAGAAACACAAAAAACACTCCAAAAAAAAAAAAATCAATGAATCCAGGAGGTGGTTTTTTGAAAAAATTAACAAAATAGACCACTAGCTAGACTAATAAAGAAGAAAACAGAGAAGAATCAAATAGACACAATAAAAAATGATACAGGGGATATCACTACTGACCCCACAGAAATACAAACTGCCATCAGAGAATACTATAAACACCTCTATGCAAATAAACTAGAAAATCTAGAAGAAATGGATAAATTCCTGGACACATACACCCTCCCAAGACTAAACCAGGAAGAAGTTGAATACCTGAATAGACCAATAACAAGTTATGAAATTGAGGCAGTAATTAATAGACTACCAACCAAAAAAAGCCCAGGACCACATGGATTCACAGCCAAATTCTACCAGAGGTACAAAGAGGAGCTGGTACCATTCCTTCTGAAACTATTCCAAAAAATTGAAAAGGAGGGACTCCTCCCTAACTCATTTTATGAAGCCAGCATCATCCTGATACTCAAACTAGAAAGAGACACAACAAAAAAACAAAACTTCAGGCCAATATCCCAGATGAACTTCAATGAAAAAATCCTCAATAAAATACTGGCAAACCGAATCCAGCAGCACATCGAAAAACTTATCCATAACAATCAAGTTGGCTTCATCCCTGGGATGCAAGGCTGGTTCAACATATGCAAATCAATAAATGTAATCCATCACATAAACAGAACCAAAGACAAAAAAACACATGATTATCTCAACTGATGCAGAAAAGGCCTTTAATAAAATTCAACATCCCTTCATGTTAAAAAATCTCAACAGACTAGGTATTGATGGAACATATCTCAAAATAATAAGAGCTATTTATGACAAACCCACGGCCAATATCATATTGAATGGGCAAAAGCTGGAAGCATTCCCTTTGAAAACCAGTACGAGACAAGGATGCCCTCTCACCGCTCCTATTCAACATAGTATTGGAAGTTCTGGCCAGGGCAATCAGGCAAAAGAAAGAAATAAAGTGTATTCAAATAGGAAGAGAGGAAGTCAAATTGTCTCTGTTTGCAGATGACATGATTGTATATTTAGAAAACCCCATCATCTCAGCCCAAAAACTCCTTAAACTAATAAACAACTTCAGCAAAGTCTCAGGATACAAAATCAATGTGCAAAAATCACAAGCATTCCTTTACACCAACAATAGACAAGCAGAGAGCCAAATCATGAATGAACTCCCATTCACAATCACTACAAAGAGAATAAAATACCTAGGAATACAGCTAACAAGGGACATGAAGGGCCCTGTCAAGGAGAACTACAAACCACTGCTCAAGGAAATGAGAGGATACAAGCAAATGCAAAAACATTCCATTCTCATGGACAGGAAGAATTAATATTGTGAAAACGGCCATACTGATCAAAGTAATTTATAGATTCAATGCTATTCCCATCAAACTACCATTGATGTACTTCACTGAATTAGAAAAAACTAGTTTAAATTTCATATGGAATCATCAAAGACCCTGTATAACCAAGACAATCCTAAGCAAAAAGAACAAAGCTGGAGGCATCATGCTACCTGACCTCAAACTATACTACGAGGCTACAGTAACCAAAACAGCATGGTAGTGGTACCAAAACAGACATATAGACAAGTGGAACAGAACAGAGACTTCAGAAATAACACCACACATCTACAACCATCTTATCTTCATTGAACCTGATAAAAACAAGCAATGGGGAAAGGATCTCCTATTCAATACATGGTGCTGGGAAAACTGGCTAGCCATATGCAGAAAACTGAAACTGGACCCCTTCCTTACACCTTATACAAAAATTAACTCAAGATGGATTAAAGACTTAAATGTAAAACCCCAAATCATAAAAACTCTAGAAGAAAACCTAGGCAATACCATTCAGGACATAGGCATGGGCAAAGATTTCATGACAAAAATGCCAAAAGCAATTACGACAAAAGCCACAATTGACAAATGGGATCTAATTAAACTAAAGAGCTTCTGCACAGCAAAAGAAACTATCATCAGAGTGAACAGGCAACCTACAGAATGAGAGAAAATTTTTGCAATCTATCCACCTGACAAAGGTCTAATAACCAGAATTTACAAGGAACTTAAACAAATTTACAAGGAAAAAAAACAAACAATCCCATAAAAAAGTGGGCAAAAAATATGAACAGACACTTCTCAAAAGAAGACATTTACGCGGCCAACGAACATATGAAAAAATGCTCAACAACAACAACAACAACAAAAAACAAAACAGGGCCAGGCGTGGTGGCTCACACCTGTAATCCAAACACTTTGGGAGGCCAAGGCAGGTGGATCACCTGAGGTCAGGAGTTCGAGACCAGCCTGGTCAACATGGTGAAACCCCATCTCTACTAAAAATACAAAAATTAGCTGGGCATGGTGGCAGGCGCCTGTAGTTGCAGCTACTCGGGAGGCTGAGGCAAGAGTTGCTTGAACTCAGGAGGCGGAGGTTGCAGTAAGCCGAGATCACGCCACTGTACTCCAGCCTGGGCAACAGAGTGAGACTCTGTCTCAAAAAAAAAAAAAAAAAGAAAGAAAAAGAAAAAAATGCTCAACATCATTGATCATTAGAGAAATGCAAATCAAAACCACAATAAGATACCATGTCTTGCCAGTCAGAATGGCGATTATTAAAAAGTCAGGAAACAATAAATGCTAGTGAGGCTGTGGAGAAATAGGAATGCTTTTACACTGTTGGTGGGAGTGAAAATTAGTTCAAACATTGTGGAAGACAGTACGATGATTCCTCAAGGATCTGGAACCAGAAATACCATTTGACTCAGCAATCCCATTACTGGGTATATACCCAAAGGAATATAAATCATTCTACTATAAAGATACATGCACACGTATGTTTATTGTAGCACTATTTACAATAGCAAAGTCATGGAACCAACCCAAATGCCCATCAGTGATAAACTGGATAATGAAAATGTGGTACATACACACCATGGGATACTATGCATCCATAAAAAGGAATGAGATCATGTCCTTTGCAGGGACATGGATGAAGCTGAAAGCCATCATCTTCAGCAAACTAACAGAGGAACAGAAAACCAAACATCGCATGTTCTTACTCATAAATGGGAGTTGAACAATGAGAAAATATGGACACAGGGTGGGTAACAACACACACCTGGGCCTGTTGGGGGTGGGGGAGCGAGGGGAGGGAACTTAGAGGACGGGTGAATAGGAGCAGCAAACCACCATGGCACATGTATACCCATGTAGCAAACCTGCACATTCTGCACATGTATCCCGGAACTTAAAGTAAAAAGAAAAAAAAAGAAAAAGAAAAAAAGAGAAAAAGAAAAAAAAGACGTGCAAAATTTGTACACTGAAAACTATACAACATTTATGAAAGAAATTAAAGGAGATTTAAATAATTGGAATATATTCTCTGCTCATGGATTGGAAGACTCAATCAATATTGTTATAATGATAGTACTTTCCAAATTGATCTATAGATTCAACATAGTCTCTATTAAAATCCCAGCTGACTTTGTCAAAATTAACAGCTAATTCAAGAATTAATATAGAATCACAAGAGACCCAGAATAACCAAAACAGTCTTGAAAAAGAAGTACAAAGTAGGATGACTCACACTTTCTGATTTCAAAATTCATTACAAGCCATAGTGATCAAGACCATAAAGTGGTGGCATAAGGATAGACGTATAGATCAAGGCAGTAGAATTGAGAGTTCACAAATAACCTCTCACATTTATGGTGAAATAGCTCAATTAAAAAATGGACAAATGATTTGAATAGATATTTCACCAAAGAAGATATACAAGTGGCCAATAAGCCCATGAAAAGATGTTCAACATCATTAGCCATCAGGAAACTGTAAATCGTAAACATGAGCTACCACTTCACACACACTATGACAGACATATTAATAAATGAAAAGATGGTCAGGTGTGGTGGCTCACGCCTATAATCCCAGCACTTTGGGAGGTCAAGGCGGGTGGGTCACTTGAGGTCAGGAGTTCAAGGCCAGCCAGGCCAACATGGTAAAACCCCATCTCTACTAAAAACACAAAAAAATTAGCCAGGTGTGGTGGCACATGCCTGTAATCCCAGCTACTCAGAAGGCTGAGGCAGGAGAATTGCTTGAACCCAGGAGGCAGAGGTCGCAGTGAGCTGAGATTGTGCACATGCACTCCATTCTGGGTGACGGAGTGAGACTCTGTCTCCAAAAAAAAAAAAAAGATGGACAGTAACAAGTGTTGGTGAAGATACGGTTAAAATTTAACCCTCCAATATTGCTGATGGAAGTGAAAAATGGTACAGTCTCTTTAAAAAACAATTCGGCAGTTCCTCTAAAAGTTAAACATGGAGTTACCATTTGACCAGTAATTCCATTCCTAGGTATATACTGGAGAGAAAGGAAAACATATGTCCCCATAAAAACTGTCCCCATATAAACATGAATGTTTATAACAACATTATTCATAATAGTCAAAAGGTGGGAAAAAAACAAATGTCTATCAACTGATGAATGGATAAAGGAATGTGGTATATCCATACAATAGAATGTTATTCATCAATAAAGAGGAATGAAGTACTGGTGCATGCTGCAACATGAATGACCCATGAAAACATGCTAGGTGAAAAAAGCAAGTGACAAAAGACCATATATTTTATTATTCCATTTACACAAAATGTCCAGCATAGGCAAAGCTATAGACTGAAAGTAGACCAATGGTTGCTTAGGGCTGGGAGGTGATTAGGAGGGAAATAGGGAGTGACCGCTAATGGGTACAGAGTTTGTTTTGGGAGGGGCAAAAAATGTTCTAAAATTAGATTGTGATAATGGCTGTATAACCCTGTGAATATATTAAATATATTAAACAAAATTGTATTGTGCACTTCAAATGGGTGAATTTTATGGCTTCAAAATTATATCTAAACAAAGCTGTTTTTTTTTTTTAAAGCACAGCTCTGGGCACATGATGAACTCTCAGTCTTTGAAAAAACAGCAAAAGGCTAGGCGTGGTGGCTCATGCCTGTAATCCCAGCACTTTGGGAGGCCGAGGTGGGCGGATCACCTGAGGTCAGGAGTTTGAGACCAGCCTGGCCAACATGGTGAAACCCTGTCTCTACCAAAAATATCAAAAAATTAGCCGGGCATGGTGGCGGCCACCTGTAATCCCAGCTACTCAGGAGGCTGAGGCAGGAGTATAGCTTGAACCCAG
This sequence comes from Homo sapiens, assembly GCF_000001405.40. Taxonomy (NCBI): domain Eukaryota; kingdom Metazoa; phylum Chordata; class Mammalia; order Primates; family Hominidae; genus Homo; species Homo sapiens. The sequence goes on along the minus strand of NC_000023.11, from coordinate 107,581,199 downwards.
GAGGCAGAGGTTGCAATGAGCCGAGATCATGACACTGCACTCTAGCTTGGGCAACAACAGTGAGACTCTGTCTCAACAAACAAACAAACAAACAGAGCAAAAAAGGGTACTCTGTATTGTGAAGGGACTTTAGGTGGTTTATCTCACACAATCCTGTCAAATTCCTCATGAGGTAGGTAATAGTATTATCCTCATTTTACATATGAGGAAACTGAGACTAAGTTTCTGGCATTTAGTTATGATCCCATAGCTAAGATATGGCAAAACAGGGACTGGAACCCAAGTCTCTGTGACTTCAGATCTCTCTTGCAATTTTCCATAGACCATGTTGCCGCTTTAAATACAGAATCAATGAGTGGGGTTGGTTCAGGCCTTACTGGGCTTTACTGTATCTAGGGAACTCTGGGTCAGTTGGAGAAATATTATTTAATTACCCTCCATCCAGGCCTCTGAGACTTAGGGAATAAGTGCTCCGGAGGAGCAATCAGCCAGGAGTATGAACTATAAGTTCATTATGTCTCTCTACACCAAGACATTGTCCACAGGTCCTGGGGATGTACCAGGTGCTAACTACGTATGAGACAGCTGAGCAATCAGGATAGCCAGCCTGGCAATAAGCTGCCATCAAAGGTGGCTCCCAGTGGCATGCCCAATAAGAAGATGGTGACTCCTCTCAGGCAGAGGCTGGAGTTCTAAGGGTGGCTTCCCTCCCTGCAAGATGGAAACATCTCTAAGCACTAGACTGTCAAGGCCAGGTAATGCCCTGTCCACCACTTGGTACCATGACTTCCAGATCAGAGGACAAAATGTGCTTGAAGAATCCCAAATCTCCTCCTGGCAGAAGATTAGAAGTGCCAGTAAAATGCCAGGTGTGGCTGGCTGATGGTTCAGGACAGTATGCCTCCCATATTGCAAATATGTTGTAAATTGCTCATCAGCTTTCCCCAAGGGGATTGCCCTAGTCTATCCCTCTGTACTCAGTCACTCAGAAGACTGACTAGAAAAAAATGCTTGCAAAGAACAGGAGGGTGATTCAACTGGAGTTATGTTTGAAAATATATGCAGCTTATTTTTATATATATAAACATACGGTCTGTGTGACATTGACTCAGCCAGCATTCTAGTACTTGGCCCTGCTCTATTCTATAGTCCAATAATCACTGGTCATAATGACGACCTAGAGGCCTTGCAAGAATCTCATGTTCTTTCTGAATCACCCAAAACAAGTCTACTACGTTCAGTCTTACTTTAGTACTCTGTACATTTTGCTGGGTTTTAACTACATGAAAATTGGTAAGCCACTCATGGGATATATAGTAGCCATTAACCAAAATATTCAATTCATCAGACCAAACTGTTTTCTAACCATGGTAGAAAACGTAGAGTGAGTTCCTCCAACTGAGGCCCTCAAAGCCTTTTTTTCCTGGATTACCCCAGGATACAGAGAGCTCAGGGCTGCAGAAAGATGGTAGCTGCCTTTAGATTGCCCACAACCTCATTACAGATAGAGAACTGGCATTTTTCTGGACCTTTCTCTAAGCTCAAAGCCTTTCTGGGCCCTCAAACCCAGGCGCTGCTCTGTTGTATCTATTGAATCTCTTATATATAAATGCAAAAGTACTTACGTTATTAGCCTTATCCTTTTAATCATCTGTCAGTATTTCCCCTCTACTAGATTGTAACCTATGTGAGGGCAAGGATCATAAGGACTATGTCTGTTATTCATGGCTGCTGCTTCTGCACCTGGCACATGATGAGTGCTTGATTTGTTAAGTGAATAAGTGTAGTACCTTTGGTGAAGCTACTGATAAAGCCCAAGAGGGAGTCCCTTCCCTACCATGTCCCCATTCTCCTTTTTTTTCTGAGACTTGAAGGAAGGTGATGTTTTCACTTTCCCAGTTGCTGGTTTAACTTCATCCTTTAGGCCCAATAGGCTGAGCCCTGAGTTGGACTTGCTGACAGCCAGTAGCTGCTGTGGGACAAGAATAGAGCTGGCCAGACCTCTTCCTCCCTTTTCTGAGAGACCAGGACCTAACCAGGCTGTGGCTTTGGACCCTGGGGGAAAAGCCCAGATAAGGTTGGGAGGATGCCTATTCCCTATTGGCCTTTGTTAAGGAACAACAGTTGGCATTGGGGCTTCTGTTCTGGGATGAAAGTAAGGGCTGGTGTAGGAAACTGATCTCAACTTCGGACCTTGGTCCTAAAAGTCTACAATATCAGGAACGGATAATCCCTTCACTGTAACCTGAGCTGAGGTCTCCTCAGTTGTGCCCTTCCCTTCTTAGCGGCCATGAGACAAAATGTGCACACCAAGTCCTAGAACTTTGCTGGGGCAGTGGCAGCTCAGTGAACCCAGGTAGAGCTGTGAGGCTCACTCTGCCCCACTCCACCCACCAAGAGCACCTAACAGTTCAAAAAGCTAAGTAACAGGGCCCAAGATTTAAACCATGTACCTAGGGAGATGATGCCTAGTTCAAGTTCTCATGTTTCTGGCCAGAAGAGATGGCGAAGGAAGAGCAGAACTTTCTGTAGGTCTCTGCCCCTAAGCTGATTATTTCTACCCCAAGAGGGAGAAGTACCACAAAAACAGAGACATCACAGTGGTCCATCTGGCTCCCGCATGGACACAGAGGCCCTGTGCTAGAGGCAACATGAGCCCCCATCATTCTGCAGGCCGAAGGCGGATCTCAGAAGTCAGGAAGGTGGTGGGGGGTGGGGTGTTTTAAAGCCACACCTAGCCCATAGAGAATGCAAGAAAACAGATTTGCCTTTGGAAAAGCAACATGGCATGTTGGAATGTGTTCAGTGAGGCTGCACTGAAGCACATATCCCTCTTGTGCTTGGTGCCACTATCCCCAGAGCAAGGGGAATACTTGGGGCCAGCATTGGCTAGGGTGCTGATGGGATGACAAAAAACTGTTTGTTAGGTAGGGTGGGACTACAGAGCCACCTCCAGTGCCTTCTGAAAGTGGATTCCCTCCAAATAATCTTCACTGTCACATTTGGTCTTTGGCTGGGCTCCAGGTTCTTCACTTTATCTTCCCTTTTCATTTTCTCCCTCTCTAGCCTGTTCAGTAGGAGGTATAGTTTACTTGGATGTGATTAGAGAGAGGAAGAGCAGAAGTGACAGTGATAATGCTAATGCTGGCTTTTTCATCATTCGGCCATCTGTAGGTTTGCTAGTATGGCCGCCCCTTCAGAGCTGTTCACCTGGAGACTTGAAGCAACTCAGCCCCCTGGTTTCTTACTATCCTAAGTCAGCTCCTTTGCTTTTCTATGTGGAATCTCCTTCATATGCCTTGGGGCCACCTATCCTTTCCCAAATCTGTGTTTGGTGCATTGCCATTTAGTTCCTATGGACAATGTCATGAGATGTAAACTCAGGCATGTCATGATGATCGTGATGAAGAGACAAGAGGTGAGAAGATGTGTGTGGGTGGGGGGTGTCCACAGCCTTCTAGGTCTGGGCCATCCATCAGGAGTATGTGTCTGCTCTCAAACACCTCGATCGAGATCTGATCTGACTACTGTTTGTTTGTTTGTTTGTTTTTGAGAGGGAGTTTTGCTCTGTCGCCCAGGCTGAAGTAAAAAGGCGGGATCTCGGCTCACTGCAACCTCTGCCTCCAGGGTTCAAGCGATTCTCCTGTCTCAGCCTCCCGAGTAGCTGGGATTACAGGGACCTACCACCACACTTGGCTTTTTTTTTTTTTTTTTTTTTGAGACAGTCTCACTCTGTCACCCAGGCTGGAGTGCAGTGGCGTGATCTCAGCTCACTACAACCTCCGCCTTCTAGATTCAAGTGATTCTCCTGCCTCAGCCTCCCAAACAGCTGGGACTATAGGTCCACACCACCACGTCCAGCTAATTTTTGTATTTTTGGTAGAGATGGGGTTTCACCATGTTGGCCAGACTGGTCTCAAACTCCTGACCTCAGGTGATCTGCCCACCTCAGCCTCCCAAAGTGCTGGAATTACTGGTGTGAGCCACCATGCCTGGCCTATTTTTTGTATTTTTTTTTTTTTTTTTTTTTTTTTTTTAGTAGAGACAGGGTTTCACCTTGTTAGCCAGGCTGGTTTCAGACTCCTGACCTCAAGTGATCCGCCTGCCTCAGCCTCCCAAAGTGTGATATGACTACTCAGAAAACCACAGCCTTGAAGAAAGAAATAGTCAAGCAGCAAGGGCAAGTGGGTTGAGAGTATTCAGCATGTGAGGAGAGCAAACTACTGGATGTCAGTCTCAGCTTCACTCATTATTTCTGGGTGCTGGGGTTGGGGAGCACTTACTGCATCTACATGAGCCTTAGGTCTAATATGTGAAGTACCTGTTCTTTGAGCCACCTCCTTTTCATCAGACCTTTATATTCATTTTCATCTTCACTTCAACTGAGCCAGAACACCTGTAAGTTTCCTCTAGATCTCTGCACCGCTAAGTTTGCCTTAGATCCAATGCAGCCATTTAATTGGCTCTATTTATCATGTTTGCTATTTTAATAATACATTCATTGGCTGACTCAATCACAATGTTGTCACAGGTATCCTTTGTGAAACAAGTACATGTGAAGGCCAGCTGTCTTTCCCACTGGGCTGTGCCAGCTAGGATATAGTGGTACAGTGTTGGCTCCTGGCAAATCAGGCACTGTTGGCACGGGGTGAGCACTAAGGCAGAGAAGCTCTTCCCTCCATGTCTTCAGGGTCCAAAGGGCCTCTGGCACAGCAAAAACCAACCGAGGTTGAGCCCTACCTGCCTTGATCATTGGAGGTGGAAGTGGCTGGCTGGCAGGCCTGGAGAAGACCATCTTCCTGGAATCCAGCAAGAGGCGGCAGTACCCCGCGATCAGGCAGGCAAAGTTGGTGGCTTCAGGCCACTCCATCAACAGCACCAGAGGCTGCAGAAGAGAAGGGAAGAAACATGAAGACATGGGAAGGAGGGAGGCAGATGCATTTTCAGAGGCATGGTAGCTAGCAAAAGATGACTTGCATAGTTAAAGGAACCATACTGTCTGAACCAAAAATTGAGGCACATGGCTTGACAAATAGTTTATTCTGATTTGAGAATTTCTTTGTAATAACCTCTTACCCAGGTATCAAAATTAAATCAACCTTTAATTATACATTTAATGAACCACCTTTGCTGAAAAGGACTAAAATTATATAACCTCATGTGACTGCTGTGTAGCTGTATTTGTGTTTGCCAGGGCTCAGCAGATACACAGGCCAGCCGGGAGAGCGGGGTAAAGCTGGGAATTTAGATTAGACTTCAGAATGGCCTAGAACACCCTCGATTCTAAGTCCCTTGGGTGCAAGAGCTATGTCTTGCTCATCTTCACATGCCCCTGTAACACCCAGAACACCTCCCTGGACATGGAGGAATCTCTGTGGAATCAAGTTGTAACTCTGCCTTTTGGGCCAAAGTCTTTCTGGCCTGCAGCTCTGCTCAGAGCGTCATGCTCGGCCCGGCGCGGTGGCTCATGCCTGTAATCCCAGCACTTTGGGAGGCCGAGGCAGGAGGATCATCTGAGGTCAGGGGTTCGAGACCAGCCTGGCCAACATGGTGAAACCCCGTCTCTACTAAAAATACAAAAATTAGCCTGGCGTGGTGGCAGGCGCCAGTAATCCCAGCTACTCCAGAGGCTGAGGCAGGAGAACTGCTTGAATCAGGGAGGTGGAGGTTGCAGTGAGCCAAGATGGCGCCATTGCACTCCAACCTGGGTGACAGAGTGAGACTTCGTCTAAAAAAAAAAAAAAGAGTCATGCTCTATCCCCTTTCCTTTATTTCCCTGTGTCCTTGAGATATTGTTAATTGGTGCTTATTAAAAGAGCTCCTTAGTCAAATATGTTTGTGACATTGGGTTAAATAACACTATGCAGATAGTTTTACTATGAGAATTCATAAGACCCTTTAATATATAGTTGTGCACTGGGAAACCTCAAAAGAAAGGCTTTAATATTCTAAGTTTTCTGAATTTATTAGACCACAAAGATCTATTTTTATAGAAAATCTCATGGTAACAAGGTTGTTGTTGTTGTTAACCCACCTTGGGAAATACTAGCATACATTGTTGACTTCTGTTCCTAACTCTAAATCAGTCAGATTAGTCCTGGGGTTAACTGGTTAACTGCTTCAGAGACCAGGCAATGCTATTCAAGAAAATCAGCACTATTTCAAGAAAACCTCCTAGTATCTGTATTGTAATTTTAACTATGGCTTGACCAAGTTTGAGTCAGACTGAAGTCAGCCTTGGGAACATTCTCCTTGGAATAGGGCAGTGGTTTCCAGATAAAGATCACTGAAGACTGGCTAAAGAGGGAGCCATGGGGCTGTGGGTCACCCAGACCAGGCATTAAGAAATAGGAGAATTAGGCAGAGGAAATGAGGCCCTTCTCTGACCAATGAGGAGGCTACTGCAACAGTCTAGGAGAGAGGTGGTTAGGGCCTCCACTAGGGTGGTGGCTGGTCCAGTGAAAAGGAAGGGACATTATGAAGACCTGACAGAACTTGATCACTAACTAGATTAGCCTTCCTTGGCTGAATCACCATTACCTTGGGCTCAATTCTGATTCCAAACCAGCTCAGCTGTTAGCTAAAGTTGCAGTGGTTTTCTTTTTCCCAGGATTCCAACACAGAGCCTGAGTTGAATATTTTGTAGTTCATATAGGCCAGGGGTCAACACACATTTTCTATAAAGGGCTAGTGAGTAAATATTTTAGGCACTGTGGGCCATACGGGCTCTGTCACAACAACTCTGCCATTGTACATAGTGTGGAAATAGCCACAGATAATCTGTAAACTAAACAAATAGGCATGACTGTGTTCTAACAGAACTTTATTTACAGAAACAGGCAGTGAGTCAGATTTGGCTCATGGGCCATAGTTAGCCACCTGATCTAGAAGTGAAACTTCTTTTTTGCCTTTTTTTTTTTTCAATAGAGACAGGGTCTCACTATGTTGCCCAGGTTGGTCTTGAACTCCTGGGCACAAGTGATCCTCCTTGGCCTCCCAAAGTGCTGGGATTTACAGGCATGAGCCACAGCGCTCGCTGAAGTGAAACTTCTTTACAGCTAGAAACAACTGTATTCATTCATCACACATCTCAAGTTATTACATTTGCTAACAGCAATCACCTTCTTTGGAAATTCTTCTCTTGGCTTCTGTTTCTGTGAGATGTGTTCCGGTTCTGTAATCTGACCATCTTCATCTCTCTCTTTGGTTGGTTCTTCATGTGCAACCTCCTCGCCCTAGCTATATCCTAGGCTCAGTCTACAGCCCTCAATTCTTCTCCATCAGGGTGTCTGCTTTAACCTCTATGCTGGAGATTCAAAAATCAACATGCCCAGTCTACTCCTTTAAATTCTTTTCCTATTGCAGAAATCATATGGTGCTATGTCTATACCACACAGTCTTGTGTTGGATCAAATACTAACTTGAATTCTTTCATAGTTGTTGTACATTCAATTACAATGCATGCCACAATAAGGCATTTGGACTCTGCCCCAACTTTAAGGCAACAAGTTAGTGATGCTCCTATGGAGTTCATGCAATACCATTGGGAGGAAAAAGGAACAGTTTGTACCTTGAGGAGCAATGGCTTTTTTTTCCAGTGAGAAAGGGGCCAGAGACAGGTATTACTTTTTAGTCATTATTAGGAAGGGGTAGAAGGGACTTTCGTACCTCCAGTTAATGAATGTTTCTCAGTCACAACAGAATGGCCAAACTTGCATACAACAAAATAAAGACAAAAAAGTATGGAAAGGAAATGAACTTGGGGGGCAGGGAGTCAGATACCCCTTCTTGCTGTCTTGCTGCCACTGTAGCCCTGCCACTGATGGCAGAAGGATATACAGATACAGAGGTTTGAGTGTAAATGGCGGCTACCACGAGGGCCCAAGACTCACTAGGCTTGCCTCAGGTGTTTTCACATCGCGGCCATCCCTACTGCCACTGCTTCATTTCAGGACCTTATCATCTTCCTGCCAGATCAAAACTCCTCAAGGTACTTGTGAGTGGGTGGCCTGTGTGCTGAGATACTGAGCCTCTCGGCTTCTCAGTCCTATTGCCTTTGGCCGCAAGCTGCCTCATCTGGTATATATGTATGCCTCGTTTGTTTGTATGTTTTGTTATATAAATTGTGACATTTCTCATGATATGGAAAAGGTTGGGATACACTAACCCAAGAACCTCCAATAACCTCTTGACTGGCCTTTCTCCCTCTAGTTTCTACCCACTTGAATCCACTTCACCTCCATATTGTTGCCTGAAGATTCTTTTCTACTTTATTATTATTATTATTATTAGTAGTAGTAGTAGTAGTAGTAGTAGTAGTGGAGATGTGGTCTTACTATGTTTTCCAGGCTGGTCTCAAACTCCTGGCCTCAAGTGATCCTCCCACCTCAGCCTCCCAAAGTGCTGAGATTACAGGCATGAGACACCCTGAATGACCCTGAAGGCTTTTTTATTTTTTTTTTGAGACAGAGTCTCACTCTGATGCCCACGCTAGAGTGCAATGGCAGAATCTCGGCTCACTGCAGCCTCTGCCTCCTGGGTTCAAGCGATTCTCCTGTCTCAGCCTACCAAGTAGCTGGGATTACAGGTGTGTGCCACCACATCTGACTAATTTTTGTATTTTTAGTAGAGATGGTGTTTCACCATGTTGGTCAGGCTAGTCTCGAACTCCTGACTTTCAGTGATCCACCCGTCTCAGGCTCCCAAAGTCTGAAGGCTCTTTCTAAAGCACAAGTCTCATTGTTATTTAAAATCTTCAATAGCTCATCACCTGTAGAAAATCCAACTGCCTTACAATGGCATACAAATCCCTTCAGGACCTGGACCCAACCTCCATCTCCAACCATATCTCCCATTAACTCCACTGGTGCTCCCCTCCCATCACTGTCCCTCACCTTATACTCCAGCAATTACAAATACAGTTCCTCATGTTCCTTCACATCTTCATACCTTAACCTATGCTGTTCCCTCTGGCTGAAATGCTCCTGTGCCCTGCTTTGTCCACCCAACAAGCTGCCATAAACTGGCTAGATGCCTCCTGGAGAACATGACCAAGTGAAAGATGCATCCATTCATTCCAGGACTAGGCCAACCTAGTTCCTGCCCTCATGGAGCTTACAATCGAGCAGGAAATAAGACATAACCCAAATCAAATAACCATGCAAATAAATATGATTGCGAGGTGTGATAAGTACTTTGAGGAAAACGTATAGAGAGCTACCCAAACGTAGAATGTCCTGGAGTGGTACGTGGGTGGGTAAGTGTGAATGTGTGCGTGTGTGACTAATTTGGTTTCAGACACTGGAGACAGCTTTGAGAAAATAGCATTGGCTGACAAATATAATGTGAGACCATTTGACCAAAGTAGAGGCTGAATGGCTGGCTGACTAATGAGCTGGCCGGCTGCAGGGCAGTCTGACTCACTCATGCCCTGGTTGACAAGCCAGCTCAGGACAGACAGAATGCCTAACAGCCTCACATTCTGACCGCTGAGCTGCCTGGCTGGCTGGTTGGCTGGCTAATGGACAGAATTACTGACTGGAGGCTGGGAGAATGGCTGATTGACTTCATTGTCTGACCACTTCAGTTTCCCCTCTTACCCCCAAGATAGCCCAGTGCCAGTAATAAAACAGCACGAAAGCAAAATCCCGTGCACAGAGAGGGCCAAGCACAACCCCAGCTGGCTCAGCACAGCACAGCTCATCAGGAGCCTCTCCTTGTCATCCCCAGACAGCCAACTTGGCCCCAGCATGGGCCAAATGCAGCTCGCAGTAAAAGGAACACAAATGCACTTTTTGCCAAGAGAAAAATGAAATTTTTGCCAAGAGAAAAATGAAATTTTTGCCAACAGGTAAAAATGAAATCAAAAGCAGGCAAACAAAAAGGTTGGACAGGTTCCTTAGAAACCTTCAAAAACAATTTTTTATTTTAGATAGGATTTTAATGATCATGACGTGTAATGTAACGCTTGTCCCTACAGAGATCACTAGAGAAATAAAGCTCAAACATGAGAATAGGACACATACTGGGCCACAAGATATCCCTTGGGACATTCCTTTGATGATTTCTTTTTCCACCTTATGTGCTTCTGTGGTAATGGGGTATGGTAATGGCCCAGGTATGCCTCAGTCCCAGGCTGCCATCTCTTGAAGAAAGATATTTGAATACTACCTCATGTTTGCTCCACTAAGAGCAAGTAAGCTGAGTGAAAACTAATTAATATGCCCAGGCCATCTTCAAATGTAGCATGAGGAAAGGAGAATGGAGTTGGAGGCATGAGCCAGCCAGAAGAAGGTACAGCAGGGATTAATTTGACATGCTTCAGCTACATCTCCTTCCCAGGGTGCCCTGGGAGCTAACAGGCACTTAGCACTCTGAAATGCCAACTAGGAAAAGGATTTTCCCTGGGGTAGCCTTCGCTCACTCTAGCATCCCTGAAAACAGGAAAAGGATGGAATCAAGGGGCCTGGAGGGGAAGGGTAAAAGATGATGGTCTAGAGACCCAAGGGATCAGTATATTTGGTTCTTGCCTCCACAGCACTGGGAAAGGCTAATTGGGCACAGCCAGCCAATTTGGGGGCAAGGCAGAATATCACTTAAGGTAGTGGTTCTCAGGCCAGATACAAATTAGAATCACCTGGAAGTGGTAAAGACCTGTATACCCCTGGGCCCCAACCCCCCAGAATTCTTATTTTAAATGGTCTGGGAGGAAGAGTCTGGGCATCCAGTGGTTTTTAAATCTCTACATATGATTCTAATGTGCAGTCAGGGCTGAGAACTACTTTAAATGAACCATCTTAATTTCACCAGACCCTTACAGAATATTACCAGACCAGAGTGGCCTGTCTAGGGGGAAATGGGCCAAGTCTGGTTTCTAACTTCCATGTCCCCTGTTAAGGATGTTCAGACAGTCCTTCTTCAGTGTAACCTATGCAGTTGTGTGCTGGTAAACATTTCACAAGCAGTTCTTTCTTTCCTTTCTTTCCTTTCCTTCCTGCCTCCCTCCCCCGCTCCCCCCTTCCTCCCTCCTTCCCTTCCTTCCTTTCCTTTCCTTCCCTCCCTTCCTTCCTTCCTTCCTCGCTCTCTTTTTCTCTCTCTCTTTCTTTCTTTCTCTCTTTCCTTCCTTTCTTTTCTTTTCTTTTCTCTTTCTTTCTTTCTTTCATCTTTCTTTCTTTCCTTTTTTTTTTGACTGTCTCTTGCTCTGTCACCCAAGCTGGAGTGCAGTGGCATGATCACGGCTCACTGCAACCTCTGCCTCCTAGGCTCCAGCCATCCTCCCACCTCAACCTCCTGAGTAGCTGGGATTACAGGCGCAAGCCACCATGCCCAGCTAATTTTTGTATTTTTAGTAGAGACAGAGTTTCGCCATGTTGGTCAAGATGGTCTGAAACTACTGGCCTCAAACAATCCACCCATCTCAGCCTCCCAAAGTGCTAGATTACAGGCGTGAGCCACTGCACCCAGCCCACAGCCAGTTCTTTCAAGTAGTAATTTGTAGCATTGGCCAATTTCCCTGGTGTACATACACCCACCATGGCTGCTTTCAAACTATTAACATGATGGCACTGAACAAAGAGATGGGGAGAGATGTGCCCAGCTGGCTCTGATGCACTGTGTGAGCCAGCTCCAGCACACCACTGGCTCGGTGGGTAGATTCTTACTGAGCCCAGGGAAGCCATTCTCTAGTAAGAAGCTTCCCAACCCTGCTCTCCCAATTCCTTCCCAGAGCCACCTCTTACTAAACACAAATATTGCTGATATAAGCACCTCTAAGAAGCTTTCCTTAATACCCCCAGCCAGAATTTTGTCCTTCCCTGTACTCCCCTAACATGCTCTTGGTAGCTCTCCTATGGCACTTCCTTCTGTGTGCCATGTATTTGTGCTTTTTTTTTTTTTTTTTTTTTTTGAGATGGAGTCTCGCTCTGTCACCCAGGCTGTAGTGTGGTGGCACAATCTGGGCTCACTCCAACTTCCACCTCCTGGGTTCAAGGGATTCTCCTGCCTCAGCCTCCAGAATAGCTGGGATTACAGGTGTGCGCCACGATGCGTGGCTAATTTTTGTATTTTTAGTAGAGACAGGGTTTTGCCATGTTGGCCAGGCTGGTCTTGAACTCCTGATCTCAGGTGATCTGCCCGCCTCAGCCTCCCAAAGTGCTGGGATTACAGGCATTAGCCACCGTGCAGGGCTGTATATGTCCATTTCTATCCTACAAGCTAGGTAAGCTTTTTGAAGGCAAGGAGCCATGGTTCTCTCTCTCTCTCTCTCTCTCCCTCTCTCTCTCTCTCTCTCTCTCTTTCATTTTTGTGGAGAACAGGGTCTCACTATATTGCCCAGGCAGGTCTTGAACTCCTGGGCTCAAGTTATCCTCTCACTTGTGCCTTCCTAAGTTCTGGAACTACAGGCATGAGCCACTGCACCCAGCAAGCCATGTTTTTTTCTGTCTTTTAATTTTTTTTCTATTTTTTTGAGACGGAGTCTCACTTTGTCCCCCAGGCTGGGATGCAGTGGCATGATCTCGGCTCACTGCAACCTCTGCCTCCCAGGTTCAAGCAATTCTCCCGCCTCAGCCTCCCAAGTAGCTGGGATTACAGGTGTGTGCCACCACGCCCAGCTGATTTTTTTTTTTTTTTTTTGCATTTTTAGTGGAGATTTAGTGGAGACAGGATTTCACCATGTTGGCCAGGCTGGTTTCGAACTCCTGACTTCAAGTGATCTGCCTCCCTTGGCCTCCCAAAATGCTGGGATTACAGGCATGAGCGACTGTGCCCAGCCTCTTTATTTAAAAAACAAAAAATTCTGGAGGACTGTTGTGGGGTGGGGGGAGGGGGGAGGGATAGCATTAGGAGATATACCTAATGCTAAATGACGAGTTAATGGGTGCAGCACACCAACATGGCACATGTATACATATGTAACAAACCTGCACATTGTGCACATGTACCCTAAAACTTAAAGTATAATAATAAAATAAAATAAAATAAATTCTGTGTTTAGCATGCTTCCCAGCAACAGCAAGTTCATACTAAATGACTGTCAAATCTAAACCTTGATCTTTTTTTCTCCCTCAATCTTCCCTTTCTCTTTTCACTACAATATCATCCATTTTGCTTCTGCTGGGCACATAGTACCATTCTTCAGAGTACTTGGGACCCATGAAGTAGGCAGAAGGGCTAGGTATAATAAGACACGTGCATTGTCTGTGCAAGAGTGGTATGCAGGGGAGAATATGCACCCACATCTTACTGATTTTGCATATTTCACATCTCCTCTTTTTTTCTCATTACCACTGCTGTCCCTCCAGCACAGGCCCTTGTCCCTTCACTCCTGGACTAGTGCCATGATCCCCTCCTCACTGCCCTAGCTCGACATTAGCTTTGCTCTCCCCCATCTTGCACCCTGGTCCAAATCAACTTTTATTTGATCACCCCTCTGCTCAAAGACCTACTGTGGATTCTCACTGTTCTACCACATTGAATCTAAATTCCACAGACTGGCCTTTGAGGCTTTTAACCAACTTGTTCTGCCCACCCCCAATCTCTTCAATCTCTTTTCTCGTTATTCTCCTCTCCAGCCAAGCAACTATGCTTATCGACCTGCACATATGGCTTGCTTATTTCTGTGCTTGCTCCTTGCCTTTGAACACATCCCACTTCTCTCTGCTAATTCATGCCTATCACTTCAAGATCCAGCTTAAAACACCCTCTTGTGGGAAGCCAGATCTGATTAACTCCTTCCTGTTCTTTTGTTCCATATTCCACATCACACTTGTCTGTAACATTTACTTCATATTACTTTTTCTTTACTGATGTTTTGCTTTTGAAAAAATAACAGGTCTCATTCATTGAGTACTTACTGTGTGCCAGGCAGTATGCTAAGACATTTTATGTACATTTTTTCATTTAATACTCACAACAGGCCGGGTGCAGTGGCTCATGCCTGTAATCCCAGCACTTTGGGAGGCCGACTTGGGAGGACTGCTTGAGCCCAGGAGTTCAAGACAAGCCTGGGCAACATAGCAAGACCCCCATCTCTAAAATTAAAAATAATAATAATAATCCTGATAAAAACCTTTTGAGATAGGCATTCCATTTTGCAGTTGAGGGAATCGGGATTCAGAGAGGTTAAGACACTTTCTGAAGGTCACACAGGAAGGCTGGGATTTGAGCCTTGTCTGATTCCAGAGCTCTATACATGTTCTGATATTGTGCTTTAAAGGCAGGTCATGTGTCTTTGTGAATCTAGTCTCCCCAATGACAATGTAGCCTCTCCAGGGCAGCATTCATTCCCACAACTGTGGCTGGATCACCCCTAGAAATAAGCATAGTGCTCCTCACTCAGACAACACCCACTGATCCCCTGTTCAGCCTGTTTCCTCCCAGAGCTCTGGTAATACAGGTCTCAAGCCTGTGCATTCTCAAAGTGGTTGCATTACACAGTCACCTAGGAAACTGAAAAAAATAAATAAATCCTGATGCCTGGGTTTCACCCATGACCAAAGAAATCATAATCTCTGAGAGTAGGACCCAGGCATCTGTTTTTTTCTTAAAGCACTTAAGGACATTCTATTGTGTAGTCAATGTTGAGAATCACTCAGAACATAGAAGACTCAGTTGGAAAGCTGTGTCTCTATTTTAAACCCCTTTTATTTCTCAGGAAGCCACATCTCCCCTGCATGCCTTGTCTTCCCTGCCCCCTTCTCTGCCCGTCCATTTGGCTTTTTACCCAACAACATCTGAGGAGTGCAGCAACCATTGGTTGAGGAGGTAGCCGCAAGCCAATTAAACATCGGCTCCAAGCCAGTTCCTAAACCAATGGGAATCCTGTGAATCACAGGTGGAAAAATCAACACATTAAAGCTTTCTGGGTTTCACAAAGACAAAAATAAAGCAAATAATTTTCTCTTTTAGAAACAGCAAACACTCCACCTCTTAATCTGCTACCAATATCTCCCCCTGGGAAATCGTTTAAGAAAGGAAAGTTGCAACTCCTCTAAGAGCTTCCGCCAGCTGGCAGGCAGGCCTGCCCCCCACCCACAGTGGTCACTGGTATTCAAACAGGAGAGCTGTGGAGGGGGTGGCTGACCAAGACTGCCAGACTTTGCACAGGCGACAGCTGCTTGCCAGTCCGAAGGAGTTGATCTATGGGAATGAATCTAAGGTTCTGGAAGGGCTGGACTCTGGGAGGTGAAATAAGGACAAGGCTCTGCATGTTCCCCTTCTTCCCAGGCCCCCTCTGTTCTGTTCACATGCTCAGACACCCTCTCTTCAATGACTCAAGGTGCGTGTCCCTATGGCAGGGCCCCCCAACTGCTGTGCACATGGAATGGGTGAAGATGGGCCAAGATATTCATTCCTATAGTTTCTGGGGCAGCCAGGCAGAACCTGGGGTGGACAGAGTCTCTGGGGCTGCTACATTTACCCCAGTGTTCCACATGAATATAATTTTTTTTTCTTTTTTCTTTTCTTTCTTTATTATTACTTTTTATTTATTTTATTTTTTTTTTTTGAGACAGGGTTTCACTCTGTTGCCCAGGCTGGAGTGTAGTGGTGCAATCACAGCTCACTGCAGCCTTGACCTCTCTGGCCCAGGCAGTCCTCCCACCTCAGTCCCCTGAGTAGCTGGGACCACAGGTGTGTGCTACCATGCCCAGCTAAGTTTTGTAATTTTTTGTAGAGACAGGGTTTCACCATGTTGCCCAGGCTGGTCTCAAACCCCTTGGACTCAAGTTATCTGCCCACCTTGGCCTCCCAAAGCATGAGATTACAGGCATGAGCCACCATGCCGGCCTGTGAATATAATTTTCTGTGTGCTATGATATGAGAAAAATGGGAAGCAGTGGTCTGGGGGTAGCTCCAAGTTCTCCAGTTTCCCTGCCCTGTGCTGAAGAACTGTCTCAGGCTGATCTGACTCTCCATAGCATTCCTTAGTGCTGGCTGACCTTATTATGTGGTCAAAATGGCATGTCCCAGAGGGCTGAGAAGAGACATATTAGCCCAAAGAGTCCCAGGGTTGAACCACTTCAGAATTACTGAACCTCACCTAACAGATTCCAATTCTCTTTCTCAAGTTTACTTCTTCCTCTATTCCCAAGGCCTGTTCCTAAACAGAAGGAGGCCCTCAAAGCAGGGCTTACCTTGGCATCCATGATGCTGGTCTCCACCCGGGCCACGCCCTGGTTCTCCCGGAACAGCTGGATCTTGCTGATCTTGCTGAACTCGGACAGCACAGTGGTGAGGTTGGTTTTGAGGTCAATAACATGGCTGATGCCATGACGGGGTCCCACCAGGAGCGTGGTGGCCGACTGCTTCTCATCCTGGTGCCCAAGAATGGCAGGCAACGTTCACAGAAGGAAGGGTGGAGGAGGTGGGGAGAGGAGGCAGGAGGAGGAAATAGAAAACATGCATTGGACTCTCTGGTGGGGTCTGAAAATATCTGGGGCTCAGTGCCACAGTAGGACAACCTGGAGGGGAAAATGGTCTGGGACAGAAAATGGTTCCTGGGATAGAGCCCCAGATTATGGGTCCAAATGAACACCTTAGCCTCAGCAGCAGGTTGAGTAAAGTGCACAGGCAGAAGGGCTAGCTCAAGCAAAACCGTGAAGTAGGTGAGGTTTGTTTGGGGGCCTTTGGAGCACCCTCCCCTTCCAAGCCCCAGGGGCTTTCCATTTGTTGCTGCAGGCCATTTGAGGCCCCCACCCAGTGCTCTGCCTGAGAAGGCGGCATCCTGTGTCTGGTCTTTACCCTCCCCCCACCAACAGCCACTCAAACTTGCACTTCTCACCCAGGCCAAAAACTAAACTGGCACAGTAACTCTGCCTAAGGTGTTGAGGGTTGATTGGGTACTTCATGGCAGCCTCCCTCGTTAAGCAGAGATTTGCCTTTTAATGGGCACTCCAGCAGGTATGGCCAATAGAAATTTTAGCAGTGGTAGGTGGGTGGAAGAAAGATTTGACAGTGTATGAAGGAGGTGGGAGGGGACAGTGGGCTTTCAGTGTTCTGCAAATCCCAGTATGTAAATGGCTACCTCTCGGCCTGAAGGACTGGATTCCCTTAAGAGGTCTTGACAGATTCCTTGGAGCAATCAAGCTTGGGTCGTCTGGAGGCCCATTCCCTGGTATTAGCATCACCCTGAGGAACCTCTTGTGCCTGTCTATAGGCACTTTGATAAGTGGCTTTCCACCGATGTGCCGCACTAGCTGACAATGTGCTCCTGGGAGCAAGACAAGCACCTGGATCCAATTAGCAAGGTGATTTGAATTTCCTTTCACCAGGGTAAACTAGCCTGGGGCACAGTCTTAGGGTGGGACCAGCTGTGCCCTGCCCCAGAGCCTTGTTCCTGCAGCAAAGGTGCTGAGCAAGCAGGGGGAGAAGTAGAAGGACTCAGGAAACCTAGGGTAGGGGACTGTGGGAGTATGTGGAACAAAAATGAAATAGAGCAGGGGTTGCCTAACCATGGCCCATGGGCCAAATACCACCCACCACCTATTTTTTATGGCCCAGGAGCTAAGAATGGTTTTTAGATTTTTTAATGGTAGGGAAAAAAAATCAGAAGAGGCATGTTTTGTGACATGTGAAAAGTACATGAAATTCAAATTTTCGTATCCATAAATAATTATTGGTAAACAGCCACACCCATTTGTTTATGCATTGTCTGTGGCTGCTTTCATAATCTGACAGCAGGGCTGAGTAGTTGCCACAGTTGCCAGTATGGCCCGCCTGCAAAACCTAAAATATTTACTATCTGGCCCTTTATGGAAAAAGTATGCTGCGCCCCCAAATCGAGGAAGAGGAACAAAAAAAGGTCATGGAGGGATACTCAAAACAAATATCTCCTCCCACTTTATCATTTTGGCAGAGGCAGGGCCAGGGAGGTAAGAGGTAGAAGGAGGAGGAAGAGGAACGAAGGCCTTTAGAAATATTTGCCCCTCCTGCCCCCACACCCAAGGACAAGAGCCAACAAGGGGCTCCCTCCCCACATCCCCCAATCCTGCGCCACTGACCAGGCCTACAGTGTTGAACAAAACGCCCGTGAAGGTAGGAAGTTCATTCAGAATTCGTAGATACTGGAGCTTTGCCTGAATTGCAGAGCCCTGTGGAAAAACCCATCCAGAAATATGAGAAGCCTGAGGGGCACAGGAAAAGCAAACCCATGTTCTCAACGAGGAGTCTCAACATCCTAGGACAGGCACCAGTCAGCAAGTGACACTGTGGAGATGTGAAGATGCCCTTCTTAAAACAGCAGCAAGGTTCTAGTTTGGACAGCTCTTCCCTCTAGTATCTCATCTCCCTTTCTAAAATCTTGTCCTACCTCCTGATCTTCATTCCTAAAGTATCCAGCTTACTCATTTTGTTTTTGGTTTAATTCCAACTAACTGACGCCCCACCTAATCCATACCTCTCTCCTGAGATGTTTCAGACCCCTAGAGTCATGTACATGCTGGTCATTCCCCAGCTGGGGGTCCCACTCAATACCGTTCATACTAAGCATTCCTAAGTCCCAAGCCTGCACTTCAGGCATTCCTGGTCTATATCAGCATCCCCTGGGCAATCAAGCCAGAAACCTGTGAGTCACACTGGACTCCTCCTTAATCGCCTCATGTGAGAGCCAGCAGTTACCAGATCATCTGGATACTTACCCCCTAGCTCCTTTTCCAATCTATCCATCCCTCTTCTCTAGCCAGTCATTGCCTTGACATTCCCACCTGTGTCAGGGTGACAGCCAGGTTACCTTCAGGACTGACACTTGTTTCCCTCTTTCCCTCAAGTGCCTCCACACTGTTAGAGGGAGCATCCTAAAACATAAGTTTAATCACATCAGCTCCCTGCTTTAAACCCTTCAATGGCTCCCAGCTGCCTAGAGGATGAAGTACAACCTCTTTCCTTGGCACACAAGGCCCTCCATGAACTGGCTCCTGCCAACCTCTCTGGCCTCTTCTCTTGCCCCTATCTTCACCCCTTGCACACAGCTTGCATTTTCTGTACTTGCTTAGGCTGAATGATTTGCATTTCTGTCCTTGCACCATGGTTTCTCATATCTCTGGGCCTTTGTACAGATGGATCTCTCTGCCTGGGAAACACTTCCTCCCATGACCCATGCCCACGGATTAATCTAGACAAACTCTTATCTGTCTTTCAAGACCCAGCTCTGGCCTTTTCCACCTCCCTCAGGCTGGGCTTAGTGTTCTTCCTCTGTGCTTCCAGAGCACCTGTGCCTAATGCACTGTGTTGGGACTGACTAATGTGTTTCCCCATTAGACTGTGCCTGACTCAGGGGCCAAGACCAGGCCCTCTTCATCTTCATATTTCCAACCCAAGCACTGGGGTGCCTCGAAAAAAATGTTACCTGAGGAGATGGTGGTGAGCACTGATGCTCTCAGTTGAGAAGAAAACAATCTGATTAAATATTCACAGCAAGGTGGGAATGGCTTAACTCTCCGGGGAAATTTGCATCTTAAAAGAGAAGCTAGTTGGTAATGCAAGAAATCTGGAATGGGAGGAATGTATGGGGCGATTGCGTCCCATATGTACATCTGCATGCTGATTCTAGTGCGTCTCACCACTCTCCTGCTTCTAGGGCAGGAAGCACAGGCAGATTGAATCTTACAAAGCTAAGAAGCTGCTGCGGGGCTTGGGAAAGCAGACAGTGGGAGTCCCTCAGAGCACTAGAAAGTGGAGGCAGTAACCTGATCCCTCACCATTCCACCCAGTGACCCATTCTCCAGGTCAGGTCTTGTGCCCCCAACTCTCCCACTTTCCCCTGGGCTGGGGTTTTGTCTCCCAGAATTCCACACCCTAGGACTGATGAATTAGAGGTACAGAGGTACATTTCCTTTTTTTACATTTTTTTTAAATTATTTTTTTAAAAGTAAAGACGCTGTCTCACTATGTTGCCCAGACTGGTCTCAAACTCCTGGGCTCAAGTGATCTTCCTGCTTTGGCCTCCCAAAGCGCTGGGATTACAGGCATGAGCCACCACACCAGCCTAGTCATTTCCATGGAAAACATGTGCCTCCCTAGGGTCCAGTGCTTTCCACATGATACATGCTCAGTCGGCACTGACTAATTGGTGAAAAGGACCTGAGAATTATCTCCTGCATCTTGGCCCCTTTGCTTTGAGGACCCTGAGCTCTCTCAGTGATGTGTCACTCAGCTGTCTCTTTGGGATGCTCAGGCTTGGGGAAGACTCCTCTCCACAACTGCCCCACACCTGGCCAAGCCGTATGTGCACCTGAGTCAAAAGCAGTGGTGAGGATCCCTAGAGGACCAGACTCTGCTGGGAAACCACCCAGGATCTCCCTGTGGCCAGTAGTGCCTGGAGCACCATGCCCAGTGGTCTACTCTGGATACCTTGGTGCCGCAGGAAGGATGTGTTTGGTGAGCCTTCAGTTGCTGAGAGAGAGATTTCCGGAGGTTCTTCTCTTTGATGACCTGCAGGAGGGAGGGGGGAAGAAAGGGTTCCAGGCCCCACTCCTTCCTAAAAGCAGAAGAAAAGTAAGAGATTAGTGAGAGAGGCAAAGTGGGACAGAGAGAAGATGGTAAGACAGAAATTGACTGAATCTGAGAGGTAGAGATGGAGGAATAGAGACTGGGAGAAAGAAAAAGGGACAGGGATAGGAAAATAACATTAGCCACAGCTCCCTAGTAGAAGCTGTAGCTCTAGGGCTTCATAGTCTAGATATGAGGGACTCCAATTCTCACTCCCATCCCATGTCCTACATTTCTGAAAAGCATAGCATAGCTCAACCAGTGTACCTTTTCCCTACGCAACTATTCGCCCCCCATCCCAACGGGCCGCAGCACAACTCACTCCACATTCTTGAGCGAGATCTTCTGACTAGGTCGAGTGGCTGAGACAGTGATATAGATGTGGAGCGCAGCAAGGCCCAAAAGCATCTCTGGCTTGGGATCCATTCCAAAGCGTTCTCGAATAACATCATTCCGACTCTGTGAGAGAGGGCAGTCCAAACCTATCAGCTGAAGGAGACATTCCTTCCCCACCCCCTGATCTACTCCCTTACATCCCAGACAATACTCATAGTATCAGTAAGGCATGCTAGATCAAGGGACAGAGGAAGGAGCTCCCCTTGGAGAAGAGACAACAGAGGAGGCTCAGGTCTCATAGACACTGTTCACTTTATTCAGCAGATACTAGATAGCCTTCTCAGTGACAGGGGCACACAATGGCAAGGTACAAGCAGACAGTCCAGTTCACTGCAAAAGTGAGACATGGCACCACTCCCTTTCTTTCCTCCTTTTATAAGAGACTTTCCTACTTTTTTTCATGGGGGTTATACTCACCCCCAAGCCATACAAGGCTCCTTTACTAGCTCAGATGGAAACAAGGGGAGAAAGATACTGGGAGGGACTCTCCACAGGGCCCTGGCCCAGAAGCCCAGGGTGAGAGCTGAATTGCAGGGATGGGGGAGGCATTCTTCTTCTTGGTGTCTGAAGGACAAAAATGTTGATGAGTCAATCTTCCCTATGCTATCCTAGAGGAGGTCTCCAGGAACTACTGGCCAAGGGTATGACAACCCCCAAACCCTGAGGGTCACAGCCCCAGCTATCAATGAGTCAGCCTTGGTTAGACCAGTTTCCCATTTTGTTAAAGTGGAACCAGTATGGACTAAGGGACTAGGAAGCCACAGTGATATCACTATAATATAGGAGAGAGTGGAAAAGGAATACATCATCAATGATCATCTATGTAGAAAATTCAGTGGATTCTATTACAAAAAACTACTACAACTACAGTTTTCCCTTGGTATCCATGGAGGATTTCTTCCAGGACCCCCATGGATACTGAAATTTGTGGATGCTTAAGTCCTTTATATAAAATGCTGTGGTATTTGCATGTAACCTATGCAAATCCTCCTGTATACCTCTATCACCTCTAGATTACTTATAATGCCTAATACAATTAAAATGCTATATAAGGCCAGGTGCAATGGCTCATGCCTGTAATCACAGCACTTTGGGAGGCGGAGACTGGTGGATTACCTGAGATCAGGAGTTCAAGACCAGCCTGGACAACATGGTGAAACCCCGTCTCTACTAAAAATACAAAAATTAGCTGGGCATGGTGGCGGGCGCCTGTAATCCCAGCTACTTGAGAGGCTGAGGCAGGAGAATCACTTGAACTCAGGAGGTGGAGGTTCCAATGAGCCGAGAGCGAAACTCCATCTCAAAAAAAAAAAAAAATTGCTATAGTGCTATGTAGGCCAGATGCTGTGGCTCATGCCTAAAGTCACAGCACTTTGGGAGGTTGAGGCAGGTGAATCACTTGAGGTCAGGAGTTTGAGACCAGCCTGGCCAACATGGTGAAACCCTGTCTCTATTAAGAAATACAAAAATTAGCTGGGCGTGGTGGTGCATGTCTATAGTCCCAGCTACTTGGGAAGCTGAGGCAGGAGAATTGTTTGAACCTGGGAGGTGGAGGTTGCAGTGAGCCGAGATCATGGCACTGCACTCTAGCCTGGGTGACAGAGCGAGACTCTGTCTCAAACTAAACTAAAATAAAAATGCTATGCAAATAGTTATTATATTATATTTTTAAATTTTGTATTTTTTATTATTGCACTGTTATTTTTTATTGTTTTTGAATATTTTCAAAATCCACAAATATGGAACCTGTAGATATGAAGGGCCAAATGTAGTGAGTTTACCAAGGTTTCAGGATATAAGATCAATACACAAAAATCAATTGTATTTCTATTCTTTTAAAAATAAATCTTTTTGTATAGAGATGGGGGTCTCACTATGTTGCCCAGGCTGGTCTTGAACTCCTGAGCTCAAGTGATCTTCCTGCTTCAGTCTCCCAAAGTGCTGCAATTACAGACGTGAGCCAACATGCCCAACCCCAACTCTATTTGTATATGCTAGCAAGAAATAATTGAAAATTGGAATTAAAATCAAAATCATTTACAATAGCATCAAAAAATATGAAATAATTAGGGACAAATCTGACAAAACATATGAAAGACCTATATACTGAAAACTACAAAATACTGCTGAGGAAAATTATAGAAGGTATAATTAAATGTAGAAATACTGTGTTCAGGGATTGGAAGGCTCAATATTGTTAGGATGTCAATTGTCCCCAAATTGATCTATAGTTTCAACACAATCCTAATCCAAATCACAGCAGGTTTTGGTAGAAATTATCATGGTGATTCTAAAATTCACATGAAAATGCAAAGGACCTATAATAGCCAAACCAACTTTGAAAAAGAACAAAGTTGGAGAACAAATACTTCCTGATTTCAAGAATTATTATAAAGCTCCAGTAATCAAGAGTGTGATGTTGACATAACGACAGACAAGTAGACCAACAGATCAGAATAGAGAGTACAGGAATAGATCTATATATATATATATATATATATATATATATATATATATATATAGACAACAGATTTTTAACAAAAGTACAAAGGCAATTCAGTGGAGGAAGGATACTCTTCTCAACAAAAGGTGCTATAACAATTGGATATCCATATGCAAAAAAAAACACACACACACACACACACACACACACACGAAACTTTGATGGATACCTTGCACCACATACAAAAGTTAATTCAAATGGATCATAGGCCTAAATATAAAACTGTAAATGATAAAACATCTAGAAAAAAATAGGGGAAAATTCTTGTAACCTTGGGTTAGACAAAGATTTTTTAGATATGACACCAAAAGCACTGTCCATAAAAGAACAAATTAGCAAACTGGACTTCATCAAAATTCACACATTTGCTCTGTGAAAGACGTTGTTTAGAGACTGAAAAGGAAAGCTACACACTGGAAGAAAATATTTGCAAATAATATATCTAACAAACAGCTTGTATCCAGAGTATATAAAGAACTCTCAAAACTCAATAAGAAAACAACCCAATAAAAAAGCAGGCAAAGATCTAAATGGACACTTCCCCCGAGAAGATGCGTAGCATCAAATAAACACATGAAAAGATGCTCAACATCATTAGTCATTAGGAAAATGCAAATGAAAATCACAATGAGATGCCACTACGCACTATCAGAATGACTAAAGTAAAAAAAGAATACTGAAAATACCAAGTGCTGATAAGGATGTAAGAAAATGAAACTCTCATACATGGCTGGTGGGAATGAAAGATGGTACAACTACATTTGAAAACAGTAAAGTTTCTTTACAAAATTAAAGAAAGAGATCTAGCATATGCTCAGACCATTCCACTTCTAAGTGTTTACCCCAAAGAAAAGAAGGCATATGTCCATACGAAGACTGGTACATGAAAGTTCATAGAAGCTTTATTGTAATAACTAAAACCTGGAAACAACCCAAATGTTCATCAACAGGTGAATTAATAAACACATTCTGGAATATCCACACCATGAAATACTACTTGACAATAAAAATGAATGAAATAATTGATACACGCAACAACATAGATGGATCTCAAAATCAGTATGCCGAGCCAAATAAGTCAGATCAAAATAAGTATACATACCATATGATCTCATTTCTATATAACTCTAAAAAGTGCAAACTAATCTATAGTGACAGAAAGCAGGTCAGTGGTAGCCTAGGGCTGGGAGGGATGAATTACAAAGTGGCCTGAATAAACTTTTAGGTGTGTTGGATATGTTCAATATTTTGATTGTGGTGATGGTTTCATGGGCATAAACATAGGTCAAAACGTATGGTATTGTGTACTGTAAACATGTACGGTTTATCTTTTGTCAGTTAGACCTCAATAAAGCTGTTACATGTAAAAAAGAAAGAATACAGCTGAAGTCCATATCATCATGAAGCAGAAGGATAGGATGGACATGATCTTGTCACTAAATTCTAAAATATTCAAACCAAGGTAATCCTTGGAAGCTTGAATTAAGAAATTCAGGGCAAAAAAAAAAAATGAGAACTAAACTTACAAAATTCACAGAGCAACCACAACTCATTGCCTCCTAGAAGGTTGGTAAATGAACCTGAGGCTGTCTGGGAAACGTTCCTAACATTTTAGGTTGTCAGAACAGTCAAAAAGGACAACGACAATGTCTCATAGCACCTCCCTGGATATCACCATCAGAGACAGATGAAGTTTGAGGTTTTTTTCTCTCATTAAGTGCTGTTGTATGTCCTATGGGCACCTAAAACTCAACATTTCCCAAAATGAACTCATCTTTACCCTAAACCCATTCCATTGTCTGTATTCTCTAACTTGGGGAATGATACCACCTCTACAAGACACTTGTTAAGTTAAAGCCTATCCATTCTACCCTTTAAATCTCTCTTGAAACCCATCCCACCTCCTTCATCATGGCCCTGGTTCTAGCCCTTGTCATTTCTTCTGGATAACTGCCATTGCTCCCTAGCTGGTGTACTTCCTTAGCACTGTGTGGTCTTTTGAATTTGCTCATCTGACCAGGCTATTCTTCTCTTTTAATAATTTCTGCTCTCCTACTCTCCCACAGAATTTCTTTACTTTGGCTGCACATTAGGATCACTTGAGGAATTTAAAAAAATACCAGTGTTTGGACCCCACTCCCATAGATTTTGATTCAACTGGTCTTGGATGGGGCACAGCATTTTCCCAAACCTCCCAGATAATTTTAATGTGCATCTAAGGTTTAAACCACCATCATAAAGCAGAGGTTCTCAAAGTCTTTTGGGCATCGGAATCCCCTGGAAGGCTTGTTAAAACACAGAGTACTGAATTCTGCCTCCAGAGTTTCTGACTCAGTAGGACTGGGCTGGGGCCTAAGAATTTGCATTTCTAACAAGGTCCCAGTTGATGCTGATGCTACCACTCCAGGAAGCATGAAATTGCAAAGAATCTATAACAGCCACACTTTAAGAACCGCTGCCCAGGCTCAATCATAAAGTCTATGCTTGCCTTGGCCTACCAAAAGCCTTTGATCACTGCTTCCTGTCTCTCCAATTTTATTCCCTACTCCTCTTTACCTCACATCCTGTACTCTAGCCATAAAAAATCACTCATGCTTCTCTCATGATCCCATGCTGTTTCATGCCACCATGGCTTTGTAAATGCAAGGCCCTTTGCTTAGAGTATGCCCCCTCCATTCCATCTCTCTACACAACAAACTCTCATTCATTCTTCAAGGCTAAGAGCATGCATATATCACTTTTTCCATGAAGCCTGCACCATCTCTCTTGTGTAGAGTTGGAAAAATGCTTCCTGAGTGCCCTCATCTTCATTGCACCCTGCTGCTGTCATATTTATTCAGGCACATATAAGCTCTAGTGAGCCAGGACAGTTCTTCATTCACTTCTGATTGCTAGTACCTAGCATAGGGCTTAACCCAGAGTAAGTGTCTAGTAAATGTTTCTGGATAAACTGAATTGGGAATCATCTCATACTGGAGCTAGGTATTGGGGGTTGGGACCCGTTGAAACCGAAATGGGCTTGTTAAACTTTAGGATCCTGTGAGGATGCCAGAGTTACTGGGATTGCTTGTTTCTGAAAACTGATGAGATCTGAGTGGACAAATAGACAGGACTTTGAGCCACAGCCAGCTCAGGTCACCAGGCCAGCCAACTTGGCCATGGCCTACGATGGTAGCAGAAAAGGAAGGAAAGGGCCTTCAGGGCTACCTGGAGGTTGGAAAAACTTACATAGCTATTTCATTGTGATGGCAGAACAGCCTGCCTGCTTCTTTGTCCACTGGTCTGTCTGTGTATCCCCAAGCCAGACTCTACCTGGATGTATAGGTACTCAAAAGCAGCAGGATCCCGACGCAGCAGCTCCACAGGGTCTTTGGGAAAGAAGCTTATTCGGAAGAGGCATTTCATTCCATGATAGTGTGTCCGCTGTACCACCTGAATTCCAGGGATGAAAGGGGAGAAGAAAAGAGATCTGGAATCAATGGCTGGGGTGTTGGGCTGGCAGCTCAGTGGCTCTTTAAGGTGGGGCTTGGGGCAGAGCTAAGCTGTTGTTTCCTACTCTGTCTCCGACCTGGCTGATTCTAATTACCCTCAGAGGAAAGTAGTGAGGAGTCAGGTCTTTTCTACACTTCTGACCCAAAATAAGAGGAATTTTCAAATCACTTATCTAGGACATGACCTTTATCAACCATTGGGTCTAAAGCCCAAGACACTAGGCAGGAAGGGAGGGCTCCTGGCAATGGCTCAGACTCCTCTTTTCTTGCTGTGGGATTCATGCCTTTACCTTACAGAGGGGCTCAGCCTCAAGCAGAGTAAATTGCTGATTAGAGTAAATCAAAGGTTTAAAATATTATTTCAAGGTACAGATGAAACATCTTGGCACTGTATTGATAATTGTTGAACCTGGGAATGGGTAATAGGGTTAATGATACTATATTCCTCCTACTTGTGTGTATGTGTGAAAGTTTTCATAATAAAAAAGTTTAAAATCCCATTTGGAACAACAGACCAACTGAATTCAAAGGGTTGCTTGGGGGTGAGGGAGGTGCTTAGGCCTCCCTCCAGGCAGGACTCCCACAACCTTTCCTTCCCACCAGTGAGTCTCTGTATTGCATTTGGCTGAGAGCTAAACTTGAATCTCTCTTTCCAAAAATCCTTTCATCTTTTTGTGTCTGATTTGGGGTTTTGTTTGGCTTTCATGTAGGCTCTGAAAAGGTATTTCTTCCACTGTTCCTTTCCAACTCTGTCCCACCCTACTTGGTAGTACTGATTGGCTTTGATTGCATCTCTGACACTTCTTGGTGCTTCACTGTAGATGAAATGCTATCCAGGAATCCTGGATTTCCCCAGCCCTTTTCCATATGGTGAGGGCTAGGAAGACCGGATACTTTTTCCTACTCTACCTTGTAAATTGATGTGGGTGACATGCCGCCTATTTTTGGCTCTACTCAGCCAATTCCCAACTCCCACTTGTCCTAGGATAAGTGGGAGTTGGGAATTGGCTGAGTAGGATCCACTCCCTGACCCTTCCATAACAGCCTTCATGCAAAAGGCCAAGTTTTCTCCCAGAAAGCAGAAAAATCTATCATGTGGGGTTTCCAGGAGACAGGAGACTTGCAACTGCTCCTTATCTCAGCATTCTGGGTGCCATGTGGTGAATCACCCCATACTCTTCCCCCTAGAGACCAAGACTAATGATCTTCATGCTCTTCTCAGCTCACAAAGGCCACTGCCAAAAGCCCTCTGGAGGTGGATAATACCAGCTTTGGGTGAGAACTGTGACTTCTGGGAACCGGCTGAGCATATCATTATAAATTTTCCAGACAGGGAGTGCCTTGGGTCTTCTCTACTAGAGGCCACATGCAAAGCTATCTGTAAAAAAGAGTTACTTACATAAGCCAGGGGTTGCTTGTCCTGAAGAAGCAGAAACTTGTGATTCTGTTCTGGCCCGGCATACTCAAGGACAAGAGCAAAGTGCTCAATGAACCTCAGGGAAAGGCGGTCCTGTAATGTCAACATCACATCCTGTGGGACAGAAAAGAGCCTTGAGAGGGAGATTAGTTCTGGCCCTAAGCTATTCTAAGCATCAAACATGGGAGGGGGGATTAAACACCAAGAAAAGAAATATAGTCCTGGGGAGAAGGCTGCAACACTGGCCTTTATAGTAGCCCAGGCTCTGTGATCCACAATGAGTAAAGTGACCCATGAGTGCTGCTCAGAGGCCTGGGCCCTGGGGAGAGGTGCAGGGGGTTAGAGGTAGGTGTTTCTGAATTTCACCTGGCGAGGCTTATGGCAAAAGAAGGTCATGTCTCTCCCTCCCTACCTCTCTCCTTCCACTCAAAAAATTATCTTTTAAATGCTTACTAAGTGCCAGGCACTGTGTTGGTTCTCCCTTCACCTTCTCTTATAAGTCAGAATATCCACTTGGGATAGTCTGTCAACTCTTAGGAATGAACAAAAGCAAAAGTGACATTTATATGATTAAAAAGCATACTATTTCTGGATTCATAATTTAAATCAAATGACTTGAGTTACTGGCAAAATGTTCATTTTTGACCATAACTGGATTTTATAGATGATCAATTTAGCAACTCGAAAAATGTATCCATGCAGAGGAACTATGTCATGTGTTTTGTGTACAGTCATAAATCTGACTACTTCTGGGTTCCATCTGCTCTGCTGCCCTACTTTTAATATTAGGGTGTCTGAAAACATTTCAGAAGGGGCTGCACAAATGTCAGTTCTGAGACTTCTGCCACTGATTTGCTGTGACTTTGGCTTATACACTGGGCTCCAATGTGTGTGTTCATGGAGTCAGCATCTCTCAGCCCCCAAAGGCTGGAAAGAATCAAGCTTGGGAATATAAAACATCTTTACAACCGCAGTTGCCAAACAAGCCCCTCAATGAACACTGAAAGACGTTCAGTTATTCAAATGTTAAGCTGGAAATTGGTGGGTACTTCAGAGCATCTCTTGTGTTGTCCAAGTAGTCACAGAGGCGCCAGTGTTGCTGGAGCTCTGTCAGGGACAGATGAGGTTTTCTTTGCAGTTTGGCTGCACTGGGATTGTGGACAGCCAATCCGGCGATTGCCAACTGGTGTTACAAGTGTAACAGCCCCTGTGCCAGGCTGTCAATTCACCCAGGTACCTCTCTGGGACAAGTGGCTTGGCAGCCTGTCAAAGCTCCAATAAGTCGCCAGCACACCCTTCCTGGAGTCAGATTGAGATCACAAGCGAGGGGAACACTGCTGTCTTGGAAGGCTGGGGCTACCTGGAAGCCACAATGGCGCTGATGATGTGAGGTGGGAGAACTTCAGAGAAGACTCCAAAGGGAAAGAGAGGGCACTAAACACTCCAGTATGGAGACAGAGTCCACAATGGACATACCAACCCATGAATAAACCACCAAGGAGGATTCTGACACAAAGCGATATTCACATCTGGAGAAGGCACATTTGGACACCTCCTGGGTGGTCTAGTTCTGTTTCAATGCCCCCTCCCATGCCCCCTTCAATAGCCAAAAGAACATTCTATGGCACCCTAAGTAGTATGTTTTGGTCCTAGGTCCCCTGGGGGACCCACCTAGGCCTAAGCCTTTCAAAAAAATTCTCCATTCAGGGACTGTCCCACTCCCTGCAGAATACTTAGCATCTCCGACCCTAAAACACAAAATGCCAGTAGCACACCAAATCATTAGGATGACCTAAAACACCCTTAGACACTTCCAAAAGCTCTCTAAGAGTGGGAAGTAGGAATCCTGGTTGAAAATCACTGGCAAGACCCATTCTGAGTACCTGATAACTCCTCTTAGCAAACGTTTGTTGGTCCAAGAGTTTCTTTACTTATAGGATTGCCTTGGTCCCAGTATGGGAACCACAGGGTACCTGTGGACCAACCTAGGTTTTCTGGGTAGACACCGTAGCTGCCCAGCAGTTTGGGCGGCATTAGTTGCATTAAAATACTCATTCTGGGGATGGCATTCTCTTTCTGGAGAGAGTCCAGAAGATGCAGGAATGGATATTTCTGTCCCAGAGCAGAGTTGAATCTGGGGGTGAATCATATCATCACTTCTATTCCTAAGGATTAGAGGAAAGTCACTAGGACTTTCTGACACCTGGCTGAGCTGTGAAGAATCACAGCTCAGTAATTGCTCTTCCTGTGAAAAGAACAGCCAAAGAGGCTGTGGCTGGACATTTCAAATCTTGGTTCAGTGCTTGAGATCAGGTTGTTATTTAAAAAGCAAGCCATAACTAAGCTAATCTCCCAAGAGACTGTGTTTATTTCTGTGCATAAACTTGTGTAGGTGTTATGGTATCAATATAAATCACTTTTGCTTTATAAATGGCTTAATGATCTTCATATTCTTTAGTTCTTAAAAGTCCTGAAGGACCCCATGTAACGCAAACACAGAGCAGTTCACAAGTATAAGTGCACACACACGGTTTAACAATTACTAGCACACAGTTGGGCATGCAAACTTCTACCACCACTCTCATCTGGGACTGTGCATTTTTGCAGCCTTGTGCTAACAAGCATCCAGAGCTTAAAGGCCACCTTACTCCAGTGGCAAGCAGCTATGTGCAGACTCAGAGGAACACAGGACACACAACTGCATGTACTCTGGAGAGGGCAATGCTGACCAGGGGGAGGAGACTGTATGTACCTTAACAGTGGTCCGACCATCAAATGTGAATGACTTGATCTGCCCATTTTCTAAGAAAACCTTCAGGACATTAGGGATGAGGAGGAGAGCTTCCTTCTTCATCATTTTCTGTGAACAAGCAGGGAAAGGACAAGGAGACCGGCTCATTTAGAAGGAAGTAGGAAGCCAGAGGAAGGGTGTGAAAAAGGAGAGAGAAAAGGTGATGGAGACAGAGAGCCAAAGGTGTAGGAGGGCAGAGACAGAGGAAAGAGCAGATCAATAATACATGGGGACCAGAACCAAACTCCCCAACAAGACACTGAGCCATATCAAAAGCCCGCCTCCATTTGACATCACGGAGCACCCACATTCTACTGTAGTTCAAACCTCCACAGATCAGAGCAAAGGGATCACCACACACCCGCTGAAGGGCTGATGAGAGGCCTCCTTTGGAGTCTACCTCACCCACCTGATCTTATCTCTGACATTTTTTTAAACACCTTCTACAAAGCTTCTAGACTGATCTTATCTCCTGATACCTCCCTTTCCCTGAGGCCCTTCACAAGCCAAGATCACGTCCTGTCAAGGCCTTTGCTCTGCCTTTTCCCCTCCCTAGGCCCTTTCTGACCTGGCCCCTGCCTAGTCTCCAGAGTCACGTCTTGCTATTCCTAGTACCCACACCTCTTTCACACCTCCATACCTCTGATGATTCTTCATTATTCAGGGATGTCCCCCTCCCTGCACAACACTTAGCATCTCCGACCCTGAGACATGAAGTGCCAGTAGCACACCAAAGCATTGGGATGACCTGAAACACCCTCAGACATTTTCTTTTTTTTTTCTTTTTCTTTTTTTGAGACAGAGTCTCGCTCTGTCGCCCAGGTGGGAGTGCAGTGGTGTGATCTCGGCTCGCTGCAACCTCTGCCTCCTGAGTTCAAGTGATCCTCCTGCCTCAGCCTCTCTAGTAGTAGCTGGGATTACAGGCGAGAGTCACCATGCCTGGCCCTCAGACATTTTCAAAAGCTCTCTAGCAATGGGAGGTACTGACTCTGATTGAGACATTCTTAATAAAAATTCATTAAATAAAGACTGTTCTCTTTCTCTGAGGACTCTAAAAGAAAGAAAGAAAAAAAGCTGTTCCCTCTGCCTTTCTCTTTTCCTCTTTGGCAAACTCCTATTTATCCTTCAAAACCCAGCTCAAATATGTATTCTGTAAAGCCTTGGTCTAATATCATCAGATACTTGGACCTGGTCTTTCCATGCATTCCTATAGCAATTTATGCACGCTTCTCACAATGCTCTTACCGTATTTTGTTTTGTTTTGATTTCTTTTTGAGACAGGGTCTCGCTCTATTGCCTAGGCTGGAGTGCAGTGGTGCAATCACAGCTCACTGCAGCCTCAAACTCCTGGGCTCAAGTGATCCTTCTACCTCAGCCTCCCAAATAGCTACGACTACAGGCATGTGCCACTACACCTAGCTAAATTTTTTACTTTTTGTAGAGACAGGGTCTCACTATGCTGCCGAAACTCACCTTTATCATATTTTTGAAGGATATTTGTCTTTCACAATCAAATGGTGAAATGAGAGCACAAAGACCATGTCCTATTTATCTTTGTAGTCCCAACACTAAACAAAGTTCCTGGCACACATTTGGTGCGCAATAAATGGCTGCTGAATGAATGGGCAGTAGGTGCTTGATGTGCACTTACTGAATGATCACTCTCATCCCAACCATTTCCCTGGGCCAACATCATCATCAGTTCTATAGGAATGGAAAAGCTGCAGAGATAACCAGATTCCTTAATTCACTGGGCATTCATTGAACCTCTACTGTATGCCCAACACTATGCTAAGTCTCTATGAGAGCTACAGGAGATTTAAATCCAGTCTTAAATTCTTGTTGTAGTGACTTGGCACACATACACATTATAAAACCAAAGCAAACCAACAGGTATAAGATGGCTAAAGTTTCCTAGATAAGGCAAATTGGATTTTGATTTTGAAGGAGACAGTGGGTGTGGATGATTTGAGAAGCCAGATGAGAACAGTCTAGACCTAGAGACTGTCATGGATCATGGACAAAGCATGGAAAGAGGAACAAGCAAATCCTCCTGGGTTGGGGTATGGTTGATGGTGGTGAGGAGCCAAGAGACAAGCTTGGCTGTGGAAACAAGGTGGGAAGTGGTGGGATATAAAATTGGAAGAGTGTGACTCCCTGGTCCCCTCCCTGATCTTGAGATGCCTTGCTCCTGCCAGGCCCAGCGGCCCCGGATCCCAGTGGTGGCAGGTTTTATTTAGCACACTGGGTTGGACTCAGATAATTACTTAATTGAATTTGCTTAAAAATAGAGCTGGCAAGGATCACCCACAGGATTTATTTTTGCTCTGGCTGCTTAATAAAGCCTTGGAACACGAAAGGAAAGGGTTGATAGGAGAGCCTGGAGTCACTTGGGCCTGGACTCCCCCGGCTCCCGACCTGTGATGAGGCTGCTATGGTCCATACTGGCGGCAGCATGGAGGAGGGTGATGTTGTAACACCAGGTAATTTCACGAGTGCAGTGAGAGTTGGAAGATTGATGTCTGTCTCTCACCCAGACAAGAGCCTCACACTATGCCTGGTGGCCTGTCCGAGAGAATGAGGTCACTCTAGGTGGGTCCTAGCTACTCTGTGGCATTTGCATTCAGAATAGACTGGAGTGGGGGGCATCGTTACGCCTGTAGACTAGCTGTGCCTGTAACCTAGCTGTGACGTATGGAGAGGGGAATCATGGTGGAAGAAGGAGAAAGTGGAGAAGGGGAAGTAGAAGGGAGAGGAAGAGAAGAGAGGGGAGGGGAGTGGGGAGGAAGGGAAGGAGTTCTTCACTGGGTGGCCTGCCCTTGACTGATTACTCTGCAATGTTGAGATGGCATAGGATAAGCCTGTTCATACTTACCAAATCCAAGTCATACGTCCTCTGGGTTTTCAAGCATTCAGGACACACATATCCTCCTGGTGACTTGGACCTCGGGGTCTGTTTCACCCTGATTTGCAGGGACTCCATATTACTCCTTTTCCCCTCTGCTCATCAATGATCACTTCTCTTAAAACTTTTCTTCTAGGATTGACACAGATCCCAACCATCAATTATTCAGACAGCTTGCCCAGTGGGGTCCTGTAGTCCCCTGGGTTTGCCAGCCTTCCTCATGCAGAGATGGAGGAGGGCATAGACTGAGTTTGGGAATGAGAGTCAGGGAAATGGAGATGGAAGACACCTGTGTCCTCTATACCTTCTTCTCACTAATTCTGCCTTAAATAATATAGAAGCGCCTGGCACCCTGCTGATTTCCCTGCTCTGGGCCTGCTATCTTCTCCCAACAACTGTGGCTGTTCCTCAGTACGTAAATGCCAAGGGCCTCCAGACAGCTCTGCCCATCACAGCTATCAAAAGCACACAAGTGCCTGTTAGCTCTAGCTATCCCCTCTGTCCCCACCAGGTTATCACTAACTTCTGCAGATTCCTGAAGGACTCGGCCAGAATGCATGACTGCTTAACACACTTCTTTTCTGCTCTTCACCTGCCTCTTCTCATTTGCACATCTGGAGCCGACAGTTCACTGCATGTAAACCTCCCAAAGCAGTGAGAAACACTGTGGCTGGCCAAGACTCCCCAAATTGGCAGCTGCATGGCATGGGCTGTCAAATATTACCTGTCTTTCGAAACAATACCACCCCGTAGTAGATTTTGTATTGTCTCAATCTGAACCTCTTGTCCCCCTCAACATTGCTGAGAGGTATCTGGTAGCAGGGAACAGGTATTTATTTTGCCTCCCCTCTGGTGCTAAGAACATAGCAGGTGCCTAATAAAAACTTGGTGACTTAATGAGAGTCTGTATCATTTCCTTTAGGCAACTTTACTCACCACTGCATGGCCTTTTCTGGTCAAGATGTGGAGTTGCAAGATCACTTAAATGTGAAGAGAGCTCAATTTCACCAGCCACTCATTCCCTGAGTCTTCAGGAAGCCATTATTTCCTTCCTGTTTCTATCAAGTAGCAAAAGATGTTTATGGAGCACTTGCTTTGAGTGTAAGCTACTGTGTTAGGGATGGAAATTTCTCTAAGCATCAGAAGGATCTTGAGTGAATCAATATATATTCCTTCTCCCCACAATGCCTGGGGCCTCTCTGGATGTCACGTATCCCTCTTCACTCACTACTTTTCCCCCTCCAGCACCTGGACGCTCCCACTCTAACCCATTCGGAAAGCTGTCCACTATAAGAAGCCCCAGAGCGAGAGCTTGACAGCCAGGCAGATTATGGCCAGGGGCTGAGGAGAGGGAGCCAAAGCTACACTTACTGCATCTGTTTCTCCAACTGCCACCTGCTCAGAAAATCGAACCTTCACAGGATTGGACCTCAACTTGGCCTTCTTCGCAGCACTGATGAAAGCAGATTTGGGGGACTGGAAAAAGAACAGAGAGATGGTGAGTTCTCCATATCTAGGGAAAGCCTAACCTTTGTCACGTCAGAGTTAAGATGTCCCAGTACAGGTACACTTTGCATTACTGATCAAGGAGTCAATAAACAAATATTAATTACCTATTAGTTGCAAGGCAATGTGCTAAATGCTTCCCTATGTAATTGGTGTGTTCTGAAACAGCTGGGCATGAATTGAATTTGGGTAGATTGAACCCCATTATTAATACTCTAGGCCTAGGGGAGTTTGCAAAAGTTCTTTAGTAATAACATACATTGAGTTTTTATATATTTGGTTTTCTTACAGTGAGATAGACCTAAAGGGTGTCTTTTTATTATTATTATTATATCTGAATATAAGCATCCCAAATAATTTACAGAAATGATCTTGTTCACCTCACAGACATGTCCTGCCCCTAGGAAGGAGTTGCATAATAAATACTATTTTAGATGTGGGAGAAAGGAGACCTAGCACTCCAAAAGGATTTATCCACAGTTACTACACTATTGGGGAATAGAGATGTGAGAGATTTAACCCAAGTCTTCTGGCTTTCTAGTTTTGGGCTCTGCACCACTTTGTTTATCCAATTCTGTAAGAAATGCCCAAAAAATCAGCCAGGCTTGTATTTATTTATTTATTTTTAGACGGAGTTTCACTCTTGTCGCCTAGGCTGGAGTGCAATGGTGCAATCTCGGCTCACTGCAACCTCCGCTCCCTGGGTTCAAGCGATTCTCCAGCCTTGCCTCCTGAGTAGCTGGGATTACAGTCATGTGCCACCACACCCAGCTAATTTTGTATTTTTAGTAGAGATGGGGTCTCACCATGTTGGCCAGGCTGGTCTTGAACTCCTGACCTTAGGTGATCCACCTGCCTCAGCCTCCCAAAGTACTGGGCTTACAGGCCACCATGCCTGGCTGGCTTTTTAGTTCTTGAAAACTCTCCCACAATTTTATCAGAAGCATGATTAGCAAACACTGGAAACTAAGCCTTTCCTGGGTGCCCCTTGGATTCTAGCTCCCTGCTGAGCTCTGTAAGGCCCAGCAATTAGGAATACAGGAGTCGTGCTGAGGGGCATCCTCATTGTCTTTGGGGGGGCGTTTATTCATTCTTTTGACAAATTTAGCAAGGGCCTACTACATGCCACACACTGTTCTAGGTGATGAGGGATAGAGCAGTGAATAAGACAGACAAAACTCCCTGGCCTCATGGAGCATCCATTCCAGCAGGAATAGACAGACGATAAATATCTTTTAGGTAGCAAAGAAGGACTTTGAGGAAAAATAAGGCAGGGTAAAGGACTACACAAGAGAATGAGTGAGTTAGAGTGGGAGTAGTGAGGGTATTATTTTAGCAATTTTGAAATACATAATACATTATTATTAACTATAGTCATCATGCTGTGCAATAGATCTCAAAAACTTATTCCTCCTGTCTAACTGAGCCTTTGTATCCTTTGAACAGCATCTCCCCACTCCCTCCCAACCTTAGCCTCTAGTGATCACCATTCTATGCTCCACTTCTATGATTTTGACTTTTTTAGATTCCGCATGTAAGTGAGATCATGTGGTATTTGTCTTTCTGTGTCTGGCTTATAATAATTATTATTATTATTTCACTTAGGATAATGTCTTCCAAGTTCATCCATGTTGTAGCAAATGACAGGATTTACTTCTTCTTAAAGACTGAATAGTATTCCACTGTGTATTTATACCACATTTTCTTCATCCATTCATCTGTTGATGGCAGACACTTAGGTTGTTTCCCTATCTTGGCTATGGTGAATAGTGCTGCCACGAACATGGGAATGCAGATGGCTCTTTGGCATACTAATTTCAATTCCCTTGGATATATATCCACAAGTAGGATTGTGCGGGTTATATTTTTAATTTTTTTTTTTTTTTTTTCTGAGAAGGAGTCTTGCTCTGTCGCCCAGGCTAGAGTGCAGTGGTGCGATCTCGGCTCACTGCAACCTCTGTCTCCGCGGTTCAAGTGATTCCCCTGCCTCAGTCTCCCGAGTAGCTGGGATTACAGGCAGGCATCACCATGCCCAGCTAATTTTTGTATTTTTGGTAGAGACGGGGTTTCACCATGTTGGCCAGGCTGGTCTCGAACTACTGACCTCAAGTGATCCACCCACTTCGGCCTCCCAAAGTGCTGGGATACAGGTATGAGCCACGGCGCCCGGCCACTGGGGGAGGTTATTTTAGACAGGATGGTCAGGGAAGACCTCTCTGAGGATGAGACATTAAGCAGAAACTTAAGGAAGTGAGGGAGAGACAGCCACCAGGTTATCTGGAGAAAGGCTTCTGGGCAGAAACTACAGTAAAGGCCCTGAAGTGAATTGAGGTGTATGAAGAACAGCAAGGAAGGCCAAGGTGGCTGGAGTGGCGTGATGGAGGGGGAGCAAGAGGGGAGATGCTCAGAGAGGCAGCTGGGGGCTGGGTCATGTAGGACCTTGTAAACCACGGTGAGAACTTTGGATTTCACTCCACTAGAGGGATTTGATTGAACAGAGTCTGATGTGCATTTTAAAAGGAAGCCTCTGGTTGCTGTGTGGAAAACAGAGTGTAGAAGGGCAATGGCAAGAGCATGGAGACCAGTTGGGGGTCTCTAAGTACAATATTTGTAACTGCAATAATATGGTTAAAACATAATGGAGGCTTGGGCTAGGATGGTACTGATGGAGTTGAAAAGTGAATGAATTCTGGATATATTTTGAATACTGAATTAGGATGATATGTTGACTGATTGGATATGAGAGTGAGAAAAAGAGAGACTTCAACTGAAAGAATGGACTTGCCATTTACTGAGATGAAGAGGACTAGGGAGTGAATCAGGTTTGGGGCTACTTCAAACCACCACCCCTATGGGCCTTGCCATGGAGCCTGAGTCCTACAATCAGGAATTTCTTTGTGTTAAGGCCCTGAAGGTCCCTGCCAGCTGGGAATACGTTAAGCTATTATCTACCATTTACACTGCAGTTGAGATTCATTTACCCAATCAGCCACAGGAGGGCAGGGCCCTAAGATACACATCAGAAACAAACGTCCTCATTGTGTCTTGGGCCCTGGTCCCAGCTGGCTCTGTCAGAGCCAGCAATCTCATTCCCACAGAGGGGAGATTGCAAAAAACCACTTCTTTCACCTGAGTCCAGCAGGAACTCAGGCAGTGAGTGTCAGTCCTGGCTGCATAGTAGAAATGCTGGGAGGAGCTTTTAAAAATCCTGAAGCCCAGGGCCCACCACAGACCAATTACATCAGAATTCCTGGGGGTGAGGTCTGAGCATCAGTATTTTTTTCAAGCTTCTGATGATTTCCAAATGCAGCCAAGATTAAGAACCATTGAGCTAAAGGAACCTTAGACTTCTCATCCTGAGCCAAAGGGGCAATTTGTTGGCAGCAGACAATATAGCACAATGAAATCCAGAGCTGGAGATCACTGCAGAAAGTGATTACAGTATTGATTATACATGGAGTTGATAAATGCCTTTGTGTGTTGCACAGCCTGGTGCTCCAATCCTGAGCAGGGGCTGCAGGCTGAGGCAGAAGCAAGAGAAAGGGGCAAGATAGAAAGATCTGTAGCTATGCTCAGGCAGCTGTGTTTGATTCCATCTCCACAGTCATCCAAAGTTCCACCAAGGTGCCACAAACATGAGGCAAGTGGAATCTTTCTACCTGACAGTCACCTCTCTTCTCTGCCATCATCTGCCCTCAGATGCCTGCATGGCACAGTGTGTAGAACGAGGCATCTCTAGAGACCTGAATGGGCCATGCAGCTCAACCTTCATTTTTCACATGTGAAACAGAAGCCTGGGAAGAGGATATACTTTACCCAAAGTATTGAAATAATTGAGTAGCAGAGCCGAAACCAGAACCCAGGTTTCCTGAGCCTTTGCTTAGTGGTTGTTCCCCCACAGCAGGCTAAAGCTGGGAGTCCTTTCCTGATCTTTCATCCACTGGTTCTGGTTCTACCTTGGTGTTATGTAATGGACTCAAACAAATGAAGAACCCCAACTGGTATCCTTTTATGTATTCACCACAGTGAAGAGGGTGGCATCCTTGCTATCCCTACCAAAGATGCAAGATTAGATCCTGTCCTAGAGAGTTTCTGTTTGTACCACTGAAAACCAAAGATTCAGTTAATTATAGGCACAAACCACAAAGGAGGAAATGAAATTGCCAATATTTTCAGGGATTATAATCATTTCCAGGTGTCTGTTTCAGAGTTATTTTCAGCTTGTTTATACTTCAGTCCTCATTGACCCTTGTCCTGTTGGTCTCTAAGATTCCATCCTATTCTCAGTCTTCAGCCTTGATGCTGGTGACTCATTCATTGCCAGCTGGTCTGTGCTAGATGTCATGGAGTCACATCTAGCCTTATGCTCAGACACAGGTGAGGCCTGCTTTGCAGTGTGATATGAGGAGCCTCTCAGAGGCCTCCGTGTCCCAAAGCATCTTCAAAGCTCAGCTCTGGGGCTTGAAGTTCGTAATATTAGGGGCACTCCTTTGAATTACAATGTTGAGAATTGGGAAGGCCCGGGTCAAAATGTGAATGCGGTAGCAGGAAGGCATAATACACTTCAGGGGCCAGCAAATTACAGGCCTACATAGGCCAAATCTTGCTCACCACCTGTTTTTGTAAATAAAGCTTTACTGGAACACAGCCGTGATCTTCATTTATGTATTGCCTATGGCTGCTTTTGTGCTACCACATATGGCCTGCAAAGCCTAAAATACTTATTATATGGCCCTTCAGAGAAACAGTTTGCCAACCTCTGCACTAATTCATAACCATGCACTAACCAGCTGTTTTTAAAACGTGCCTGATGATAAGAATC
Organism: Homo sapiens; assembly: GCF_000001405.40. NCBI lineage: Eukaryota > Metazoa > Chordata > Mammalia > Primates > Hominidae > Homo > Homo sapiens. Next base: position 107,540,884 of record NC_000023.11, on the reverse strand, counting down.
ACTGAGGAGTGCTTGTTAAAGCACAGATGCCTAGGCTCACACCAGATTTTAAAAGTTAGAATCTCTGGAAGAGTGGGGCCCAGAAATTGACATTGTTGAAGAGATCCCAATCCATTAAGCATAGATTAATTGAGCACCTTAAGGCTGGAATGTTTGAGCTCTTCACTGACCCTATTTTTTTCTCCAAGCAGCTGGGAATCTCACTTTGCAACAGGCACCCTTTCTGGCTAAAATGAATTTTGGCTTGAAACATGGGACTAGAATTGCTAAGTACCTCTGGGGCCACTGCAAGCTGCTTGAAGCAAATATGAAGCCAGCAGCTTGGTGGAATAAGGAATAGAAGAGAGTCTGCCTTTCCCTCAGTGCAGAATTCAGCAGCTGGTTATTTTTTGACCATTTTTTAAATTTGTTGTCTGTATTAGTACAGATGTCAGGGTTGTGATCACTCAAATCTTGACCAAAGTCAGATATAGGGCCAAATATTTTAGAACAAGATAGGGCCCCGCTTTGGTAACTGAAAAAAAACGAAACTCAGCTTCTTGAAGCTTTGACTGATTTGCCCTTCTGGCTACACTGCCTTTGACACCTGAGCCTACTTATAACCAATTCCTATAGCAACCACTGTGGGAGCCTAGGACAATGGAGGACCATCCTGGTTTCACCAGATCACTACTAGGGGAACCAGGGGGCCTTCCTTCCCACACTCAAGACTGCCTGGACATGAACATATCCTCTGCCTGACTTCCAAAGCCCGCCACAAACTACACCTGACTCTCTAACCACCTCTCTCCAAGATCACCTTTTGCTGCACTTGGTAGTTCTATCCACAGCTCCCTGCACACACTGGGCTTGTTATCATTCCTGGACCCACCTCACGCTGTTTCCTCCCTGTCCCCATCCTTCAGGGTCTAGAGTGTCCCTTTGACTAGCTAAATGCCATCACTTTACAGCTTAGTTCAAACTCTACCTTTATCCTCAATCCTTCCCCAACTCCTCAATTCCCCTTCTTGGATTTCCTATAGTACTCCTGTTAATCCACACTGCCATTGCTCACATCCCCAACCAGGCTGTATAAGCAGAGATGCCATTTTATGTTAATATGTCTCCCCCTAGTACCAAGCACATAGTAGACATGGCATAAAATATATTAGTTGATTGCTAAAATTAGTAATGAATTAGTTCATTAATTCAGCATATATGGTTGGAGTATCTACCATCTGACAAACACTATACGTCAGGAAGCTCTGTAGAAAACCAGTTTCTCTGAGGTGGTTCCCATTATTTTGGCTTTCTTTTTCTGGGCAGGTGGCTCCAAGCAGAAGGGATTCCAGTTCTTTAAGTACAGGCTGTTTTCAGAACCAGAAAACTGGGTTTCATTTGAAACAGATTGTCTGTACTTGCTTTATCAGGGTCATTCTTGGTCATAATCCGGTACTTTATCCGTTTAAAAATATTTACTGAGTGCCTACTGTGTGCCAAGGTCTAAAGATTTCAAGATTAATAAATATCCAGTCAGTCATGAGGACTAGTTGGTAATTCAAAGATTAAGGAATACCCTTAAGTACACAGAAGCTTATTAAGTGGCTATCTATGCAGTATGGTTTGAGGGGCCCTGGGAAAGAACTCCTGTGACCCCTCTCCCCAATTGTCTGCCATGCTATGAGTCACTCTTACAAGGAAAATGTCATCTGAGAGAGACTCCATATCAGAATCATTTGGTGAGCCTTTTCAAAAGACCAATACCAGGGCCTCATCTCCAGAGCTTCTAATTCAATGAGTCAGGGCAAGAGCCCAAGTATCAATATTTTCATGTTTTCTTTTTTTTTTTCTGTCTCTGCTGCTCGAATGAATCAGAAGTGACTATTAATAGTTTTCAGAGCTTCTCAGATGGTTATAATGGATAAACAGGGTCAAGAACCATTACCAGGCCAGGTGTGGTGGCTCACGCCTGTAATCCCAGTACTTTGGGAGGCCAAGGCGGGCAGATTACTTGAGGTCAGGGATTCGAGACCAGCCTGGCCAACATGGCGAAACATCGTCTCTACTAAAAATGCAAAAATTAGCCGGTGTAGTGGCACATGCCTGTAATTCCAGCTCCTCGGGGGCTGAGGCAGGAGAGTCACTTGAACCCAGGAGGTAAAGGTTGCAGTGAGCTGAGATGGCACCACTGCACTCCAGACTGGATAATAGAGTGAGACTCTATATATATAAAATAAAATTACCAGCCACAGTATGTAGGAGTAGGTATTAGGCCATTATCAGCCACATAATGTAGGAGCTATTAATAGAAGGAGACTTGCAGATTGTCTGGTCCAGTGGTTTTTTTTTTTTTTTTTTTTTTTTTAACAAATATAGATTCCTAGGCCACATCCTGGACCTATTAGGAGGTTGTCTTCTGGAAGTAGTGGTAATCAAACTTTAACATGACAAGAGTTCTGTAATAGGTAGCAGTCTCCTTGCACCCATGAGATGCCAAGTGCCTGCTGTGAACACAGTAGTATTTTCTGTGATGTAGGGGGTATAACATTAAACACATATTGGGGGTCTTCAAGAAGCTTTCAGTATAGCTAAAGAGAGAAGATCTGTCAATGGAGACTTGTTAAGGTGGTTACGTTCTATGACATTTCCATAAACACTGAATTAGTGAATACTGAACTGTTGCTCCAATATTTCACATAAATTATGGTGTTAAAATGTAAAAACAACTCATCCTAGTAGCTTCTATGTTCTTTATTTTACAAAGAGAAAATGAAGTTCAAAAGTGTTAAGTGACTTGCCTGAGGCCACTCCACTCACAGGTGCCAGAGTCAAGATTCAAACCCCGTCCAACTGGCCCCAGAACTGCAGTTTCTTTCTTGCACTACACTGCACTGCCCCCTATCGTCTTCATCCTCTGATTACCTCTGTATGAGATCTGACACAAGAAGGCAGAGCATCACCTTGTCCGACCTCGGCTGGGAACGTGTGCATGGGGTAAATCAAAATTTTCACACTCTGCACATGTCTGCAAATGACCAGGAAAGTGCCGTGATTATTGATTTTGGGGGTTATAAATAAATTTTTGGGAGTAGGCAAATTTGCAAATAGGGAATCTGCAAATAATGAGGATCGACTGCACATGTAGGTAAGGCTGACATTCAATTGGCATGCACTGGGATGGCCATACCAGTTGTAAAATACAGAGAGATTCTTTCACACTGATTGGTAAATAGGCACTGCCCTATGCTTCCTGGATGCCACCTGACCTCTCCCCCTGGACCTCCTTACAAACGTAGATCAACTACAGGGTTAACATCTGGCACAACTAGGAGGCCTTCAAGATTCTGCTCCGGTGTTATTACTGGCTTATATTTTGACTGGATTGGCTCCTACTGTACAGGTCATTAAATGTTTTGACAATTAGCCCCGTGTGTGTGTACTCGTCCACTTCTATGCTCCAAGGATTTAGAGAGCACAAGACTGAGAACTAGAATGTAAGCTCTGTGAGGGCAGGGACTATGTTTGTCCTGTGCACTGCTATATTCCCAGCCTAGAAGAGTGTCCAGAATAGTAGGTATTTAATAAATGCTTGATGAGTGAATGAAAAAATTAGGGAAATGCTCATTGAGATTAGTCAGGCAAAGCTGTTTGGAGAACATGAGTATCAAACAAGGTCTTAAAAGAAACAGACATGTATTAGAAGAGATGTGGAATAGCAAAAGGACAAAAGTCCACGGGGCAGTAAGACCTAAGAAGGAAATGTACCTAAGAAGGAGAAGGAAATCAGCCTGGCCGCAGCAAAGGGGCCATGGGTTGGGACCTGCAGAGTAAGCAGAACAGGGGGTAAGAAAATGTTGGAGGCACTGGGATGGGAAAGTCGAGATAGAGATTGGGGTGAGTGTTACGCCCTTTATTCTGCACCTAAGTTTGGACACTTGAGTTTTGTTTAGGTTGCTTTGTTGGCTAGAAACTGGGTTTCCTTCCTTCCGTCAACCAATATTTATTAGCACCTACTCTGTGCCAGGTGCTGGGGATACAGCAGTAACAAAACACAGTCTCTACCCTCATGGAGCTGACATTCTAATGAGGGACAGAGACAATAAACATGTAAATATAATATCTCATGGGAATGTAAAATGGCACCGCCACTTTGAAAAACAGTCTGGCAGTTTTTTAATAGGCTAAATATACACTTACTATTTGATCCAGCAATCGTACTCTTGGGCATTTATCTCAGAGAAATGAAAACTTATGCCCACAAAAATCCTGTACACAAATATTATAGCAGCTTTATTTGTAGTAGTTCAAAACTGGAAACAACCCAATGCCCTTCAACGGGTACATGATTAAACAAACTGGTACATCCACACCATGGAATACCATGGGTACTACTCAGCAATAAAACGGAACAAAATATTGATACATGCAACAAGTTGGATGAATCTCGAGGACATTTTGCTAAGAGGACATTTTGCTAAGTGAAGAAAGTCAATCCCCAAAGGTTACATATTATATAATTATATTTATATATTATTTTTGCTTGTTTTTTAGAGAAGTGGCCTCGCTCTATTGCCCAGGCTGGAGTACAGTGGTGCTATCATAGCTCAAAGCAGTCTCCAACACCTGGGCTCAAGCAATCCTCCTGCCTCAGCCTCTCAAGTAGCTGGGACTACAGGTGTGCCCTACCACACCTAGCTAAATTAAAAAGAAAATTTTTAGAGACGAGGTCTCATTCTATGTTGTTCAGGCTGATCTCAAATTCCTGACCTCAAGTGATCCTCCCATCTCAGCCTCCTAAGTAGCTGAAATTCCAGACAGGAGCCACAGTGCCTTGCTTCCATTTATATAATATTTTTGAAATAAAATTAGGGAAATGTAAAGTGGTTGACAGGGATTGGGTGTAGGCGGTGAAGTGAGTGTGGTTATAAAAGGACAACACGAGGAATCCTTTGGGTGACAGACTTGTCCAGTGATTTTTTTAAGTTTTAAATTTTTGTGAGTACATAGTAGATATATGTATGTCTAGGGCACATAAGATACTTTGACACAGGCATGCAACGTATAATAACAATATTATGGTAAATGGGGTATCTTTACTGTGTTGGTGGAGACATAAACCCACATGTGATAAATTCATATTGAATCATATACATACGTTGTGTCATTGTTGATTTCCTGGTTTTGCTATTGCACATAGTTTTTGTTCTGTTTTGCCTTTTTTTTTTTTTTTTTTGAGATGGAGTCTCGCTCTGTCACCCAGGCTGGAGTGCAGTGGTGCAATCTCAGCTCACTGCAACCTCTGCCTCCCAGGTTCAAATGATTCTCGTGCCTTAGCCTCCTTTGTAGCTGGGACTACAGGTGCGTTCCACCATCCCAGCCTAATTTTTTTTGTATTTTGTGTAGGGACAGGATTTCACCATGTTGGCCAGGCTGGTCTCGAACTCCTGGCCTCAAGTGATCAACCTGCCTCGGCCTCCCAAAGTGCTGGGATTACAGGTGTGAGCCACTGCACCCAGCCTATTGCACATAGTTATGTAAGATATAACCACTGGGAGAAACAGGGTAACAGTACATGGTATATCTCTGTACTATCGTTGCAACTTCTTGTGATCTACAATTATTTCAAAAGAAAAGTTAAAAAATATAATATTTCAGCTCTGATGAAAAAGTAAGCCATATCAGAAGATAGTGAAGGTAGATGCTATTTTAGAAAGGGTACTCAAGGAAGGCTTCTGCAAGGTGAGATTTGAGAAGAACTGACTAACAAAGTAAACCCACATTGGGTCTCTGATCGCAGTAGTAAATTCTAACCACACATCAAGCATGTTTTAGTGGGAGAACTGGTGGTCATTTTCAAGACAGGAGGTTGGGAGGTTGGGACTGACTGCCTACTGCCCACTAGGCAACTGCACACATGCAGCAAAGTGGTGGGGAGGGGACTATTGGTAACAACAATGGAGTGGTGGGGCTTGCCTGCCCAGAGACAAGAGAACTGGAACTGAGAAAGGCCTATCTGCCTGGGACCATTGTGTGTACATATGTGAGAGAGCACATGAGTGCGTGTATATGTGAGTAGTGTGTGTATATGTATGGGTATGAGTGGGTGAGTGTATGTGTGTGAGTGTACGTGTGAGGATATGTGTGAGTCTATTATGCATGAGGTTGTGAATGAATGTGTGAGTGTATTGTGTGTGTGTGTCAGTGTGTTTGTATATGTGTGTGAGTGTATGAGTGTGTGAGTGAAGTTCACACTGATGCAGAAGAGGTCTGGGAGCTGGGGGCCATGGGGAGAGGCAGTTAGTTTGAACCAAGATTGATTTGAATCTTGCTCTTGCCTGGTGAGCCCATGCTGTGCACCTGTGTTCCATCCCTCGCTGTGTCATCTCTCTATGGAAAATCTTGCCCCATCCCTCAAGGTCCAGCTCAGGTGCAGCCTCCTCCTTGAAGCCTTCCCTGATTTCATGTCCCTCACCCCCAACAGATGTGATCTCTCCTGTGGCTATATATTGAGGGTATGGCATCCATGCTGGGGTGCAGAGGACTGTTGTTGGGGACATTAATAAGGGGACAGGTAGGCTGGAGGTAGAGTGAGGGCTCTGAATTTTGCACATGGAAGTTGTGCACCTGGGTTTGTGCATTTAAGTTAAGATTGCTATAAGGGTACAACTAATAATGGACACTGAACTTTCTAAATCCAACTCTTGAGGAGAGGGGGCTAGAAATTTTTACTTTTAATAAGTAGTCCTGGCAACGATTATGATCAGGCATGTTTAGGTAACACTGTTATACTTTAAATCTCTCAATGTACAGATGATGAAACAGGTCCAGAATGGGGAACTGACTCATTCAAGGTCACACAGCCAGTTAAGTGACTGTACCAGGACAAAAATGAATCTGTTTGTCCAAGGGTACCCCCCAGCAAATTTATATTAAATTCTCTCACATATGGTGCTGTGTCTCATACATTGTAGGTAACTTATATGAATGAATAAGATTGGCACCTATCATCGTCCAGGACTTTATGAGAGTTCACATTGGACAGATACATTTTAATGGAGTACAGCCAAAAAGAAGTGGAAACTGTATTTGGAATTGAGGCAGTGGGCAGCTTAAGTGGGTAAAGAAGAAGGCACAGGACAGAACACAGCACAGCACAGCCCTTCAAAGTCCTCAGCTTTGGACATGAGCAGAGACATGCTGTTCAGAAGGTATTCTTTAAGTTCACTCCTAAATCCTTGGCTCATATGTTGGTTGTAGTCTCTGAACCCCCAACCCCATCACTGTTGCTTTCCAATATGGAAATGTCATCTCTTCTCAGTCAGGAGGAAGGGCAGATGGCAAAGAGGCTCACTCACCTGATGAGTGTGCAGAACTGTAAGAACGATGAATTCCTTAGCGCTCCTACAGAGAAAAGAGGGAATAGGAGAGTAGTGTATCATGCACTAGGTATTCATCTAGTACAAGAAGCAACACCAGAATCTTCCCCTGGCTTTATTCAGGTATATGGATTAGGATAGAGGGCAATCTGAGTGTCTGCATGGACACTTCACCTCCCATCATTTGTGGAGGCTGACACAAACCATCCATATTAATTCACACAGGTATCCGAAGATGGTATAATCATTACCTCTGGGGTTGTCATTTTTTAGGTCTTCTTTTCATATTCCTTCTCACATACTCTCTGTAGAAATCTCCAAACCTTAGTAGCAATTTTATCTGTAGACTACAAAATTCTCAAGGAAAACTAAAAGCCTGCATTATGGAACTCAAAATCAGAGAGTCCTGGGAACCACGTACAATGATTATTGGTAATTTGGTATTTAAGTGAGAAGAGAAATTCAAAGGAAAAACCCAAAGGAGGTCATTTGGTCACCATGACTCATACTCATCAGATTTGTTTTAATTGAGGGACCAAAAAAGAGAGCCAGGGAGCAACAGATGGAAGCCAAAACTCTCCAGATAGCAAATATTCAAAAGAATGAAGAATATGAAACTCTTCTGGCAAGAATTATGCCAGTGATCAAACAGGCTGTGAAGTATGAAAATTCTCTCCCAGGAATACATAATCTTTTAAAAGAACTAAAAGAAATGGAAATAGTTTGCCCTGAAGGAGCTTCCCCTCTCCTTATTGGCCCTTTTCAAATGTTTATGTGAACAAAGTCATTTAAGAAGTAGAGTCAAGCTGCCCTTGATTCTGGATATTCAAGAAATGCCAAGGCCCGCAGCTCAAGAACTTTGAACATCTCCCACATTTGGTGAGGCAAATTACAGGGATTAATCAGCCCCAGGGTTTGGGAAGTTACCAGAAGTAAAGAGTTATTCTCCAGGAAAAATACTAAAGAAAATCCTTTATCTTGAACAGGGAAGGGGCATAACATAAGTTGGATTATGTGACTCGTCTCCTCCAGCCCCTTGCCATGTCTCCCCATTTCATTTATAACAAAGCCACAGTCCCTATGGTGGCTTCAAAGGTTCTCCATTATCTGGACTTATTTTCTACAACTCTCCTCTTTCCTTACCAACTCCAGTCCTACTGGCTTCTCCCCTGTTCCACAATCGTGCCAAACACACTCCTGGCCTTAGGGCCTTTGCACTGGCTGTTCTCTGTCCAACACCTTCTCCTCCTTCAAGTCTTTCTTCAAATGTCACCTTTTCAATGAGGCCAACATTGACCCTACTGTTTAGTTGCATTTTGCACCCCTGTGCCCAGCACTCCTGATCCTCTTTACCTAGATCTACTTTCTATTCTTAATAACATTTATCAGCTTCTAATATGTTGTAGAACTACTTATAATCTTTTCTGCTTATGATGTGTCTCCTTTCACTAAAATGTAAACTCCAGTGAGCCAGGGATCTTTGTCTGTCTTATTCACTGCTGTATCTTCGGTGTGTGGAACAGTGCCTGGTGCATCGAGGACAACAATAAATACTGGTTGATTGACTGACTGACTGAATGAATGAATGAATAATCCACTGGCTCCCAAGGTTATCAAGAGTGTGCTCTGCTTTAACCCTGAAGGAGCTCTGGAACCCCTCACGAAATCAGCATACCTTGTTCTAGAGGGCAAAGAAATCTACTAAAAACAAAGCAGTGACTTCTGAGGGACCAGGCTGAAAAAAACCCAACATGCCCTAATAGGATAGAAAGAACTCACCTCATATTGGTGTGGTAGCAGAGGGTGGAGGGTGGAGGGTAGGGAAATGCAATAGACAACTGAACTTGGAGAAGAGTCAAAGAAAAGGTCATTAGGGATCAGACACATTTCATGGTATTGAGCTGGAAGGAGCATGCCAAGGAAGACATGCTCTGGACTTCAGGAGGGAACATTCCAAAGCCCTCCAGAGCTAGTTAGAGGGTGCTGTTCCATACACAGAATGCTATGTCTGCCTTTGAAGGCAAGGGAAGAGCTCTGGGACCAGGTGGGCTTTTGGGAGCCTGGAAAGATGAGTGGGATGAAAACACTCTGAACCAGGAGGACTTGAAGGAGATGGTGGCAGAGATGAAGTCAGACTAAGCAAGGGGGTGAGAGAGAGGAGGAGAGAGAGAGAGAGAGAGAGAGAGGGAGAGAGAAAAGGAGAGTGAGAGAAAGAGCGAGCATGTACATGGTTCCATTTGGAGTGAGATAGCCAAGCTCCCCCAAACTGAGGTTAGCCCATGCAATTTGGAGCCTTTACCTCTTATTCTCTAATTCCTTTTCAACAAATCTATGCCAGGGTGTGTGTATGTGGTGTGAATGTGGGGTAGGAGAGTGTGTATGGTGTGTGTGTGTGTGTGTGTGTGTGTGTGTGTGTGTAATGTGCACAGGGGTAAAGGATAGGTAAAGACAATGTGATTACTCTCCATGTACAAACAGTGGTAATCCCACAATGTTCCTTTTGTCATCTGCTCCCATCTGCGGAGGGCATTTAGGGGACACAAACACTATGGACAGTATCCACATTGGGAGGTTCTCTTCCTCAACCCATTGGCCAGGGATTCTGAGTTTTTTCTGGAGTTGGGGAGTTGGTCAATATCTTGCTTGCACTGTGCATATCTAGGATGTTCTTTTAATGGCTTGATTCTCATCTGTCACTTGGTCTGTCCCGCTGGAAAAAAACAAAGGGGCTGGGGTGAAGAGATTGTTTGGGTGGAAGGAGGTAGGGGTGAGACTCCAGCAGGGAGTTCTTTGCGTCTGTTCACATCATTGGAGATGCTAAGCCAGTGTGTATGAAGGCTCCTGCTGACCCTGAATAGCTGGCCCCTGAAGTTCTGGGTTAGCCAGGAGCCCTCTATAGGGCTTCTCTGCCTGGAAGGATTCTGCTCTCAGAGCGAGGGGGGGATAGTGGTGGCCCCATGTCACTGGTGAGTCAGGGGTGGGGATACTGATCAGTTCCTGCCAAAAGGCCCCTGTTACCTGATAAGTTCTATGAGTCTCTCCCTCGGGGCTTCACTCACGTCTTCCTCATTAATAGCCACAATCTGGTCACCAGCCAGGAGCTTGTTCTCAGAGGGGCCTCCTGCAAAGGAGAGGAGAGAGGTGTGAGGGCTTAGGGTTACTGCTGGGAAAGTCCAGGTCTGGGCAAGTCCCCTGTGCCTGTAGGAGCTGAAGCAGGTGCTGAGGCCTGGAGATGGTGCAGGCTGAGCTGTGGTGGTGTAGAGGGTGCTATTCGAGCTCTCTGCTGCTGTTGCTGCCGCTGCTGCTGCCTATAAGCAGATAGAGGGCAGAGGAATGAAGACAGAGAATGGAGTGGACCTCCTTTAGTTCCATGCCAAGAAAGACATGCTCTGGACTTCAGAAGCGAGCATTCCAAAGCCCTCCAGAGCTAGTTAGAGGATGCTGTTCCAAACACAGAATGCTAAGTCTGCCTTTGAAGGCAAGGGAGGTACTCTAGAACCAGGTGGGCTTTTGGGAGCCCCAGAAAGATAAGTGGGGTGAAAACACTTTAGCTGGGTATGGTTTGGTAGCAAAAGGTACCAAACTCAGATAAGGTCAATAAACATTTTACTGGCTTGCTTCTTAATGAGGAACGCAGACTTCCATTTCACAGGCGGGACTTGCTTAGGTACAAGGAATGACTTCCAGACTACTGGAGGTGGTCAGGCGAAAGGAGGACGAGGAAGGATCTTCTTACTTGAATATTATTCATACTTACTAGTCTGGAAGGACTTAGGCATTCACTTGTCTGAAGACAGAGGAAAAAGACCTAAAGGGTTATTTTTTTTTCTACACTGAGAAATGCCACTGTCCAATAAATGAGGGGAACAAAGCACATACTTTTGGGCAGTTGGATATTTGTTTTTTCTCCCTCCCATTTCTTTTCTTTTCTTTTTTTATTTTTTTGAGATGGAGTCTTACTCTGTCACCCAGGCTGGAGTGCAGTGGCGTGATCTCGGCTCACTGTAACTTGCCCCTCCCAGGTTCAACAGATTCTCCCACCTCAGCCTCCTGAGTAGCTGGGATGACAGGTACACTCCACCATGCCCAGCTAATTTTTGTATTTTTAGTAGAGATGGAACATCATCATGTTGCCCAGAGTGGTCTTGAACTCTTGACCTCAGGTGATTCACCCACCTCAGCCTCCCAAAATGCTGGGATTACAGACGTGAGCTACTGTGCCTGGCTCTCCTTCCCATTTCTACTGCAAGGTTAAGAAAGCAGACCTATCTGAGGGCTGTACCTTCTTGGTTGGGGCAAAGGGTGAGGGTAGAGGGATACCACAAGGCTATGCTGCTTCTGATGTTTAGCAAAGATCTTCTTGGAGAAAAGCTTCTCAGAGACTTGGAGAGAATGAGAAGTCAGAACCAGCCTGACTCAAATTTGAAAGAAATGTTCACTGACATTACCCAGTATCAAACCAGCCTTGACTCTAGTTTGTGTCCACTTTGAAGGGCCAGATCCCAACTTCTCCCTCTCTCTCCAAAGAAGGGGGCTGCCCAAATTCCAAAAACATGAACATACACAACAAATACATCACTTGAGCACAGCTCAATGGCTCTGGAGTGTAGAGCCTATGTGCTGAGGATGGCTGTGCCAGCACAGGCAGCAGGATTCATTGCTCGAGGAGCAATTGCCCTAAACACACTAGGCCAAGTCTCCTGACAGTGCACTGGCTTCAGGAGCAAAGTGTGGTGGCTAACAGAACACTCTTTACAGCCAGACAGACTTGGACTCTAACTCCAAATCTGCAATTCACTGGTTGTGTGACCTTGGGCAAGACATTTAATCTCTCTGAGTCTCTCTTACCTCATCTATAAAATGGGAAAATAACAGTACATATGCATCATAGAAATGTTGGGAGGATGAATGAGATGATAAATATACAGCACTTAAAACAGCTGATTGACATTGCTAAGAATTGGATAAATGGTAGTTATTATACCATCCAAGGGACAATTCCTTCAACTCATTTCATTCCTTCTATCTACTTCTGCCAAAAATGTCAGTCTCTTAGGTGGAGGCCACTCTATCTATCTTCTTCTTCCCTTCCCTCCCCTCCCTTTCTTCCGTCTAACAGAAGAGGTCCTCATGGAACTCAACCTCCTTTATGGGCCTTGGCCCTTTGATGGTACCGGTAACATCAGTCTACTACTGCTTTCACAAATGGTTTGTTGGCTTGATCAACCATAATTGCTCCTCTGTAGGACACTTTTTTTGTCTTTATTACGGCCTCAAATAAAGAACCAAACAAGTCCTGTGCATTCAGGAGCCACCTGGGCCAGAAGCAGCACTACGGATCAGCTTTTTATAGGGCTTTTATAGGGCTATGCATGCCAGCCCCATGGCTTTTTGTGGTTCGTGCCTGGGGATTTTCTTCTCTTGACCCCTCCAACTCCTTCTTCATTGTTATACCTTTGGCAGCTGAACCCCTCTAGGCCTGGGGGCTTCCTTCAGCTGTGCAGATTCTGTCTCATTTGAAGTTAAAGTAGGGGCTCCTGGTGGTCTATTACTGAATGTTAGCTGGTCCCCCTTTCCTCTGATTTCTGATCAGAGATTCAAAACCTTTTTGCCAAACTGCATGGCTGACTCCAGAGCCTTAGGTCAGCCACGGACTCCTGTACTAAATTGTTGTTGTTGTGTGTGTGTGTGTTTTTTTTCCTCTGTGCCCTCTAGTTGAAGAGAGAGCTTACAAAAATCTTTTTCTTTCCCTTGGAGGATTGCAAAATTCATCAAATTTCTGCAAGACCAGTTTGTACTCTGGCTGCTCCTCTTGACTGAGCGAGAAACTGTTGTAAACATCTAAAGCCTCAGGCCCAGCAAGTCAGGAATAAAGCTCCATTCCGTCTGTCTTTTTTGTCAATGCCTAGCAGATTCGAAACAAAACAGTACTTCAGTCTTTTTCCATTTCATTCATGATAGCAGGGCTTCATAGCTTAGGTGGGGCTTTGCTTGTTCCATCCCACATGGTCCCTTTCAGGCCCTACTTCCCCTGCATGGCATCAAACAGGCCCAGGTGCAAACCCTGGCTCTGTTGCTTTATAGCTGAGTGACACTGGACAAGCCACTTCTCTTTCATTATGCCTCAGTTTCCTCGTTTGCAAAATGGGAATGATATTACTTATTTACTTTGCAGGGGTGGCTGTGAGAATTAAACAATATGATGTAAAGCACATTGTAGATGCTTAATCAATGGTAGATGTTTGTTACTGCCACTCAAGCATTCAGAGATTCCATTATCCTCTCCTCTCCTATCCCACCTGTGGTCTGTATCTTGATTCTGGTCTTCAATGGCTGACCTGTTTCATGAGTATATACATGTCTCCACAGCCTGATGGTTAGGTTCTTGAGAACAGGAACTGTGTCTTGTACTTCCCGACAACATTGCTGGGCTTAGAGTAGGCAATCTATAGATACTTGTTGAATTAAATAGAATAGGTACATTTTTTTTTTGCAAGACATTATGGTTCTTTTATGAATGTTCTATGCAAAGGGAAGCTTTATTAAGACCCAGACACTGTTAAACAATCAACTGCAGCCTTTTTCTAGGGCCCCAAACAGCCTCAATTGTTGTGTCTATCAGTCTTAAAAGGCCAGCTCCCTCACACAGTTATTGGTTGGCAAGTCTTCAACCAGTCTTCATGAATTCTTCAGCAAGACAGTTAGAATGCTTGGAAGCTCTGCTTTTTGGGAAGATATGTGGGTGTTGGGAGACAGGAGTCAGGGCTAGGGGAACACTCTGAGGGACACCTACCTGGCCTCACAGATCGAACCACCACAGGCCTCTCACTGCCAGCCACGAAGCCAAAGCCATATATAGGGTCTCGGTGAACGGTCACTTGTCGCAGTATCTCTGCTGGCAGCTGCTCACATTCCATATCATTTGCGCTCTCTTCCTGCATCACATGACTGGGGAAAAGGGAAGGTGGGAGCAAAACAAGATGCACAGGGAACTAAGCCTCAGAACCAGCAGGGAGAGATGCCAGTTAGGGTTCTGGCCCTGGCACCCAGGAGTTTACAGCTTAGCTTCCTACATCCTCTGGAGCCAACAGAGATGATGACTGCCTCATATTTCAGATTGGAGAAAGAGAAATCTAGAAAGTAGAAGCTACTGTCTTCAGGGCTACAGCCAATAGAAGAAACTGACGTCATGAGCCTGAAATTAGAGTCAGACCCTTCCTCTCAGATATTGGAACTCCAGAAGGAACCCAATGCAAATATTCTGCAGAAGTTAACTGTCATCCTCCACTGACTTAGCTATTAACTCCGTAAAGGAAACCAAAGCCTTGCAGGAAGAGACCACAAGACAGGCAAGTAAGTGGCGGAAGAAATGTAAAGTTGTTCCAGAAGATGGAGCATCTTCATGAAGCCCTGATGCAATATTTTAAATTTTTTTTTTAATTTTTATTTTTTTTGAGACAGAGTCTCACTCTGTCACCCAGGCTGGAGTGCAGTGACACGATCTTGGCTCACTGCAACCTCCACCTCCCGGGGTCAAGCGATTCTCCTGCCTCAGCCTCCCGAGTAGCTGGGACTACAGGCATGTGCCACCACGCCTGGCTAATTTTTGTATTTTTAGTAGAGGTGGGGTTTCGCCATGTTGGCCAGGCTGGTCTCGAACTCCTGGCCTCAAGTGATCCTCTCACCTCAGCCTCCCAAAGTGCTGGGATTACAGGCGTGAGCCACCATGCCTGGCTCATCTTGATGCAATTTTAAACTTGAATACATCTTAAGTTGTATACAAAAATAAATGATTTAAGTAGCATATATAAATAAATGTGCTAATGTCTGGGACCAAAATTGTCCATAATGCCAACTTCTTTCAGTTAATGAGACACCTGGAAAAGAGTTCCTGTTGGCCAGAAGGGGAGCTGCATCCTGGGGCTGCCAGCAGGCCTGAAAGCCCAGAGGAACTGGGAGAAGAGAAATTACTGCCCTAACTCCAGGGAGAGATTACACATTGTTCTCCCGATTTCCACAACTTAAGTAACTAAAGCTTAGGAATTCCACAAAAGCTTCATAAATGTTCTCCATCAAGGGCCAGGGGAGGCATACTGCAGGCAAGAAGGGGTCTGAGTGTAGTATTCAAACAAAGAGCACTGAAGGATAAGGGTGTAGAGACACTGAGGCCTGTGATAGCACTGGTGCCAAGGCCAGGGAAGAAGGTAAAAGGAGGAATGGATGGTCAAGGAGAAGGGCAGGGCAGGTGGAGATGGAGGAGAGAGGGCCAGGGCCAAGTGGCCCAGAGCCTTAGCTCACTCATCTGGCACCACTACAGCCCCAGAATTTTAGGCCTTCTAGATAGACGGGTTTAAGTTTTCTAGCCTCAGTATGTGTATTTGCTAAAATTATGGTTCCAGGCAGAGCCCTTTGGAACAAGATACAGAGGGCCAGTAGCTAATTAATGAAACTAGTATAAGGTTTGTAAAAGAAGTAGGAGGTTTTGACATTCTGAGAGCAATGCAATTCTTTTTTTTTTTTTTTTTTTTTTTTTTGAGATGGAGTCTCCCTCTGTTACGCCAGCTGGAGTGCAGTGGCACGATCTCGGCTCACTGCAACCTCCACCTCCCAGGTTCAAGCGATTCTCCTGCCTCAGGCTCCAGGAGAGTAGCTGGGATTACAGGCGTGTGCTGCCCTGCCTGGCTAATTTTTATATTTTTAGTAGTGACATGGTTTCACCGTGTTGGCCAGGCTGGTCTTGAACTCCCGACCTCAGGCGATCCACCCGCCTCGGCCTCCCAAAGTGCTGGGATTACAGGCGTGAGCCACCGCGCCTAGCCGAGAGCAATGCAATTCTTTATTAGCTAAGAATATCAAATTCATCAGTAGCAAATGCTTCAAACCATTTAGGTTATTTATCAGGACACAGTTTCAGTAATAGAGAGAAGCTTTAGGACTATTTATAGGGGAAGGGGAAAAGATTTAGAATAATTGTATAAAAGAGAAATTCATAGTCCAGCAAAGAACTCTGAAGTTGTCTCTATCATATGAGATCTCTCTGGCTACACCTCACACTGGCTTGGAGTCTGTCTGTCACCCCTTCGGGAGGTGGAAGGGGATGCTAGGATGAGGTCAAGTCTCTGGAAGGCAAATTCAGAAACTTGCTCCTTCCCTCTCACACCACTAAGATAAATGGTCACTTTTCAATAGAAAGTCACTCCGAAGCTGGAATGTGGCTGATTAGTGTCCTGGACAGGCACACTCCTAGGACAGGGACCCTCTGAGGGTGGCCACAGGCTGGCGCCTCTTTCATTTTGGCTCCTGGTGGCAGGCAGGAGCTCGTCCTTGAAGGAAGCCAGAGAACATCTTCCTGCAGCTGCCGTCTTGCCTCACCCCTAGGGCTATTTGGAAAATGAGCCCTTTGCTTCCTGCCACCCGGACTTGTTGGCGCTAAAAGGACTTCTTGGGATGGCACCAGCTCATTTCCGACATGGGCATCAGCCAGGGAAGGCTCTGCAGACTGTGGCGTGGGGAGAAGGAACTCCGGCAAGGAAGACAGACACAGGTGTGCTGCAGAAGCACTTGGGATACTGTCCTACGCTCAGTGCTCCCCCTTGATCCCTGCCACTGCAGCCTCCCCTTTGCCCTTTTTTCCTTTTTTGAAGCAGAGGACATCTCAGTTTCCACTGGGCCTTGAGGTACTACCACTTCTGAAGAAAATGGGCACTCCTGGAGCCAGAGGAATCAATAAGCAAACAGCGTTTTGTGACACAAGTGCTTTGCTTTACTCTTTTGACTCATATTAATTAATCAACAAGTATTTATCAAGTGCCTACTCAGACAGTCCAGCACTCTGGGGGACACAGGAGAAGTGACAGGTCTCTGCCCTCAAAGAGCTTTCAGTCTAGCTGGGGGAGAAAAGACAAGTGGGCATACTGAACAAGACAATTACAGTGCTAACTGAGACTGGTAGATGAGATCTACAACTAAGTTCCAACTTGGGTGTTCAGAAGATGGGGCAGAGAAGCTGGAGAAGACTCCATGGAGGAAGTGGGGATTGTACTCACTGGCCAAGAAAGGGCAGAGTTGGGGAGAGAGGCAAGAACCAAACTCTGTCCATAGGTGCATTCCATCTTCCTGCAGGTGGCCCAGCTATGTGGTTCATAGGTGCAGGCATATCTCCAGGTGTGGCTGGAGCACATTCATCCCTGGGTTGTCCCTAACTGAGCTGGACTAACTGCCCTTAACTGCCTTCAATTCTGCAAGCAGCCCTTTCCTCACACCACTCCCAGGTATCTTGGGACAGGGGAGAAACACCTCCATTAACAGACCAGAAGGCCATTTTACAATTCAAATGGAAGTTGTTCCTTCCCTCCTGGGGTTTGCCTTTTTCAGTGTCTGCAGCTCAGTCCCTCTGAAATTTGCTAAGTGCCTGGAGACTTGGGAGTGACACTGAAGGCAAGCAGTGATGGATGACAGGAGCTCAGCTGTCCATGGGTCACATGACTATCCTCCTGGGGGAAACAGGCAATTTGACTTTGAAAGATGTTTGGCTTCTGGTCCCTTCAAATAGGGCATCCCTGAACAAAATTGTGAAGCAGCCAATGCTTATCCCCCACCCCCCGCCACCCCACGAGGTTTGTTTCTGAGGCCTGCTATTTGCTTCTGTTATTTGCCCCAAAGTATGTAGTGCCTTCATTCTCTCCCCTTCTTACCAAAGTCCCCAAAGGCATTCCCTCACCTTGTGCCAGGCTTGCCCTCTCTATTTAGTGACCTGGGTAAAGGCCTAGCCTTTCTCTTCTGCCTAATGATAACAACACTTTATATTCGTGTGGTTCTTTTCATTTTTACACTCATTACTTCATTTGAGAAAAGATGCTTTCACATCCATTATCTCCTCTGTCCTGCCAAATACGCTAGGTGACTGTTCCTCCTCCATCCCAGCCTTCTAGGTAGGAGATGAAGAGGCACAGACCCACAGTGGCTAAGCACATTGGTGGCCCAGCTGGGGCCACATCTCTATGCTAGGACCCACAATTGCAGCACCCCCTACCTGCTCCCACTCACGGTCCTGGACCCTCTGGCTATCCAGAGTCTCCATTGCAAGCTGCCCCAACCCTACAGTCAGCAGCACTCTACGTCCTAGCCCAGCCTGTATGCTCAGCCCACATCATAATTAACCTGTCTCTGAGCCTGTTCACTCCGTGTTGTTGGGAGAATGAAATGAGATCATGGTTACAGAAGCACTTAGGAAGGTTAAGCATATCACACAAATGTAGAGGTGGCGATGTTATTGATAGCATTATTCGGGGTGGCTGGAGGAGCAGAGAAGGGGAGCCAAATATAAACTTCACCCGCTTCACACAGCCGAAGCCCTACCCCCAACTCCTTGCCTCTAAGAGACAGCCCCGCAACGTACTCTGTCCGCTCATTCTCCCAGCAGCTCTTTCCCTGACCCAACTACGAGACAACCTGGCTCCCTCTAGATGCCCTGATTCCTCCGTGGGCTAAACTGATCCCTCCATCACTGTCCAAAGAGGGACTGGTAGCTCGAGCTCATGCTAACAACTGTTGCTAGGCAGATGTGGCTAAAGGACAAATGAACCGAGAAGAATATGGAATGATTCTAAGCTGATGCTCTCCCTACTTGTGCTCTCATGCAGGAAGATGGAAATGTAACAGCTAAATTTCCAGGCATCCACTTTTAGTTCTCCAGCCCTCTTTGCCTTTGGCTCCTTTTTCTTTACATTTGGTTGGCTCCTTGGGGAGTCTTGTCACTCCCCTCAAGACTGGCAGGATTTGGAACCATGTGGGGCCAATTAGCCCTCTGATTCCGGTAACAGAAGCCTGACTCTACTGGAAGCTCTAGAGATCCAGCATGGCAGGCTAGCAGCTGGGCCCCCATGAGATGCAACATTCCCCTGGTGGCAGAGATGGCAGCCCATCCCCAGCGCTGTGAAGTAGCTGCTCTGTGTGCCCTTTTGTAAGGAGCTTGGGCACAAACCTTTCTTCCTGTAAAGGAGTACTTGCTTGTTATTTTGGCTAGCTGCTCCTTATTCTAGTAGTGTTGCTCAAACTTTAAAGTACATACAAATCACTTGGGAGTATTGCTAAAATGATTCTGATGCAGTAGGTCTGGAGCAAAGTCTGAGACTCTGACAATTCCAGGGTCGTGCCCAAGCTGCTGGTCCACAGACCACACTTTGAAAAGCCAGGACTGAAAAGAGTGCTATTTTTAGACAATGGAAGAGCTACAGTCAGGTGGGAAAACTGAGGTGCTTTTATTCCACTGGGTTATGGCATTGAAGGCCTGGGTTAAAACATAAATGTTATCTTTTGTGGACACATAAATTCATGCAAACAAAGGACTTGCTGGTTGAATCAGATTTACCCCAGGAGAGAACAGGGAGGGCTCTAAACTGACATGAAATAAGACAGATATGGTTGCACTGAGGAAAAGTAGAGAGAAGATCTGAAAGACTGGGCACTGTTTAAGTCCAGCTGAAGAGTTTGGTCAGCAAAAGGACAGCCTGAGAACACTGGCATCTGGGAGGAAAGTGAGGAAAATGCTGAAAAAAGGGACAGTGCCGAAAACAATAATATCAGCTGCCATTTATTGAGGACTTACTATGCTCCAGGTGCTGTCCATAAATTATGTCACCCCATTTTCACTATAACCTCATGAGCTAGGTGGTATTATGTCCATTTTACAGATAAGGAAACTGAGATTTGGGAAGAGAGATTAAGTAATTTGCTGAAGGATATACAACTATATATATTGTGTGGCACCAAAATGTGAACCCAGGTCTGCCTAACTCCAGGGCCAATCATCTTCCACAATTTGTGCCAAGAACCTGTGCATAAAGTAGGGGTTTTGTTGTTGTTGTTGTTGTTTTGTTTTTGAGGCAGCGTCTCACTCTCATTGTCCAGTGGAACCATCACAGCTCAAGGCAGCCTCGACTTCCTGGGCTCAGATGATCCTCCCACCTCAGCCTCCCCAGGAGCTGGGACTACGGGTGCATGCCACCATGCCTGGCTAATTTTTGTGTGTGTTTTTTTTTTTTTGTATTTTTAGTAGAGACAGGGTTTTGCCATATTGGCTAGGCTGGTCTCGAACTCTGGGGCTCAAGTGATCTGCCAGCCTCAGCCTCCCAAAGTGCTGGGATTTCAGACATGAGCCACCACACCCAGCTTAAAGTAGTTTTCTAGAAGGCAATGAGATAGGCTTCGTAGGAGGATTTGGCAGACTACTCTTCCCTAAGTGAGCTGAGGGCCACTTCAATGCTGTCTGTAAGAGCAGCCTCCCTTGAAGCCCCCACACCCAGCGGCTCACCTATTAGAGACTCCAGCCCCAGAACTGGCTTTCTACATGCCTCTAAGCCCACCCTCCCATATGTGAGACTCATCCCATAAGGCCTTGCCTTTCTGTTCACTTCAGTCACCACCAGAAAGAAGTCTACTTGCCTCTGGTCCTTAGAACCCTGACTCTCCTCCCCATAGCAGTCTGTTTACACTCTTATCCCATTTTTCTCCTCCCTTTCAAATCCTTCCAGTGTGTCCACTGGAACTCTCAGTCAACAACAAACTCTCCTATAGCCTCAATTTATTCTTGGAAAGTGTCCTTCACCTTCTTTCCCGGTTCAGACCTGTGTATTCCTTGAGGGCACCACTTCCCCACCAGCCCTCTCAAATGGAAACTGGGGTTTTTGGTTTTGCTTTGTTTTGTTTTTCTTTTGCAAAATTCAAGTCCTCCGGGACCTGCAGGTGAGATAAGTATCCTCCTTGCTTGCCAATGCTGCCTCCAGGCCATTACTCCTCCTTCTTTCTGCAAAATATCCTGCGTCTTTGAGGAACCTGCCTGCCGCCCACCTCTACCACTCTCTTTCTCCTCATTGTTATCTACAGATTTCCTAAGTTGGTCCCACATTCACTGAGGACTTTAGTTCCCAGTCACATGTGATTTTTCCTTCCACTCCTTAAAAGAAATCATGGTAAAATATCCATAACATAAAAGTTACCATTTTAACCATTTTTATTATTGATTGATTCGATTGATTGAGACAGGGTCTCACTCTGTTGCCCAGGCTGGAGTACAGTGGCAGAATCATAGCTCACTGCAGCCTTGACCTCCCAGGCTCAAGCAATCCCACCTCAGACACCCAAGTAGCTGGGACCACAGGCGTGTGCCACCCTGCCTGACTATTTTTTATATTTTTTTGTAGAAATGGGGTTTTGCCATATTGCCTAGGCTGGTCTTGAACTCTTGGGCTCAAGCAATCCACCCACCTCAGCCTCTCAAAATGTCAGGATTACAGGTGTGAACCACCATGCCCAGCCTACCATTTTTAGAAGTACAGTTTTACAGCATTAAGTACACTCACATTATTATGCAACCATCACCATCATCCATCTCCACAACTTTTTCACCTTCCCAAACTGAAACTCTGTACCCATTAAATAGTAATCCCTCATTACCCCTCCCTTCCCAACCCATGGAAGC
The DNA here is from genome assembly GCF_000001405.40 of Homo sapiens. Taxonomy (NCBI): domain Eukaryota; kingdom Metazoa; phylum Chordata; class Mammalia; order Primates; family Hominidae; genus Homo; species Homo sapiens. The sequence goes on along the minus strand of NC_000023.11, from coordinate 107,519,050 downwards.
CACAATTCTACTTTCTGTTTCTATGAATTTGATTACTGTAGGTATCTCATATAAGAGGAATCATACGATATCTGTCTTTTTGTGACTAGCATATTTTGCTTAGCATAATGTCTTCAAGGTTCATCCATATTGCTGCATGTGTCAGAATTTCCTTCCTTTTAAGACTAATAGTCCATTGTATGTATGTATCACATTTTATTAATCTGTTGATGCATATTTGGGTTGTTTCTACCTTTTGGTTGTTGTGAACAATGTAGCTATGAACACGGGTGTACAAATATCTGTTGCAGCCCCTGTATTCTTTCAGGTACATACCTAGAAGTGGAACTGCTGAATCGTAAGGTAATTCTATGTTTTACTTTTTGAGGAATCATCATACTGTTTTCCACAGCAGCTGTACCATTTATGTTCCCACCAGCAATACACAAAGATTCCAATTTCTCCACAGTTTGCCAACATTCCAATACTTATTATTTTCTGTGTTTTTCATTTTTTTTTATAATAGCCTTCCTAATGGGTATGTCCACTCCAACTCTTGATATCATTATTGGTGAATTCAACATTCACAGGGTGACGAGGAGACCTCTAACAATTGCTTCTTCCGCTTCACTCACTCCATCATCACCTACCTAGACTTTGGGTTATCAGATATTGCACTACCCCCAAATCTCAATGCCCAATATCCCACTCTCTACGACACCATCCATTCTTCCAGTTTACCTCCACAAGGGCTCCCACTGCAGGAAGCATCTGAACGCGTCATGATCACCTATTCACTTCCCACTTGATATTCCCTTTTACTAGAAATCTCTTCCCTCATTTTTCACAGAGCTGGCTCTTCATCCTTTAGGTCTCAGCTTAAATGTCACCTTTTCATAGATGCCCATCTGCCAGCACTTTCTCCTACTTATTACCATTCTTACTCTCCTTCAAGTTCCTTTTTATTTTCACTTCTCTTCATGTCCAGCTTAGAGTTCCTGGTCTATCATTATGATCATTCCCTTCCAAACACCTTCAACTTCCTTACTTCCTCTCCCCCTGCTATATCTCATCCCTCGATGAACTCAATTCTCCATGCCTGCATTGGAGTAGCTGAAGGGTGCTGGAGAAAAATCACACAACTGGGTAGCTGGATTTCACTTTAAAATCCATGGGTATATGCTCTCAATTCTGTCTGGCCATTTATCTCCCTCCCTCCCTCCCTCCCTCCCTCCCTCCCTTCCTTCCTTCCTTCTTTCTTTCCTTCCTTTCCTTCTTTTCTTTTCTTTTCTTTCTTTCTTTTTTTTTTTTTCCCAGAGTTTCGCTGTTGATGCCCAGGCTGGAGTGCAATGGCACCATCTCGGCTCACTGCAACCTCCACCTCCCAGGTTCAAGCAATTCTCCTGCCTAAGCCTCCTGTGTAGCTGGGATTACAGGCACCTGCCACCACACCTGGCCATTTTTTGTACTTTTTAGTAGAGACAAGGTTTTGCCATGTTGGCCAGGCTGCTCTCAAACTCCTGACCTCAGGTGATCCGCCCTCCTTGGCCTCCCAAAGTGCCGGGATTACAGGCGTGAGCCACCACGCCCGGCCATGGTCAACACTTTCTCTGTCTCTAAAATGACTATTTCATCACTCGCCCTCTCTCCTCCATCTTCCTCACTTTCCCATTTTCCCCAAGAAATCTCAGCTGACGACCTCATCCCATAGATTACTGAAAAAAACAGAAGCTATCAGATGAGAGCTCCTTCATCTTACCGCCACCAAATCTATACACTACCCTGTCTACATCTGTACCCATGTTTTATTTTTTCCCTATTAAAATGGAGGTACTGGTACCAAAACAGAGATATAGATCAATGGAACAGAACAGAGCCCTCAGAAATAATGCCGCATATCTACAACTATCTGATAAAAACAAGAAATGGGGAAAGGATTCCCTATTTAATAAATGGTGCTGGGAAAACTGGCTAGCCATAGGTAGAAAGCTGAAACTGGATCCCTTCCTTACACCTTATACAAAAATTAATTCAAGATGGATTAAAGACTTAAATGTTGGACCTAAAACCATAAAAACCCTAGAAGAAAACCTAGGCAATACCATTCAGGACATAGGCATAGACAAAAACTTCATGTCTAAAACACCAAAAGCAATGGCAACAAAAGCCAAAATTGACAAATGGGATCTAATTAAGCTAAAGAGCTTCTGCACAGCAAAAGAAACTACCATCAGAGTGAACAGGTAACCTACAGAATGGGAGAAAATTTTTGCAATCTACTCATCTGACAAAGGGCTAATATCCAGAATCTACAAAGAACTCAAACAAATTTACAAGAAAAAAAAAAACAACCCCATCAACAAGTGGGCGAAGGATATGAACAGACGCTTCTCAAAAGAAGACATTTATGCAGCCAAAAAACACATGAAAAAATGCTCATCATCACTGGCCATCAGAGAAATGCAAATCAAAACCACAGTGAGATACCATCTCACACCAGTTCGAATGGCGATCATTAAAAAGTCAGGAAACAACAGGTGCTGGAGGGGATGTGGAGAAATAGGAACACTTTTACACTGTTGGTGGGACTGTAAACTCTTTCAACCATTGTGGAAGTCAGTGTGGCGATTCCTCAGGGATCTAGAACTAGAAATACCATTTGACCCATCCATCCCATTACTGGGTATATACCCAAAGGATTATAAAACATGCTGCTATAAAGACACATGCACACGTATGTTTATTGCGGCACTATTCACAATAGCAAAGACTTGGAACCAACCCAAATGTCCAATAATGATAGACTGGATTAAGAAAATGTGGCACATATACACCATGGAATACTATGCAGCCATAAAAAATGAAGAGTTCATGTCCTTTGTAGGGACATGGATGAAGCTGGAAACCATCATTGTCAGCAAACTATCGCAAGGACAAAAAACCAAACACCACATGTTCTCACTCATAGGTGGGAATTGAACAATGAGAACACATGGACACAGGAAGGGGAACATCACACACCAGGGCCTGTTGTGGGGTGGGGGGAGGGGGGAGGGATAGCATTAGGAGATATACCTAACGTTAAATGATGAGTTAATGGGTGCAGCACACCAACATGGCACATGTATACATATGTAACTAACCTGCACGTTGTGCACATGTACCCTAAAACTTAAAGTATAATTTAAAAAAATGGAGGATGTTTCTTTTCTTCTATCATGGCGAATCTCCTTACTTATGTTCTGGTACCATCCCCTCTTATCTTCTCAAGGATTTTACTCCTTTGGGCATTCATTCTCTTTCCTAAATTACCAATCTCTCCACCGCTCCAGAATCATGCTAGCATGCTGATGGAAATAATCCATCCTTAAGAAAACAAACAAAATACACCTCCCTCTACTCCACAATTCCCTTGCAGTGTCTGCCCCATTTTCCTGGTCCCTTGGGCAACAAAATTCCTCAAAAACGTTTTCTACACATATGTCTCCACTTCATCTCTTTTTTTTCTTTTAAGGACATTGCATTAAGGACACAAGACTTCTTCATCTCTTATTTGCTCCCCAATCCACTATCCCCTGGCTTCCACATCTATCACTCTGCAGAGTTGCTCTTGTTAAGGTCCGCATTGGCCTCCATGGTCATCTCTCGGTCCTTACCTACTCAACTTCTCAATAGCTGTAGACAGTTAGCCACTTCATCCTTGCCGAAACATTCTCCTCTCCTGGCTTCTAGGACTACCTCCAGACTGTCCTCCAACCTCTCTGGCCACTTTTTCTTAGTCTCCTTCGTGGGTTTCTCCTTCCCGACTTAATCACTAGATATTGGGGTTCCTTGGAACTCAGTTCCAGGCCTTCTAGTCTCTCTCTATTCTTTTTCCTAAGGTGATCTCATCCAGTCCCCTGGTTTTAAATACAATCTATATTCAGACAACTCCCAAATTTGCATTCTAACCACACCTCCTCTGTGAGCTCCAAAACTCATATACTCTGACATGTTTAATTTTATGCCTCACAGGAATCTCAAACTTATCATGTCCAAAACTGAACTCTTGATTTATTTTCCCTCTCAAGCCTAGGCTTCCCTCAGCCTTCCTCATCTCAGCATATGGCACCATCATCTCTTTAATTACTTAAGCCAGAAACCTGAGAGTCATTCTTGAGGCCTGTCTCTCCCTTTCCCTTACCTCCCCACCTAGTCCCTCAGTATTGTATAAGTATTGTCAGCTGTCACCTAAAAACCCATCCAAGACCGGGCACAGTGGCTCACACCTGTAATCCCAGCACTTTGGGAGGCTGAGGTGGGCAGATCACCTGAGGTCAGAAGTTCGAGACCAGACTGGCCAACATGGTGAAACCCTGTCTCTACTAAAAATACAAAAATTAGCTGAGCGTGGTGGCACGCACCTGTAATCCCAGCTACTCGGGAGGCTGAGGCAGGAGAATCACTTGAACTCAGGAGGCAGAGGTTGCAGTGAGCCGAGATCGCACCACTGCACTCCAGCCTGGGTGACAGAGCAAGATTCTGTCAAAAAAAAAAAAAAAAGGAAAAGGAAAAGGAAAAAAGAAAGCTCATCCGGGATCCGACAAGCTCGCTCCCTCTCCATGGCTGTCACCCAGTTCAAGCCACCATCATCTCTCCTGTGAGTTGCTGCAGCAGCCTCCTTACTGGTCTCCCTGTATCCACTGCTGTCCCTTTCCAAGTCTGGTCTCTACAGATATTGCAAAAAGTCCATATCAGATCCTGTCACTCCCCCGCTTAAAACCCTTCAGACATTTCCTACTGCAAGCGAATAATATCCAAACTCCTTTTGTGTGGCCCATAAGGCCCTGCGTGATCTCTTTCTGCCCTACCTGCCAACTCCCCCACCCCTCCATGCTACTCTTCCTCTTGCCTACAATCTGGCCCTCCTGGCCTCCTTTTAGTTTCTCAACACACCAAGGTCTTTGCCACCTTAAGGCATTTCCACTTGGTCTTCCTTTTTCCTGGAAACCTCTTTTCCCATTCTTCATATGGCTGAATTTATCCTTTAGGTCTCCACTTAAATATCACCTCCTCACAGAGAACTTCCCTGGAAACTTCACCTTGGTTATTCTCTACTATTGCAACCTGTTCATTTCATTCTGCAGACTCATCACGATTTGTAGTTATATATTCATTTGTGTGATTATTTGGCTTTAAACCCCATAAAAGTAGGAACTCTGTCTTTTTTGTACAACAGTATATCTCCTCCACTTGATATGATACCTGGCACACAATTAAGTGCTTAGTATTTTTTAAATCAACCAATGAATGAATAGAAGTGAATTTGAGGCATACAGATTAGAATCCTCTGGCCTTTACATGCAGTTTATTATCAAATGCCTACGGTTTGTGTCTCAGCCTGTGAAAGGCAGGTTTCTGAATGGGAAGTCTGGCCCATGGGAGAAACCCCTCAACATCTCTGTGCAAAGACAAAGTCAGAGAGAGAATGCAGTCAAAGAAAGAGTACAGGGAGGGCTACAAGCTAAGAAGGAATGGGAGACGGCATGGTTCCAGCCTTTTTAGGGGAGTGACAGTGGGAAATCCAACAGCTATTCCTTCTCAGGGAAGGAATTTTTTAAGGGTAGACAACTATCCTTTCAGAATGGCAAGGGGCAGGAGGATGGGCAGGGTGACTTTGAATAGTCCTTCCCACTCTGAGAGTCTCTGGGTAGATGATTTGGTTACTTTCCTAGGGCTTTCTCTCTATTTCCCTTGCAGGTCTTCATGGCCCTGCAACTTCCTCTTCAGCTGAGCTTGGAGAGGCATCGTCTGGAAAACATGGTGGTATCTGGATTCTTTTTCTGGTTGTCCAAACAGTTGCTTTTCCCCAGTGGGCTGGAATGGAGACACCTGTCACCCATTCTAGCAGGTCAGGAGGGAGCAGGGGGAGAGACCAAGGTCATCTTTCCTTTCACAAATACCTGGAAACCTGGAGTCACCTTGCAAAAGACCAACCCCATAATGCTTCAAAGAGGGAACTGCAGAGGACCCTCTATACAGCTGTCCCCTCCCCTGTCCCCTCCTCCCTCCTGAAGCTATAGTCAATAAATTCAGACATGTTGTCTAATAGGTCCAGACATGCTCCTAAACCCTGCCTGTTGGGGCTGCCAGCCAGGTGACAGATGTGAGGGCTGTGCCAGATGTGAGGCTGCTGCCATATGGCACTGTGTGTCACAAGGTCTGAAGCTGCTGCCACTGAGCTGTGGAAGAATTAGTGGGGAGATCCTTGCGTTTTAGCCTCCACTCACCTGTCACTGGCAGAGGCAGCAAGGGGGAACTGGAGCAATGAAATATTCATAGGAGCTTGAAGGAGTTGTCATGTCACACCAAGGAGCCCTGGGCACCCCAGCCCCCACCCTCCATGTACCACACCAACTAATTCTGAAAGAGGCAGAGATATATAGGGATTGACTGAGCCAGAACGGGAGAGATGAGGAATGAAGGGAAAGACACAGTCAAGAGGGGAAGACAGCTGAGCAGGAAAGGGGACCAGGCAGAGCAAAGGAGGAGAGGAAAAGAGAGGCCATGAAAACAAGACAAAGAGGAGAAATGAGACAAGAGGAGGGCCTTGCAGACGGTGAAGAGGAAAGTTTAGGCTTGGGGAAGGCAAGCACTGCAGAAGCTATGCAGCCACTTCTGATTGTCGTGGCTTTTTGGAGGTGCTCCCCAGTTCTTCACCTGCTCTTTTAAAAATGCTCTTGAGCTGCCCCCCACCAGCTCTGCCCTCAGGGCTCCCACCACTGCTAAAGGGCCACATGGTAATGACAGTCTTCTGGTAGAGGACCTTGGGTGATGAAGCTCTAGGGGAGGGGACTGCTATTTTGCCATACTGAGAGCCTAACTGCACCCTCCCCATCTCACAGATGGGGATGCAGCAGGCAAGGGGCAAATCAGAAACGGCATGAGGAAGAGACCCAGGACACCTTCCTGACTTAGGCCAATTTCCCACTCACCGGAGGCTGTAGTGTGAGTGTGAGTGTGTGTGTGTGTGCGCGTGTGTGTGTGTGTGAAAGAGGAGATCAAAAAAAAAAGAAAGTAGGAAGTGGAGAGAATTCCAGAAGGTGGAGGGAATGGTCATGATGGGAAAAGTGGAGTTGGCAGGGAAAAGATCAGCAGGCCTGAATTCTTCCCCTCAGTGAACACATCTCTCCGAGGCCAAGCTGGGCTGCAGAGCCCTGGCACAGAATGCTAAGCCAGAAGAGGGTCCCCGGCCACCCAGATCTCTCTCTCCTCTTAGATCTCAGACTTCAGCCTGTCAAAGGCCGAACTGTAAACAAACCTTGGAGGGCAGACAGGGGGAGCAGGTGTGGGCAGGAGCTTCTGGGAACTTCCCAACAAGTAGCTGCCTCCAGCAGCCAAAGACCCAGGGCTCAAATAGCACCCCTCTGGGGGCTGTTTGGCAGGTGCCTGCTGCACAGGGCTCTGGGCAAAGCCTCCTGAAGCCAAATGTGGGCCTACTCAGCTGGCTGGCTGTGCCATCTGCTTCCTTCCTGTGAGGCTACTAAGGCATCGATGGCCTGGGCCACCAGCCTTCCATGCCCCCAACCCCTGATGCTCATCAAACTCCTGGAGAATCTCAGAGTTGGCAGGGAGCTTGGAGGTTACTGACTTCCCCCTTGCCCACCCTCTGCTGATTTCCAGAAGCAGCAGGGGGAAGCTTTCTAGAAGATGACTGCAGCTGGGTATGGCAGGAAGGGCCAGATTTGAGCAAGTGGAGACGGAGGGCACTGAGAACAGGCCCAGAGACAGAAGGGAACAGGCATATGTGGCACGAGGCATGAACACAATAGCCTGAGTAGATGAGGGGGTTGCTGGGGAAAGATGAGTTGGGAAGCAAGAAGCATAGCTGACCCGGCATAGACAATGAGTAGGCCTTTCTCTCACTCCCTCTCTCATGTCTGGCTCCGTTGGGACTCTAGGTTCTATCCTCCATCCTCAACTCCCATGCCCCTTTGGGGAACTTGTGAAGAGAGGGGCAGGCCAGTCTAGCCTGAGCTGGACAGAGAAAGGCACATCTATCTCAACGCTTTGCCTAGATGTCTACCTGCTCCTCCCTCTTGCCTGAGATGATGCAGGTTGTATCTGAAGCCAAGGACTTACGCCCAGCAGTTGCCAAGCTGACTTCCTGTGAGGGAGCAACCCCTGACTCCTTCCAGTGCACCATCTCTGAATTGTCCAATCAGGAGCACAGTCCAGGGACAGGGCAAAAATTAGGCCAAAAAGCCAGTGATCAAAGGAAGGTACATGAACAGAGGCCTGGTAAACTCATGTCACCTTGTCTGGAGGCAGCCAGAAACACCAACAGCAGCCTCAGGACAATGAGACACCTTTTATTCTGCCTAATTGCATCTTCCTGCTGAGAGGGAGGGAAGAATTATAAGGTCTTTCTTAAACAGTGGTCAGAAAAGGGGAATGAAGTTGGTGAACCCTCCACCTAAGAATAAAAACCAAGGGCAAGAGCACGTGCTATGCTGAACCATTAGCACAGAGGGCATGAGTTAGCACCAAAACACTCTGTACCTCCCCCACGTTGGTAGCTGGGAAAACCCTGTCTGTTTCCTGAAGGTGAGTGACAGAGAAATTACAAACCTCAGAGCACCTGTGGGCTCGTCTTTGGATGCATCAGGGACAGGCAGGGAGTGGGTGGGGAAGAAGATTGCATCCTACTATACAACCAGGCTTGGGAGAAACAGAATCCTAAGGAATCCTGAGAACCCACAAGCTCTCTATCTGGCAACACTGATTTGATGATGGACCCCAGACTTGACTCACTAAGGTAGAAAAGCAGACCCAGGCATTTTAGGAAGAATCAAAAAGAGTAGGAAAAACGATTTTTTTTTTGGCCCAACCTTCAGTTACTCAGAAACAATCTATTAATCAGAAAATCCATTCCCTAAGTATTCAGGTTTGGGGATTACAATTTTTGTTTTGTTTTTTGTTTTATTTTTTTCTTTCAATAATTAAAATCCACAGAGCTGGGGCTCTCTGTTATGGAAGAATGCAAGCTCTGCTCTGATGTCTCCCTTCTTATAAGGGTAATAATAGCAGAGTCCCTTACTGTGAATCAGGGCTTCCTCCACCAGCTTTTAGATAGCATTCATTCATTCATTCATTAATATATGTAATAAAAGTTTACTGAGCACCTACTATGTGCCCAGCATAGTGCTGAGATATGGAGATAAATTAAGGCCCAGTCTGTTCCCTTAGGGAGATTGCAGTCTAAGGTGGAGGCAGGTATGTAAACAGACTAATATAAAACCATGTGTTACCTGGTACCACAGAGGGCAGCAGAGGATGCTATGTAAGCACAGAAGAGACTATGCCCCAACTGTGCTGTGACTCCCAGCAGAAGACCACCACTCCCTCCTCTCACCAAAGGTGAGAAGGACATTCCAGGAAAGGAATGTCAAACCTGACAGCAAATGAAAAGTTAAGAAGATTCAGTAAAGAGGGAAACCTCTAGGTGTTTAAGTCACTACAATCATAAAAAGAAATCATAGAAAAAATTCAGGCAAAACTGAAGGGAATGTTTAATTCAAGGAGTAATGCTACCCACTGACTCCTTTCATGTCACCTTATGAAATGGTACAGTGCACTCTGAAGAGGCCACAGAGACAACCGGGGCACAGCCCAGCACTGGACTTGCCAGCCACATATCTAACGCACCACCCCAAAGCTACACATGGAAGGTCTCCCTCTCATGAGAGGAGGCAGGAAGGGTGGACCACCAGCAGATGCATTGAGATCCAGCCAGAGTAATAGAGACCAAAGCTATAAAGCTCACATACCCCATTATGCCCACATTGAAGAGGGTCTTTGCGGAGCCAGCTCTATGAATGGGCCAGGGCCAACAGTGAGGAGCTATAAATAACCCAGCTGCAGGGCCAGATGTGACACAGGAACATCAGCAAGGGACCTGGCCACATTCAGGTTTCAGGTTTCAGCTCACAGAGGCCAAGCTGGGGGGAGCGGGGCGAATATCAATGAGCACAGCAATACTATTACTTATATCCAAGAAACAAGTCCCCCCTCCCTCCCCAGGAGGTAGGAAGATGGCTTTGCCCAGTATTGCAAGTAAGGCTCTAAAAACTTTTCAGAAAATAATTCCTAATAAAGGTACTCAGATAGAGCCATAATATCGTATTAACAACTCCAAGCCAGCAGACCAGACACTTGTCTAATTAATAAAAATTATAAAGCAGAACAACTTATTGATGTTACAGGCATGGCACTTAGTACAACAACAAAACCCAAATCCATGCAGAACACTCCATCTTCTCTAGGAAGCCCTCTCTCCGCCAACCTGTACAATCACTTCCTTAGTGCAAAGAGGGGCTGGGGAATGGAGAGCATAGTGTAGAGCTCTGGGCAACTGGCTTGGGGGAGGAGGGGACTGTAGGGAAGACAAATCTCTGTCTCATGCACAGATCTTCTAAAGGGTAGTTCCAACTTGAGCTCTGGAGTTAGTGATCTGGGCTGGAATCCCAAATCTGTGGCAAATTGGTTAACCTCTTGAGCCTCAGTTCCTTCATCTACAAAATGGGGTTCATGGGGTGCCTACTTCAAAGCACCTATGTGAAGATTAAATATACATGAAGTGCTGGTGCAAAGTAAGTGCTCAATCAGTAACTGCTATTAGCAATTACTGTTATCATTATTACTAGGCACCTACTAATACATTCTGCTGTCTTGTTATAGCGCACTCGGTTTGCCTTTCTCTACAGGAGAAATAATGGGGATGATTTGAAAATTGATTCAAAACTCTTTGCACCTGGGCCATGACTTTAGATCTACAGAATAAATACACTTTGCTGTAGGGACAGCAAACTCGATTTTACTATTTCATTAAAGCCAAATTCTCATCATATTTCTAGTAGTTAACAGTGAGAGGGCTGAAGTAAAACTGTTTTGAGATCCCAGGTCTGCATCTCACTGGCTGTGGGACCTTGGGCTTGTGGACCTCTCTGTGCTTCAATTTCCTCATCCGTAAAATGGGGATAGTATCTACCCTATAAGGATGTTGTGAAGATTAAACAAGGCAATGCATATTAAGCACTTAGAACTGTGCCTGGCACACAGAAAGCACTGAGTGAATGCCAGCTACTGCTCTTACTGTACATGGACTAGGTAAAGAGCTTAGCACAATGTCGGGCACATAGTTATAATAGTAGCTACTAGGATCATCAGTACTCTAAGTAAAATGAGTGACTGGGGATGGAGGAACAGAAGGAAGATCTGGGTGTTCTCTGAGAAGGGACTGAGTTAGGATAAACTCGCCTTTAGGATCTCAGGCCCCTCTCCCCTGAGTTTTACAGAGCTTAAGAAAGGAAAGTGATAGGTATGCTCCTGCATATTCCCGATTGCTAACATTTCTGTGATTGGTGCACCACCTCGAAGGGTGGTCTTGCTTCTCCACCCCGCGGAGCTTCGCGAACGCTGAGGCTCCAACCCGCCCTACCGGAGGGCAGGCCAGCTAGGGTATCCCGGCCCCATGGAAGCAGAGGCGCTGAGGGGCAGGGGTGGGAGAGGCAGCTAGAAGTCCCGGACACTTCCGAAGCGTAACGGCGGGGAGAGTGGGGTCCTAGCACTCAGAGGGGCCGCCTCCGCCCCTGCTCCACTCGGGTGGTTTCCCTCCCAGCTTCTGATTCCCCTCGCCCCTTATCTCCCCGATCCCCCGCACCCCGCAGCGGAAAACTTCCCGCTCGCGCCGCCACTTTTCCAACAGCGTCCAAAACTTCATCCCCGCGTATCTTGCCTTCCAATTTCCTCTTTCGTGGCCTCGAAAGGACCGGAGGGCTGCCAGGCAACCCAAACGAATCCTTGGGATCTCGGGGTGAGGGACGGAGATGGATGTCTGCTTCCGACGCGCCAACTCACTCCAAAGACCAGGTGGAGGGGGGCCCATGCCAGCGCCGCCCTCAAGTCACTTTGAGGGGCCGGTAAGGACCCTAGCGCTCGACTGCCGACCCCCTAACCCCACAGACCCCTGCCTCAATGGTCAGGTGCCCCCCAACCCGGCTGCTCAGAGCGCAGTACTTACCGTCGGGCCCCCCTCCGGGCCGGGGCTGGGCTGCTGCCCGGCCCGGGAACCCTCTCGTTGCCTCCCTCTCGCGCTGCCCCTGGCTGTGCCCAGCGCTGAAGGTAGCAAGGTAGCAGCAGCGGTGTCTGTAGGAAGACACCTTAGAAACCTGCCTTAGAAACCCAGCCCCTGCTGTGACCAGAATCTTAAAGAAGGAGGCGACTGGCTCAGCCCTAGAGCCGCGGCTGAGGTGGCGAACTAGCGAGAGAGCTGTAAACACGGCGTCTGCTGCCTCTCACCCACCCGCAATCCGGCCGCCGCCCGGGACAGTCGGCGCCCCCAGGAGGACCCCTCCCCTCGCCACCGGGGACCAGCCCACTCGGGGGACCTGGGAAGGGATAGGCTGGGAGGACATAGATATGCAGACAATCCAGCTGCCACTTGCTTACTTACTAAGTGCCAGGCACTGTGCTTTACATCCATTATTTTCTCATTCCAGCATCCTCTCCATTGTACGGAAAATAAAATTGAGGCTCAGAGGAGCAAAGCAAAGAGCCCCCAGTACAAGCACTAATAATATGTGGTGGGACTGATTTAAACCCCAAAGGATCTCAAATTCCGGGCTACCTGTCTCAAAAGCTACCTTGTGCTATTGCAAAGCAGCATTTGAATACCTGTGTCCCTACCTCCACTTTCCCCATTTTTTTCTGACTGGATTGGGAACAAACGGCAACTCTAAGTCAGTTTGCCTGTGGAGATGGGGCCCTGGCAGGCAGGATCCTGACTGCAGTGCCTAGAGCCAGGGAGTGGCCATCCCTCTTTACCTCAGACAATTCATTAATCCCATATTTATTATGGACCTACTATGTGCCAGACGCTATGGGAGACAGAAAAAAGAAAAGGAAGAAGTCTCAGTCCAGGTGGCATTCCAGGAGACAGTCACTGAGTCTTCGAGGTCTGGGTTATGCTAGAAGTGTCTAGGGGGTGACGGTGCAGCAGTCCTAAAGGAGCAGGCAACCAGTGTTCTCAGACACCCCTTCCATGGCAGAACTTCTGGAGCCACTGTTAGGGGACATGGGGAGAGACAGGGCTTGCAGAGACAACGTGGAGAGAATCCTCGTCCCATGGGGCTGATTCTGACTCCTTCCTGCTACTGGAGTAAGGACTCACACCACCCATTCCTTTTTAAAGGATGAGTGGAAGGCAGCTTTGTTGGGACATTAAGCTCCATGGCCTCTGTATGGGAGCTACCCCAATCTTCATGCCTTGGCAATGGCATTTGTGAAATGAGAAAGATATCTTATGCCTTCCTTCTGGTCAAAATGATGAAATAACACAACATTTCCTGCCCCTTCTTAGTTTGATAATTTTAAAAAGAGCACTTTTAGAACTCGTATTTCTTTCAGCTTTGCCCCAGCTTATTCATGCAGTCATTCATTTAGCAAATATTTATTTAGGTATTTATTTATTTTGAGACAAGGTCTGTCTCTATTGTCCAGGCTAGAGTGTAGTGGCACGATCTCAGCTCACTGCAACCTCTGCCTCCTGGTCATTTAGCAAATATTTACTAGCATCTACTTTACGCTAGGCACTGTGCTAGAAGCAGGGCACCTTTGTGGTTCCATGGAGGGGAGTCTGCATGGAGGTGGAAAAATTACAGGGCTGGAAGTTAGGAAACACATTTGAATCACTAGTTCTTTGACTACATAACTGTGTGACCCTGGATGAGTCATGTATCCTTTGGGGACTTCAGTTTTCTTGTTGGTCAAACAGGGATAATAACACCTTCTTATCCTACTTCATGGGAGTATTTGTGTGGTTCGATGGAGATAATAGATGTGAAGGAGCTTTGAAAAGTATAAAGCCACTAGACAAATGTCAGGGATTAGTCTGTCTCCAAGGTGGGAGGGGGCTGCTGGAAAGTAAAGCTTAAAAGAAATCCTGGCTGACTGTCCCAAATTGATTGCACTAAATTCCATCTTCCTTGAATCACTCAGCCTGCACCTGGGTGGGAGTCTCTGCTCTGTGAAATACCGTTCTCCCTCAGCAGTGCCCATGACACACGAGTTAGTGATGACTTGGCCTTAAACCTCGGAGATTGTTTTGGGGACGTGAATGGAACCAGCAGGGCAGACTTGGCTCTGGTTTTCTGATTATTGGCAATGGCAATCTCCTCTTCCCACTTGAGCCCACCCAACTCAAGGACTGCAGGTGTCTGGGTAGAAACCACTTGAGGCCTCCAAAGACACCCATTTCAGAAAGCACAGGGCTCATGTCAGACAGCAGAGGTTGGCCATGGGGCTGGATGCTTTATTTTGTTGGAAGCTGGGGGTTCTGTATTCTGCCCAGATGGCTGAGATATACAACAGAACTAGTGGAGACTTTGGGAAGGTCTTTAGCTTGCTCTTCTCACCCCCTATAAGCCACCCCAAGTATACGTACAATCTAAATTACAGTACTATGCTTGCTATGCAAACATAGCTTCAAGACAATTTCCCAAATTTCCAGAAGCACTCTTTTCTACTCTCTCCTACCCCAAGTAAATTCACACTGTAAGGAAATATAGGGTCTTGCCAGACAAAACCAGTTTCCAGACAAATCCACTAGCCTCCTCCCTTCCCCTCTCCTTCCCACTAGTTTGTAATCCTGAAGCCCCTTGGATATAAAAACGCTAGAACTGATGGCAGAGCAGAAAAGGAACCTGGGAACCACAGGCAAGCCTGGAGTTGCACTGCACAGCTCTGGAGCAGAACCAGAATGGAAGTCAGAGGGAGCAACAGAAAGCACCCGGCCTTGAGCCAAGGCACCTGCAGTCAGCAAGTCCCTGGGGGAAGTGTGGAACAGACAGACTCCACACCCAGCCTCCCTTGGCAGTCTCAGAGCCTGTTCCTCTTGCGGCTGAGGCTCCTCTCAATGTCTTCATAGATTCCCTTGTCACATCCATCTCATCCAGGCTGTTCCTCTTAATAAAGTGCCACTGCGGCCACTCCAGACAGGCTGATGTTATCCTTCACTCTCCTGCCCTTCTTCCCAGCATGGGCCACACAGCAGTGATTCAGGCCTCCCAGGTCACTGTGCGGTCTCCTGGGGAAATGCTTTCTGAGTGCTCAAGCTAGGGTTTGATGGAAGTTTTGGATGTGGGCGTATCAAATACTCCTTCCTTGCCCATCAGGGTGGCCTGAACCCTGGATTCACTTTTGCCCTAAGTTCCCATGCCTACCCCAGCTTGCAACTTCTTCACTGGACCAGCTGCCACTGCTCTCCCCAACTGTATAACCTGTGTCTAATTTGCGAAGCCTTTCTCCCAGTGGTTGTCAGGGGATCTGTGCCCCCATGAAAGACCAGAAAGCTTCAAGATCCAAATGAATGAATCACTGATGGTGAAATTTCAGGCACAATGACAGGCAACTGAGGAGACATTTGATCACATCATGTTTATCTATGTGTAAGGCTGGCCCTGAGGATATTCTGGTATTTTCCCTCAAATATAACGAAGACTTGGGATAGATAATAGCAAAGAAGGCGATAGAAAATACACCAGGCTGGGAACAGGGACATCTTGCTGCTCATCCCAGCTCTTACACTAATTAGAGGTATGACCCCACACCTTCCCTTCCTAGGCCTCAGTTTCCCCCATATATCAAGAGATCACTGACTTAGCTAATTTCCAGGGTTCCTTGTTGTTTTAATAAGCTCACATTCTAAGCTGTGTGGCATGGAAAGGGAGTGATGTTCCTCCAAGAGTGGGCCCTGATTCCAGGACTCTGGCCATGGCACTGTGTAGGCATGGGGGTTAAACAGAGAGGCAGGGCTGGCACTATGGACATGGGCTTGGTGCTGCTATTCAACAGTGCAGCCAGTGTCTGACCCACCCTTTGCTATGAGAGCAAAGGGAGAATTCGTTCATTGCCTCCACTCTTTCTTGTACCCCTCAGCCTCCCAGTGGTAGCTATGTGCCTGTGAAACCCCCCCATTCCCCCCATGACTAATTATATCTGCCCTAGGATGAGGGCTGACATTCCCTCCATGAGCACCTATACCACCATCCCACTTGTTCAAATCTTACATTCCTTACTTAGTGATGGGTAAACAACTGCTGCTTCAAACCCCTCTGAGTGTCCCTAATTGTCCTGGCACACCCCCAACACTGCTTCAGATCCGGCAGCTTAGGGGTTAATGCCTGGCCCCATAGGGGCCTTCCAGAACACTGCTTCGTCAGTGCACCTGCCATATAGGCAATACAAGATTTTAAATATCACTCTAGTCCAGGATTCCATTCTAGTTCAATGCCCCTCTCCATTCCCAGGCCATTTCTCTATGAAGATTTGTCAAGGGCTTTTTTTTGGTGGGGATCCTTTCGTTGTTGTTGTCATTGTTTTGGTTTTTTTTAAGGGCTTTTTTGAATTGGTGCCCGACTTCCTGCCTCTGAGTCAGATGGACCCTGGTTGTTTCACAGAATGAAGGCAAAGTAGGCAGCAGGGGTGGAGGATCGGGAGGGGACTGGCTCCGTAGTTAGTGCAGCTGCCCTGGTGACCCTCAGCCCTGTGTCCTGGATCCAGTTGCCAGGGGATGAGGCCAAATATGTTGAAGTTGCAGGGATATTCCTTCTTGCTATTACCCCTGCAACAACTGGTTTCCTCATCCAAGGGCTGTCAGGTGTTCCTGACTGACCCCCAGGCCCACCTGGGGTACTTGCTGCTATTCTTTTTCCCTCCTTCATAGCTAACCTCTTCCTTTCTGCTCGTAGCCGGAGCAAGCCTCCCTAGCACTGAAAATCCCCCTCACTTGGCCCCTCTCTTTCCTCCCTCTGCAATTCCACATCCTTCTCCCTGCCAAGGCCTAGCTGCTCCAATGGGTGCTTTGCCCCTGTGGTGCGAATGTTCTGTTCTCGCTGGGCCCGGTATTAATTTGCTCTCATTTGTGAGCTGCTTTGTTAACGTGCATGGCCTTTTCTCAATGTGTAGTGCTGCTCCCTGCTGCCTCTGTTGCCTCCCCACCCACACCCTCCTTAACCTTGTAATAATGTGCCCTCCCCTGTGGAGAGGGGGGCTGGGCTTTTGAAAACACTTCTTATATGTTATGTAGTAAGTTCACCACATCCTCAAAATCACCAGAGGATATGAGGCAGGAGTGATTCCTGATCCCTGTGGAATGAGTGAGGAAACTGAGGCTTGGAGAGGTGAGAAGGCTTTTTTGCATGGATAGCTACTGTGTGATGTCCAAGCTGGCCTAGAAGCACAGCTCATTCCCATGGCACCCCACACGCTTATGTCATTCATCTTCTGCACTGCCCCTTTGAGGCCCCAACTGAGTCCCCAGAAAAGTGTACATACGCACACAGACACATATATATTTTGCTTACTATTGTGTAAGCAGTCATAAAACCTCTGAGGGTCAGGCCCCTATGTCAGTATTTTTTACAAGCTGTCCAGGTGATTCTAAGGTGCAGCCAGGGGTGAGCACCACTGCCTGAAAAGAAGATATAAAAATAGGAGACAGGCCGGGCGCGGTGGCGGGCGCCTGTAGTCCCAGCTACTCGGGAGGCTGAGGCAGGAGAATGGCGTGAACCCGGGAAGCGGAGCTTGCAGTGAGCCGAGATTGCGCCACTGCAGTCCGCAGTCCGGCCTGGGCGACAGAGCGAGACTCCGTCTCAAAAAAAAAAAAAAAAAAAAAAAAAATAGGAGACAAGAGAATTGGCTTTAGTGGCCAAGAGCTTTCTTTAAAAACCTTTGGCCTCCCCAATAGGAACTGAAGGTAGAGTGGATGTGAACTATGGCCCTAGCTTCCATGCCTCAGTTTCTTCCATTCTGCAGGCCTTTGCAATCCTTCCCCCATGCTGTGGACTAGCTTAATAAATTAGACATCACTGAGGTTGCTGTGGGAAGGGGTATAAAGAAAGAAACACATCTCTCTCCCCATATGCACATGCTTGCCAATTGCTGTGTAAGTGTATCTTTAATATTTTCTGCCTGCAAGGGTGGAGCTAAATTGCCCTGATTAAGGAAGCCATGGGGTCTAACTAGAGGTGAAGGATAGATATTTGCTGTCAATCAACTAGAAAGAGGTGCTCCTCAGGTAAGAGATAAACTTTTAGGAATAATAATCATCCTAATAGCTATCATGTATTAATCACTTACTATGTGACAGGCATTTCAGTTATAGTACCTCATTTAATCCTCATAATTAGTCTCTGAAGTAGGCATTGCTTTTTTTTTTTTTTTTTTTTGACAGAGTCTTACTCTGTCGCCCAGGCTGGAGTGCAATGGCACAGTCTTGGCTCACTGCAACCTTCGCCTCCCAGATTCACGCGATTCTTTCAAGCAATTCTCCTGCCTCAGCCTCCTGAGTAGCTGAGATTACAGGTGCCCGCCACCACACCCAGCTAATTTTTGTATTTTTTAGTAGAGACGGGGTTTCACCATGTTGGCCAGCCTGGTCTTGAACTCCTGACCTCAGGTGAGTCGCCCGCCTTGGCCTCCCAAAGTGCTGGGATTACAGGCATGAGCCACGGCGCCCAGCCTGAAGTAGGCATTACTATTATATCTATTTTACATATTAGGAAACTTAGGATCAAGAGGTTAAGTTACTTGCCCAAAGGCCTCCCGGCTAGGAAGGAAGGGTGTTTTGTTTGACCTACACAGTGTTTTCAAAGCACTTTAATTCATTGTTAACACTTTAAAATCCTCAGATTTTATATAAGAATCTGGATGTTTGTCTTCTCTTGAAAAATCCTACCTGGCAACCCTGGACCTGAAGGGCCCACCCAACAATAATTAGCTGACGCTAAGTAGCAGTACCCCTTATGGATGAGGGATGGGATCTCCAGGTCACCCCAGTCCTCGCCACTCTTTCCATACCCTCATCATGGGGCCAAGTGTCAGCTGGCATTTAATATTGTATTTGTACTGTTGTGTTGCCGTTTTTATTAAAAGAATAATAAAGAGGAAAATGGGACATTTCTACGGCATACATTTGATCTTCCCCTAGTGAGTACATAATCCCTCCCCTCCATTCCCTTCCACCGCCTCTTTAACATGGTGAGAGGAAAAGCTGGGCACCCCACTCTTGGCCTGCTCCTCCCAGAGTATTGGTGTTTTGGAGGGCAGTTATAGGTGGCTGAGGTTATAGACAGTCTCTGGCTTGTGGAGGCAGGCCCAGAGTTGGGAGGGAGGAATAGGTTCCCAGAGGACCTCAGCAGTAGAAGATAACTGAACTACACTTTCTAAGACCAATTGTCTAGTCTGGCTTCCTGGTCCTCATCTGTAAAACAGGCATAGTAACAATAACAGCACTATGTCTACTTTATGGTTATTATGAGGGTTAAATGAGTATATGTACACATACATGTATATTTAGAATCATGCCTGGCTCAGAGGAAGTGCTTAACAAATGTTAGCTATTTTTATTATTATTAAATGCCATGTTGATTTCCCTTTTGTCATCCCTTAGCCTTTAACATATGGTTTTGTCTGAAAGTTTCAGCCGGATCTAAATGATACTGTGGATTATTAATGGACTCCCATGATGAGTCACTATTATGGGGAAACAGGAATATTATGGATGCTTTTTCCCACTGAAACAGACTCCTTCTAGAGCCAATCATGGAGGTTCTGGGTGACATTTTATTAAGAGGATGGCATTTCGTACTCTAGAGAGAAGGTAGTCTTGCCTTTCTCATGGGGACCATACCAGGCTTTCATACTTCCATACTTTCACACTTGCTGTTTCTTTACCCAGAATGCCCTCTGCTACCTTGTTTACCTGGCAATCTCCTACTTATCCTTCCGGACTTAGCTCAAGAGTCACCTTATCTGCGAAACCCTATCTGAACCTCATCTGCCTCCTTAGGCAGAGTTAATTTTAAAGGCTACCTTCCACTAGAATGTGAGTTTGTTGAGGACAGGGTGGGACATATGTCTTTTTTCTTTTTTTTTTTAGTGGGACATATGTCTTGTTCACTGTATCCCTGGCACAGGAATAGGTACTCGATAAGTGCTCTTTGAATGAACCGGAGGGGAGAGGGATGTGTGGGGAAGAGAAAGGTTCAAGATGACACCCTAGCAGCCACATTTTGGTTGGGGTCTCTCTGGCTCCCAGCAAACCTCCTAATTCTGCTTCTGTCTGGCACCCCAAGTTCTTCAAACTAACGTCATAGATTCTCTGCACTCCTCCTGCACCTGTTCTAAGTCTCTCCTGTAGAATAGGTGGACGTGACCATTTGCAGAGCCTTTTCCCACTTTCAGCATGCCCCTTCTCCTTTGGACAGCCTCTCATTGTGATGGATCCATGCGCTCCTCATTCCCCAGGCTTTGCAGGGTGTCCCCAAAGCACTGAGAATTTCTTGGGGATCCTCCTGAGCATCAAAATGATGTTTTATGTCCCCATTCCCTTGAGCTCTACTCTCTCACTAGGTCTTCCTTCCCAAAATATCTGGATCTCCAATGCCTCTATCTGAAGGGGATTTCCAGCATTGGGATGCTAGTTGGGGAGCTATTTCTGGGTGAGTGAGGTTCCAGTGCTCCTTCAGTCACATCCCACAGTCTGCCCCCTAAATTAGGAGAGGATTTTCTTCAAGTCGTTGTAAGTACCAGTCTTGTGTGGAAGACTAGGCTAAAACAGATGGGTGAGATTTGTATCAGCAATCCTGCCACCTCTGTTAACAACAACACAGGGTAGCCATGGAAGCCCCTCAGCCCTGCTTAGCAGTCTTTCTCCTTCCACTGCTACCTAATGTGGTCCTGGTCACCATCTCCTATGTCATGGCACCTTCCCTGTCATGTTTCCTTCAGGCGATCTGAATTCCTTTGCCAGGAGCAGCCTGCCTGCGTGCAAAAACAACTTGAGAGCCATTAACAGGAAAGTGCATCTTTTTGAAAAGCCGGATGATTCTAAGGCATTAGTGGACACCTTTGCAATCCTGTTTCAGAAAGAGCTAATGTCTCTTAAACTGGCTGGCACTGAGCCGAGAAGTGTTCTGATAGCAGCCTCCAACTATGAGAATGTGACCAAGGACCCAGGGTATGCTAGGGGAGCCAGGTAAGATCGGGGAGCAGTGAGA
This sequence comes from Homo sapiens, assembly GCF_000001405.40. Classification (NCBI taxonomy): domain Eukaryota; kingdom Metazoa; phylum Chordata; class Mammalia; order Primates; family Hominidae; genus Homo; species Homo sapiens. The sequence continues at coordinate 107,497,973 of NC_000023.11, read as the reverse complement.
AAACCCAGGACATGAGTTCCCATAGAGTGACAATCCCAATGCCACATGCACGTGCATGCACACACACACACATCCAGAAACACAGGCAGGGCCACACGTTGGCACGAAAACACCACCCACGCTCTTGCTACAAGACCCACATGTGATTTGCCAACAAATTGCAAATTAATCTCCTAGTGAACAGATTAATGGTATTCATGGTAATTTACACTCCAAGTTTCATAGCAACAGACTGAGCATTCTGGTTGTAAGAATTCAAGGATTTTTAAGTTCTTGGAGACACTGTAGTAATTAACCTAATAAGCCTATGCAAACTAGCCCCAGTTTGACACTGTCATTTTTGAATCCAATATCCAGGATATTTGCCCAGAAGGTTGCCCATCGCCACTCCAGATCATTGGCTTGAGGTGCTAAGCTGACAGATGCCAGTCTGCATTCGTCTATGCAAATGAGGCCCCTGAGCAGAACTCCCCATCAGGCCTGGAAAGGTACTGGACAGTTACAAATGGTCTGCTGCAGGGCAATGAGAATGGAGTCAAGGCTTCCAGGAGAAATGGGGAGGGGGCCCCAGCCAATTTGCACAGGTCTGACAGCTATTTCTTTAAGGTCCATGGATTGAGCATGAAAACTCCTTACTTGGACAAGAATTTGGGTTTTCCACCTGAAGGTCAGGAAGAAGCAGCCTCTTTGTGGCATACTGCCAAGTGCCACTAGAATTTTTTATCTTTTCCAGAAAGATCAGCTTCCTAAAATAAAACCAAAAGCTGGGGTTCCCAGTTTCTTCCCTGGGAAGGTGAAGTTTAATTGGCTCTGTTGCCCATTTTGAGCAAAAATCACAGAACGTACTCAACTCCCTCATCAAATCAATCAGCCTATGGGCACAGCTTGTGTGCTCTCTCTGCGGGTGGACTGGTTCCTGTCTAATAATGTGTAGCCTCAGGGGGTGGCCACTCCTCCTCCCACTCCCACACTGAGCTCCATCCTTGACCTCATTCTTGTTTGATCTCTTAAACCACCAGGGCTCGCTGAACTCCCTGGTAAATCCACCCTGTGTTTCCTGCTCTGCAGGGCACAGCAATGAAGTGCCAGAGAGGAGATCATTCTTGCCCACTGGCAACCCACTGCTGTTGCCCAGCTCAGCTCTCCCCAGGACCTCAGGTGGCTGTGGCTTTTTCAGCTGCAGCCCCATAGAACAGCTTTGTTGAGTCTTCACTGAGGGTAGGGGAGAGCTGCGGAGCTCTCTGTGCATGGAAATACTGCAGAGAAACTGTTCAAGTCACCCAGACCCAAAGCCCCCACTAACAGGTTACCACCTAGAACTCAGAGCGCTTTCTGGAATGCACAGTCAGACACAGTGGTGATCACAGTGGCTTTACCATGCTTAAAAAGCTAACACTCAGAGGTGATAAAACACTTGAAACTTTAGAGCCATTAGGTAATAACTATCTTTATCTGTCTTCCTGACTAACCTTTAGCTAAATCAGGATTTCAAAAGTGTTAGAAGGCCTCCCATGCAGCTGCTGGCTTCTTCTCTGAATGTGTACATGGAGCCGTCATTCCAAGTTGCTGCCTATGGCCACTCTCAACTCTTGTCTACCTTCCCATTCTCACCATGCCCAGGCCCCTATGTACCCAGGCTCCAACCCACCTTCTTTGACTCCCAGCAACACTTAATGTCTGTGGCACCATCTCCCAGAAGTATAAGCCAAGGACCCCAGGGACTGCAGAGTACACAGTACTGCAAGAGGGATGCAAATCCATACACCTGGAAGCATTGTCTGTGGTCTCAAATAATAACCCACAATAATGATGACGATGATGAGAACAGCTTCCATTTGGGGAGCATTTACAGGTCAGTCACTTTACATGAGCTCTACATGAAGTATCTCACTGAATCTTCACAACTCTGTCAGCTTGATACTATCATTAGCCCCCTTTTGCAGACAAGGACACTGAGGCAAAGGTTTAAGAAACTTGCTAAAGATCACACAAGGAAGAGGCAACACTGGAAATCAAACTCCTAGCTGACAGATGCCAGAGACCGGGCATTTAAGTGCTATCCTGAAACATCTCACACATGTATGTATCACTATTTACCAAACTTTAGGCAGATGTCATAATGTTTAAAAAATACATTTCTATTTTAAAATATCACTGCATTCATATTAGTTTGTGGTCATTATGTGTTTACTAAGAGTAAAGTTGCTGTGAAGAGTAATCCAGATTATGGGTCCGTGGCTTTGGCTGGATTGAGAACCAGGAACATTTTGTGCATACAGTATGCCCACCCTATGTCTTCTTACCCATGAAGTCACACATTCATTCCTCTTATCTGCTCATCTTCTATGTTATCTCAAAGGCCCCATGTGTCTCTGTATATACGGCAGGAGTAGGAAGCCATGTCTACAGCTATCTGCATATTCAGTCACTTGTCATGCAAATATTTACTGAGATCTTATGATGTGCCAAACAGTTCTATACATTAGGGATACTCAGTGAACAAAATAGATTTTAAAAAACATTCCTGTCCTAATGGAGCTTGCATTCTAGTGAGAAGACACAGACAGTAAAAAAATAAATGGGCAAAATTATGAGACAGTTCAGAGAATAAGTGGTTTGGAAAAAATACAGCAAGGAAAGAGGGTACAGGTTTGGAGATGATTGGCTGCAATATTTAAAAAGGTGGTCAGGAAAGGCCCCACTGAGAAAGTGATGACTGAGCAAAGAGCTGAAGAAGAGAGGGAGCCAGCCATGTTGATCTCTGGGGCAAGAGCCTGTCAGGCACAAGGAGTAGCACGTGCAAAGGTCCAGAGATGGAATGTGCCTGGGGAGACCAAGGACTGTGAAGAAGTCCAGTGTTGCTGAAAGAGTTTGTCTGTGACAATGTATGTGAATGGTTGTGTGTGTAGCGATTCAGCAGTAGGCTGTGTCATTAGATTTCCAAGTGGGCTATGAGGCCCACCTTAACGACACTTGCTTGCTGGACTAGTCTTAGGTGAAATTATGAGGCAAATGTGCATGCCTGTTGATCCTCAACCCCCTAGTCCTTCCTTTTTGTCTCTCTAGGAGCCAATTTGCCTCCTCAGAATTCAGGGCCTCTGCAGTGCTCTCTGCCATCACAGCCAGTCCCCAGCCTAAGGAATAAAGAGTACAATTGGGAGTTCCACAGATCTGGGCTTGCTTCCAGTTTCCACTACTTATTAGCTCTGTGACTTTCTTTGGGTAGGCACATCATCTACTTTTCTGAGCCTCAATTTCCTTGTCTGTAAAATGGAAATAATAAAGTATTGTGAGGATTGAGGTAATGTATGTAAAGTGCTAAGCCCAGTACCCAGCACTTAATAACTGCTCAAGAAATTATAGCTATTACTCATCTACACCCAAGCATGAGTTATAGAGAACAATCTGTGCACCTTCAGTCCCCCGAAAAGCCTGTGGATTTTGTATAAGGAAAATTCTTGAACACGCCAATTGTGGATTGTCAGTAGACAGAAAAAAAATCAAGTAGAATCATTATTGTGGGAAGTGTCCTAAATGTTTAACATTACAAATGGATTTTGATACTTAGAAAGGTTAGAAACCATTGGCATCAATGGTTGCCTTTTCTAGGTGGGTTTGCATTTAGCTTCAAGCTGATTGGGCCTCTGAGTGGTATCATTTCCAGCATCACTGAACAGGTAGGAAATTCAAGTGAAGGCTTGGCTCACCATATCCAGCTCAAGGAAAGTATTTACATAGTCTCTTCCCCCTATACTTTGTTGCTTCTGCTCCGATGGGAATGTAGGAGAGGTAAGAATCACTGTTCCAAATGCATAAATGCATAGCAGGCAACCTCTGGGACTGGTAGACCTTCCAGCCCTAGGGGCCTAATGGTGTAGTCTTCCTCACTTTCACATATCTCTAGGTACCCTCCTGCTGGCTCATCTTCCTCTTCTGCCTGCACTCTGAACGGATGATCCTGGCCAACCACAGAGAGTGGCCACTGAGAAGGTGTGTGGTGACAATCTCCAAGAAACCTTTCTGAGAGCTTTCTTGAGCTTGTGCATGGCAGAGCTTGGTCACAAGAGCACCTTACTGTACAGAATGGATGCATCCTGGACAAGTTTCTTGCAAATCAAATTTTCACATATCAAAGACTATTTTCCATTTAACTTTTAACATATAATTGGAGATGTGTTTCTCCAAGGGCAAAAAAATGGGGCCCTGAGACTTAATAAAAATCATATTTATGAATGCAATGCAGCAACACACTTGAAAATCACAAATGTGAATGGAAAAAATGAAAATTTTCTTATAAAATATTAACAATGCCCCCAAATGAGTCGCAAGATCTGAATAAAAAATAGCTAACGTTATTTTGATGTTTGGCACAATAGCTTAAAGGCCTAAAAGAAAAACAATTACAGCTTAACCGAACAGAACACACTGGACTGAAAAGTTGCCCAGTTTCTATAAAACTGCCTTTCTAATGTTCTACAGCAGGAGATCTTGCAATATTCTTTGGCTGCTCAAATCCTGAGCTTTAGCACTCTGGAGAAGCTGCTGGGTTTAAGAAACAAACAGGTTAATCCAGACCAGAGAACAGACCAGGAAGCACAGACATGACACTGCTTTAAAATGCCCCAGGAAATGAGTTAATTGGGAGCAAGAGGGTATGGGAAGACTTTCTGGTAATACAAGATTCAGAAGACTTGAAACTTCTGTAAAATGAGTCTCTGGGTAACATATAATGAATCAGTTCCCCAATTTCTAAATGTTGCTTCGGCTAGTGTCTTTTTTTTTTTTTTTTTTTTTTTGACAGGGTCTCGCTTTGTCACCCAGGTTGGAGTGCATTGATACAATCACAGCTCTCTATAGCCTTAACCTTCCTGGCTCAAGCAATCCTCCCGCCTCAGCCTTCCCAGCAGCTGGGACTACAAGCATGCACCACCAGACCAGGCTAATTTTTTGTTATTATTGTAGAGATGGGAGTCTCATTATGTTTCCCAGGCTGGTCTCAAACTCCTGGGCTCAAGCCATCCTCCTGCCTTGGTCTCCCAAAGTGCTGGGATTACAGGAGTAAGCCACCATGCCCTGCTGCTAGTGTCTTTCTATAGTCTCCAAACAATGAAAACTCCCATGAAAGGGTTTCTAGCTGTGGTATTTCCCCAAAGTGTGTTCCAGGGAACACTAGTCTTCATAAGAGGGATCCATGGGCAAAAACGTTTGAGAAATGTGATGTACTCTAAATCAGTGCTTCTCGAAATTTAATGTGTATACAAATCACCTGAGGATGTTGTTACCATGCCAATTTTGACTTGGAACCTCTGAGGTAGAGGCCTGAGATTCTGCATTTTTAGCAAGGTCCCAGGTGATGCCTATGTTGCCATCCTCAGACCACACTTTGGCAAGGCTCGAAATGTCTTCTTGGATATTCATGATCCTCATTAGACTATTAAGGGCTCTGCAGTAAAGTTTAGCTTATCTAACCCAGCATTCATCAAACTCATTGGTACCCAGAAACCCTTTTTTCCCCATGGTACCTATTAATCTCTCACACTCAGGGTACCATGAAAGCCAATTTGGGAAATGCTAATCAAGCTAATACTACTCTACCTGGAGTGACTTTGCATCATCTGAGAAATGTACATTTTGGGTCATGGCCATAGACCTCATCTACAGCTAGTTAATAGCTCTGCAGAGACATAGGGATGCGAGGGCTGTGAATTGCCATTGGTTTTCAAAGACTCCAAGCTCAATGACAGCAAAATATCATAAAACTCTACTTACTATCCTGCCACATTCACTACTTTCCAAAGTGCTTTACAACCTTAATGTGGCTTGAACTGAAATGAAAGCAGGGAAAAAAGGAAGAGATTTGGAGCAGAGAGGAGCCTGGCATTTTCAAAGGAGGTATGAAACAAGACAATGAGCAAATGATACTGAAATTAGACAGGAGGTAAGGGACTCAGGTTAGCTGGGGTGAGGAGAAAGAAGGAGGCATCAGCAAGGGATGTCAGTGGGCAGGGTGTCTCGGGGGTGTAATGAGGAGAGAACAATTACTCTGTAAAGTCCTACTCTATCAAATGAGGAGGAAAAAAACCACGAAGGGAAGAGTCATCTTGTTTACCTGGTCTCCACCTATACAGGTTTCAGCTACTGTATTTGTTTTGCTGTACAAATTGTTTGGCCAGGAGGCCCTCTCTGGGCAGATTCCTTATTCTCATTGCATTGGCTGCCAGATGGAAAGGGTCTGGGTTGTCAGTTCTTCAGGAGGGCATTTGCTCATGCCCATGGTGGCCCGCCACTCCAGCCCCTATCCAGTTAGCAGATGGGTCCGAGAGAGCTCTCCGATTATCAGAAGCCAGTGGCAGACAGTGCTCCCAAAAGTGTAAAAAGGGAAAGACAGAAACCTCTTTGTAGGCAGAGCCCCTAATACGAGAGGTAGTACAACACAGAAGGTTCTGGTGTCAGACAGAGGTCATATCCCAGCTCTGCTACTCACTAGCTGTGAGGTCATGGGGTAATTAACCATTTGAAACCTCAGTCTTCTCTTCTCTAAAATAGGGCTAAGAATAGTATCTATCTCATAGCAACATGGTGAGGAATGATTAATGTAATCCCTGGAAGAGGTTTAGGACCATACCTGACATATAATAAGAACTCAGTAATTACTAATGGCTATTAATACTATTTATTATTATTAAAAGCATTTTAGTACAGTGCTTAGCACAAAGAAAGTGCTTCACAAATGACAGCTGATATGATGACATTATGACAACAAGCACGACAACAGTGATGATGTTGCTGTTATTGATGATAAGGGAGCTTGCTTTCCCTCAGCTCTGCTTTGGAGGTTGGCATCAGGAGATGATGTAATTTGAAAGGTTCTGGGGTCAGATAGTCGTGGGTTTCAATCCTGACTCTACTACCCAATAGTAGGTGGTCAGTTTTCGCAGTTGTAAAATGCAGATGATAACACCATCTACCTCACCGCTGTGAGGATGAAATGAGATGATGTATGTGAGGTAGCAAAGCCCAGTGCTTGGTGCACTGTAAACACCAAAAGCTATCAACCAGCTAGCTAGTCATCCAGCATCTGAGAACTTGAGAGAGCTCCAGGAAGGAAAGTTTCAGGAGTAAAAGTGCCCTCACAGTCCAATTTGAAAATCATGGACAGGCCCATGAAAGGCTTATGTACATACCACACACCTTTCCACACGTTACCATTTCACACACACAGGGAAATAACGTATTCAGGCCCACAAAAAGAAACCCACCTGTTTTCAGAAGAGACTTTCCAGTGTACAGAAGTTCTTGATTCAGCACAAGCATTCTTATACACCAATAACAGACAAACAGAGAGCCAAATCATGAGTGAACTCCCATTCACAATTGCTTCAAAGAGAATAAAATACCTAGGAATCCAACTTACAAGGGATGTGAAGGACCTCTTCAAGGAGAACTACAAACCACTGCTCAATGAAATAAAAGAGGATACAAACAAATGGAAGAACATTCCATGCTCATGGGTAGGAAGAATCAATATCGTGAAAATGGCCATACTGCCCAAGGCAATTTATAGATTCAATGCATCCCCATCAAGCTACCAATGACTTTCTTCACAGAATTGGAAAAAACTACTTTAAAGTTCATATGGAACCAAAAAAGAGCCTGCACTGCCAAGTCAATCCTAAGCCAAAAGAACAAAGCTGGAGGCATCACACTACCCAACTTCAAACTATACTACAAGGCTACAGTAACCAAAACAGCATGGTAGTGCTACCAAAACAGAGATATAGATCAATGGAACAGAACAGAGCCCTCAGAAATAATGCCGCATATCTACAACCATCTGATCTTTGACAAACCTGACAAAAACAAGAAATGGGGAAAGGATTCCCTATTTAATAAACAGTGCTGGGAAAACTGGCTGGCCATATGTAGAAAGCTGAAACTGGATCCCTTCCTTACACCTTATACAAAAATTAATTCAAGATGGATTAAAGACTTACATGTTAGACCTAAAACCATAAAAACCCTAGAAGAAAACCTAGGCAATACCATTCAGGATATAGGCATGGGCAAGGACTTCATGTCTAAAACACCAAAAGCAATGGCAACAAAAGCCAAAATTGACAAATGGGATCTAATTAAACTAAAGAGCTTCTGCACAGCAAAAGAAACTACCATCAGAGTGAACAGGCAACCCACAAAATGGGAGAAAATTTATGCAACCTACTCGTCTGACAAAGGGCTAATATCCAGAATCTACAATGAACTCAAAGAAATTTACAAGAAAAAAACAAATAACCCCATCAAAAAGTGGGCAAAGGATATGAACAGACACTTCTCAAAAGAAGACATTTATGCAGCCAAAAAACACATGAAAAAAATGCTCAACATCACTGGCCATCAGAGAAATGCAAATCAAAACCACAATGAGATACCATCTCACACCAGTTAGAATGGCGATCATTAAAAAGTCAGGAAACAACAGGTGCTGGAGGGGATGTGGAGAAATAGGAACACTTTTACACTGTTGGTGGGACTGTAAACTCTTTCAACCATTGTGGAAGTCAGTGTGGCGATTCCTCAGGGATCTAGAACTAGAAATACCATTTGACCCAGCCATCCCATTACTGGGTATATACCAAGAGGATTATAAAACATGCTGCTATAAAGACACATGCACACGTATGTTTATTGCGGCACTATTCACAATAGCAAAGACTTGGAACCAACCCAAATGTCCAACAACGATAGACTGGATTAAGAAAATGTGGCACATATACACCATGGAATACTATGCAGCCATAAAAAATGAAGAGTTCACGTCCTTTGTAGGGACATGGATGAAACTGGAAACCATCATTGTCAGCAAACTATCGCAAGGACAAAAAACCAAACACCACATGTTCTCACTCATAGGTGGGAATTGAACAACGAGAACACATGGACACAGGAAGGGGAACATCACACTCCGGGGACTGTTGTGGGGTGGGGGGAGGGGGGAGGGATAGCATTAGGAGATATACCTAATGCTAAATGACGAGTTAATGGGTGCAGCACACCAACATGGCACATGTATACATATGTAACAAACCTGCGCGTTGTGCACATGTACCCTAAAACTTAAAGTATAATAATAATAAAATAAAATTAAAAAAAAGAAGTTCTTGATTCAGGACTTAAAGTGTTTTTTTGTTTGTTTGTTTGTTTGTTTTTTTGCCCCTCAGAGAATGCTTTTTAGTTCAAGAAGAGGAGTTTAAAAAGCACATTAATAAAACCCACTGGACTGAAAGTGCCGGGTTGCAATCAAATCCAAAACACCTAGCCCAGTGGCTGGCATATGATGATGCACAGTACATATCCACTGAAGAAAACGTCACATTTTCATCTCAAAATACTTTTGTGGTAACGGTGTCTCTATATTGTTTTAGGCCATGAATCAAGGATGTTTTTCTCTGCACTTGGGAAAGTCCTGTCAGTCTGCAAATGGGCCAAATTTGAATATTAGCCATAAGGGCTAAACACCCACAAGTACACAAAGACTCCCTCAAGTGGATACACAGACAGTCACTTTCCAAATGCTTTGCCAACTTTGGGCCTCCCCTGCAAGATCTGGGCCCTGGTTCTTTGGACGGAAATAGCAGAGCATGCGGCTGTGATGGTTCTCAGAGCAAGTGGAGACATAATGATGAGGCCATTCAGGGTCCTTGTCAAAACCATGTGGATCTGGGGTGAAATTTCAATCATCTTACCAGCTGGCACCAGAATCCTTCTTAGGGAGGGAACTGGGACTGTCTTTAGGAAAAGGTTTTGATAAGCTGCTTGCCTTGACAGCATGGGTAGGCAGGAGCCAAGGCAACGGAGGAAAGAGCTTAACGCTGTGTGGTAACATTAAACAGGACTCAGAGATTGCAGAGAGAGCAGAGAGGAGAGGAGGAGAAGGAGGAGAAAGGGGAAATGAGGCACTGGGTGTGAGCCTAGAGCCTGACTGAGAAAATGACCAAGGGACTTCTTCAGCCCAGGATTGCTAACTTTAAATGTTCAGTTGTTTGTGCTGCTGCGAGGAAAATCCTTTTGTCACTCCTAAGCCTTCTACACACATTTCCTTGGGTGAATGGTTATTCGGGTGAGATTAAGGAAGAGAGTGAAGCTCCACGTTTTGGGTGACATGAAAAGATACAAACAAATGGACAACCGGCACTTCTTAACTCTGGCTACACATTAGAATCACCTCAGGAAGCATTTAAAACCTGGGGATGCCCCCAGGGAGTCCCCACAGAGATTCTGGTGTAACTGGTGTGGGATGGGGCCTGGCATCAATATTCAAGTGGAAGTTTAGAAACTCTGGTCTCCGTGGAACTCTTTCTTTTCAGAGAACCATAAATAAGCCTGTGGTGGGGTTGGGGGCAAGGAGAATGGAAGCCCTCCCTGGGAATGCAGAGATCTAGGAAAGCATGGATTTTGAAGGAAACTTATCTCAATGTGAAGGGCAGGGGAGACCATGAGAATATCCAGACTACAGGCATAACTGATGCCATTCACCTCTGACTTCCCTCTTGGCTGTCCATAATGCCTCCCAACCCAAGCAATTATGACTTCCAACTCAACCCATTATGCCTCACCATGTTGCATTGCAAACATCTCTTATCTTTCATTCTTACCAAGCATTATTTTCCCTGGATCCCATTTCTTTTTGATAATTATTTTTTCATTTTTTAAAAATTTTTTTGAGATGGAGTCTTGCTCTGTTGCCCAGGCTGGAGTGCAGCGGTGCGATCTCAGCTCACTGTAACCTCCACCTCCAGGGTTCAAGCAATTCTCCTGCCTCAGCCTCCCAAGAAACTGGGATTACAGGCGCCCGCCACCACGCTCAGTTATTTTTTTTTTTTTTTGTATTTTTAGTAGAGATGGGGTTTCACTATGTTGGCTAGGCTGGTCTCGAACTCCTGACCTCAGGTGATCCGCCCACCTCAGCCTCCCAAAGTGCTGGGATTACAGGTGTGAGCCACAATGCCCGGCCCTAGATCCCATTTCTCAGTGAGCCTACTCTTTGACAGGTAAAACCCAGTGAATCTGCTATATGAAAACTTTCCTTAGACAAAACAAAAATGTACTTTTTTTTTTCAAAGACTGAGAGTTTTTACTTATTTCTTTTTTGAGCTCTTGGTATTCAAGGAAATCTCTGTCAAAACACAAGATGACCACATCCTCTTAAGGAATAGAGATTTCAAAACTTACTACAAAGTTGCACTAATAAAAACACTGTGGTACAGGCATAAGAATGGACATATGCAAGAATGAGCATCTACAAATAAACCCATTTATCTACAGTCAATCGATTCTTTGACAAGTGTGGCAGGAACTTTCAATGGCAAAAGAATAATCTCTTCAACAAATGGTACTGGGACAACTGGATATCCACGTGCAAAGAAAAAGTTGGACCCTTCCTTTATCCCATATACAAAGCTCAATCCAAAATGGACCAAAGACCTAAATATAACAGCTAAAATATAAAACCTTCAGAAAAAATATGGATGTAAATTAAAAAATGTACATTTTAACAAAGGTCTTTGGAGGACAATGCCTTGACCCAACGCAATAATTTTCAGGGATCTTGGCAAAGCATGGAGAAAATATTTTGTGGTCAGAAGGGACCTGTGGAGATCCTCAAAGCACACCATGTGGGTAGATAACCATGAAGCTGATTACTGAAGATGTAAGTCTGAGAAATATCTGGAACAGTTGAGCCCATTCTTCTGGGATCACTGGAGATGGCACCCAGGAAAGGGTCAGGCGTGTCCCAGGCCTCCAGGGCTCTTTTCACATCCAACCGTGTCTTCCTCCCCAATCCTCCACAGTCCCTCCTAGCTCTTTACTTTTCCAGCATTTTATGCAGCTTGAATAAAGTAAGCTTGATAGGCCAAGCTACCAGTTAAAAGCTCACTCCGTCATGGACAAGGCAGGAGTCAGCATTTTAGCAGCAGTTTAGTCGCGGCCAGAGAAGACAAAGGCAGAGAATGGCCGATTGCAGGTGCCAATTCCCTGGTTTTTATAGGCTGGTGCCTGAGGGATGGATCATCCTGCCTTACCCCCTGGAACTAAAGGTGACAAATGAATGCTCTTCAGTGGGAAAGCTATTAAGTGGGATGGGACCAAGCAAAAAGGACCAGTTCTCTTTTCCCTATATCCCTGCTTCCTTCCACTCCTGCCCTCAGCACTGGGGTAATGGCCTGGCTTAAGGGGATGAGATAAAATGAGGCCTCAGAGGGTACTGGCAGGGACCAGGTGGTCACAGCTCCCCTTTCTCAAGATAATTTACTCAGGGGCAGGAGCTAAAATTGATCAGATGAGGCTCTAAGTCAGAATGAAACCTGTTAATTTGTTACACCGTTTTAGAACTTCACAGATACCTATCTTATTGAACACAGCACTGAGGTGCTTTTTAAAACCTAGGAAGCCAATTAAACCCAGGAAGAAACCTGCATATTTTCTAACGTGGTTGAATAAAATTGAAACTGTTGCTACATCTGAATAGAACTGAAACATAATTTGGTCCAGGATCCTTCTCAGTAGCTGGGACATGCTTGTTTGGGAACTCTTTCCTTGGCCTCAATCTTTTCCCCAGAGCCACCCCTTCTCCCGAAAAGAAAATCCTGACAGGCACAGTCCTGCAGTCTTTGCAGTCCCTGCAAAGACTCGCCCAGTCCTAAATCAGTTTCCTGAGGAACTGTCTCACCAGCAGAGGAACCCAAGCTCCATGCACAAGAAGCTCACTTCATTCGTGTGCCTTCCCCTTTCCTTCCCCCTTACCAAGTTACTTGGTTGGCCTAGCCCACTGGCGTGACTAAATTGGAACATTCTTTCAGGGTATGCGGTTCTTTCCAAGAGAGTTCAGAAGAACCAGGAAACAGACATTTCTGATACAGAACAAACAGAATCTGGGGTTCCCTTCCCTTCATAAGTCTCGCATCTTGCCACAACCAGATCTTTGGCTTTCCCAATTAGCCAATCATATTCTTTGGGATTGACACCCACCTCTGGGAGGTTGACTGAACTGTCAGTAGTCCTGGAGGTGAAGGGTGATGCTGAAGCAGGCACGGGGAAAACGAGCAGCTTCTATTCTTCAGAGGCAGCAGAGACTATTGCTGGACTCTACAAAGCATGGCTGCCTGACCAGTATCTATTCCCAGTTGGACCTGCCCTGGTCTGTACCCTCCCTAAAGGACCCCAGGTTACTGGACTTTTCTATTTTTGGCGATCCATGGATAGGCACCTCAGCCTTCTGCCCTGGCTCTAAGACCCAGTACCTGGACTACTTCTCATCTCTCTTTTCCCCTGCTCCTCCTAGTTAAGACCCACACCAGGCTCCCCTCCCCCTAGCCCCAGGGGAGCCAGCTGGAGCCAGCGATGACGCAGCTTGTCAGGGCAGGAGATTGATGGCAGGCCCTCTGCTTTCTTTCCCCGCCCCTTCTTCTACTGTCTTGCTCTCTCCCTTTCTGGGATTTGGGGAGGAGGGAGGAGGCAGAGAGGGAGAATGCTTAGCTGTTCCATTCACATTCTTCTTAATTCAAGGGCTTTTGCTAGTCCTCACTTGATGGAGCTCAGCTGAGAAGACGCTAGCCTTTCAGAGAGAAGAGGGTTAGGGAATCCAGCTCCCTCCCTGTTACCTCCCTGCTGCCTGGCCCAGTGCTGGTTCTGACCGGAGGCCCCTTTCTTCCCCAGCAGCACTGGGTTGGGCAGTTTGCCTTGGGCCCATCTGGCACCATAATCCGCAAGCCCCTGGGAGGGCCCAGTGAACTCATTTGGAAGCTTTGGGCCTGTGCTATAGGAAAGTGGGGGCAGTGGGCTTCGAGCGTAGCCAGAAGGAGCTACTCTGATCTCAAGGACCCACCTGACTCCCCACCCCCACCACCCCATGGGGGTTTCTACAGCCAGTTCCTGGCCCTGCCACAGCCCCTCCCCTGCAGCCCAGGGAGGGTGAGTGAGTGTCTGGTGGGGTCTTGATAGGGCACTATGTGGACATAACAAAGCTCTCCAGCTGAGAGCCCCTGGCCACTGTCACCCCCCTTGCACACCCAGTGTATATGTTCTTTTGCAGTGAAAAGCACCAACAGGAGGCCTCCATCCAGATAGGCAGGCAGAGAGCAAGAGAGGGAGCTCAGCGAACCCCACCCCTACCCCACGCCCGCATTAGGCCCTACAGACCCAGGATGTGTTCTGGCTGTGACAGCTGATTACAGAGGGGCAGCTGGGAGGGCAGAGCACAGAAAACAGGGGACACAGCAGTCAGAGTCACGATGCAGACAGACAGTTGGCACCATTCTGCCAGGAAGAAAACGAGCATCCAAGATGTGGTGGCTGAGCCAAACAGGTGGGTAGAGCACAAGGGCAGAAAATCCAGGGCTGAGAAAGCCCAGAATTCTGGGAGCCATCATGAGGGTGAGCCCCAGACCCCAAGAGACCTGCCTCACTGGATTTTCTGCTTTTGTGCTCAGAAAGTGGCTGCCAAGAACAAAAGGTCTCAGCCTGGGTCCAGGGTACACTGGAAGAGCCTCAGTGGGGGAAGTTAGGAGCCTAGGGATGGGTTGCCATAGGGCACTGGCTGATGGCAGTAGTCTACTCAGTGCCTTTGTGTAAAAAGCTCAGAAAAAGTTACTCCTTCTGGGTGAATGCAGCCCCACAAACACTATAGCTTTATCAGATGAAAAATGTATCCCTTCATCCAGGTCCACTTAGTCTTGCACCAGGGAACATGGTTTGGGGAGCAGAACATGGGCTGGATTTCCATTCCTACTTAACCCTCTTGGCTGAGTACCTTTATGCAGTTCACAGCCTGCACAACTATATATGGTAGCCCTATCTGCAGCAAATAACTCCCCTCCTACTCCATACTGAGGCTGAGAGAGACTGAGCTGCCAATGCCTTGCTCGCATCCCATACTCATTCGTTCCAAAGCATGGAAACAGCTGGGTCTATAGACGGAGACAATGGTGAGCCTGACTGGGACATCAGACCAGTGGGTTGAGGTAGTGATGCCTTTTTCTTTTTGAGGGAGTTTTTTTGAGAACTGCCCTGTTCCTTCTGCCCATCAACAACTTTGCAACTTTCTGTTTTTACTGTGTTTTATTCTATTGTGAAAATCATGCATGCCTTTTGCATCCTTCAACCTCTCTTGCACTTACCTCTTCAAGAGCTGCCACTTAACTGCCCTGCTCAATAGTGTTGATACTCCTACTCAAGCAAACTCTTTGGTGACTCTGCTCTCTCATAGTCTGCTCTAAAATGAAAATTAAGCTACATTATTGTGATAGTGATCCTCCATTTCCCTATATATACATTGGATATGGAGTAAGTTCCTTCCTGTTCTGGGGTCTTGTGACTCTGAAGAGCCCCTATTCCTCCTGCCCCAAGGTTTGCTCCTTAGTCCTCCCCTCCAGCAACCCAACAGAGGATCATGTGGCCCTGGAGGCTGGGGTGAAGAAAAACATGGGCCCCAAGGCAGAATCTGGTGACCCTTGGGCTCCAAGTCAAAAGTAAGAAGAGTTGGGCCAGGTGTAACAGACTGAGATCAGGAGCTTCAGACTGAGACCAAGGGAGATGGTCAAGCCTTTATTCAGCCAGCAGCTACCTACTAGCAAGCACTTCACTGACATTATCTACATTTTGGAATGGCCTTTCCAGTAAGCCTCTGCTGACAAAGGAGAAGGAGGGGGAGCAGGCTGGAGAGAGAGTGAGGACCTACTGGAGCTTGGCCTGACTCCAGAGCATGGCCACCTTGCTGTGGGAAGACCGGGGGGAGGAGGGGAAAGCCTTTTCCAAGACTGGGTTTCAGTCAGTGCCGCCTTGCAAAGATGTTTGAGAGAAAAAAACAAAACAAACAAACAAAAAAACCTCTCAGCTCACGGGGGTTTTGCTTGCCAGCACAATGTATCTCATGATTTATAAAAAAGGACTGGACTGGGACTTGGGGGCTCTACCTGGACTAATTAGCTGGGTAGCCTTGGTTAAGTCCCTTCCCCTCACTGAGTCTCGGTTTACTTATGTGCAAAATTAGGAAGGAAATTGAACTAGTAAATAATCTCTAACATTCTAGCCTATCCTAGTCTATCCAATCTCCCACCTACATTCATGTGTTATAACTACACTGCATTAACCCTTGCTTACAGCCTGATTTCTTTTAGACCCAGCCTCAATTATTTTGGAACATGGTTCTCAAACATGACTTAGAAAGAGATCTAATTTTCAAGAAGGGTGAAGTCCTACAGATTCAGAAGTTGAGGTGAGGGCTCACCAAGGATTCATTCTGACCAGCTCTTCTCCAGACCAGCTTCTTTCCTTCCATTAGGCCCCGCTGCTTGCCCAAGCGCTAGCTCTCCCTCTCTCTTGCTCTCTCTCTCCCTCTCTCTTCATTTTCTTTGTGGCATTTATCCTTTATGGTGATTAATGTAGACACCAGGCAAATGCTGGCCAAGGGAAAATGTAAATTAAGTCCCTGTCCCTCTTCCTTGTGCACTAGGAGGGTCAAAAGCCTATCTGCTGAGGAAGGATGAGTCCCTGGTGGGCAGGTCTAGCAAAGCAACATTGGGGACAAAGGGATCCCTACAAATTACAGTTCATCATGTGGTTGGGGAGCTGGACTCCAACCTAATGACTCTGTTTGTTGGTGCTGAACTCACTCTCAGGCCCTGCCAGCACTGAGATGGATGGCACCTTTATACTCCAGGCAAGAATATCTGGAGGGCCCTAGTGCTGGAGCAGATCTTCCCCTTCTCCCTCATCAGCAAAGCCTCAAATGGCCAACAGATCACACACAGGGAGGTCCGGGTGACTGAGTCACAGGTCCGTCCTTTTGACATTTCCTCTCACCCAAGCTTGGGCTATCAAGCCATTCTGGGTCACCTTTCAGAGAGCCCTTCTGACCCCCACCTAGAAGATGTGTAGTTTGATGAGATTTCGAGAGTAAAGCTGGGTGGCACAAAGCTAATCTAAATGAACTGGTGATAGTTTCAGCAATGTCTGTTTCTTTCTTTCTTTCTTTCTTTCTTTCTTTCTTTCTTTCTTTCTTTCTTTCTTTCTTTCTTTCTTTCCTTCCTTCCTTCCTTCCTTCCTTCCTTTCTTTCTTTCCTTCTTTCTTTCTTTCTTCTTTTTTTTTTTTTTTGACGGAGTTTCACTTTCGCCTAGGCTGGAGTTTAGTGGTGTGATCTTGGCTCACTGCAACCTCCGCCCCCCGGGTTCAAGCAATTCTCCTGCCTCAGCCTCCTGAGTAGCTGGGATTATAGGCACCCGCCACCACATCTGGCTAATTTTTGTATTTTCAGTAGAGACAGGTTTTGCCACGTTGGCCAGGCTGGTCTCAAACTCCTGACCTCAGGTGATCCACCTGCCTCGCCCTCCCAAAGTTCTAGGATTATAGGAGTGAGCCACTGCACCCAGCCAGCAACGACTGTCTCTCTGCTTCATTCACACATAGAAACCACAATCACCACCATGGCCCATAGGAGGTATGAGGCAGAAACTGCATAGTCAGCTTCTGAGTAACTCAGAGCCCTTGAGAAACACGTAACTGTGAGCTATGTTATGCTGTGACCTAAGTACCCTCCATGTAACAACTTTCACTCATCCCAAGTATCAGTCAGAGTTGACGACTGGCTCAGCTTTGCCATTTTACCTATCAATGGATCAACAATGCTCAACTGCACAGGGACTCATCTATTGCCTCCTCTCCATCACCACACTCCAATCTTCCACATGCTCTTAGAGCCTGCGACTCATCTTTGGTACAATCTTTGGCTGCTATGGATAGCCTGGTGTCTATTTCTCCAGAAGCCTGCTCACATTAAGAATTTCTTTTCTTCCCTACATTTTATTATGAATATTTTCAAATATACACAGCAGCTAAAGTATCCTTAAGACCAATACAATAATCATGGTTTTTTTTTTTTTTTTAAATGAGACAGGGTTTTGGTCTTGAACTCTTGGCTTCAAGCAATCCTCCTGCCTCTGCCTCCCAAAGTGTTAGGATTACAGGCATAAGCCACCATGCCCAGCCTTGTAATCACCTTTTTAATTCAACATTTATTAAAATTTTGGCCAGTTTTGCACCCTCTCTCTCTCTCTGTGTGTGTGTGTGTGTGTGTGTGTGTGTGTAATCATGGTAAAATATACATAATATAAAATTTACCATCCTAACCATTGTTAAGTGTATGATTCAGTGGAATTAGGTCCCTTCACAATGTTGTGAAACCATCACCACCATTCATCTCCAGAGCTTTGTCATCACCCCAAACAGGAGCTCTGTACCCATTAAACAATAGCTCCCCACCCCCAGCCCCTATTTATATCTAAATGCTGTACCATTTTAAAGTTTCAAACATCATATTTCAGCCCCTAAATATTTCATCAGTCATCTCCTAAAAATTAGAACATTCCTACATAACCACAATACTATTCTCACACCTAAGAAATTCACAGCAATCTACTATCCAGTTGTCAGGGTCTTCCTAAATAAACAAAAGTTTCTACACTTAAAATGAAGGGAATGAGTCACATTTAGTTGTTTCATATACTATGAAGTGCTATGTAAACGTGAGGCATTAATAATCTTATTAGATGATCTTAAAAGTTTTTTTCAGCTCAAAATTCAATTAATGTTTATGATTTTCCAAAGGGTTCCCCCTCCAGAGCAGTTGATGTGGCCAGGAGCCACTCTCAACACCTTCCCAGCTCCCTAAGGCAGGGAGGCAATCCCTATGGGTGGAAGCAATGGCCTTCCTTAATTCCAGCCCAGCCTCCTATATCCTTACAAGTGATTAGCAATAAACAAATACATCAAATAAATCCATACAAATCCCAGCACTGTGATGCCACAGAAAAGTATAAAGGCCACGAAACAGGTTCTCCAGACTCAAGCATGGAGGAGCCTTAAGTCCTTGGCCACAGCCAAGTGGGGGGCTTCAGCAGCACAGGGAGGACTGCAGCAGCCAACTTGGTCATTGGTTCGGGGGTGGGGTGGAGAGACAGGTGCCAAAGAACCTAGTGGGGTGCCGAGCAGCCTCATTCTCCACCTCTAGCACTACCCCCACCCCACCCCAAACCAGATTCTCAGCTCTGTTAGCTTAGCACAGAACACAAGCCCCTCACATGTTTGAGCTGCTTAGTCTCTGTATTTGTCTCTGCCTCCAGATATCTGCACACGGTCACCAATCACTTGAGTTTTCGGCTGCTTTTTACCCAGCCATCTTAACAATCAATTTCTGTATGATTGCATGGCTCGGCTTTACAATCTAGCAAAACCAGGCATGGAGTCAAACATTTTTTTTTTCTTTATTTATATTGTGTCTTGTTTCAGAAAGGATTTAAAACGAGGAGACGAACATTTAGTAAACACCCTGGACCAGATGCTTGAAACTGTGCTAGGTTTTATGGAAAATGCAAGAGAGAACACACGGTTTTCTTTTCTTTTAAACCCTCAGTTGAGTTTACAATTCACTTGGGGAGACAAAACTCTCTGAGGAGACAACTAAACCACAACTGCACTGGCCTGGGAACTGGGAGCCTGACATCTAGGTCCTACTTCCAGCTCAGCCACTTGTCAGCTGTGTTATCTTGGAAAAGTCACCTTACCTCTCTGGGCCTCAGTTTCCTTATATGTAAAACAAAGGGGCTGTATATAAATGTCCATATGATCATAGAGACACAACATGGAGACTTGCAATACTGGTTTTCTGAGAGGATGGGATTTGAGAGGCTTGAGAGGGAGATTACTTCTCTAACCCTCTATTTTTTGACTTGTTATAATAAGCATATATTACTTTTGTGGTTAAATAAATCTAGCATTTACAAATGAGAATGAATGGAACTAGCTAAATTCTCATTTAGCTCTAACCATAGTCTGTGATTATCTGTTGTTCAGATGACACAGAGCCTTCTGAGTTGGGAGAAGGGAAAGCTTACTGAGGATTCTGATAGCCAGAGGAGGCTTCCTGGAGGAGATGAGGATCTAGGTGGGTCTTGAAGGGCCGGCATGCTTTGGATTAGTAGAGACAAGGAGAGGGCATCTCTGGCATAAGATGGAGATGAGTAATAAAACTGGCTGAGGCCATAATAGGGGGTGGAGGGCAAAGATGAGAATAACTCTTTCCCAAGGCCCAGACACATCCTAGATTGGAGGGTTTCCTGGGCTGTGGAGTCTGAGAGCTGGAACAGCTTCACTCAGTCCCCCTCTCCAGGGGGCAACCCCCAGGCCCACCTACCATCGCAGCAGCTGCAGAATCTCAGCAGCAGAAAGTCTAGAGTCCCAGCCTGGTGCTCTTGGATCACAGAGTAAGCATAACACTTGGGTATTAGCTAATCAATCTCGTAAATTCATCTCCCTTTTACTGGGATCTGTCAGGAAGCTGATTAAATGCTGTGCGAGTGGGATTTGGCTCAGATGCTAGCCGGGAGCTTGGGGCTGAAGTTTTTCAATGTTCAGCTCATGCATAAAATTCATAGTTTATCATTACCCAGACTTGCTTCTCTAGAACTATCCAGATGGGAATATTTCTATATGACAGTCCCATCCTGGGTGAGCCAGTTGCCTGGCCTCTCCCCCAACAGTTCTCTCTGCAGTAGGTTCTCCCCACCCCCCAGCCCCCCTCCTGCATTTCCACCAGCTCAGCTCTGCCTGCAGAATCACTGAGCCAGGATGCCAGCAGCCCTAGGGCACCCAGCTGGCTCTTCCTGTGTCCTGGGGCACCAAAGGGATTCCCTGGGGCAAGGCCAGCACACTACAACTCCAGTATCCTTAGGCAAAACTAGGGAATAAGTTGGATATCTTTAAGAAGAGACATATATGCTACCACTACCACCCCCTTGTACCAGTCCCTAGCTAGATGCCCTCTGGCTGTCCTTCTAGCTTGGCTTCCCCATTCATTCCTGCTTTCCTTTCTTAAGGCCCCAGGTTCTCTCAAGTCACCTAGGCTTGGAATCCTACCCTGGAGGCCGGTCCTTCCTCTATCCCAAACCCTCAGCCTAACCAGGTGAAGTAATCCCAGCCAACGGGCAGATGGGAAAGAGATGAGGGAAGGGACTGAGCTGAGACTACAAACTTCTTCAGCTTTTTCCTTTCTGAAGAGAGAGTGGTTGTACTTGCCTCTTGCATATGGCCTGAGTTAGGAATGTCCAGCTGTAGCTTCTTCATCTGTAAGGTATCTTCCTGATCTAACATTCTCCTCACCATGATTCTGCATATAACTCTGGCAATCGCAAGAGAATTGGAAACTCTGCATTCATTTCCACTGTCTTCCTCAGTTTCTGGGTAGCCCAAAAGAATAATGATACCAGAAATAGCAGCTACCATTTACTAAGCACTCACTGAATGCCAGGCACTGTGCTAGTCCAGAGATATCAATGTGAGGATCCTGTCTGAGCCTACAGCCTGGCCCAGTAGTAGGGTGACAAAGGCATCAGCACTGGCACCATTACTAAATATGACTAAGCATTGGTGACATGTTTGCAACCGGGAGCTAAGGGGTCTGAATGGTTTGGACAGATACAGCATGTCCTCAGTGGTTAAGATTCTAGTGACGAAATGGGATAAATTATAAAACTTCAGCCAACAAAATCCAATGTATTCGATCTATTGATTGATCATATACCTTTTTTCCTTCACTCAGCTGTTTGGAGAAAGAGGCAAAGAATAATGAAGTAAGCCTGCATAAGGAGATAATTCAAGTAAGTAATTTCCAAGAGATGGTCTGAGTTCAGTCCACATTTTTACATATACTTTCTCCATCTTATAAAAATAACACCACTTCAGGCTGGGCGTGGTGGCTCACGCCTGTAATCCCAGCACTTTGGGAGGCCGAGGTGGGCAGATCACCTGAGGTCAAGAGATTGAGACCATCCTGGCCAACATGGTGAAAACCCGTCTCTACTAAAAATGCAAAAAATTAGCCAGGCCTGGTGGCAGGCACCTGTAATCCCAGCTACTCGGGAGGCTGAGGCAGGAGAATCGCTTGAACCCAGGAGGCGGAGGTTACAGTGAGCCGAGATTGTGCCACTGCACTCCAGCCTGGCGACAAAGCAAGGCTCTGTCTCAAAAATAAAACAAAATAAAATAAAAATAACACCACTTCATTTTACAGGTGAGGAAATTGAGGCTCAGAAATGATAAACCACTGCCCAAAATCACCTGTTAATATGCGGCTGCACTCAAAGTGGAACCCACATCCTCTGACTCCTAGAATTCGGTGTTCTAACTGCTACACCATACAACTTTCTATAAGACTAAATATTATGGCTGATATTTAGAAAGCAAGGTCCTTAGTCATCAAACACAGAATCCATTTCACTGGGCCTTACATTCTAAGACAAGAAAGAGGTTTCATACTTTAGAGAGAACTTCAACAATGAATCAAAATTATAACCCTGATTCACCGGAAAGCTGTGTAATTATCTGCCCATCCTCAAATATTCTGGTCAACAGAGGTTTTGCTCCATCTATGGATAATTCTCCTTTAGGCACCTGGAAATAATAGCTGAGCTGACATTTCATTGGCTCAGAGATTCTTCTCAAACCAATGATTGCTTCCCCCTTTGGATGCTGTTGAGAAAATAGCAGCTCAGGCTAAGGTTGGGGCAGAGGAAAAAGGAACCGCAGAAAACAAAAACACATCCCCAATCAGGGCCCCTCTTCCACAGAGCAGAGCAGACACTTGAAAGTAGCTCAAAGAGGGAGGAGAGCTGGGATTAAGGTGGCTTTCATCGGCCAAATGAAGACCTACTGACACCCGGACAAGAGAGAGAATAATCTCTCTCATACACACATATTCGTATGTGTTATCCATAGATGTGTAATGCATCTGTGTTCCAGGAGAGGAAATTTTTCTCCCTATGAACATACACACACACACACATACACATATTCAGACACATTTGGTGTTCTCTACTCTAAATTCAGAGCTGGTCCCCCTGTTGGAGGTGGGCCTGATAGTACTCTAAAATAAGATTTTGAAATATACACCCGTTCTCCACTTGTAGTCTCCCATACTGAACCTTCATTTAGTCCATTTGTCCTCCTTGGGCTGCAGAGCACAAAATCCCCATCACCAGCCCTGCCAGGGCAATTTAATCTATTGCAGCCTTTGAGCCTTATCCTTTTTCCCCCCCGTGTACTTTCTGCTGTTTCATTTTCTTCAAACTCATATTTTCCAGCACAGAGTAGGCACTTTGCAAATGTTGTTCATTAGTGGCAGTAGTGGCAAGGGGTGGCTTGCAGAGGAATCAGCCTTCCCCCATTAATCCTTAGCATCACCTGCCACTCACCCCCACAAGCTATTTCCAGTGAATATGCAACCTATGTAAAAACCATGTGGCAAAGGGAGTTTTCAGAGAAGCCTCCTAAACCCCCTACCAATGAGATTTTTGCCCCCAAATTCTTCCTATATGACAATTCTGGAAGCCACCTAGTATTTCTCTACATTTTGCTCTTTGAGTTGCCCTCTTTATCTTTTAGCCATTCCTTCATATCTCTCAAACTCCTCTCTTCCTTGATTTCCTCTTTTCCTATCTCTTGATCCCTGTGCTTTTTCTTCTTTATTCTCCTTCCACCTCTCAGGCGTGCATATTCTTCACCTAGCCTCCCTCTCTCTAGACCAAGCCTCAATTCTGGAATCTTCTCTATTCCGAATTCCTTACCTCAAGCTCCAAGGGTTTCAAGCTCTTCCTTCTCTGCAGCTATTGTAAATAAAGGAGAAGCTGCCCTAAGCTGCACGGCCAGGGCAAGTTGTGGCCAGCCCAGATGACCTCCTCCTGCTGTAGGGACTGAGGTTCCCGTGGTAACAGGGAAAGGATACCTGCATCTCTGGGAGGAAGACTGTGTACTTGGAGCTTAGCATTTTGGTTTTGTTTCGTTTTGAGAAAGAGTCTCGCTCTGTAGCCCAGGCTGGAGTGCAATGGTGTGATCTCAGCTCACTGTAACCTCCGCCTCCCAGGTTAAAGCAATTCTCCTGCCTCAGCCTCCCGAGTAGCTGGGATTACAGGTGCCCACCACCACTCCCAGCTAATTTTTTGTATTTTTAGTAGAGACGGGGTTTCACCAAGTTGGCCAGGCTGGTCTCGAACTCCTGACCTCAGGTGATCCACCCGCCTCGGCCTCCCAAAGTGCTGGGATTACAGGCGTGAGCCACCACACCCAGTCCCGAGCTTAGCATTTTGAACAGGCCCTCAAATACACACACCCACACCTGCATCCCTATTTCTTGGACTCAGAAATGTGTTCAAAAGGAAACTGGCCATTTGGGAGAAAAGTGTGTGTATGTTGGGGGTGAGGGTAAAAGAGTGTCATATTACACTAATTAGAACCTCTACTCCTGGCTCTGCCATGTGGAAGTGTAGTAGAAACTTCTCTGCAAAGTCAAGTTTGTGGGGCTCCAAAAGGTCACATGATCTGGACCTAAAGCTTTCTACCTTTGTAGCTAAACTCTGGCAAGGTATCTACCTCTATCACATCCTGAAATCATGTTCAGGGCCAAACAACTGTGGGGTAGAATAGAAAAAGGACAGATTCCGTGCCCGCAAAGGCAAACCTGGCATCTACACAAAAGTCTGCAAATACAAGTGCATCCAGGACATTATGGCCGCCAACTGAAAGGTTTCCAGCCTCTCTGGTTCCAGGGCCTGGAATCCACTGTAACTTTTTCTCACCTCTGCAGCAGCTCATATCTCTCACATAGAGGTGTCAATCAAATACTTTCCGTAGAAAAAGAGAGAAAGGCCAGATTTGGGACCATAACAGATTTGAGTTATGGACCCAACTCTGCCACTTATTAGCCATGTGCCCCTGAGCAAGTCACTACACCTCTCTGAGCCAGTATCTTTTTACATAAACTGAAGATCATTAGAGTGCCTTACTCATGTAAAGTTCTCCGCAAAAGAAGCCACTTAACACTCAGAGAGGGTTTTTGATTGGCTTGGGTAAGGGGTCCTGTTCCAGGAGAGACCTGCCCCTTTTGGGCTGGGTGGTCTGAGTCAGGGCTGGGTAAATTAAGTAACAGCAGCTACCATTTATTAGTGCTTTACCTACATGAGCTCACTGATTCCTCACACCACTTCTGTAAGCTAGAGACTATTTATCTACATTTTGCAGAGGAAGAAATGGAGGTGCTGAGAAATAAAGTGACTTGCCCTAAGTCACAAAATCAGCAAGTGGTAGATCCGGGATGGGAACACAGAAGTGATAAAGGGAAAAAGGAGATGTCAGCAGGTAGTTGCTGGCCTAGTGCACTGTTTTGCCTGGGGCTGGCTGGGCCCCTCTACCTAGCGCCTCAGACCCAACAGGCCCAAGGGAGCCCATGCACCTTTCATTACTGTGAGCCGAGCTCACCCTCCCATAAAAAGTGGCTTGGATGAGAGAACCTGGATACCTTGGTTGCCGGTGAAGGATTCACACACTTATTATGGTTTTCTTTTTTTTTTTTTTATGGGAGCCTCCAAACGCCACTGCTTCTAGTTGGCCACCTTGGCCCTTATACAAAAATTAACTCAAGATGGATTAAATACTTAAATGTAAAACCCTAAATCATAAAAACCGTAGAAGAAAACCTAGGCAATACCATTCAGGACATAGGCATGGGCAAAGACTTCATGACTAAAACACCAAAAGCAATGGCAACAAAAGCCAAAATTGACAAATGAGATCTAATTAAACTAAACAGCTTTTGCACAGCAAAAGAAACGATCATCAGAGTGAACAGGCAACCTACAGAATGGGAAAAAATTTTTGGAATCTACCCATCTGACAAAGGTCTAATATCAGAATTTACAAGTAATTTAAACGTATTTATGAGAAAAAATCAACCCCATCAAAAAGTGGGCAAAGGATATGAACAGACACTTTTCAAAGGAAGACATTTACGTGGCCAACAAACATGAAAAAAAGCTCATCATCACTGATTATCACAGAAATGCAAATCAAAACCACAATGAGATACCATCTCACACCAGTCAGAATGGCGATTATTAAAAAGTCAGGAAACAATAGATGCTGGCAAGGCTGTGGAGAAATAGGAACGCTTTTATACTGTTGGTGGGAGTGCAAATTAGTTCAACTATTGTGGAAGACAGTATGGCGATTCTTCAAGGATCTAGAAACAGAAATACCCTTTGACTCAGCAATCCCATTACTGGGTATATACCCAAAGGAATATAAATCATTCTACTATAAAAACACATGCACACGTATGTTTATTGCAGCACTATTTACAATAGCAAAGACATGGAACCAACCCAAATGCCCATCAATGATAGACCGGATAAAGAAAATGTGGCACACATACACCACGGAATACTATGCAGCCATAAAAAGGAATGAGACCATGACTTTTGCAGGAACATGGATGAAGCTAGAAGCCATCATTCTCAGCAAACTAACACAGGAACAGAAAACCAAACACTGCATGTTCTTACTCATAAGTGGGAGTTGAACATTGAGAACACATGGACACAGAGAGGGGAACAACACACACCAGGGCCTGTTGGGGGGATGGCGGGTGGGAACTTAGAGGACAGGTCAATAGGTGCAGCAAACCACCATGGCACACCTATACCTATGTAACAAACCTGCACGTTCTGCACATGTATCCCGTTTTTTTTTTTAGAACAAAGAAAGAAGGAAGGAAGGGAGGGAGGGAGGGAAGGAAAGAAGGAAGGAAGGAAGGAAGGAAAGAAGGAAGGAAGGAAGGAAGGGAAAGAAGAGGCTTGGAGCAGACACTGCGACTGCGGCAGTGGCCTGTGGGAGGCAGCCAAGGGCTAGCTCAGCATAAATGACAAACCCTCCTGCTTCAGCCCCTTGTGCGAAGCTAAAATTAACAACTTTCCCAACTGCAAACAAACGCAATTGCTGAACCTGCATTCCCCTCTACTGCTTCTGCTGCCAAGGAGCTTCCTGGGCCTCATCCTAGCTTTCTCCTTATTCCCTGGCCACGCCCATAGCGCTGGGCTTTCTGAGCAAAGGCAGGTGATACTCTACACAACAAACTTGAGCTTGGATCTTAGGAGGGTCCCAGGACTTCAGCAACCCTGGGTGTGGGTCAAATACCTTCCAGGTACCACCACCCACCCTTTGGTTCCTCTCTTTGCTCTTTAGGTACCCAACACTTTTGGCTACCACTAAGTCCAGTAATTATTTATGCTGGCTTCCAATTAGCCAGGAGATTCCAATTTTTCATTTCACTAGGGCCTTTTCTTTTACCTCCTACCATCAATACTTATCCATCTGTGATAGCCAGCCTGTAAAATGTTGCCAAATAATCCCCACCTCCTGATGTTCACACCCTTGTGTATCCCCTCCCCTGAGCATGGTCTGAACCTAGTAACTCACTTCTAATGAATAGAATATGGCAGAAGTGATGGGATATAACTTCCAAGACAAGGTTATAAAAAGACTGTGGCTTCTGCCTTGGGCTGGCCTAGGTGTGCACTCTCTCTGTCTCATCAATCATGCCACAGAAAGCAAGCTGCTGTGTTGTGAGGAGCAACCTAATAGAGAGGCCCAAATGGCATGACAAGGAACAGAAACTCTCAGTCCAACAGCCTGTGAGGAAACGAAGCCTGCCAGCACCACATGAGTGAGTTTGGAGGCACATCCGTCAGCCCCAGTTGAGTCTTCAGATACTGCAACCTTGACCCACAGCTTGAATGCAACCTCATGAGTGACCCTGAGCCAGAACCACCCAACTAAGTCATAACCAAGTTCCTGATCCAAAGAAACTGTAAGATGATGTTTATTGTTGTTTATTGGCTAAATGTTGGGATAATTTGTTATACAGAAATAGTATCCATTTCCTCAAAGCTCTGCTTTATCCCAATTGACAATGGCTGGTGATCTAATGTTCAATTTCTCTTTTTTTACTGCCAGATAAGAGGAGACCTTAATTCAGTTAAAAATACTTGAGTCTTCAGATTGCTACTAATGAACACTGGGGATTTTAGATGCTGGCGGAAGGCTAATAGAAACGATTACTGGGGCAGAGTGTCCACCGTTACTTTGCATACAGTGAGTCCTAAGCCTAGGCAATGTTCACAGTGTCTTAGAATCCTCAGATGATCAAACTTTGACCCAAATATACAAATTAAGGGCAGTATCCAGACTGTACCCTCCTCATACCAGTTTCCTCTTTGGATAATGATAGCTAAAGTTTATTGAGTACTAACTAAATAAGCACTGTTCTATGCACTTCACAATTATTAACTCATTTAATCCTCATAACCACCCCATTCTAAAGAAGAATAAACTGAGGCACAGAGGAGTTAAGCAACTTGTCCAAGTTCACAGTCACTAAGTGGCAGAGCTGGGATTTGAGCCCATGCTCATAACCATATTACTCATGGGAAGTCCACATGTGTTGGGCAAAAGGAAGGATTCTGGTTACCAAGAGGTATCAGAGCCCTTTCTTTCTATCCTTTTCTTCCTTTCATTTTGATATGGTTTGGCTCTGTGTCCCCACCCAAATCTCATCTTGTAGCTCCCATAATTCCCACATGTTGTGGGAGGGACCCAGTGGGAGATGAATGAATCATGGGGGCAGGTCTTTCTCATGCTGTTCTCATGATAGTGAATGGGTCTCATGAGATCCGATGGTTTTAAAACCATTTTAAGCCATCTTTGCCTGCTGCCATCCACGTGAGATGTGACTTGCTTCTCCTTGCCTTTTGCCATGATTGTGAGGCCTCCCCAGCCATGTGGAACTGTAAGTCCAATAAACCTCTTTCTTTTGTAAATTGCCCAGTCTCAGGTATGCCTTTATCAGCAGTGTGAAAATGGACTAATATACATTTCCTTGCTCAAAAACCTACAGCAGTTTTTCAATGCCTACTGGATCAAGTCCAAAGTCCTCTTCATGACCCTTACCATAATCCACCACCACTCTACATATCTTTCTCTATTCTCCACCACATAACTTCTACCTGTAGCTACAATAATCCCCTGGTTTCCCCATATATCATCTTCCTGATTTTCTCCCACCTGAAAATCATCAATGTTTGTTGGAAACAATTAGGTGTGAAATATGAAAGGGTTTTATAGTCAGATCATCTGGAGAAATGTTGAAGACCCTTTCTCTTACAGTGGTTGTGTGAAATTCCAAAGAGAAGACTATGGATCCTCTACCCACGTGGAGGTGTATCTCTCAGTTTTGCCAAAGTGAGGCCAATGCTGCAAAGCAGGTGGCCAAAGCTCTGTCTCATGCACTGCACTGAGCCAGACCCCATCTCCTCCCGAAAGTCTTCCCCAGTTTTTCCTGCCCACATTTTTCTTATTTCTGAAATCTGATGCTATCTGTAGTCTGAGGCACGCAATGTAGACTGTTCTCAGGCCATTCAATTCTTAATTCAAATGTCACCTCTTCAGAGAAGCCTTTCCTGGCTGCTCTAGCTGAAGTAGCTCCCTGTTACTCCTCAGCACAGCCCCTTGTTTCTCTCCTTCCTAGCACATGTCAATACAAATAGTGATTATTTATTTGTTCACTTTTAAACACGTGTCCCTATTGAAACACATGCTCCAGCAGGGCAGGGATTTTGTCTGTCCTGTTCACCATTGTATCCCCAGCATCTAGAACAGAGCCTGGCACATAGGAGGTGCTCAATGAATATTTGTTCGTTGAATGAAAAAAATATTTCACCTGCAAGTTCGTTTGTGTGCTTTTCCCTAGCTAGAGAACAAGTTTCATAAGGGCAAGGCCTATGTTATTGTCTTCAGTTTTCCATGGCATCTAGTAAATCCTGAGACCATACTTCGGGGAGTAAAATTGTTCTTGCCCATGCCTCAATGTTTTCATTCATTTAACCACACCACCCTGCCTTAATAGACTGCCTAGGATGGGGAGAAGTAGAGTAGGGGTGGGCTTTTTGACTGCACAAAGTTCTAGTCTTGAACTTTCCAAAGAGGTGATCTGCAGAAACCCAATGCGGGAGTGGGAAGATTGGCAGGTTTTCTGCAGTTTCTGGGTAATGGGAAGAGTCTTTGTAGTGGAGAAGCCACAAAGAAGTCAAAAGGAAAGATAGAAGGGCCTACCAGACAGGAAAAAGCTGAAGGCCATCAATATATGTTGAAGGAAAGGAAATCTAAGGAAATCTTGGTCTTAGAACAGGAGCTGGCATTCGGTACCTAAACTGCAGGGTGGCTAGGACATTTTGAGGCTGCAAAGCAAACTGTGGGAGTCTCTGTCTGAGTAGGAATGTGGAATAATACTGCAGGCCTCAGTGACCTTGGTGTGGGTGAGGAAAAATGGAGAGAGAGAGAGAGGCCTAGACTCTTCACATCTAAAAACAGAAATAATCTAGTGAGAGAGGGGGAAAAACCCATTTCCTAACCTTAATGCAGTTAGGGAGCAGAATAAACTGCCTAGTGAGGATCTTGAGTCATTGGTATTAGAATCATTCAAACTAGGGGAAATCGGCCAGACACGATGTTCCATGTAAAAGGAACTATGATAAATAGACCTTTAGTGATGTAGTCATAAGGTGTGAGGGGAAAGGAAGTCCCCTATAAGTAGCAAGGGACTACTTATCTATAGTCCTATGCTTAGGTCTCTTGGTGAGCCTGTGCCTATGGACTGTGAACGTGGTCAGTGGGGGGAGGTGTTGGAGTCAGTCCTCGGAGGCCACCACACATGTGCTTGCACTCTCTCTCTGTCACACACACACACTCACACTCACATTTACACTTTTGCACACTAAATGGAAAAAAACAATTCTGCTCCATCTTCCTACAGCTTATCTGTTTCATTGATGACAAAAGGGCTATCACGCTATAAAGAATGTATTACTTCTCCTCACTGACAAGTGACTTCTTGTGATCCTGATGTACCCCTGCAAAATTCTGGGTGTCTCTCAGGCCTCTCCAGTCAGGAAAAATTCAACCTTGCAGATTTACCTTCAGACATGTATACTTTCTCTCTCTTTCTCTCTCTCTCTCTCTCACACACACACACACACACACACACACACACACACCTCCAACCTGTCTCAATTTCAACAGATATCAGCTGGACTCCAGCCTCATGTCTTTCTGGTTCCCAGAATGCTATGGACTGTGAATGTGGTCAGTGAGGGGAGGTGTTAGAGTCAGTCCTTTCTTGGCCTTTCTGATGTCAACTCCTCTTAGAGTCTCTTGGCTAAAGGTGGGAGTTTTCTTTGCTTCCAGAGGAATCTATGGTACCCCTTGCCCCAAGGCCCAGTGGTGACTATAAAAGGGCCCATTCCTGCTCTGAGGGTCCAGGGAAAATACAGACTTGCTCCATGCACTGCAGAAGAGGCCATGTGATTTTCCTTGCCTTTCCTCTCACTCCATCCTCTCTTTCTTCCCTTTGGCAGCAGCAAACTCAAAGGCCTTCTCAGTCCCACTGAAGGGAAAAGGAAAGAACAAGACCTAAATGAAATGGATCAACTAGTAGACTGGGAAATTGAAAATGCGCCAGAGGCCCAGGGAGGGAAGTGGAGAGCAGCAGGACAGGGAGTGAAAGAGGAAAGCCCCCAGCTGAGAAGCCAATGACCACAAACGGCCCTGCAGGGTCCTAGCCTGGCCAAAGCTGCTCCACTCTGTTCACTGTTGGCTCAGTGCAGAGAGCACAGAATCTATCAGGGCTGGTCAGTGGCAAAACTGTGAGGTTGGGGGAGCTGGTCTCCAGCATTCCCTGTCTGGTCCTCATCTCCATTTTGAGGTCCCCTCTCCCAGACTCCCAGGGATTTCTCCCTGTCCCAAGAGTCTTGCACAACCTCCCCACAAAACAAAATTCACCTGTCCCTGTCCCATTTCTGCAGAACGTTGGGTGCATTGAGTCATTTGTGCAGCAAGGTGTGAAATGGTGGTCATGGCTGAAAGCTTTGTTCTCCACAGCTGTTATGTGGCTGTTAATAAGGTGTATTTGAGGAGGAAAAGAAGGAGATGGCGACCTATAGTCAAATAAGTATTGGAAGCCACAAAACTATGTTTTTAGCAAGTTTCTCTACTGCAAAACTTCTCAGAGCCTTTCATATGCTAATGTGCATTACAAAGCTCTAAGAGAGGTAGGTATACAGCATTTCTCAAACTTATTTGGCCAGCCACGGATTTTTTTTTTCTTTTTTTTTTTGGTAGAGCAGCTTAAAGGACCAGTATTTTATTTGATGTATTTTCCCTCTCAGATAACTTAGTTGCATTTCATAACAGTCCTTAATATTTAAACTTTAAACAGTGACTGTAATGGTGGGAAAGTCAGGCACCCTTACAGTTAGAGAAGGCAGTGATGGTTAGACTGGATCAACCACCAGGCCATAGGGAAGATATAAATGACCAGAGGACCCTGGTGACCTGGCTGTTTTGTGCCACACATTATAGGTGGTTGTCACTTACCAATTGGCCTGCTCCAATCTCATACAGTCCCAAATGTCTTTAATACTTTTTTTGTGTGTGCTGTGTCTGGGAGAGTAGTGTGGAGGGAATAGAGGAGAGCCTATCTCAAGACATATCTATTTCTTTTTTCTTTTTCTTTTTTTAGACACTGTATCACTCTGTCACCCAGGCTGAGTGCAGTGGTACAATCTTGGCTCACTGCAACCTCCGCTTCCTGGGTTCAAGTCATTCTCCTCCCTCAGCCTCCTGAGTAGCCGGGATTACAGGTACGCACTACTATTCCTGGTTAATTTTTGTATTTTTTGTAGAGAGGGGTTTTGTCACATTGGCCAGGCTGATCTCAAACTCCTGACATACAGTGATTTGCCCGCCTTGACCTCCCAAAGTGCTGGGATTATAGGTGTGAGCCACCGCACCCAGCCTAGACATGTCTATTTCTCACGTTGATACACTCATGTTTGATAGATGAATCAGGTCCTTCCTGAATCATTTGCCATTTGTGACTTTGTTCTTCACTGACACCACCAATCCCCCAAACTCCATTCTCTAAACCCCATTGGGCATGATGCCTCAAGAAAGACTAGCTGGGAGCACTGGTCCTCTCTCTGGGTTCTCCCATATATGTGCATGAACGAGTCACTTCTTTATTGTGCACGGTATTAGAAAAATGGGAGGCATTGGAGAGAACTTGAGGGCTGTACTCAGTCACACTGCTTCTCTGCCAGCTTATTAAGTGTCCTGACCAGATAGGTCCCCAAAAGTGACCTCCAGTAGCTCCCCTTAAAATAGCTGAGATGCTCATCAACCTGGTGAACTGAGCAGGGTGGACACCAAGGTGTTCTTTTGAATCAGGTGACCTAATCTTGGGAAGCGTCAGCTACCTAAGAACAGGAAGTTCTCATCCATTAAATTGAGAACTCTGCAAAGTTGAGAACTGTGCAACATCAGGCAGCTAATAAAAGCACTCTGGCTACTGTACTCTGTGCTACTCTGAGTACTCCAGGAGTACTGTGCTCAGTTCTGGAAAGGACCCCTAAGAGGCAGCCTTACAAATTGGAGTGTTGCCAAAGGAAAGTGACTAATATGCTAGTGGGTCAATAGGCTAGGACATTTTCTAGACATGGAGATACAAGCCAACATTCTACATAAAATTTCAGGAGGTTCACGGAACCCCAGGTTAAGAAGCTTAGCTGTGGAACCATATCACAAAAGGAATCACTGAGCAAACTGGGTAGATTTAGCAAAAAAAAACAAAATAAATAAATAAATGAAATAAAATAAAAGTCAAAAGATAGACTTGAGGGAACGTGATAGCTATATTCAGATATTTTAAAGGGGCTGCCAACAGGAAGGAGGAAAGAAGTATAAGATTGCTATCAGCTCAATATCAAAAAATGTGCTAATTAGAGTTGTTCAACAGGATGGGCTACCTTGGGAGGCAGTGAATGCCTTGATGATGAGAGTTAAAAATTTGAGGGGGAGAGTGGATTAGATGATCTCTAAGGTCCAACATCCCTTCCAGCTTTGCATTTCCTCCCACCCACATGTTTTTGTCTATGTCACTGAGACCCTTTCTAGTTTATCACAGAAAAGAGCCACAATCTTACCTACAAACAAATCCCAAAAGGCAAGATTAGATTAGAGGTGGCCCCAAACTCAGGACTACCTGGTCCCCTAGCTCCACTTCCACCTGAAATCATCACATCTTACCATCCCCCATACTAGGGCTCTCAGGGTTTGCTTGGTGACAGCTAGTTAATCTGATAAACTAATCTGCACTAATGGGATCAGAAATGCTAATGAATTAATGTGTTACCTTCCCAAGTGACATATTTGCATTTTAACAGAGGTCTTCTGGAGATAATGCCTTAACTCAAAGGAGTGATTAATATTGAAATTTTGTCTGTTTGGCAGTCCAGCAAGGAGACATTTTTAGAATGGGAACCATTTTCCATCCTTCATATCAGACCATCTGCTAGAAGAGGAAACAACATGTTCCTGCCCTTGTGGGGTTTACAGTTAATATAGTGGGGGGATTACAATTGCTAACATTTATTGAGCCTCTACCAAAGTGGGAAGTATAGCACTTAGCCCTGTGCTGAGTGCTATAGAAATATTATCTTTGAGTTCTCGCAACAATAGCCTCCTGAAATAGGTATTTTGCAGATAAAGGAACTGGGTCTCAGAGAGGTTAAGTAACTTAGTACTGCATTTCATTGACTCTAAGATGCTATCAACTGTAAGAGGCAACATTTTCTCAGATTTCCCTAACAAAGAAGAAATGCTGCCAATTAAACTACAATGAACCATGGATCATAGAAGTATTCCAGTTTCAGAAATGTTAAAAATGTGTATTCAAATATGAAATACACAAAATGGTAAGGCTGACTCCAGAGTACATGCTCTGTCTAATGCTTTTTATAAAACCCAAATGGGAAATAGCTGGGGAACACTTTGATATGATCATATAATAGCAAGTACATATTAATATTTTAAAACAAAATAATTACACAAGCATCCAGAAGATTGCACACTGAGTGTGAGGTCAATGGCAGATCATGTTGCTGGGGGTCACAAACCTCAGTGGTGGAGAAAAATAGGGACAGTATTTATGGAAGAAGGACTACCCTGAGCTGCGCCTGGAGCTGAGGTTGTGGGGGTGGTGGCAGACAGCAGATAACTGAAATTCAGTTTTTGAGGAGATGGTACATTGGCTGGCTTGGTTAAAGTGAAGGCATTAGTTGGTGAAATCAGGAGAAATACTTTAGTGAGAAACAGAGAAGGCAAATGAACTGGCAGGTGGTCTGCAAAGACCCAGATGAGAGATTTCCCTTTAATATGATGGGCAAAGGGGGCAACTGTGGATTCTTGCCAGTTAATGCCAAAATATTAGGAAAAGCTGATTCTGGCCACCAGGATGAATTAACGTTTCCAGGGGCTTCCTAAAGGGGTAAAAATCTAGCATGGCAAGGGGATTGTGTCATCAGAGTCAGCAGAATTCCAGGGCATTTTGCACCCTAAGCTTTCAGCCCTCTCTTGATGTGCATTCCCTTCTCTCCAGGTGCATCA